>NC_000005.10:68234807-68859807 GCF_000001405.40 Homo sapiens | reverse complement strand
TATGTTGATCTTGAATCCTGTTGCCTTGCTAAACTCACTTATTAGTTTTGGTAGCATTTTTACAGGTGAATAACTTTTGACGAGAAGACCTGTCAGGATTATGTTTATGGGTGAAAGACAGCTTTTGTCAGCATTGGTCTAGAGTTGTTTTTTTTTTTAGCTCATCAATGATGTCCTCCATGTGCTCTGGGAATTTCTCTGTGGTGACTTTTCCAAAATAAAGGGTCTTTCATGGAAAATGGTTGGGGGCAAAATCATAGTAAGTCATTACTCCCAGATAGAAGACAGGAAGTGTGTCAAAGATATCCACTGGTGGGCAAGAATTATGAGAATTTAAATTAATATGAAAAGTCTATCCAAGGACACTCCTCACATACCAAATGGAGGTATGGCTACAGGTGGTGCTGTGTACCCTTACAGATAGTCATAGTAGTGGGGCAAGGAGAAGGCTTATGAGTCACAGCAGTGGTTCTTGTTCCCGATGCTGAGAACATTCTTCTGAACCAACCTGGAGAGGAAGGGCTGACATGGAAGAGTGCTGGCTATATCTATATGATAGTGATGTCTAGATGATAACTGGAAAATTTAGTCAAAGCATCTAGAAATTTATTTCAATTCTTGGATTATTCTTCTTATATAGATGAGTTGTTGGGGTGACTTTGTCTGTTTTTAGTGGGTTATTTTATATCACAGAAGTACAGTTGTAAAATAAAAAACAGCATGCTGCAGTAACAGATTGATTGTGGTAAAGGAAGGATTGAAATGAGTCAAATAGAATTCCAGTGTTTCTTTAATGGGAATTGGATGATACTGTCGGCTGTGACAAAAAGCCTGACATGGGCAAAGAGAGGGATCAAATGATTGATGTTTCATGTCTCCTCTGTAGAGTCCCTTTGTTCCAAGAAGATCCTTTGGGGGTACTATCGAGGGCAAAGATGATGGGTAAAGCAAGTGGGCAGAGGTCTAGACTCTCCATCCTCTTCCATCTTACCCTAACTTCCCCATTCAACCAGAGGACCTTCCTCTCCTTTGAGAAAAAAAAATCTAAAATGAGGCATACCTCATTTTATTCCATTTAACTTTATTGCATCTTATAGATATTGTGTTTTTTCCAAATTGAAGATTTGTGGCAACACTGCATTGAACAAGTCCATTAGGGCCATTTTTTCAAAAGCATGTGCTCACTCTGTGTCTGTGTCACATTTTGGTAATTCTTGCAACATTTCAAACTTTTCATTATTATTATAATATCTGTTATGGCGGTCTGTAATTGGTGATATTTGGTGTTACTATTGTAATTGTTTTGGGGCACTATGAACCATGTCCATGTAAGACAGCAAACTTAGTCTATAACTGGTGTGAATGTTCTGACTGCTCCACCAACTGGCTATTCCTCCATCTCCATCCCTCTCCTCAAGCCTCCTTATTCCTTGAGATACACCAATATTAAAATTAGTATAGTTAATAACCCTACAGTGACCTCTACATGTTCAAGTGAAAGGAAAACTCTCGCATCTCATTTTAATTCAAAAACTAGAAATGATTAAGCTTAGTGAAGAAGGCATGTCAACAGCTGAGAGAAGCTGAAAGCTAGGCCTCTTGTGCCAAATAGCCAAATGCTGAATGCAAAGGAAAAATTGTTGAGGAAAATTAAAAGAGCTTCTCCTGTGAACACATGAATGATAAGAAAGCAAAAAGAGCCTTATTGCTGATACGGAGAAAGTTTTAGTGGTCTAGATAGAAGATCAAACCAGCCATAACATTCTCCTAAACCAAAGCCTAATCTAGGGCAAGGGCCTAACTCTCTTCAATTCTTTGGAGACTGAGAGAGATAAGGAACCTACAGAAGAAAAGTTGGAATGTAGCAGAAATTGGTTCATGAGGTTTAAGGAAAGAAACTGTCTCTACAACATAAAAATGCACGGGGAAACAGCAAGTGCTGATGGAGAAGCTGCAGCAAGTTATCTAGAAAATCTAGTTAAGATCATTGATGAAGGGAGCTCTACTAAACAACAGACTTTCGATGTAGATGAAATAGCTTTATATTGGAGTAAGATGACATGTAGGACTTTTATAGCTAGAGAGAAGTCTTGTTTCAAGACTTAAAAGGACAGGCTGACTCTTGTTAGGGGCTAATGCAGCTGGTGGCTTTAAGTTGAAGCTCATCTATTCTGAAAATCTTAGGGCCCTTAATAATTATGCTACATTCATGCTGCCTGTGCTCTATAAGTGAAAGAACAAAGACTGGATGACAGCAAATTTGTTTATAGCGTGGTTCACTGACTATCTTAAGCCTACTGTTGAGGCCTATTGCTCAGAGAAAAAGATTCCTTTCAAAATATTACCAGTCATTGACAATGCACCTGGTCACCCAAGAGTTCTGATGGAAATGTACAAGGAGGTCAATATTGTTTTCATGCCTGCTAACACAACATCCATTCAGTAGCCCATGGATCAAGGAGCAATTTCAACTTTCAAGTCTTATTATTTGGGAAATACATTTCATAAGGCTATAGCTGCCACAGAGAGTGATTTCTCTGCTGGATCTTGGCAAAGTAAATTGAAAAACCTTCTGGAAAGGATTCAGCATTATAAATACCATTAAGAACATTTGTGATTCATGGGAGGAGGTCAAAATACCAACATTAACAGGAGGTTGGAAGAAGTTGATTCCCACCCTCATGGGTGACTTGGAGGGGTTCAAGGCTTCAGTGGAGGAAGTAACGCAGATGTGGTAGAAATAGCAAGAGAACCAGAATAGAAATGAAGACTGAAGATGTGACTGAATTCCTGCAATCTTATGATCCAACTTGAATGAATGAGAGGTTGCTTTTTATGAATGAGCAAAGAAAGTAGTTTCTTAAGATGGAATCTACTTCCAGTGAAGATGCTGTGAACATTGTTGAAATGACAACAAAGGATTTAGAATATTACATAAAACTAGTTGACAAAGAAGCAGCAGGGTTTGAGAGCATTGACTTCAATTTTGAAAGAAGTTCTACTGTGGGTAAAATGCTATCAAATAACATCGCATACTACAGATAAATTTTTTATATTAGAAGAGCCAATAGATACTGCAAACTTTATTTCTTGTTTTAAGAAATTGCCACAGTCAGAGGCATAACAAAAAAAAGAAAACCTCAGGTCAATATCCTCATTGAACATTTATACAAAAATCCTCAACAAAATACTTGCAAACTGAACCCAGCAGCACATCAAAAAGCTAATCCACCATGATGAAGTAGGCTTTATCTCTGGGATGCAAGGTTGGTTCAACAATATGCAAAGCAATAAATGTAATTCATCACCTAAACATAACTAAAGCCAGAAATCACATGATTATCTCAAAAGATGCAGAAAAGGCTTTTGATAAAATTCAATGTCCCTTCATGTTAAAAACTCTCAATGTACTAGGTATTGAAAGAACATACCTCAATATAATAAGAGCCATCTGTGACACATCCACAGCCAACATCATACTGAATGGTCAAAAGCTAGAAAAATTCCCCTTGAAAACCAGCACAAGACAAGGATGCCCTCTCTCACCACTCTGATTCAGCATAGTATTAGAAGTCCTAGCCAGAGCAATCAGGCAAGAGAAAGAAATAAAGGGCATACAAATAGGAAGAGAGGAAGTCAATCTATCCCTGTTTGCAGACAACATGATTATATATCTAGAAAAACTGATAGTCCTGGTCTATAGCTCCTTAAACGGATAAACTACTTCAGCAAAGTTTCAGGATACAAAATCGATGTACAAAAATCACTAGCATTCCTATACAGCAACAGCAGCCAAGCCGAGACCCAAATCAGGAACACAATCCACACGATCCCATTCACAAGTGCCGCAAAAAGAATAAAATATCTAGGAATACAGATAACCAGGGAAGTGAAAGATCTCTACAAGGAGAATTACAAAACACCGCTCAAATCAGAGATGGCATAAACAAATGGAAAAACATCTCATGTTCATGGATAGGAAGAATCAGTATTGTTAATATGGCCATACACTGCCCAAAACATTTTACAGATTCAATGCTATTCCTGTCAAACTACTAATGACATTCTTCACATAACAAGAAAAAAAAATTTAAAATTTACATGGAACCAAAAAAGAGCCCGAACAGCCAAGGCAATCCTAAGCAAAAAAGAACAAAGCTGGAGGCATCACACTACCTGACTTCAAACTACACTACAGGACACAGTAATGAAAACAACATGGTACTGGCACAAAAACAGACACACAGGCCAATGGAACAGAATAGAGAACTCAGAAGTAAGGCCATACAACAGAACCATCTGATCTTTAACAAAGCTGACAAAAACAAGCAATGGGGAAAGGACTCACTATTCAATAAATGGTGCTGGGATAACTGGCAAGCTGTATGCAAAAGATTGAAATTGGACTCCTTCCTTACACCATATAAAAAATCGACTGAAGATGGAATAAAGTCTTAAATGTAAAATCTAAAACTATAAAAACCCTGGAGGACAACCTAGGCAATACCATTCTGGACAAAGGAACTGGCAAAGACTTTATGATGAAGACACCGAAAGCAATTGCAACAAAAGCAAAAATTGACAAATGGGGTATAGTTAGACTTAAGAGCTTCTGCACAGCAAAAGAAACTATCAACAGTGGACATGTTTGTTGAAGAACTTTTGCTCATAGCATATCTTCATAACCTTCCTATGTGGTGACACAGGTAAGAGCAGACAGCCACATGGCTGTCTACCATTTCAGACACAGATGCACTGCTAGCTGAGTGGGACAAAAGCGGTGTTGTTACTGTTGATATGGGAGGTCACATCAGGCTTTGGGAAACTGAACTTGAACGTCTGCTGTGATCACTCATGGAATGGAGAAACATGATTGGACAAGATGACAGAAATATGCAGGTACCATTTGAATTCACCTTATCTCTTAGAGGTGCACATTCCAACCTACAGAATGGGAGACAATATTTGCAAAATATGCATCTGAAAAAGGTCTAATATCCAGCATCTGTAAGGAATTTGTAGAAATTTACAAGAAGAAAACAACTCCATTAAAAAGTGGGCAAAGGATATGAACAGACACTTTTCAAAGGAAGACATACACATGGCCAACAGTCATATGAAAAAAAGCTCAATATAACTGATCATTAGAGAAATGCAAATCAAAACCACAATGAGATACCATCTCACACCAGTCAGGATTGCTATAATGAAAAAGACACACACACACATGCACACACACATACACACACACAAACTAGATACTGGCAAGGTTGCAGAGAAAAGAGAATGCTTATACACTGTTGGTGAGAGTGTAAATTAGTTCAACCATTGTGGGAAGGAGTGTGGCGATTCCTCAAAGACCTAAAGACAGAATTACTATTTGACCTAGCAATCCCATAATTGGGTTTATACCCAAAGGAATATAAGTCGTTCTAACATAAAGACACATGCATGCATGTGTTCATTGCAGCACTATTCACAATCACAAAGACATGGAATTAACCTAAATGCCCATCAATGGCAGGTTGGATAAATAAAATGTGATACATATACACCATAGAATATTGTGCAGTCGTAAAAAAGAATTAGATCATGTTCTTTGTGGAAACATGGATGGAGCAGGAGGCTATTATCCTTAGCAAACTAATGCAGGAACAGAAAACCAAATATCACATGTTCTTTCTCATAAGTGGGAGCTAAATAATGAGAACACATGGACACAAAGAGAGGAACAACAGACATAGGGGCCTACTGTAGAGTTGATGGTGGGAGGAGGGAGAAGATCAGGAAAAATAACTAATGGGTACTGGTCTTAGTACCTGGGTGATGAAATAATCTGTACAACAACCCCCTCTTGAAATGAGTTTACCCATATAACAAATCTACACATGTACCCCTGAACCTAAAATAAAAGTTAAAAAAAATGGCCACAGTCACATCAACCTTCAGCAACCACCACCTTGATTAGTCAGCAGCTTTCAACATCGAGGCTAGGCCCTCCATCAGCAAAAAGATTACAACTTACTGAAGCTTCAGATGATCATTAGTATTTTTTAGTGATAAAAAAATTTTAAATTAAGGTGCGTGCATTTTTTTAGACATGCTATTGCACACTTAATAGGCTACAGTACAGTATAAGCAAAACTTTCATTTGCACTGGGAAAACAAAAAAATTAGTGTGACTTGCTTTATTGCAATATTCACTTTATTATAGTGGTCTAAAACTGAGTCATAATATCTCTGAACTGCAATACAATTCTATTATATATAGTTGACTCTTGAACAATATGGAGATTAAGAGTACCAATCCTCTACACCATCACAAATCTATGTATATCTTGTGACTCCTCCAAAACTTAACTACTAATAGCCTTCTGTTGATGGGAGCCTTACTGATAACATGAATGGTTGATTAACACATATTTTGTATGTCATATTTATTATATACTGTATTCTTACAGTAAAGTAAGCTAGATAAAAAATCATTAAGAAAATTATAAGCAAGAGAAAATGTATTTACTATTTATTAAGTATAAGTCAATCATCATAAGGTCTTTATTATTGTCTTCACCTTGAGTAGGCTGAGGAGGAGGAAGAGGAAGAAGGGATTGGTCTTGCTGTCTCAGGGATGGCAGAGGTGGAAGATGTGGAAGAGGTGGAGGCAGGCACACTTGGTATAACTTTATGGAAATACATTATAATTTCTGTCTGACTTTCTTACTTTTTCATTTATTTAAAAATGTTTCTATATGGTACTAATCATTCATCCACCTTTTGCTTTAGTTTCAGTGCTTATATCATAGAAAGGTCCATGTTGTAAAATAAGTCAAAAGCAGTCTCGAATAATTGGAGCCCTTCTGCCGGATTGTCTAATGTCAATTTGTTTCCTGGCACTGCCACTTCTACATCTTCCTCAATCCCTGGCACTGGTTTGGAAACACTCATCTCCATCAAGTTGCCTTCTGTAAATTCCTCGGATGTGATGTCTTTAGCTCTTGAATTTCTCCAAGATCTCTATCTTGAAACCCTTCACCCCTACCTATTTTTTCCATATCCACAATCTCTTCATGATTTCCTTGATTGGTTCTGTCATTAATTCTGAGAAGTCATGCACAACATTTGGACACAGTTTCTTCAGCGGGAATTTATTGTCTTGGGTTGGATGGCTTTCATTGCCTTTTCTATAACAATGATATCATCTTCAATGGTGTAATCCTTCAAGACTTTCATGATGTTCTCTCTACTGGGGTTCTCTTCCATGGTGTTGACAATCCTTTCCACAGAATGCTGTGTGTCGTGAGCTTTAAAAGTCCTTAACCTCCTGATATAGAGGTTGAATTAGAGACCTTCTGTTTGGAGAAAAATAGACCACTTTGAGTCTTTGGTGTTGAACTCATGGGGTTCTGAGTGGCCAGGGGCATTGTCCAACATCAAAAGAACACTAAAAGGCCGTCCTTTAT
Source organism: Homo sapiens (assembly GCF_000001405.40). Classification (NCBI taxonomy): domain Eukaryota; kingdom Metazoa; phylum Chordata; class Mammalia; order Primates; family Hominidae; genus Homo; species Homo sapiens. Next base: position 68,852,347 of record NC_000005.10, on the reverse strand, counting down.
TGGCAAGGTAATTCCTGATTTCAGAGACAAAGTCATCGATGGAACCAATCCAGAAAAGGAGTTTTCATTGTCCAGCCTTCTTGTTGTAAACCAAAAGACTAGCAGCTGGTGTTTATCTTTTCTCTTCAAAGCTCAGAGGTTAGTGGCTTTATAGATAATGTCAGTCCTGATCACAAACCCAACTGCATTTGCATGAAATAATAGAGTTAACCTATCCCTTTCTGCCTTAATCCTGGTGCTTACTTTTATTCCTTACTAATAAATGTCCTTTGTGGTATTTTCCCTCCCAGAATAGGGCACTTTCATCTGCATTAAATATCTGTTCAGCCAGATACCCTTTCTCCTCAATTATTTTCTTAATGGTGTCTGGGAACTCTTGAACTCAGAACTAATTGTGTCTGCTGTCTCTTGGTCAGCAGAAGCTGCTTCTCCTGTTATCCTGACAATTTAAAAGCCAAACCTCTTTCTAAAATTATCAAACCGTCCTTTGCTGGCATTAAATTCTGCAACTTTAGATCCTTCACCTCCCTTTTGCTTTAAGTTGTCACATAATGACCTTTTTTCTTTTTCTTGAATTGTATTAGAATCTATAGGCATGCCTTTCTTATAGCGATCTTACACCCACATTTTCAATCTGAGATAAAAGATATTTCACAAAAAGTATGAGGTTTAAAAACTGCATGTTCTCATTCATAGGTGGGAATTGAACAATGAGAACACTTGGACACAGTGTGGGGAACATCACACACTGGGACTTGTTGTGGGGTGGGGGGAGTGGGGAGGGATAGCATTAGGAGATATACCTAATGTAAATGATGAGTTAATGGGTGCAGCAAACCAACATGGCACATGTATACCTGTGTAACAAACCTGCACATTGTGCACATGTACCCTAGAACTTAAATAATAAAAAAAAGTGTAAGGTTTTTGCACCTGATGGTGTAGCTGCAGTGACAATTTCATGAATTTCCTTTTTATTTTATTTTATTTCACGTTTTTTTTTTTTTTTTAATAGTGGTCCTTAAGCTGGATTCATTTATCTTGAAATGGTGGGTAGCCACAGCTGCAGACCTCAATCTATGGAACATATCAAGCAATTCAACTTTTTCTTGTAATGTCATGACTTTTCTCTGCTTCCTGGGAGCACTTCCAGCATCCCTAGCAGCACTTCAAATGGGTCCCATGGTGTTATTCAAGGTTTACGGTATTGCACCCAAACATGATGAAAAATATGTGAGAACTGCAAGAGATCACTTTTTACTGTGATACGCAATTTACTAGAGAGAGGAACTGCTCATATGGAGATCATTAGCATCACACAGCATTTTAAGCAGACATTTTGCAACACTTGAGCTCACTGCAACAGCAATGAAGGTGGCTACCAAATTATTACAGTAGTACAGTATGTATTATAGCTAATTTTATGCAGTTTATGATTTATTCCTTCATTTTTACATTGGCTTACATTTCTCTTGACTGCTAATGGCACCATATATGGTGTTTTCATGTATAAGTTTTGATAAATTTTAGCTTTTTATAATAGATTTGTGTATATCATATGGTAGTAAATGATAAAATAGGCTAGTATATGGATATATTTTATGCATTCACGACATGACTTTTTCTTAATTTTTTTGATATTTCTAGGCTATGTGGTTCATGTGTGAGTTTTTCCAAATTGTCACAAATCTCCAAAAAATTTTCCAATATATTTATTGAAAAAAATCTGCCTATAAGTGGACCCAAGAAATTTAAACCCATGTTATTCAAGGGTCAACTGTATTAGGATTCTACCTGAGAATTTGTTTTCTGAAGAGTTTTTTTATGTGTGTGTGTTTAAAAACCACTGGATTAGATTAATAGAAATGATCAATGATGAATAAGCAAGGGGAAAAAAACTGTCAAATAGACCCTGTGCTCTTTGCAAAAGTTGAATAGAATCACTTCCTTCCTAAATTCAGGCCTTGCTGAAGTGACAAATTATTGATAGCCCAAAGTTAGGATTGCCAAATATTGCACGGGACATACTTAAACTAAAAGTTATTTCCCTGCTTATCTGAAATTCAAATTTAGCTGGTTGTCCTATGTATTTTTTTGCTAAATCTGGCAAACCTAATTAACACATAATTCATAACAAAATAGTGAATGGATTCCCCACTATAATGATTTTGCCACACACTGACCAAAAAATCCTCATATCTTAGCTGCATGCATCATAGTGCATTGAGCCTTTGCCTGCCATGCAAGCCCCTCCCCAGCAGCCAGCAGACCTTCTTTGCTGGAATGTGAATAAGAAACAGGCGCTGTCAGGCCTTTCTAGGCTGGAAGAGCCTCACTATTCTCCAGGATTTTCAGGACAAATGTGTCCAACTTCTGCCACTGAACCATTTTTTCCAATTCTTGTTGTTTGTACTTTTATATCATTCTATCTTTGAAAATTTCAAGTTGTAAGCTTTAATTAGAATATTAATAGTGTCTTGGAGTACTTCATTAATCTCATGTACTTCTTTCTCTCAAAGAGAGAATTTTAAACATTATTTTTCTGTTGTCTTTGTCACTTTTCCCTTATAAACCTCAGTTCATTTGTATGTTATCTTGCCAAGCACTAGGTTAATGCTACTAAAATCAGCTTGCTGTAGTTCTGTATCCTTCTTTCCTTTTATAAAAGCCTGTTAGAGAACAGAACTTAGCAGAGAACTTAGCAGAGAACTTGCTTGTCCTTTTCATTTAAATCTCATCACAAGAAATACTGTTATAGGAGAACTTTCTAGACAATAAAGTCAAGTCCATGTTCTAAATAATCCATTATATGAGTATTGATGGTTAATAGCCACATTTAGGAATGTGCTAAGTGATGTACACTTACTCAGCCCTTATAGCCCTATGAGATGGTGATTAATTTCCAATTTACAGAACAGAAAGCCAACACATGGGAGAGGCAAAGTAACTTGCCCAAGGTCACATAGCTGAAAATTTATAGAGCTGGGATATAGACCCATATCTCTGTCTGATTCCAAAATTATTGCTCATGGTCATTGTGTTATACTCTGCAAACAAGTCTTTGTTGGTCTGGCTTCAGCCAGTTAAGGGCAATAACAATCAGATGGAATGTCTGTCTATATTGTAGCCACTCCAATAGTAAAAGAAATGATTGTATGTTTCCTGCATTGTGGGTTGGAGAAGATAGCTCAGCTCTTCCTAGTAGATAAGCTTTTCCAGTAGAAGTGATTTTTCAAGTTAGCTGGGCGTGGTGGTGTGTGCCAGTCATCCCAGCTACTCGGGAGGCTGAGGCAGGAGAATTGTTTGAACATGGAAGGCGGAGGTTGCAGTGAGCCTAGATTGTGCCACTGCACTCCAGCTTGGGCGACAGAGTGAGATTCTGTCTCAAAAAAAATAAAGATTTTTTTCAGTAACTCTTATTTTTTCACCTGGAAGAGATAGCCATCTAATTTGGTGCCATCTCATGTTCCAAATAATTGATTAAAAAACCCCACGTATCGTAAAAGTCCCGCACCTAAGGAGGGTAAGGGGGAATATAGGTACTTGTGCATCTGTGACCTTTCTTTCCTCCTGCTGGGCTGAGTTCCCTTAGCTCATGGATTTATTAAGCAGAAGCCGGATGCTGGCATTCTTTCTTTTCCAGATTCCTCATCTTGGAACCTGGTTTCTAACAATGTGTTAATTTTAGAACCATTTTACTTCATTAAAATAATTGGCAAGTTCCCTGAGTTCAACACAATGGGAGTTTACCTATTTTTAACTGTCTAAAACTTAATGTGGTGGTGCTTGCTATTTTTACTTGTAAAATAATTCTCCATAAGTTATTTCTGAAAAACTTTCCCTGTAAAGGTGGTCTAGTTCACCAGTCTCAATTCATGGTGGAGAGAAAACTGAGTCTCAGAGAAGTCAGATAATCTGCAAGAGGTTTCCCAGTGCCAAGCTCCTGCTTCAGCTGAATGGTAGGACCTGCTGTCATCACTCTGTCCTTGGCCACAAAAATGATTCAATCCCACAATGTCTGTGACTCCCAGCCCTGCATTCTACTCATAGCCAGTCATCGTTCCTTATAGCCTGAAGGACATAATCACTGCAACTCAGGACTGTGGTCAGAGTCCCACCCTCATCTGGATGTGCCATTCTTCAAAATCTTGCTCAGCTGTCCACTTGGTTTGCCCGCTTCTCTCCTTGCCCATTCTGTTTTGGGATGGCTTCATGAGCGATGTCTGGGAGGGGCCCATGAGGTGGCATCTCTCTCTTTTATGTACCTTCTGACAATGGCAGTACTCCTGTTCTCTCTCCTTGCATTCCCAGCACCCCCACATTCAGGGTGGTTTCTTTCACTCCTTCACAACTCCTTCTGCTTCTGTGAAAGGCCACTGGCTGCTTGCTAAGGGTGAAAAGCCTGAAAAGGAAGTGCTGCTTCCCTGAATAGGAAGGTGAGGCTCATTGACATTCTAGCAGTAAATCGTCCTTCAGCTGATTGTTGAAGGAGAATAAGAGGCACTATCTGCAGAACGTCTAAGTTAAAGGCAAATGTGATGTATGGAAAGGGCAACACAGTTTTTGAACTTGAGCTTGGTCCTGGGCCCTCTTCTCTGTCTGCCCTCATATCTTGTCTTATGACTTAAAATACCACCTCTGTGTAGGCAACCCCAGCCTCTCTTCTGAACTGTACACTCCATGTGCAGTTGCCTGCTGGACATTCCAGTTAGACTTATAAAAGGCAGATCTAACTTGGCAAAACAACCAGACCCTTGACTTTCCTCTCCAAACCTGCTCTTCCCTCATTCTCTTCTCTCTTGGTAAATGTCCACTTTAATCTTTCAGTTTCTTAGGTCAAAAGCCTAGGTCTCATTTTTACTCCCATCTTCCCTCACAGCTCAAATCCAATCCATCCTCAAATGTCAGCAATTCCTTCACAATGTGTTCAGAATCTGACCACTCTACCTCAGGCCCATTATCCTCGTCCAAACTGCCTATCGCTCTCCTAGATGCATGCAATAGTTTCCCACTTCGTTCTTCTCTTGCTCTCCCAGTCTCTTCTCCACAAGCTAGTGAGAGTGATGTTTTAAAAACATATTGTCACGGGTCTCCTCTGATGAAAATCCTTCAGTGATTTCCCATCTTACCCAGGGTAAAACCCAAGACCCTACATGATCTGCCCCCTTCCATATATCTGATCTCACCTGCAGCCACTCTCCCCTTCTTCCCCTTCCAGTCTGGCCACCATGGCCTGCTCACTTGGAACACACCAAGTACATGCTGCTCTGGTTCATTCGTCTGCCTGGGACACTCTTACCCTAAAGAACCACGTGACTCCCTCACTCCCTTTACCTCTCGGTTCAAATGTCACCACATTAGAAAGCTTTTCCTGACCCACAGAAATGAGAGCAGACCATTTTTGTTTTTGTTTACTGTGTATCATCATTACCAAGAACAGTGTCATTACTTTGGACAAGGTGACAATCAGAAAATATTTGAAACCAGTAAATACAAATGAATTCATTAGTTTCCAGATAAGAAAAAAGTGTTGTTGTTGTTATTTTTCCTTGAATGTCTTTGATTTAGTTATGGGCTCCAACATCACTTTGATCAGTACTTTGTATGATCAGGGTCAGATTCCATATCCCAATTTCTTTATCTGTAAAATTCAGAGTTGGGCTAGGTAGTGTGTAAGGCAAGTTGGCTGCATTCTTCTGGGACTGTAAAAGTGGAATATCTTCCGAGATCCAACAATAGCATGCTGGGATGCTGGTTCTTGGGGTCTCTTCTATAGGTCTACACCTGTGTCCATGGTGACAGAGACAGCCTTTTCCTCCACATTTCTTATCCACTTTGTGAATCCTTTTTCCTTATCATCAAGTACTTTATGTGTTTGTGCCATTATGACACACAGTGTGCAGGAGAGGTTGTGAGATGTGTTGCCAGACACCAGTTAATAGTAACAACATAGTTTGTACACAATTTACATTAAAAAGTTGGAGTAGATTCGACATTACCTATACAATAACCTGACCTCACTCATCTATATTCTGGTATGCCTTCTTGAGTGGGAGATAAATGAGGGAGCATAGTAGGAATTATGCATAACCCAGTGGATGTCTTGGGGGAATGTCTTGCCTGCGAATGTCATTGGTTTCATGTGTTGTAGCGAGAAAACAAATGGTTTAGAAACACTGATGTTGTGATGCTTGAGATCTAGAGGTAAGAAATGTGGTCTCTACCTTCCTTCATGGCATTTATGACATCAGTTAAAAAACAATACAGGTTGAGCATCCCAAACCTGAAAATCTGAAAGCTGAAATGCTCCAGAATAAGAAGCTTTTAAGTGCGGACATGATGCTCGAATAAAATGTTCATTGGAGCATTTTGGGTTTCAGATTTTTGGATTTGGGATGCTTAACTGGTAAGTATAATGCAAATATCCCAAAGTTTAAATACAACTGACATCTAAAACACTTCTGGTCCCAAGTGGTTTGGATAAGGGATACTCAACCTGTACTGTGAAAAGGTGTAAGAACACAAGTTCATCTGTGTGAGTGCCAGATGCATAGTGCAGTTTGTGAATAGAGCTTTCAGGTGGAATGCTTATGGGCTGAGATGGTGGGGTTTGGTTTACAAAAGAAGGGAGACTCGAGTTGTATCATGAGAGGAGACTCTCCTCTTCTCCAGAAGCCAATTCACAAGATGCCTTCCCTCTCCTCCTTGCTTTGGCCTGTGGTGATATCAGTTTGGTTGGCACTAAGCATCAGGTTTCTGCACTATTCCTTGTGGTCCCCCTACATCCACACTATTGTAAACAAGTCCTCTTTGAATTATGCTAGTTCAGGTGGGTCATCTGCTCTCTGTTGGGAAGCTACAACACAGCTGTGTAACAAATTTTCATTTTAATGGAAGAGATGAAACCAACAGATTATGATTGTTTTTCTCCAGCAAGATATGCTAAGTTGCTACACCCTTTACAGAAAATAAACTTGATATCTGTGCCAAAGGAGAATGAGTAACATTTCTAAAGCCCCAGCCTTCTGCTTAAAGTCTGTTGACTTTGGCATCCTGCTTACTTGTCCTTGTTGATACATATGTTACCTTGTATGGATCAAGGAGGAACTTGCCCTTGGTATTCTAAATAAGTGGTTGACAATATCATTTATTTTCCAAAGTGGAACAATTTTGAGAGTGCAAGGGAGAGTACTATAAATAATGACTCAGGGACAATAGGTATAAACCAGGATTGTTGGAGGCAAACGTGACTTAATGGTCACTTTATAAATTAAGGGATGTTATAATTGGTTTCAATTAATCTAAACTTATAATTCTACCCCAGAGAAAATAAAGAGCACTCCTTCTGCTTGCTGGGTCTACCCTCCTGGTCATCTTCAGGGGCCCTGTTTTGGGCTGCAGGGAAAAACCTCACTATTGTCTATCCCAACCACTGAGTGAAGAAGGCCAGCTCCAGGGATCACGGCCACTTGGATGATTGAAGATTTTCACTGCTGGGCAGAGGCTGCATGACAATATGGGTAACACGCAGGATCTGCCTAGCATTGCCTTTGATAGGGAATTAAGGTCATAGGAAACTCTTTGAGAGATCTGTCTCTTAATGTCTTCAAATTCTATCTTGTGATCAAAAGAATTGAAGTATGGCCTGGCTCAGGGAAGGGAGTGATTCTAGGTCTGGCAGATGCACAGTAGATGAGAAAGATGCAGATCCTCAGAGAGGAAGGGCAAGAGCACTTCCATCAGGACGAGGCTGTGAGCAAAGGCCTAACAGCAGGGTGCCAGCTGCTATCCAAGACAAATTAAAGACCCGAGCCACATCACCAATGCACTCATGTGTTTGCAGGGCTAGGCTTATTTAGAGGGACACATTTTCTTTACAAACCTTTCACCAACTAAAAACACGAAGAGATGCTTCAAAGCATCAGCCCTACCTAGTAGCCTGGTGTGTGCGTGAAAGCTGCTACTCCTCATTTGGCCTTGTGCTGTCAGCTCAAGTGCAGTATTTGGGATTATCTAGCCAATTACTATGCTGGTGTTCTAGCTGCCTCTCAAGTGATTTCCCTATTAGGGACTCCCTAATAGAAACATTTTGTTTTCCCTAGAAGAACAGTTTGGATATCCTTCAGATAACCATCCTTTGTAATCTGCGCCAGAGTTTGGATTTATTTCCACAACTTGAACATAACCCTTTTCTCCTGGTTGTCTTAGTACGTGGTGTTCTTGCTGCTAATTTATGGGGAGCACTTTGCATCATGCTCTCCAGCTTGGTGATCATCATTTTCTGTTTTTGAAAACAAAGGTATTTCTTACAGTGGAAAATTCTTTGTGTGCACTCATAAATTTGTATATGTGTATTTTAATTTTGTGGAAAAGCAGGGAGCTATTGTGGTTTGTTGGAAAACCTCTTGCAGGATTAAGTGATATCTTATGATGCCAAGTCAGAAGCTTCTAGCATTTGGGGCCTATTTATTATTTATTATGACTCAGATTGACAATTAGTTGAGTTGGAATTTCAAGTATGCAACATAATGGCTAATTCCCTCAGTAATAAATTATGCCTACAATTCTACAAACTCTAATAGCTCCCAAAAGGTGAATGGCCGTGGTTGTGATTTTAGGCCTAGTGGCTTGGCTCTTCTCACATATGGTTGACTTAGAGAGGTTAGATTGGTGAGCACATGCTTTTAGTTCAATTATGCAGCATTTTTGAGGCTTAAGTATGGATATAATATATGGATCAAGACTAAAATGAACATGAATACCTATCTATAAATTGGCATCACTTAGGTTTTCTCCTCATCACCACCTACAGACTTTTAAAAAAAACTCTCTTCTGAGATTTAGAAAGCTATCCAGGCTGCCTTGATTTTTGTTATCTGTGCTTCTGGACCCTTCACTGAAATGCTTCTGCTGGCAAACCTCTGACTAGCTTCCTGTTCTTTTTTTTTTTTTTTTTTTTGAGACAGAGTCTCGCTCTATCAGGCTGGAGTACAGTGGCATGATCTCCACTCACTGCAACCTCTGCCACCCTGGTTCAAGCCAATTCTCCTGCCTCAGCCTCCCGAGTAGCTGGGATTACAGGTGCATGCCACCACACCTGGCTGATTTTTGTATTTTTAGTAGAGATGGGGGTTTCACCATGTTGGCCAGGCTGGTCTCGAACTCCTGACCTCAGTTGATCCACCTGCCTCAGCCTCCTAAGTGTTGGGATTACAGGCATGAGCCACCGCACCTGGCCTCATTTTCTTTTTAAAAGAAATTTTTTTTGTTTGCCTCATTATGCCTTCTAATTCATTCAAAAGTGCAGTGACAGCCCATTGCTTTTTTCCTGGGCAGAATAAAAAAGCCTCCCTTGTGTTCTCTGTCTCAGCTTGAATGGAAAGGGAAACTTAAAGAACACACCCTACAATTCACTCAGGAAGATCCTTCACTCATCAGGAATGTGTTCCCTTTGGTCATCATATTTATTCGTCTTCTGCTTTACTAGATTTGGAAACTTCTGCAGTTTCAATCAAAGAAATGGTGGCATTCAGAAGGAGGATGGAGAATTCATTGGAGAACTACAATAGTGAGGAACTTGGTGCTCCATGTGAAGAATCTCCGATCCACTTTTTTGTTCATTCATTTGTTCATTCATTGTTAACATTTACGGTGTGCTGAACAGTATTAGACACTGTGCTCAGTGCTAGAGAAATTGAGATAAATGACACTATCACTTTTTTTGCTGATGATATAATAGTATTCCCAGAAAACCCAGGAGACACTAATAAAAATGTATAAGAATGTAATTTTTGAAAGATAATTGGATCAATAATAATTTAAAAAACATAAGCACTTTTTTCATACTATCAATAAAATGTGGAAATGAAAGTGGGAAAAGTATTCAATTCGAGATAATGACGTAAAACTATGAAATATTGAGAAATAAATTTAGCAAGAAAAGTGAGGAACCTATATGAAGAAACCTGAAATAAATCTCAACAACTAGAACGTCATACCACATTCTTAGAAGGGGAGACATTATATCATAAAAATGTCAAATTACCCCAAACTATTACATACATTTAGTATAACACCAATAGACTCTCAGCCATTTTAAGTGGATGAAATAATCTCAAATTTCGTATAGAAAAGTAAACACCCCCAAATAATAATAAAAGTATCCATAAAACAGATACTTTTCTTATTAGATATCAGTATATTCAACAAAACTACTGTAATAAAAACCAAGATAGTATAGACACAGAATAAACAAATCAGTAGAATAGAATATAGAACCAAGAATATATCTCAATGGCATTTCTAGGATTACTAGAGTGGAGGGAGAGGGAGTGGGGCAAGGATTGAAAAACTAACTATTGGTTACTATGCTCAGTACCTGGATGACAGGATCAATTGTACCTCAAACCTCAGCATCACACAAGATACCCAGATAACAAACATGTATATGTACCCCCTGAATCTAAAATAAAAGTTAAAATTATAATAAAAGAATATATCTCAGTATATATGAAAAACTCTATGATAAAGGTGGTACCTCAATGCAGCAGGAAATAAATTATATAGTTATTAAATATTTCATTAATAAACAGTAACATTATAAATAATTAATAAATAGTGTCAGTGTAACTATCTTTCTTGAAGAAAATAAAGATGGACCCTACTACACAAAATATGCAAATATAAATTCCAGGCTGGACACAGTGGCACAGGCCTGTTGTCCTAGCTACTCAGGAGGCTGAGACATGAGAATCGCTTGAACTTGGGAGGCGAAGGTTGCAGTGAGCCAAGATTGTGCCACTGCACTCCAGCCTGGGTGACAGAGAGAGACTGTCTCAAAAAATATATGTGTATATATATATATCCCAGATGCCCTGAAGATTTAAATGTAAACAAGAAGATAATACATATTTCAGAAGAAAATATAAGAGATTATATGCAACCAGTCATGAATACTAAATAAATTATGAAAGAACATGTATTTAGAATGAGAAAAGAGTTGCAACCAATTACAAATCTGAAAAAGCTGACAAATATCACGAACATTAAAAATACATTCTTTGGCTTCATAAACTTTGATTGCCCCTTCATAGGACAAAAATTTTGTAATGTGTTTTTCATAGAGAAAATAGAGAGATAACTCAGTTGTTCTAGCATGGTTGATTGAAGTTTTAAAAAATTACTGATAGTTTACAATAATTTTTTTTCCAGTGTCCTAAGTTAGATTAATATCACATAAATTTTTAGGATTGGTGTCAAATTTGGAAAAGCCTTTGTTGAGGAGAAAACTTCTGTCTTTTTGAGGCATCAGTGAAACTTGAATTCTCTGTATCAATGGATCTGATGATTGGAAGGATTTCCCATAGATGATTAGCTTCTGACTGTCTTCTGGTTTCTCCTCCACTTCCTAACATACTCCTGGTGCTGGGCCCTGAAGTTCATATTCATGCTGAGATGTGGACTCTTGCCTTGCACCTCTGTGTCGCTCAGGAGCCAGAGGAGCACTCCTAGAAGCCAGTGTTCTACCAGAACGCTGGCAATCACGTAACTAACACAGAAGTGACTGAGATCCTCCTAAATATAGCCTACTTTTCCACTAAACCCTAATGAAATATCAACTCACCTTCTGTTAGCTGGATCCCCCGAATTCTCATGGCCTGTCTAATGTCACCCAATACAGAAGGAAAATTGGAGTAGGGAGAGACAGCAATCTTAAGCATTTTGGTTAAAATAGCTTAAATTTTACAAAAACTTGTAAAAATATTGACCATGTTGCTAGGCCATCGCTGGGTCCCCTCTCAGGGCCATGAACTTAAGCTTCATTAGTTTACTATTACGTTGTGTTCCTTCTTTTATTGGCAACCTGCTTGATGCTCTATTGGAGAGAGTATTAAGCTCACTGTGAGTCTCCCTGGCCCCCGTCCCCATCATCTTTGTGTGTCTGTATGTGTGTGTCTGTGTTTATAGCATTTACAAATTTCCTTGCAATTTTTCTGGTCACACTACATTATGGGTCTAAAGAAGTCAGCCTTGCTTTTCTGGCTTCAAATCATTTTTTGAAAACCCTGGAATCTGAATACAGGAACATTAAACACTACGACTGCAGTAATTTTAGAGTCAATGTCCTGAAAATGAGAAATTCCGATGAAATGATGTACTGCATAACATCGTTTCCGGCCCCTGCACCACCACCAAGGCTTTACATACATTTTCCTCCTTCATTTTCATATGTATTATATTTACCATCAATCTTGTGGCAAGTTGCAGAGCAGGGAGATTGGGTGACATGGTTCTCTGATTGAAGATCAATCCATAAATGGTCTTTTCCTGCTCTGGATGAAAAAATGTGAGAACACAGCATTGCTACTCATGGGTCTTTCTTTTAACCCTGGTAGGAATTTCAGTCCTGGTGACAGTAGTAAAGCAGTCAGCCAAAGGTCTGAAGAGAAAAACTAATCAAGAGGAAGGAAGAAAAACCACAAGAAGCAATTGTTCACCTGAAGACCATTTCTGATGAGTTTGAATATAAATACAAGAATCCCTGAAATGTCAAAAGAAGGCCTTGGATAAAGAACTCAAAGCCCAATTAATCTGTGGGAAAAATGCTTTTCTTTATTAATGGACTATTTTTAAGTTTTTCATGCCCTTCGTAAGGTTTTGGTCTCCTGAACGTAAGGGCTTAATGCAACCAGTTTTGAAATATTTCCCATTTTAAAATTGGAAGACTTATCCCTCAGACCAAGACCTTTTCTCCTTTCCAAGAGATGTAATCTTATCTCTGTCCAAATACTGCACTACCCAGGAGAAAAGTGTGTGTCTGTGTGTCTGTGTGTGTGTGTTTAAGTCCGCTCTTATCAGCTTTGGAGGAGACTGCATTGCAAACACATACACACACATGCACACGCACACACACACGGTTTTGACATTACTGGTCTAACCACATTGCAATCGCAATAATGAAAAGCAGAATGGGCAGAAGCCCCAGGGCTTTGGGTGTGTTTTCCAGAATGGATTACAAAAATTGGTGGGAAAGAAATAGCTTCATGTACAGAAAAGGATTTGGAAATAAGGGCATCAAGAGCTTTCTGGGAAGAAATGTGAACCAGATGGAAGAACCCAAAATTAAGGATGATGATGAAAGCAAAGAAGTAGTTGTTTCTTAGAAGCAGTGGGGCAGGGAGGTGGGGGGAGATGTGTCCATTCTCTGTTACCTAGTTGTCAAGATACTAGTATGAGAGGAAGGATGATGCAATGCAAACAACATAAGATTTGGGACTGTGTGATCCGTGTTACTGTTTTTCTCCAGATCTGCTTGCTCCAGCTGCCTCTAGGTCCTGACCACTTGCTCAGCAGAGAAGCCTTGACCACTACCTTTCTTCCATCTCTTAACATTGTCAGCTGTCCCAGCCTCCCCAAGGTGAGGACCCTGACTTTTTTTTTTTTAGACGAAGTCTCGCCCTGTCACCTAGGCTGGAGTGCAGTGGTGCGATCTCGGCTTACTGAAACCTCTGCCTCCCGGGTTCAATCGATCCTCCCACCTCAGCTTCTCAAGTAGCTGGGACTATAGGCATGCACCACCATGCCTGGGTAATTTTTGTATTTTTGGTAGAGATGGGGTTTTGCCATGTTGCCCAGGCTGGTCTTGAACTCCTGACCTCAAGTGATCCACCTGCCTTGGCCTCCCAAAGTGCTGGAATTAGAGGTCTGAGCAACTGTGCCCTGCCAGGAGCCTGCTTTTGTATGGCTTCACTATGCTCACTGGGCAGAACTGTAGCAACCCCACCCCGGACCTTTCGACCACACCTAGGCTCAGAAGTGTTGGGAAGTGGCATGGGATCTGACTTCCCTAGTGGCTGACTGGAGAGCTCAGGTAACACAGACACACCCAGAAGTGTTGGGGCGTTCACACTTCTAGAAGTGTCAGGCATTCTTTGAGCAGTGAGAGACAGGAGACAGGAAAGACCTGGCAGATACATTCTGTTCCCTCTATTCCCACAATGGACTATTATGAGAAGCACATGGCCTCTCTGGAGATGTCCTGCATAAAAAAGGAACCAGCTGTGTTTTCTAGTGATGCTGTGGCCAGCCCAGTGATGAACCACACTTACATGTTTTCCCTCCTTTCTTGCCTCCCTTCCCTTTCCCCCTTATTCTTGCTGTCTTGAGACTGTACCCCTTAATAAAGCATTAGCACACAAGCTGTACTTCAGAGGCTTGATTTTCTAGGAAATCCGCGGTAAGACAAGAATATTTTTCAGCTCCTTATATATCACAGTGGAGCTACTAACCCTGCTTTCCCACTCATGGGAATGGGTATGCCTTCAATGAGCAATGCCATATAATATCGCAAGCCATGATGGGACACTGATAGAGATTTTAGATTCAGTGGTATGGAGATTGCTGATTACTTTAAATATCATGCCATTAATTTAGGTATGTAGCATGTACATGGTAATTTAAAAATAACACAATAGGGAATGATCAGGTCGGTTCTAAACAGTTATGATCTGAGGAAAGAGATTACTATGAGTCTTTAAGCCACTGCATTGTACAATAATTGATATAACTTGTTTATGAAACACTTGAATGTATTCATTTAACAATACGAGACAAGATTAATAATAAAACTTTGTGATCAGTTTATTAAGCATTCTTAACTTGCTGGTGGCACAAGTGGTTTACTTTTTTCCAGTTACTGTTATCAAATACATGCTGTCAGATCTTCTTGTATTACTTTTCTATTACTGTGTTACAAATTGCTACACATTATCAGCTTAAAACAATACCCATTTCTGGCCGGGCGCGGTGGCTCACGCCTGTAATCCCAGCACTTTGGGAGGCCGAGTCGGGCGGATCACAAGGTCAGGAGATCGAGACCATCCTGGCTAACACGGTGAAACCCCGTCTCTACCAAAAATACAAAAAGAAATTAGCTGGCGTGGTGGCGGGCGCCTGTAGTCCCAGCTACTCTGGAGGCTGAGGCAGGAGAATGGAGTGAACCCGGGAGGCGGAGCTTGCAGTGAGCAGAGATCGTGCCACTGCACTCCAGCATGGGCGACAGAGCGAGACTCCGTCTCAAAAAAAAAAAAAAAAATTCTCATTTCTGACATCACAGTTTCTGTAGGTCAGAAGTCTGGCAGGGCTTAAATGGGTTCTCTGTTAAGGGTCTCACCCTCAAGGAGTCAGCTAACTGGGTGCTTACCGAAGGATCTTGGAAGAGCCTACCTCCCAGTTCATTCAGGCTGTGGGCAGGACAACCTTGTGGCTGTAGGACTGAGGTTCCAGTTTCTTGGTTGTCAGTGGGGGGCTGTTGTCATCTTCTAGAAGCTTCTCACAGTCTATTGCCAAAGGCCTTCTCATAGGCCATCCACAGAACCATTTGCAACATTGAAGCTGGCAGCAAAATCCCTTAGTGTACATCCCCGTTATGCTCAAATCTGACTTCCTCTTCTGCTGCCAGTCAGAGAAAACTCTCTGTTGTAGTCGGCTCTATATTAGTGACTGGAGTACTCCTGTATTCGTCCAGGTCTTTAGAGACACAGATGCCAAAATGCGATTAGATGTGCAAGGGATTTATTGGGGGAAAAATGCTTGTGAAGGAGAAGGAGCAGGAGATGGAGGAGGCTGAGAGCACTACCCAGTTGTGATGTTGATCTGACCCCTGTGAAGGAGACAGGGAAGAAAAAAGAAGGACAGTATTAGACAACAGTGCAGTTCTAAGATAGTTCCATCAAGGCTGCCAGGAATGAGCCTGACTTCGTGTCCCTGCTACATTCAGTCATTGGTCTGGGAGCAGCTAAAGGAAAGCATGATCTTGGTTCCAGTGCTGTGGTAGATGGCAGTCTGTAGCAGCTGGGCTGCTGTGTTCTCTGCAGTAGGAGATCTGAGAGCACATTTTCATGGCCACCACAACTGCAAACTCTAGTGCTCTTCCATAGGTTACATCAATGACTCATGGTTACAAAGATTCTCCTTAAAACCCCTATATCTCGTAGTTGTCTGTGTGTTTAAACTGGAGAGAGGTGGTAGGGCTTGATGGGGTAGCTGAGCAAGTTCAGCCTGTCTCATAAGGGGCAGTCCCCTCACCTTATTTTTGGCTTTCTTTAAAATCTGGTATCATTATGGTTCTTTGTTTCTAGATTTGGGTTTGGTAGCCAATTTTTGGAACAACATGAAAAGGTCTTCTCATCCTACTATATCTTTCCATAAAAGAACAAATCCCTTCTGTACTTCTCAGGTGTTTAGTTCTTCTTAATGAGAATCTCTATATGCTCTTGTTTATTATATTGTTTTTCTTTAAAAAATTTATTTCAGTATAAAAGGGATATATTTTCTTTAAAGAAAAATGTGAAAATATGAAAAAGAAGAAAGTGAAAAGTTATACAGTGACCTATAACCTAAAAAGAACAAACATTAATATTTTAAGTATTTTTTCAGGCCTTTTTTTCTGTAGAATTTTATATTCTGCTTCCCCTTCCTCCCCTAAAAGTTTATAGGATAAACCTTTACATTTTCTTTTAAAAATAAGTTTTTGGTGATTGTAAAAGTAGTACTGGTTTGATGCAGCAAATTGGTAATATGAACTGCGATTCTGCTGCCTAGAGATAGCCACTATTAATAGTGTGTTTCCTTCCAAAAATATGTAAAAACCTGTGATAGTTCTACTTGTTTTATTTTGCATCTATTCTTTTCCATTAACATGTCATGAGCATGTCCTCAGATTACCTACTAATCTAAAAGGTGGCAATTTAAATAACTGCATAATTTTCTATAGTGTGAATTCTCCTATTGCATATGTAGATGTCTAACTATTCACCATTGTAAATAGTTCTGTGACATGCATATTTCCTTACCTTCCTTATGATTTTCTTAGGGCAGATGCCTGGGAGTAGGGATACTAAGTCAAAGATGAAATATATTTTGAAGGATTTTGATAACTATGTTACCAAACTGTTGTCCAGAAATGTACCAATTTGCACTCCCATCAACAGTGAATGAGATCATTTTCTATTCTTAACCCGTCGCCCCCTCCTTATTTTGGTTTCAACTCACTGGTAGTTTCTCTTATGTATCCTAATTTCTTTATCCATGTGAAGATGTCCTGAACTGGTTGTGAGGGAGATGGTTTTCAGTGAGAGGAAAACAATCAATCATCTTTGGTATTTCTTTAATTCAGTTTCTCATCTCTGAATTTAGAATCTACCACGAAGCACATATATTTTCCTTTGCATCTATAGAACAGAGATTCAAATACGCCTGTGTCTGGCTTGCTGTAATCATAGGAGGATTTTCTGATTTTGCTACTTATATTTTTTCTGCTTTCTCAGAAGGAATCTTTTTCCATCTTGCTCTTCATCTACAGCCCTTGGCTACATTGTTCCAGGAACCAAATTCTTTAGAGACTGCCTCTGGCATAGAATTTAAAGTGACAACATCCCTTCAAACAGCAGAAAATTGAAAAGAAAATTAACTGACTTCATTATGGTCATGGTTGCAAAATGTTTGGCTGGCTAGGCTTACAGGTTTAGTTTCTGACTCTGGAGTGGAATGTTTCCCTGTGAGGAACTGTTTTATGCGTTGCTTAAGTCTTGGCCTCACTGGCATCTGTTGTAACCAACAGGAAGCATTAGCTTTGCCTGGAAAAGGCTTGGGGACATCTTCATGCTTTTCTGTGAGGTTTGGTCCTGTACTTGGGATTTCCAGACTTGGGTCAGTGAATCATGGTGGGGGTGATGGTGGAAACTTTTGTGACTAGGAGACAGACTGTGTGCATCTGCTTACTCCAGCCTCCACTGACGTCTGGTGCCCAGCGAGACAGGCAGATGTGTGTCGCAGTCAGGGCTCTCCCAGTGCACCAGGCCTATGTGGCCAGAGCCCTTTCATTAGGACCCAACTTCTCTCTGATGTCAAGTTTCTGTTTTTCCATGGCCCTTTTTATGTCTCCACAAGACATGAGAGAAAAGTTCGTGCGAGATTTTAATCCCAAATTTTCTCTTAGTCTGATACCTGAAGCAGAGAAGGCACTGTACTGGATTAATAGTTAGGGTAGAGGTACCGTGCCTCAGTTCTTTACAACTGAGGCTACCGATCTCATCTTGGAGGCAGAGTCATTTTGCCCATGGCTATAGTCACATGAACCCCACATCTGGCATGTAACCCTGAGAGGACGGACCATGGTGAGCATGGACTCTACTGAAGGTCCCATTCTTTCTGATATTCCAGGGAAGGAGCTCTCATTCTCATCTGTTCTGTGTGAGCACAAGACCAACACAGCTGGTCTCAGACATGATCACATCCATGTTGATATAAGAATGTGTTCAACGGTGAAACCCCGTCTCTACTAAAAATACAAAAAATTAGCTGGGCGCCGTGGCGGGTGCCTGTAACCCCAGCTACTCGGGAGGCTGAGGCAGGAGAATGGCGTGAACCCGGGAGGCAGAGCTTGCAGTGAGCCGAGATCGCGCCACTGCAGTCCGGCCTGGGCGAAAGAGCGAGACTCCGTCTCAAAAAAAAAAAAAAAAAAAAAAAAAAGAATGTCTTCAAATAAGCAATCTGTAGTTTGGAGATTTAATTTACCCCACAAAATAACTATCCTCTGTTCCCTGCACCATGGCTTTCCATGAGTTAAATATGCTAAGATCTTGCTCTTGGGCCATGACAGTAATGTTATGTCAAAAATTGTCCTGGGTCCAGCTACACCATTCTCTTTTTGCCTACCTCTTCTAGACTGGAGAGGAAGGTGAAAGGAAATGTTTCTTTTGTCCAGAGAACAAGGGTAGATTTGGACCTAGTGTTTGTTAAATGAGAGGTAAGGGAAAAGGACTAGGGGAAGGAAGAGAAGTCTTGAGTCAGGGTTCTTGGGTCTTCGTTGCTTATTTTGAGCCTGCTAGATGTACAAGTCAATAAAGGCAAAGCAATAGTAGGATTAAATAAGGGCTCAGAGAATCCGAGCAGTGTACACAGTCAATAGGGAAATTTGAATTCAAGATTGAAACAATTATTATTTTCTATTTCTATACTCCCTTCCCCTCTCCTTTTTCCTAGTAAATGCAGGATAAAACTCACTTCAAAAATCCCTTGAATAAACACTAGTGTTATGGCCTCTGGTGAAACAAGCCTGTGGGTAGTTGGATTATAATTAGAAACAAAATGAATCTAATGGGAGGGGGAAAAAAAGGAAAATTTGAAGTTTGGAATGGGGCAAAATTTGGATTAGAGTATAATGCTCTGGTAGATATCAGATTGGATAATACAGAGAAGAGGACAGAAGGAAAGAAAGAAAATGTTTAAAAATAAATTAATTGCAGCCACATAACAGATCCTTTAGCAAAATTAGAAGCAGCCTGAACCAACACAACACACAACTCTAAATTAATAGACTATGTTCAACTTAATGGCTATGCAAGCCAAGGAAGCAATACAATGGTGAGTCACTTAAAATGAGGCATTATTTTTTCTGGAACAAAGAAAAGAAAAGAGAACAAAAGGGTTGAAAGACTAAAATGAAGATAAAAACTTTAGATATGTGCATCCAAAATCCTGAGGAGGCTAGAAGCATTCCAAAGCAAGACAGAGTGAACAGTGAGAGGTGAGAAGAATGCACTTAAAGAAATGTTTTTGTGATTGTTTGTCTTATTTTAGGCTTTACAACGAATGTAAAAGACAAGTCTCAGGAAAAGATGTAATTTTATGGAAGAAAAAAGATAGAAAATAACATTACCCAAATGAAAACAGATGAAGATAAAGATCATTTCTTGAACAATATCTTCACATCATGGCTGGGCAAAGTGGAAAGAGACAGAAAACTGGTAATTATTGCCAGCAGACTTAAAATATGTATTTAGGCAGTAAATTTTTTATTATTTTATTTCTTTATTTTTAATTTTGCAAGTATCTCATGAATACATTTTTTAAAAATAACAATTGAAATGATGCAGTCAAAGAAAAAGTTCCTCCTTTGGCCCCACCAAATCCCACTTTCTTGTCCAAAGAGTTTATCAAAAAACATACAAGAAATAACAAATCTGGAAGGTCATAATTTTCTCAATAAGAAAAATATATGCTAGCTCTGCCTTGCTACTCTTATTATGCTCACTTTTGATTATCAGGCAACTTTGAGTATAAAATTTCTGGTATTGCTATTTCTCTTTTGAATTTTGTGATGCTAAAATGTTCTTGAAATTAAAATGTTCCACCCCTTCCCACTCTTCAGATCCCCATCTGTTCTCTTGTGAGCACAAGACCCACACAGCTGGTCTCAGACATGGTCACATCCACACTGATATAAGAATATGTTCGAGTAAGCAATCTGTGGTTTGGTGATTTAATTAATTCTACAAGACACCTAAAAAGTGCCAGGTGGAAGGACACAGATAAATAAGACAGTATCCAGCCTTTAAGGAAATCCTGGCATAACACTAAAGAAAACTCAATATTTTTATCCAGCAGAAGCTGGAACTGAAGTGACTAGTGCCTAGGCTTTGGAGTCATGCAGATCTGGGTTTGAATCCAGCCCTGCCACCTATCATTTCCATGACCTTTAGAAGGTGATGATATTGACACTTCATAAGATTTTGTCATGCTTTGCCTTTTCACACCGCTCCATGCCACCTCACACTTTATGGCTACAGATTCTATCCCTCTGGCCACAGAAGTGGGCCCAAGATAGGTCAGTTAGTGTTTATTACCTCTGGTCACGGTGATTGGTTCAGAGATGGACACAGTATCTAATCTGGGCCAATCAGATTCCTTCTCTGAGATTTTATCTTTTTCTATCTGGAGCTAGAAGGGAAGAACTTTTTTTCTTTTGGATGATGAGGCTATAAGCAAGTAATTTCAAGGGTGCCTGCAGCCATTGTTTCAGTGTCATGTGAACAGAGAATAAAGCAATTGAAAAATATTATTTTATTGTGTATTATTTGAAATAATAAAATCAATATATATACACATGTCTGTGTATAAACACAATAACCCCATTCCTTGACCTCTCTTGAGAGGTCATTGCTATCCTGAATTTTGTGTTTATCATTTCTTATCACAAGTATAGATACACCTAAACAAATTTATTTTTGAGCAGTTTTTTGAACTTTATAAATAATATACTCTATATTGTCTGCTTCATTCCACTACATGGACAAAAAAATTAAGAATTCTGACTATCTCAAGTTGTTGGTGAAGTCTGAAGTAATGGGAACTCATATCTCCTATAGAAATGTAAATTAAGACAACCACTCTGGATAAATAATCTGGCATTATCTTGCAAAGCTGAATATGAAGGTAGCCTAAGATTTTGCAATTCCATGTCTAGGTATATGCTCTGGAAAAACATTTGCTCACGTACTCTGCAGACATTTATAATGACTTGCAGAGTCTCTCCTGATGAGGAAGAAAAATACAGAAAGTAAGCCAAATGTTATTGATGGGAGGATGGGTGACTGCCTTGTGCATTCACACGGCAGAGTAGTATGCAGGAGTGGATGTGGAGGAGCCACAGGTACACTCAACAGTGGGAACAGATCTTAGAGGTAATATTGAGGAAGAATAAACTATTTTCAGGAACAGTTGGACTCTGTGGAGAGTTTTATATGCTGTCCTCTTGGACCTTAGATCAATAACTGGCCCTGACAGCAGCCCACTTTTAGGCCATCGTACAAGCAGGGAGCAGAAGCGGAGCTGGGCAGTAGTAGTCACTGTTCCAGAACCACCATATTAGTCACCCTAGGGAAGGGAGAGCAGTGCAGAGTGAAAATATTCATCTTGGTGATGAGGTTGAGAGCCACCCTTTGCCTGAACATCTGGACTCCTGAACTGAGTTGGCTCAGAGGGCTAGGGAGTAGACAGTGAGGAGTTTTTCTTTTGCTTCAGGATGGGAAACCTATGACCAGCTCTTTCCAGTTGTTATCTGGGTAGTCTATATGGTCTGACCCAAAAGGCTTTTAATTACTGATTTACTGTCATTGATATCATCTTTGAGTTGAGTTGATGAGTTCCTGATAGCTTCTGGAAGGACCCCTCCCTGCTGGGTCCTTTTGGGGGTCTATGCAGTAGTAAGCTGGTCATTTTGGGCTTCTCCTTGGAAAATGGTTTAAACAACCTCTCCTTTTGTGATCTTAGGTACAGCACAAAGGCAAGTTTAAAATTTATTTTCAACATATAACATTTCATCAAGTATCACATTGTGGAAGGGGGTGAAGAGAAGTTGGTTAAGGAGTACAAAAATAAGGTTAAATGGAAGGAGTAAGTTCTAGTATTTGGGAAGAATTGTCATGCTCTCAATACAAAGCAAAAATAAATGTTTGTGGTGATGGATATCCCAGTTACCCTGACTTGATCATTATACATTGTATCAAAATGTGATATGTGTCCCAAAATATGTACAACTATTGTATATCAATTAAAAAAAACACAGTTAGTTGATCAAGACAAAACAGCTAGAGATGAAAAGAAATTGGAGAATGATGGGTTATCTGCACGTTTGATGGGGAGAAAAATTGGGAGACCTGTAAAATATAATTAAATGGGAAATGTAAAAAGAAATTGTTTTACATTTTAACATCTCTAAAAATAAGGATATATCTTACAACTGACAGCTTCTTAACCATTATGAAAGGTGGCATTTTTTTTCTTTCTTGATGGTACCTAAAATAGAGAGGTATCCCACAATCAGTGGTGTCTTAGACTTGATTAAATAGGGTATATTTACCTAATACAAATAACCTTCTTTTGTTCTTTTGCTAGTAATCATTTTTATACATAATAATCTGCACATATAAAGAATATCCACTCAACATTCATAAATTAGAGGTCGAGTCATTTCTATGGTTTTGTAGTGGCTGGTGGAGGAAGGGAGGGAGTGTCTTCACAATGTCTCCACTGTACTGTCCAGCAACAAGGAAGAGGCACTGCCGGAAGACAGCAAGGGAGCGAAAGGGAGAAACAGAGAGAGAGAAGACAGTGCTTCCTTGATTTCCTGATTATACATTTTGCCCAGGGTTCCTTGAGTTTTAATAATAAAATCCCTTTTGCTTGTTTCCAGAAAGTTTCTATTTCTTACAATCAAAGGATCCCCTATTTCAAACACTTAGCACCCTACCCAGTATTTAGTGAGTTCTCTTCATGTGCTTGTTGTTTTCTTATTGTGCTAAGGGATTTATTGAGATTCATCGAAAGTCCTTGGAGAATAGAAAGGAAAGTAGGAAGAAGGTAATGATGTAGTCCCCAGCTGGTGCAATTGTGGAGGATCTTAAAAATGGGTGATATTTGGACAGGTAGAAGTGGAAGCCAGAGAATCCATACAGAAGGAAAGGCCAGCAAAAGCAAATGGGAGGGCTTCATTGGGGAGGGAGGAATTTGGGAGCTGGGATAAGGTGCATTTTGGAAAAGATGCTGGGCTTGGCTTAGAGGGGCTTCATATTCCACATGATGTGATTTTCCTCTATTCAGAAAGGTTTTCGGCGGAAGCAATAGGGACCAAGAGACAGCTTTCTTTTTTCTTTTCTTTTTTTTTTTTTTTAACCAGAAAAGTGACAACTTAAAAACTTTCTTTAAACATATCACTCTGACACCAATGTGTAAGATGAAGTGGACAGGAATGGAACTGTACTGGGAGGCTCTGACAGTTCGGGTGAGAAGAAATGAAGGGTAAGTGTGATGTCAATATTCCCTTTCCGTGTGACAATAAATGGTGGACGCAAAAGAGTGAACATATAAATGGTCTGTGTGAGCAGCCTCATAATGATAATCAAAATGGCTCGCTGCTGCGTAGCTGACCTCCTCCATACAGGTGCGCTGTTATATTGACTTGATGAGCAGACGGATCGTGGCCTCTACTCCTTCCCTCGGCTCTCCATGTTTGCCCACTACCTGGTCTTACTCTTTTCCCTTCCCATTCCCAGTCTCTTTTATCCAAATTTAAACAGCAGATTTTCCACTTCTTCCTAGTGATGCTGCACATTTAATCAGACCATTTCAGACATTCTGTGAGTACACGGCCACACAGGGTAATTTGGGAAGAGCCTAAAACTAACAATTTACACAGGCTGAGTTGGGACCTTTTTTCCTTTACTGTGGCATTTTGACAGCAAGAAAAATGACATGAGGATAGCACTTATTGATTCACAAAAGGCCTTCCTTGGGAATGTGGATGTAAATTCATCTGTGCAGTCTAGACAAATCTAAGTCTATTTGGGAGGTAAAAAGCTATAGTATTATAGATGTTGTCATTGAAATTGACCTAAGAGAGATTCTGCTTTCCCAGTGGACAGTGCAGAAGTAATCCATAGACATATTTGACTCAATGAATATTGTTATAAATAGTATTGAAGATGGTATTTTACATTTGGGAGAATAACTCTTACACAGTGGAAGTTAGGGAAAAGTAAATTGGGAATGTACTGCACAGTTCTGGCCATGTGGTCATTTTAATGATGTAGTAAAAATAGAGATGGAGCAAATGAGTGCTTCTTTATGAGGATGGGCTGACTACTTAATGCTCTCAATCTGGAAGGATGAAGGTGGAGTAGGATGGGATAAAAATTTACAGTGTCATGAAGGAAATGAATCAGGTGAGAATATTTTCCTCGTAAAAAACAACTCAGAAAAATAAGAGCAAAGAATACATACTGAAGGTAGTTTTAAGACCAAAGAAAAAGTGTGGCTTTATATATTATTCTAAGAGATAGGTCCAAATATGGTAGAATTTAAGAAGGGCTTAGATAAACTCAAGGGTGTAGGACTCGTAGTGGGCCTGTGTAAGAAATAGGCCATACTTTTTGTTTTAAATCAGAATAATAACATATATTAATTGTAGAAAAATTAGAAAAATTATATAAGCAAAATTTTAAATAGTTTAAAAACCTGTAATTTCTTAAAAATAACTTTTGATATTTTGATGTATATCTTCAAGACTTTATTTTTTTTGTTTATGTATTTAATTTATCCAAATGGGCTCAAACTAAAATAAGCAAAGTTGCAATTTGCTTTTTCAACTTGATATTTCGTGATATTCTTTCCATGTCCCTAAATTTAGAGCTACACAAACATTTCAAATGACTGCTATGTGTTGCTTTGTATCGATGTGCTATAATTTCCTTGACCAATTCCATACTGCTAAAATAATTCTGGGTTTTTCTATATGTTTATCTTCTATGCTTATAATACTTTTCTCATCTTAAAAATGTCCCATTGGATCTTAAATGTAATTACATTAAGTTTACAGATTAATTTGGAGGAAATCTTTACAATATGCAGTGATTTTATCTAGAAACAGTATATCTTTTCATTTTTCAAGTCTTTATATGTCTCATTAAAATTTTCTTATTTTATGAATATTTGTTCTGCATATTTCTTATTAACTTGATTATTAGGTCCACAGCATTATTATTATTACTTTTTACTCCTATTGTGAATGGTTTTCTCCCATTATTCTAGCTACTTATTTAGGGCATATAAGAAAATTATTGCTTTTAAAATATTTTATTTTTTTAAGTGGACACCCTGACAAACTTTCTTACTGATTCTAGCTTTTTTTCAGTTGTTTCTCTTAGGTTTTCCAGTTTAACCAATCAAATAATCAAGAAATAATGATAATTTCCTCTTCTTTTTCAATATTGATACTCTTATTTTGTTTCTGGGTACATTTTAATTGTCACACATTTCTAGAGTGGTGCTAAATATTAGGTGTATGCCTGTCTTGTTTCTCATTCTAATGGGGATGACTTTATTATTATATCTTTAGTTTATTATATTAGTAATTGCCAGGCATGGTGGCTCACACCTGTAATCCCAGTGCTTTGGGAGGCAGAGGCGGGCAGATCCCTTGAAGTCTGGGGGTTAGAGACCAGCCTGGGCAACATGGCAAAACCTCATCTCTACTAAAAATACAAAAATTAGCTGGTGTGGTGGTGCACGCCTGTAATCCCAGCTACTTGGGAGGCTGAGGCACAAGAAATACCTCAACCTGGCAGGTGGAGGTTGCAATGAGCTGAGATAGTGCCACTGCACTCCACTCCAGTCTACTCCCTCAACAGAGTGAGACTCTGTCCCCACCCCTGCCAAAAAAAAGGGTTGGAAACTTCTTAAGTCAATTTTGTTATTTTATTTTTTTCTAGTAAAAAAAGTCAATTTAAAAAAGATTTCAAATTAAATAACTTAGAGTTCTATATAATAATCAGCTTTTTACATCTTAATTTTTAATGCTTAATTGTTACCATTTATTGCTTAATAAGAATATTTATGTTATAGATTTTCTACTGAGTGTATCTTTGGCCAAACATCACATAAACCATGGAAAATATGATGTGATGCTAATAGTATTTTCTTTAGAATTTGTACTATTTTGCTGACCAAAGAGTTTAGAAGGGTACTTTTTAATTTCTAAGTATCTTGATTTTTTTTGTCTATTATTTTGTTTTTAATTTCTGGTATTATAATTGTATTATTCAATTTAAAAAATACTCTTATTTACTTTTGACTATTTGATCTTCCAATGGAATGTGAAATCTTCTACTATGGTAATAATTCTGTTAATTTTCTCTTGCATTTTTAATAGTTTTAAAAATATTTCAGTGCTATACTTAGCTTTTACATATTCATTGTAGATTTTACTTTTTTGTGTTTGACAAATTTGTCTAATTTAATCATTTTTCTTGGCTTCAATGCTGTTTTGTTCATTAATATTATTCTTGTTTTGTTTGCATTTCCCTGGCATATCCTTGCTCATCTCTCTTTTTTTTTTAACTGTTTCATATCATTTTGCTTCAAATGTGTGCCTTGTAAACAGTATATAGTTGAATTTTATTTGTTGATCCAGTGTGTCTTTATCTTATATGAGTAGATTTTATCCCATTCACACGTATTGGTCTTATTTCTGTCATTTTATTTTATATATTTTTTCAACTTTTTTCTCTCCTGCTCTCTTTTTCTTTTCCCCAACATTGTTCTACCGAACCCTGGTCTTTTTCCTGCCCCCCTCCTGTATATTGTCTGAAAGTTACTTATTTCTAGTCTCCCAGCAGTTATTCTTAATTATTTAAAGAGTATAAACTCATATTTGTCTATCAGGAATGAAATGAGATTCCCCATGTAAAATGAATGATGTAGCACATCTTCATTCCTTCTTCCTTCTTGCTTTCACCCCACCAACCCTTTAGATCCAAATTCAAATAAATCTTGTTAATCCTTTATTCTCTTTAATTTCTCCACAGCATTTGACTATGTTGAACCCTTTAGATCCAGATTATTTTTATTAACTTCTTTTCTACATTAACAAATATTTCTAAAATAATTATTTTTAGCATTTGTATTAAGTTTCAAAATCTTTTGCAAGTTGGTTATGTCGACATTAATGGTAAATTAATAGAAATTGGTTTCATTGTCCACTGTCACAATTCTTATATTGGAGCATACTTATATTTGAGTTCTGTTTATGATTTATTTCCTAGCATGCTGAAATATTCTTCCAAATAAATTTGTCAAAAGACTATGTGATTAATTTCCTTTCTGAGTTCTTGTATGTTTGATTAGCTGCTTATATAATTGTGGACTTCAATGTTTAACTTATCCTCAAAATTCTATATACATTGCTTCATTATCTTTCATATTTAACATATATGTAAAAGAATAATGGAAAACTGATTTTTTTTGTTACCTGTTCTCATTTGATCCAGGTCTTCATATTTGCGGTATTTCCCTCCCCAAACTTGCAGACTCCCTGAGTTTGTTTATTTATTTGGGGAGAGAGAGTGATAGTTTTCATGATACATCATGCCTAAGTATTGCCAGAGTAGCTTTCCTTTGGCATGGATTGGGTCACAGGAACGTCAGTACTTCCTTTAATTTTTTATCCAAATTTTAATTATGAAAAATTTCAAGTATACAGAAAAGAGAATGAGTAGTATATTAAACATCCATATACTCAAGTTTCAAAAATCAACATTTTGCTCTACTTGGCTTATCTCTCTCTACATACATCTTCTTTCACCCTGAACTATTTGAGAGTATGTTGATATCATGACACTTCACTCCTAAATACTTCAGCATGTATTTCCTAGCATAAGACTAACACTATTATCCTCTCAGAATATTAACCGTAATTCTATATTGGTATTTAAATCCAGTTCACCTAAGCTATATCTTGAAAAACTTCATTTCTGTTTTTGGACTATTTGTATAACTTTCCTGTTTTCATGGGCTGATGTGAATGTTTTCTCCCCGATTTTAATATTTTGGTCATTTCAGAGGGAATATGGGAGGGAAGGCAATTTAATGCATAAGTTCAAATTGGCATCTTACAATGAATTTTCTTATATTATAGTCCCTCTTTAAAGTAGGAATATCCTAGAACATGCCCATAGTTCATTATCATAAGCAGAGCATTAGGCAGAATGATCCATACATCTGCTTTTTGTGGCATTTAAAAATTGTGTTTTGGACTAAAAATAAATATGATCTTGTACTCATAGAAATGTGTAGACTGTCCCTTCCAAATGAGGCCCTTCATCAAGATGTGCCAGCCCACAAAGGGGAGAAGGAAGATGAATCCTAAATAACTGACTCACATAACTGCCTAATGATCAGCAAGTCTAATAGGAAGACAATGAGAACCACGTGGATTGTAGGATAATTCCTGGTTAATTTTCAATAACAAGCTTCCAGTGTGAATCTTTGTGGCATTGTGTTTGTGCCTAGCGCAAGGTTTAGAAAATCCTCTGGGGAAGGATGATGAGATCATGTAGAACGTTAGGAAAAGACATCTAAGTTATTTGCCATTGGCACCATCTCACTCTTAGCATGTTTCCCAATCCTGGGACATTTTCTAATAGAGGAATGGCAGAGGAGAAGCTAGAACTCTGAGCGAGTGAGACTGGAAGCAAAATGGATATGTGAATCACTCATCTCAAAGACTTTGAAGTTTGTGTTGCAAGGAGAGGTTACAGAATCCTACCCTAGTAAAGCATTTCACTGCATACAAAGTAAATTTTACTTACAAAGAAGCTATGGGTAGGCCACGCAAAATGAGACCGAGAAGTAATTGGAAAGGCGGCAGAGGAAAGTTGAGAGAGTTTGAGTAAGTCCTGAAAGCCCAAAGGCTAAGAATACCAAGAAAATTTAAAAACACAGGGAAGATTCAAAAACACATGTAGCTGCAGGGAGGGTTGGCCAAAGAACAGAAACAGAGAAAACCATAGGAAATGGAAAAGAGGGGAAATGGAAAAGGATGAAGATGTTACCCTTACAGGAATGCAGATGCACATGGGAAGATGCCAAAAAGCCAGGCAAATAAATGCTCTGGATGGAATTTAGGGTATGTAGCCGATTGGAATTAAAGCAAACCCCACCACTACACTAGTCATAGAGGATGGGGAGATGACCAAAAACCAGGGGGAGAACAATGTGGGTTTAAACAGAAGGTAATATATGGTATTCAGAGGCACTTGAGCATACAACATAGCAGTTAGACACACCATCTAAAGAATGCAAGTGCAAAGGGCAAAATACAGAAAAGAATGTCTGGCCACACTATATATAAATCTGTAAGTCTGAGATAAATGTCTCTTTGTCTACTCTAGTTACTATTTGCTCCTTTGTTGACATGTAAAACATGTCCACAAAGTGGTTGGGGGTGTATTTTAGTGAAATGAAGCTCATGGCAGAAAACAGAAGACTGAGAGGATTTTATGAGATTGGGATAGTTACTTCATAATATCACAACGGATTTGTTTCTTTCATCGTTGTTCCTGTGTGTTCTGCAGAATAAATATCGAGGTTTAATGTCTTTGCACTCTGAGCACCTCTGAATTTTGAACTTAATTGCAAATTGTTTAAGCCAGAGCATGTGTTGAGCTTTATTATTGCTTCCTGTGGCAGCCTTGGGATCACCTTTGAGGAACTCTGTCCTTCTAAGATTTAAGCTGACTGCCTGGTTCTAAGCCTTGTAATTTGGGGAAAGGATTTCGTCTGTAACTGCGTATTTGTGTTTTTGACCCAGTGGAGTTTGAATTTGCCTGTAAGGAATCATATTCATCCTTTGGCACCTGAAAGACAGGATGCCATCTTGAATGACCAGAAACAAGAATATCTCTTATCTTATCCTTTTGCCTCTAGTCCATCATCTTTTCTATATTGGAATGATCTTTTTAAGAAATACAATCAAACCCACTACTTAACATGGTAAGTGATGTCAGAACTAACTCAAAGAAAGAAAAATAATTTTAAATTAGGAACTCATAAGCTAACATACTGTTTTCGTGGCAACTTTTTGTCATCTGGGAAAAAACAAGTCTCTAGGAAGCAAAGAAGAGAAGAAAGAAAAGGTGGAAAGGAAAAGATGGAAGAATACCTTCTTAGTCACTTAAATATTTCATGGGCATAAACTCTATTCTAGATACTTTAACTTTTCAATGACATTTTGGGCCCCTCAATTAGAGTGAAGGTTTTCTGAGAAAAGGGGTTATGTCCTTGGAGCTTTCATAATAGCAACCACAAAGACAAATAGCCAAATTCAAAGAAATCTTATTAATCCTTTATTCTCTTTAACTTCTCCATAGCATTTGACTATGTTGAAAGGCTTTCTTCTTAGAGATCCTCTATTTTTGTCTTCTTCACTACTACCACGGCTTTAGTTGCCCGAGCTAAACTCTTGTTATCTAGTGTCTCTACTGCAGTTTTATCTCTCTACCCCTCCCATTTAATCATTCACATTGTCAACAAAGTTATTATTGATTAATTCACATCCCTGCTTACAAAACTGTGATAGCTCCCTATTTTCTATAGGAGAGGTTAAAAAATTCTTGGCTTTGAATCAACCACAAACCCAGTGGATGGAAGATGATCGATTCTCTCCCCCTCAACTGGGGCCAGTCTTATTTTTCCTTCCTGAAACCTGCTCTACAGCCACAGGAGACAACAGGGAGCTCTCCAAGTGCCCCCTATTACTAATTTGGGTCTTAGAAGGAGACTGTGGCTCTGAAGACCTGCACATCAATTATTGTAGAGAACAGATGAAAGATTGAAAACTGAAGGGCCTTTCTGAACAATTGTGGCCTCAGCTGTCTGGGCAAAGTGTTCTATCACTCTGAAAATAATACTGTTGCTTGTGTACAATGAGCACAGTGGAGAAATTCCATGGCTCAAGAACAAAGTGGAGCATACTGGCTTGTGTTCTGCATGTTTACTATGTTGTTTTTGCGGCGGGAGGGGGTGGTTGTTGGATATGAGGAGGCAAAAGGGTGAAGGTGCAAGGGAAATGACAAATGCCTCCATTTGTCTAAATTTACTCTGAACCACTATAATCACAAGAATCAAGTTTCGTGGAGAACAGGTTCATGGGTGAAAGAAAGGCTTTTGAGAGACTATTTTTGGCTATTATTGTGGATGCTGTTACCCCTAGTGTGCCACTATATGTATCATAACCATAGTGACCATATGTTTTCCAGGTTCGCCTGTGTCAAGGTGATAAGTTGTAATATTTACTTGGGAAAATACTTAATATCTATTTGGGAAAATATTTACATGATCCCCATAGCTATAGACTGTGAAAAGAATGATTCTTAAATGAAGTTATTCAAGTGCATGGGGTACCTTATTAAGCAAACAATTAGGAAAAATTTAATATACTGAACAAAGTCAGTGCAAAGCACAGAGATATTAAATTAATGTTACCACCTCAGTTCTCTTCTTTTGAGCAGTTTGGTAAATGTTGTCTTCTTTTTAATAATCTTAGAGTGGAACAATTCTAGAGTTGAACTGATATAAGCATAAATCTTTGGGCTGGTTTTAGAATCTAGAATATGAAATTTTGAAATTTTGTGAACAAATTGCAGTAGAGAATGATCCATCAAGTTTGCATATGAACTTGAATTAAAAATCTGTGATACTTCCCACCATCACCATAAATATTTGGTCAGACCATCTTTTTTTTGAGTTGTACATAGCACTTACTCTTCAGATTCCTTATAAGACAAGCAGATGCCAAAATATAGAATGTATGACAGAGATTCTTAAATCAGGTAGGGTAGATGTTATAATTAGTATTGCCTCTCCACTTCCACCACCCCATAACGTAGCAGAAGAGCATCTTGCTATTATCTCACCTAGCCTTCTGTACATCCATTTCAAATATCTGCTCTTCTCCTAGCTCCATCAGAATGGAAACCAACCCTGCTGATTTTCCTCAAACATTGAACTTTTGATAACCAAGTATATCTTGTGAGACTCTTAAAGTGTGTTTTTTTCCTTCTTTCTTTTTTTTTTTTTTTTTTTTTCAGATTCTTGCTCTGCTGCCCAGGCTGGAGTGCAGTGGCATGATCATGGCTCACTGCAACCTTAAACTTCTGGGATCAAGCAATCCTCCTGCCTCAGCCTCTTGAGTAGATATGACTACAGGGGAGCAGTGTAATACCCAGCTACTTTTTTTTTTGCCTTCCTTGAGATAGGGTCTCACTATGTTGCCAAGGCTGGTCTTGAACTCCTGGTCCCAAGTGATCTTCCTAACTTGGCCTTCCAAAGCTTTGGGATTACAGGTGTGAGCCACCACACCTGGCCAGTGTGTCTATTTATAATTCTGCACACTCTTAGAACAAATGATGCCAAACTGCAGAATAACGGAGGCTTCCTTTTCCATTCGCCTGTGCAAATAGGTAACCAGGCAAAATGTTCCCTGTGAAGTGAGCATATCGTGGTGCTCATGATTTCCTTTTGAGCAGGACAGCAACCGTGTGATCCATGGCGGGATGTATCATTGAATCAGGGCTAGGATGCTCGTCTGTGTTCTCAGTATCACCTCTCTGCTCTTGAGGAGGTTGGGCTTCTACTTGCCTTCTCTGTGGTTAAACATTTTGCAAGCTCTCAATGTTATCTTCCAACCCCCGGACACTATTATCTCAGAATTTGCTGCTTTTGGGAGGGCTCTGGCAGTGGCAGAACAAATATATCCTTGGTCATGAAGTATCTCACCTGCTCTGATTTGTAAGAGAGGGTGCTTGATGTCTTTATCCACCCTCCTAGTTCCCCACTTCTCTATCTTGTTTTGAGCCCCAGGAGGCTGACCTGTATGGACTGCAGCAGTGAGGGCTCCCAGGCCCTCAGTTTCTGGCTGAGTTTGGCACCAGGAAGCACTGGCAGCAGATCGAAGGGAGGAAGGAGAATGAGGTCCAGGTATTTATTTCCTGGCTTCCTCCCTGCTTGATCGTGGTGTGCTGGCCATCTCCTGCAACTGAAGGTCTCAGCTCCTGTCACTCCATGTGGCTTTGTCTCTGGATTCCACTGCTTACGCCTAGGGTAGGAGCAGTGCCCTGCTATTCCTAGCTCTGAGATAATACACTGTGACTTATGGTCTTTCCTACATCCTGCCCATACCTTTGTAAATAGTCCCTTAATTAAACTCTCCTCAAATAACCCAATTTGAGAGTGCCATCTGTTTCCTGCTGGAACCCTAACTGATAGAAGTTGTCCTTGAATAAATGCTATTGGTGGAAGAGTACTGAAGGACTTCACCATGACCCCCAGAACCCAGCAGCAAGCAATGCCACAGATGTACCTATGTAAGTTGCACTGGATCTTGCAGATGGGAGGGATGCTCTTGCTGCGTGTGGTTTCTGTTGCTGTTTTCTGAGATACTGCCTGGATCACTTGCCCCCTGGCCTGGGAGCCATTGCACTATAGCTCTGGTTTTTATTTGGAGCCTAAGAGAGAGGAGGAAGCAAGTCCTCTTCATTAGTGCTGCTGGCACAGAAGGAGGCGTCTGAGTCAGCAACTGAGAACAGATGATTTTGAAGCATCGCCTTGTCTCTGGTGCCGCTTCTCTCTCCTCTGGCACTGGTGGCCCAAGTCCGTCCTGGCGTCAGGCGGCCACAAGGAGAGCTGCCCTGAAGCACTGGGCCTGCTGCCTCCCTCCCGCAGTCTTCTCTGGCATCCCTGTCCCCTTGCAAGGCAGAGCCTCATTAGCAAGTGAAATGTTATAGTTTCAAACAAACAAACAAGCCCTAAAGTCTGCCAAGTCGTCTGGGTGAAATCACAAAGAAATCTCAGTGTCCTGTGCCTCTTTTGGGCCCTCTCTCTGGGGATTCAGAAGCTGCAGCAGGACTGACTTCCTTCCTGCTTGCTAGTGGGTGACTGTCTCCAAAGCCGTGATATCTAACCACTGACCCTACCTGATAAACCTAGTGAGGTCCCAGAGAGCTGGGTTATCCTTTGTCCGCTGTTGATTCAGGTGAACTCGTCACTGTTTGGGATTTAAGCAATTCCCTTCCTTGCATCCTTTCCCAGTCACAGGTTTCTTGAGGGAACCCTTCCTCGCCATTTGCTTTTTGTTTTTGGTCAGCTCACTGGAAAAAAACAGGGACTGCTCCAGACTGAGGAAAGCAGTCAGGGACACTGTCTCTGCCCAAACTAGCAAAGCCAACTTTATCAAATTCAGGGAGTACAGGAGTTAGAAAGACACAACAGAGTTGTGTTCCCTGGCAAAGAAATAGTAAAGAGCAAAACAGTCAATTCAGAGGGCAAACTGCTTGCCTCACTAATAAAGCATGGCTCATGATGGAAAATAACTCAAGAAAGTAGGGAGCAAATGGATTTAGTTGCTATGGGAACGCAGTTGGGAAAAATACATGAAATATGTAAATACTGTAATTTGGTATTTTAATGTACTTTTCTATGAAGAAAATTCCCTGACAACGAAAACTAACAACTCTTTCCTCTGCTACACACAGCACTGATTGACAGAGGCTGGGCAAGTGGGTTTCCCAATTGAATTTTGCCCCTAGGACTGAAGACATCTTTATTCTCAAGCATAAAAATCAGACACCTGGAGCAGTGGTTCTCAACTCTGGATGCACATTAGACTTAGAGAACTTTCAGAACAAAATCAGACACACCCCAGACAGGTTAAATCAGATTTTCTGGGTAGGGCGGTGGGCTTTGGGATTTTTTGAAAAGTCCCCAGTCTTTTCTGATGGGCAGCCACTGTTGTGACCAGGGCCCAGAATCTTGATTTGGTAGGCTTGGTAACTATAGATTGCTTATTTTATCGTACGCCTTCACTAGGTTTTTATTTCACAGATTTTTGGTCATTTTGAGTGATTTGTACATTTTAATAGCAATAATGGGAAATGATTAGCAATCATTACTCTACCATTGTTAGTGTTATTATCTTCACCATAATAGACTAGTGCTTCTCCTATTTGTAGAAAACATGATAATATATTACAAAGTATTATCATTTAACCATAATAATGATTAATTGCTGTTATTTAAAAAATTATAAATTGATAATTTGGAAAGTTTAGATGTTGCTCTAAATGCTAATATCAATCTGTATTTTAATAATTACCATCATTACTTATCATTAGCTGTGTAATAAATCAGTAGTAAACATTTATGTAGATATAACTGTGAAACTTGCTTAGTAATAATCTGTACCAGAGTTGGTAAGTGGCATTTCTGTTTTCCTGATGGGAAAAATGTTACAAGAATCATGTGATTCGCATTAACTTATATGTTGAAATCATGGCATATCTGAGTGCAGACCTTCAAAATATCATCTTTTTTTTCCCTCTGCCTGGCTCCTGTTACTTTTGCTCTGTCCAATACGATAAATTACAATCCTTCTCCTATGGTATTACTCCAGGAACAAAACAACAAGTGCGGAGTTTACTGGTATCCAAAGAGAATTTGAATGAGTGGGGAAGAAGGATTCATGAAAATGGTCAATATTATAGAAAGTAAGAATGAATTGTGAAAATCCCACTTGGTTGTTTCACCTAAATTCAGGTGGTCAGGGTTTTTAGAGTCTATGGGGGATTCCGACCTATGGAAAGCTTGCTTGCTTCTGAAACATTCTCTCTCTTCTTACCTTTAACATTGTTGTTATTACGTGTAAACTTTGGAGACCAGCCCCTGCGTCCAGCCTGACTAAGTTCAGGTTATACCATTGATCCAGGCTGCTGGGTCCCCTGGAAATAGGCACAGCATGCCTTCTGTACCCAGTCCCCTGGTGGTCTTTGAGTTGTCTTCCCCCAACTCTCCCAACGAGGTTAGATTCTCTAGTTTCTGTTATCTGCTCCCACAGCACCATTTTTGCCTCCGCTGTAGGCCTTAGCCTAAGTAAGTAAGTCATAATTATTTATTTAATGTCATTCTCTCCCCAAAAGCTGATAGCTCCAGGAAGGCAGCAGATAGTAGTGTTCATTCTTATATCCAAATTATCTTGGCACAGTACCTGGTCAATATTAGATACTCAAATATTGCTGACGAATTTTTTTTCTCTGCTGTCCCTATTGTTTAAAGCTACCCTGTTTCAGATTCTTAACCATAATTTTTTATTATAGAAAATTTCAAATATACCTAAAAGTAGAAATTTTATAAAGAACCCCTATGAGTTTATCACCCAGCTATGTCCAATCTTGTTTTCAAATTTTTCTAATTAAAAAGATAAGTTTTGGACTTTCAATTTCAGCTCTGAAAATTCTTTAGATTGGAAGTCATCACTCCCATTCTTACAAAAAGAAAAAAACCTGAAAAAATGGAAAACCAGGGACTTTTCTCAGACCCATTAGAGAAATGAAGTTGCAGGACAAATCACCACCCTGAAATCTAGAGAGACAGGTGAATGCAAAGAGCCACAGCTGAAACCTGCTTACCTGGATTAGAAGCCACTGATAACTTCGGTAATTAAATGATAATTTTGATGAATTGCTAGAGGTAGACTGTGGGCTAGCCGAAAGTGAGGAACCTGTAGGGGCACAGTATTATGTTGTCTTAGGGGATGTATTAGTCAGGGTTCTATAGAGGGACAGAACTAATAGGAGAAAATACATACATATATATATATATAAAGGGGATTTTATTAAGTATTAACTCACATGATCACAAGGTCCCACAATAGGCCATCTGCAAGCTAAGGAGCAAGGAGAGCCAGTCTGAGTCCCAAAACTGAAGAACTTGGAGTCTGATGTTTGAGGGCAGGAAGCATCCAGCCCAAGAGAAAGACGTAGTCTGGGAGTCTAGGCCAGTCTCGTCTTTTCACATTTTTCTGCCTGCTTTATATTCTAGCTGCACTAGCAGCTGATAGTGGCCACCCAGATTAAGGCTGGGTCTGCCTTTCCCAGCCCACTGACTCAAATGTTAATCTCCTTTGGCAACATCTTCACAGATACAGCCAGGATCAATACTTTTCATCCTTCAATCTAATCAAGTTGATAGTATTAACCATCACAAGGGACACTCACACTTTTGTGGGTTTTACCTCCAGGAAGTCCAGCAGGTTCTCACGGTAAAGATCCAAGAAAGATCCTCTGTGGCCTTGGCAGGGGGAGGGGAAGAGTACTCATTGTGATATACACCAAGAGCGTTCTCCCTAACAAAGGCCCAATGTCAAGGGAAAATACCAGAACCTTATCTCACTAGTGAAAGGACATCCCTCTCACTCTAGCCTCTTCCAGCCTTCCTTTCTCGTCTAAGTAGGGGTGGTGAAGCTATGCCACTGGAGCTTGTGAAGGTCACAGCCCAAAGACACAGGCCAATTGAAAGACTGAGATTTAACAATATGCCCCTTCCCCCCATATTTTGCTACTACCCCAATAGGGCTCCAGTATAATAAGAATGGACTATAGCTGAAATAAATGCAAGATTCACGTACTCCTCTGAGAGTAATACTTAGGAAAGCCCCAAGTCTAGAGGGTAGGCAAAAACAAGGACACTGGAGAAATTGAAGCTTCTGGCTCCTACAATTGTACCAAGCATTAAACACAATCCAACTCCCAGCCATAGTAACATAAATCCTCACATTAAAAGCCTATTTACTCCAGTTTCTGCTACCTAATACAGCATGTCCAGCTTTAAGCAGAAAATTACAAAGCTTGCCAAAGGCAAGAATAAAATCGTCTGAAGAGATAGAGCAAGCATCAGGACCAGACTCAGATATGACAGAGATGTTAAGAGTTATCAGATACAGAATTTAAAAGAATAACCATGATTATAATTAAGGGCTCTAATGGAAAAAGTAGACGGCATGCATGTACATATGGATAATATAACAAGAGAAATAGACGTTCTAAGAATCAAAGGAAATGCTAGAAACTAAAAACACTGTAACAGAGATGAAGAATGGCTTCAATGGGCTCATCAGTGGACTTGACATAACCAAGGAAAGCATCGTTGAGTTTGAAGATAGCTCAATAGAAACTTTCCAAACTGAAGTGCAAAGTGAAAAAAGAAAGAAAAGAAAAACTCACACAAACCCCAGAACTGATTACTCAAAATCTGTAGGTAAAATTTCAGAAGGTGTAACGTGTATAATTGGAATACCAGGAAGAGAAGAAAAAGCAGAGGAGAAAAAAAATATTTGAAGTAATAATAGCCAAGAACTTTCCACAATTAATGACAGGCACCTAAGAACAGATCCAGGAAGCTCAGAAAATGCCAAGCAGGATAAATACTTGCTTTGCATATCATATTTAAACTGCAGAAAACAAAAGGCAAGAATAAAGTCTTGAAAGAAAACAGAGGGAAAAACACCTTACATAAAGAGGAACAAGGATAAGAATTGCAGTGGACTTCTCATCAGAAATAATGCAAGCAAGAAGAATGTGGAATGAAATATCTATCTCCAAGTGTTGAAAGAAAATAAAACCCCACAAACCTAGAATTCTACATACACTGAAATTATCCTTCAAAAGTGAAGAAGAAATAAAGTCATTACAAATAAAAACTGAGGAAATTTATGACTACTGGATCTTCTTTGCCAAAAATATTAAGTTCTTCAGGCAGAAAGCGATATAGGTCAGAACCCAGATCTATATAAAGAAATAAAGAGTGTTGGAAAAGAAATAAAGATAATATTTTTATTTTTTTAATTGATTTAAAATATCCACCTATTTAAAGTATTAGTAGTAACAATATATTGGATGATTATAGCATGGATAAGTAAAATGAATGACTGCAATGTCATAAGGGATAAAAGGGAGCAATTAGAAATCCTCTGTTATGAGGTACCTGTACTCCTACATACATAAAAACAATTTGAATTTAAAATTTAAAAATACCATTTACAAAAGCACAAAAATAAATACTAAGGCATAAATTGAACAAAATATACACAGGAACTGTATTCAGAAAACCATAAGACTGATTAAAAAAAAAGGATCTGAATGAGTGGAGAGATACTCTGTGTTCGTGGATTGGGAGATTCAGTATTGTTAAGACATCAGTTTTTCCCAACTTGATCTGTATACTCAAAGCAGACTCAATCAAAACTCCAGCAAGCTATTTTGTATACATTGACAAACTGATTCTAGAATTTGTATGGAGTAGCTAACATGATACTAAAAGGTTGACACAGAGATCAATAAATTGGAGCCCTGAAATAGAACAACACAAATACAGTCAACAGATTTCTGACAAAGAAGCAAAGGCAATTTAGTGGAGAAAGGATAATCTTTTCAATAAACAGTGCTAGAACAACTGGATATCCAAATGCAAAAACCTGAACCTAGACACAGACCTTATACCTTTCACAACAATTAACTTGAAATGCATTATATACCTAATTTTAAAGTACAAAATGGTAAAACTTGTAGAAGAAAAATGGGAGAAAATCTAGATGACCTTGTGTTTGGTTATAAGTTTTTAGATACAACACCAAAACCACAATTAAAGAAAAAAATTGATGAATTGAACTGCTATGGTTTAAATGTCCCCTCCAAAACTTATATAGAAATGTATTTATTTATTTATTTTTGAGACAGAGTTTCGGTCTTGGCACCCAGGCTGGAGTGCAATGGCGCGATCTCAGCTCACTGCAACCTCTGCCTCTGGGTTCAAGCGATTCTCCTGCCTCAATCTCCTGAGTAGCTTGGACTACAGGCACGTGCCACCACGCCCAGCTAATTTTTGTATTTTTAGTAGAGGTGGGGTTTCACCATGTTGACCAGGCTTGTCTTGAACTCTTGCCCTCAGGTGATCCACTCGACTCGGCCTCCCGAAGTGCTGGGATTACAGGCATGAGCCACCGTGCCCGGTCTCATAAGAAATTTAATTGCTATTATAACAGCATTAAGATGTGGCACCTTTAAGAGGTGATTAGTCTGTGAGGACTCTGTACTGATGGGTGGGTTTAATGGCTTCAAAAAGGGGCTTTGGGAGTGTATTTTCTGTCTTGCACACATGCTTGTCCTTCTGTCTTTTGCCATGCTATGACTTAGTAAGAAGGTCCACACAGGATACAACCCCTTAAACTTGGACTTCTTAGCTCCCAGAACTGTGAGCCGAATAATACTTTATCCTTTATAAATTATCCAGCTTGTAATATTGTTATAGCAGCAGAAAATAGACTAAGACATGAACTTTTTATCAATAATTCTGCTCTGTGAAAGGGATACTATTAAGAGAAAGATAAGACAAGCCACAGACTGGCAGAAAACATACCTGATAAAACACATCTTGCAAAACACATATCAGATAAAGGATTTGTATCCAAAATATACAAAAAACTGTTAAAAACCAAAAATAAGAAACAACTCAACCAAAAAAATGGAAAACAGATCTGAACAGCCATCTCACCAAAAAAGATATACAGATGGCAAATAAGCATATGAAAAGATGGTAAACATTTGTCATGAGGGAATTGCAAATTAAAACAACAATGAGATAGCATTCCACATCTATCAGAATGGACAAAATCCAAAAAATGAACAATAGCAGTTGCTGGCAAGGATGCAGAGCAAGGGTTACTCTTATTCCACTTGATATAGCTACTGTGGAAAGATAAAGGATACAAAATGATACAGCTACTTTGGAAGATAGAATGATAATTTCTATTTTTTTTATGTATTTTTGAGACGGAGTCTCAATCTGTTGCCCAGGCTGGAGTGCAGTGGCGCAATCTCGGCTCACTGCAACCTTTGGCTCCCAGGTTCAAGCGATTCTGCTGCCTCAGCCTCCCAAGTAGCTGGGATTACAGGCACCTGCCATCATGCTTGGCTAATTTTTGTAATTTTTTAGAGATGAGGGTTTCACCATGTTGGCCAGGCTGGCCTTGAACTCCTCACTTCAGGTGATCCGCCCACCTCGGCCTCCCAAAGTGTTGGGATTACAGGCGTGAGCCACCACGCCTGGCTGAAATGATAATTTCTTACTAATCTAGTGATAGTCATGCCATAAGCATGATCCAATAAGCATGCATCTAGGTATTTACACAACTGATTTGAAAATTTATACTCACACAAAACCTACATGTGAATATTTATAACAGCTTTATTCATAATCACCCCGAACTGGAAATAATCAAGATGTCCTTCAATAGATGAATGGATAAGGAGACTGTGGTATATCCACACAGTATAATATTATTCAATGATAAAAAGAAATGGGCTATCAAGTCACGAAAAGCCATGCATGAATCTTAAATATATTGCCATGAAAGAAGCCAGTCTGAAAAGGCTACATACTGTATAATTCCTTTTATATGACATTCTGGAAGAGGCAAAACTATACAGATGGTGAAAGATCAGGGGTTGCTAGGGATTCATAGGTGGAGAGAAGATTGACTAGGTGAAGCACAAGGAATTTTTTTTTCCGAGTGATTGAATTATTCTGTAGGATACTGTAATCATGTAATGGTAAATACATGACATTATGCATTTGTCAAAACCCACAGTACTTTATAGTACAAGGAGTGAACCTCAATGTGTCCAAATGAAAACATCATTTAGAAACTCAGAGGATCCCCAGATGCAATGCAGAATGTGATAAAACTAGCTGCATTACAAAAGTATGAAACAACCTCAATGAATGAGATGGAGAAAAAAGGTGCTGACCTAAGTAATGCTAGAAATGAGTCTGTGGGAGTAAAGACAAATGGAAGTGTACATAAGCACTGTACTCTAGTTAAGAAAGGTGCTTCCTATGGGAGCATGGCTTAACAATTATGAAACCACATGTATACTGAAAAGGAATAATTTTTTTTTTTTTTGAGACAGGGTCTCACTGTGTCACCTAGGCTGGAGTGCAGTGGCATGGTCATGGCTCACTGCAGCCTCAACCTCCCAGGCTCAGGTAGTCCTTCCACCTCAGTGTCTCAAGTAGCTGGGATCACAGGCACGTTTCACCGTGCCCAGCTAATTTTTGTATTTTTTGTGGATACGGGGTTTCACCAAGTTTTCCAGGCTGGTCTCAAATTCTTGGGCTCAAGTGATCCTCCCATCTTGGCCTCCCAAAGTGCTGGGATTACAGGCATGAGCCGCCACACCCAGCTGACATGGAATAACTAAGTAAATGAATGATGGGTGGTGGGAGCCAGGTTTCTCCCTTCTGTAGAGGGACATTTTTGATCAGCAAGGGGAAGAGGCTAGAATGATCCTTTGTAGTTAGATTAGAGTTGAGGATATCAGTATGAACTCATGCTTAGCCTAATATAGACACAGATGAATACATGTATGAATACATGTATTTATGAATACATGAATACATTTTTTAGAAATGTTTATATACATGGGTTAGTATACACACATATATTACCTCACTCTGTTAGTTGAAGGGATCTGGAAACGACACCCCTGTAGCAACAAGCACACGTAGCACCCAGGTCTTGGTTTCTAACACCATCTTCTATTAAAAAAAATGAAAAATAGCTGATTCTAGGACTGGGGCAGGATATATGATCTTGGAACATCTTGTAGTGCCAGAAAGTAAGGAAGTACTCAAACCCCAAAAACAAAAAGCCCAACCAATGAACCAAACAAAAATCACACAACAATAACAACAAAACAGCATTGGATTACAACACACGATATAAAATGAATATCCATGAGTGTGACTCCATACTGATATAAAAATAAATAATTGGATAAATAAACAAATGGGTGAGAGTAGAAAAAGAAGCACAGCATAGAAAAGGGGAGTAAATAGTAACTTTATAGTGGAGAAACCTGACAAACACTACCTCGGCCAGGTGATCAAGACGAACATTAACAATAGTCATTCATGTTGATGGTGCGTATCCTTCATATGATGCATTGACAATGGCGCCTTACCTCTGGGGTCTTCCTTCCAAGATCTTATAACTCCAATCTAATCATCAGACAAATCCCCATTGAGGGATTTAGTACTAAATACCTGACTAGGACTCTACAAAGCTGTTAAGGTCGTCAAAAACAAGGAGATTCTAAGAAATTCATCAACAAGGGGAGCCTAAGGAGGCATAACTATTAAATATAATGTGGCATCCTGGGACAGAAAAAGGATATTAGGTAAAACTAAGGAAATCTGAAGAAATTGTGCTCTTTGGTTAATGATAATGTACCACTGTGGGCTTATCAATTGCAAGACATGTACCACACTCATGTGAGAAGTTAGTAATAGGGAAAATTTGGCATGGTGTTTATGGGAACTTTCTGTACCACCTTTACAATGTTTTTCTATCAACCTAAAATGGTTCTAAAATAAAGTGTATTTTTATTTTAGAAAGGAAACTTTTGGAAGTGCCTGTTGGGGTTGAGATATGGTAAATCCAGGCCCACAGACACTGTCTAACTCACTTTGGAGCCTGAGGGGAGGCAATTTACTCATAGGAAAACAGTATGTACTGAAAGGCCTAAGAGCCTCTGGCATGTTATTATTCAGGTTCTTGATGTTCATCTATAATATGAAATATAGGCAGTGTTTTGATTTTGTCACAACAACTGGGGGATGCGTAATGGGCCTTGTGGGCAAACAGCAGCAAATCCTCAGTGTGCTGCAAGGTGTGGAACTGCAGCATAGAGTGAAGGAGTGTCCCACATCCTGCATGATTTTCTTTCTTTTTATTTCAATAGTTTTTGGGATATAGGTGGTTTTCTGTTACATGGATAAGTTCTTTAGGGTGACTTCTGAGATTTTAGTGCACCTGTCACTGAGAGTGTACACTGCACCCAATATGTAGTCTTCTATCCATCACCCCCTCCCAACTTCTCCCTCCCCAAGTCCCCAAAGTCCATTATATCACCCTTATGCCTTCATCCTGCATGATGTTCTTTCTTCCTGCCTTCCTCCCTACCTTCCTGCCTCTCTTCCTCCTTTCCTTCCTCCCTCTCTTCCTCCCTCCCTCCCTCCCTTCCTCCCTTCCTCCCTCCCTTCCTCCCTCCCTTCCTCCCTCCCTTCCTCCCTTTCCTTCCCTCCCTCCCTTCCTCCCTTCCTCCCTCCCTTCCTCCCTTTC
Source organism: Homo sapiens (assembly GCF_000001405.40). NCBI lineage: Eukaryota > Metazoa > Chordata > Mammalia > Primates > Hominidae > Homo > Homo sapiens. The sequence continues at coordinate 68,808,162 of NC_000005.10, read as the reverse complement.
CTTCCCTTCCTTCCCTTCCTCCCCTTCCTCCCCTTCCTCCCCTCCCCTCCCCTTCCTTCCTTCCTTCCTGCCTTCCTTCCTTCCTGCCTTCCTTCCTGCCTTCCTTCTTTCCCTCCCTCCCTCCTTCCCACTTCTTCCCTCCTTTTTCCCTTCCCATCCCTTCCCCCTCCCTTCCCTTCCCACTCCCCTTCCCTTCCCCTTTTCCCTTCCCCTTCTCCTTCCTTTCCTTTCAACAAGTTCTCCCTCTGTTGCCCAGGCTGGAGTGCAGTGGTGCCATCTTGGCTCACTGCAATCTCTGCCTCCCAGGTTCAAATGATTCTCCCACCTTAGCTCCCAAGTAGTAGGAACTACAAGTGCAGGCTACCACACCTGTATAATTTTTGTATTTTTATTAGAGGCGAGGATTTCGCCGTGTTGGCCAGGCTGGTCTCAAACTCCTGAGGTCAAGCATCTGCCAGCCTTGGCCGCCCAAAGTGCTGGATTACAGGGGTGAACCACTGTACCCAGCCTGCGTGATTTCCTGAAGTGTTTCTATACTTTAGAAAACCTAAACTGAGGTGGAACCTAAACTTAGGTGGAAAACCTGTTTAAAATAATCTAAGACCAGACTTGATCTCCTTTTTCAGTATAAACCTTGAGTATTTTTTGCATGTTTTTAACATACACTTAATTTTCCAGGAATGCCACTCTCATGTAAATCCAAAAGAAGTTTAGCTTGTTTTGTTTCGAAAAGTTGTTCACTTATTTGGAAAAATTACACCACTGAAGGTAATGTGGCTTTGCTGTTTGAATCACCAATACGGCACACTTGCAAGAACCTTTTGCATTTATGGTGTTTTTATATACAGGTAGAGTAACAGTAAAATTTATTATCTATATCAGACATTTTCAAAGGTAAAGGGGAATGCTGTTAATAATTATGGCAGGGCAATGAGCATCAACCAGGATTGTCTCAGAAAAACTGGGTTGTCCAAAGAAGACTGGAAAATGTAGTTTTTGAGTGTTCTTGCCCCACAGTACAGAAGGACATACCAGAGAGAGGTTAGAGTAGATGTTGAGTGAGAAAATCCACACGTCCATAGAGACAATTTTGTTTGTTTGCTCTACCAATCACCGAGAGAGATGTATTAAAATTTCCTTCTGTGATAGTGAACCTGTCAATTTCTTCTTGTACTTCCTTCAAACATTTGCCTTTTAGGGGCATGCAGGTTCATAACTTCTGTCTTCTTAGTGAATAGAACCCTGTATCAATATGCAATAATCATTTTAGCGTCTAAATAGTACCTTTTGCCTTAAAATATATTTCATCTGGTATAAATATGATAACCCTGGGTTTCCAGGTTTAAAATTGTTATATCTTCCTTGTGAATAGAACCTTGTATCAATATGCAATGATCATTTTAGCTTCTAAATAAAATTTTTTTGCCTCAAAATGTATTTTGGCAATCTCGGGTTTCTTTTAATTATTTGCTGGCATATTTTATCTTTTTACTTTCTATATTACTGCATCCTTATGCTTTTCTATTTTTATAGTTAGCATATAGCTGGATTTAAAAAAACTGACAATATTTGTTTTTCATGGGTGAATTTAATCTGTATACATTAAATAATGACTACAGCTTGATTTGAATTCATGTTACCTTATTTCATACTTCCCCCCACTTTTTCAATGTTTATTTCTCATTTATTGACTTTTATTTTGTATTAACACTAGTTATCAAAATTGTTTATACTAGTTTGGAAATTACATATACTATTTCAATAGTTTTAATTGTTACCCTAGAAATTTTAAGAGGTACGTTTAATTTAACAATGTCTAAAGGTAATTAATATTTTTATTCTTTTTCTATACAAGAAATCAAATGCCTTAACTTTAATTTTCTTCCCTTTCTTTAATCATAAATTATTGTTGCTGTAAATTTAGTTATGCATTGATTTTTAGTTCCTCTAGTTACTATAATTGTTATTATTTACATAGTCACTGTTTAGGCTTACCTCCATGTTTACCATTTTCTTTGCCCACCACTTCTTGTGTCTAAGAGCTACTTCCTAGGATAATTTTCTTTCTTAAGTATCTCCTTTAGAAAATTATTTAGTAAGTTTTTGCTAATACCATACTGTCTTAGTTTTGATTTATTTGAAAATATCTTTATTTTACCATCATTCATTAAAGTAAATTTCATTTGGTAGAAAATACAGCACAAGGTTGACATTTTTTTTTCCTCAGCGCTTTAGGCTTATTTTACTGGTTTCTGGCTTACATTGTTGTTACTGAGAAATTAGCTGTCACTGTCATATAAATTATTTATAGATAATCTGTTTTTATTCCTCTCTAGTTGTTTTAAATATCTCTTTGCTTTTGATGTTCTGCAGTTTCACTATGATGGGTTGAGATTGTTTGTTTTTTTCTCCTTTCTTTCTTATGTTCCTTGGTGTTTATTGGGCTTCTTGAATCTGTGAATTTCTCCTTGGAAACATTCCCAGTCATATTGCTTCTACCTCATTATTTCTGTGATCTCTTTATAGATTTCAGATTGGACATATGTTGGACCTTCTCATTTTATCCATATCTCTTAACATCTTTTGCAATTTTTTTTGTCTCTGTGCATCATTTTGTGGATTTTTTCAAACCTGTGTTCTGATTTACTCATTCTCTTTCCAGTTTTGTAGGCTCACTCATCAACTGAGTTTATAATTTCAATTCTTACATTAAAAAAATTTGTAGAAGTTCTATTTTGTTATTTTTCCAATCTGAACTGTTAATTTTGATAAGCTTTCTTTTTTCCTTTGTCATATACCCAAAACTTAAAAAAACTTAAAAAGAAACACATTAAGCACATTTTACTCTCTGTATCTGATAATTATAATAGCTGAAATCTGTATGGTTCTGATTCTACATTTTTTTCTTTCTTTTTACTCTGTATCACCGTAGATACTTTTTACTCTTTAACATTCCTTGTATGTTTGGTGGTTTTTGATTTTGAGCTGATGTTACTTGAAACTTTATCTTTCATAATTCTTTAAGGCTTGGGTTTAAAGTGTGTTCCTTCAGAGTGGATTTGCTTTGGTTTTCCATGACTAACTCAGGACCATTTTAAATGAAGATTTCAGCTTGAATTTTTCAGTCTACATATGTAGTGTGAATACTTTCTTCAAAGAATATGAACTTGTGTTTAGGAAGCTTTTGGGAAAATATTTTTTCCCTGTTCTGTCCAGAATCTAGGTTGAATCAAACAGGATCTTTACTGTTGATATGAAACTGTTTTTTCATCCCTCTGAGGACTGCCCTTTTGGAGTCCTGGCTTTATGCAGTGATCTCAGATCTGACCTCCAACCCTGCCCAGGCTTAGTCTCTTATCCCCAGGTCTTATTAAAACCCAGGCTGTAAGCTTCCAGAAATTGAAAAACTCCCCCCAAGATTCCAGTGCTCACTTACTCGCATGAATCTGAACTGTTTTATGCAGAAACATAGATTGATTTGAATGGAATTACATGAGTGACATATGAGATTCATTCTATATAACTTTCTAAAGCGTAACAAGAGGAGCAAAGGCCACAGGAAGGAATTCAGCACTGTATAAGGAAGACTGCCTCATGAGCTATTTATGAGGTAGTGAGCTTCTTGGTTACCAGGGGGATTCAAGGATAGGCTAGACAACCACCTACTGGGGACGTGGTAAAGGGGCTTTAGGTATGAAGGGTTTGGTTGAACCAAAATGCAGCCATCCTCTCCTTCTACTTGCTTGATGCTGATTTGCATGGCAGAGTCTCTGGAAGAAGTCTCCTTTCCCTGGCCATGCTGAAAGTTTAAAATATTGCCTTGCCAGGTCTGCTTTCTGCCTGCAAATGGCTCCTTGACACCTGGCAGCAGAGCTGTTGGGGCCCAACACACTGTGCCAGAGCATGCGATGCCTGGGCTGCCTGGATTTGCTGTTCACGTGGCCGCATTTCAGGCCCTGTCAGGTGGCCATGGCTTGTCTTGGCCACATGGCTGTCGAAAAGGAGGTGAACTGGGGCAGGATGAGTGAGCAACAGGTGTTAGCAGGAGTCTAGACAGAAAAGGATCCTTATACCCACAGGAGCATTCGTTTAAAATAGCTCTTTTCCCAGATATGCCTCTGGTGGCACTGGGCCGTCTGGGCTATGGTTTAAGATCATTTGGCAACGTTCATTCCTACAATCAGAGAACAGCTTCTGGTGCTGTAAAATCATCAGCAAGCTAAGCCAATTAGCTCAGCCAGGAGAGGATTATGTGCACTGGTGTTGGTACCAGGCAATTGATGTAAGCTGATTTTTTGAAGTTTCAGTGTTTTTGCTTGCCATATTTTCCTCCAGGGCAGTCACAGTTTAACTGGGGCTAGGCCCCAGCAGGTGACGCCTTCGGGTACTTTTCAAATTGCCTGTGGAGAAACTGGGTGAAAAGTGTTCACACTCTCACGCTTGGTGTAGTAAGGGGAGGAGTCCAACTGCAAACGTGGGCAAGCTGTTTATATGGAGAGAGTGGTAAAATGTCCTTTTCCTGTTTGAGAGGAATTGGATGCTTTTGCAGAGCTCAGTAAGGAGAGGCTAGGATGGGGCTCTAGCAAGAGTGATAGGAGTCCTGAGGGCAGTGGGTGGAATCCAGGTTAAGAATGAGGCTAAAGCTAAGGGGTCAACTCAGATGCAGGATACAGGGATTCTGTTCTATGTTAGCGCAAATTAGTGCTTTGGGTTACATGTGGGGTTATGGATAGATAACGTAATGTTATTCGGGCATGTAAGGGGCATTGGGTTCATAGATGACCTTGAAAAGTTAGCACTGAGTTTGTAATGGCATTTTAACCCCCCAGATAGTTCCTTTTGTGTTTTGAACCTTGTTGTAATAGCACCTTGTGCCGCTCACAGAGTGGGAAAAAAAGAGACAAAACAGAGTATAAAATGGCCCACCCATGCAGGGAAAACTACTGCTAACATTTTGATGTATATGTTTCTAGATTTTTTCTGTGCATGTATATTTTTACAGAAATGAAACCATATTCTTTTGTCATCTGCTTTTCCACTTATATTGATTCAATCGGTAGATATTTAACGAATGCCTGTGGTGTGCCCGGCCCTGTTCTGGGCACAGAGAGTACACTGATGAAAACAAAGCCCTTGCCTACATGGAACTTATGTTCTAGGGAAAGCATTCTGTAGTGAGCATCTTTTCATATCAATAGATCATTTTATGAAACAACATTTTTATGAGTCACATACTATTCCCTAGTATTGATAGATTTTAATTTAATTGTATCCTATTGTTTCCAACAGGATGAGTTGCAACTTTTTGCTAATTCAATGATTTGATGAACATTTTTGTAGCTAATATTCATGTACATCTTTATTAGAGATAAAAGCTGTAATGAAAAATTCATAAAACTAAATGTTCCCCCAGGTAGGAGGAATAAATGTGCCCTGTCTGGCTGTGACTGGCAGGCAATTAGTCCCAAAGACACTTGAGCCCAGAGGGTATCACTGACAGACTTGGCTAACTGCATGGCTTAGGTTGGGGCAGGCAAACCACATGTGGGTGTTTCAGCTGACCCACGTGGACTGTCTGGCAGCACTTGACCGCTGGATCAATTAAGGACATGTATGGGTTTCAGAATTCTTTAGAGGCCCAGATGCACTCACTGTGGCTTTAAAAATAAAGGTGTGCTGCTCCATGATGACAAGTTGCTTGAAATTATATTTTAGAAACCCCAAGGAAAGAATTCTAGGGAAGCCCACAAAAATGAATTGGGCAAAGCTTGTGTTTGTGCCTTCAGGGTTGGCATGGGCAGCAGGGTGTGCAGAAGGACCAGCTTTCAAGATGGGTTTTTTGTATATGGAACCATTGTAAGCAGGATGGGAGACAAAGTGGCGAGGGGAGCAGATGACAGGAATGAAAGTTTGCTTTTATGTGGCACCCTAACCTTGTAGAGGGGACTCATGGGGCTTTAGATGCTCTGTGTGCTTCCATGATGTGCTGTTAAGCTCACTGGAGAAGGTGTGTCCCTCTCTTTGCTGGAAAGTTGGCTAATGTATGAGCCTAAAACACTGGAATCATTTTAAATAATTTCCTGTTTAATACCCGTCTCTTCACCAAATTCTGTCCAATGTCCCTGACAGTCTTTTGAATTTGTTGTTCAAGCTCCGTTATTCTCTCACTTGAATCACTGCAGGAACTTTCATGGGTCTCCATGTTTCCACTTCCTTCCAGTCCATTTTCCACACAGCGATGGCCTAAGCTATCTTTGTGACATGAACATTCATCATGTTACCGCTGGGTTAAAAATCTCCAACAGCCTCCTGTCGCTTATAGGGTGAAATTCAAGCTCATTCAAGACTGAAGAGGCATTCCAGCTGCCCTGGCCTACTGGACTGGTCCTGTCACCTGCCACAGCCCTTACCTGTGTACCAGCTGTGAACTACTTGTAGTTGTCTGGAAGTGACGTATTTATTAAGCCTTTGTATCCTTGCACACAATCTTCCTTCTGCTTGGAGTGCTTTTCCCATCTTTTTCCCTTGGCATATTCCTACTTATTTGAGGCACCCCTTTCTTTGTGACCTCACAGCACTGCGTCCATCTCTGTATTATCACTTATTGTTCTACTCATTTACATGTCTCCTGTCTATATCCTTTACAGGACTGTGGACTACTTGAGGATAAGGGTGGAATCTTATTAATTTTTTTATCTGCTATCCCACTGGGGTGCCTAATATATTTGTTGTTAAAAGAATGCTTACAGAATCATAAATATTGGAGGGTTATATACAATCTGGATTGCAAAAACATGTTCTTTGATGAAGACCTAACCAGATAGAGTGTGTTCATAGTTTTCAGTTCTGATGTATGTTTTCAGACATCTTTTTAAGGATTTTCATTCTAAAGATGAGTAATTTTATTACATAAAGACTGGTCCTTAGATAGGGTTGATTTACACACATGCACGCTCTCTCAGACATGATCTGATGTCGCACACACACACACACACACACACACACACACACACACACGATTCAACAAATAAGTGATGAGTTCAAACATGGGGTTCTCTCACTCCAAACTGTGCTCTTGACTTCTATAATCTCCTGCCTGCGGTGCTGGTATTTTGGGTCCAAGAGAAGGAGTTGTCAATGGAGGAAAAGGGAAATGTGAAAATGTGGCAAAACCCCCCAAAATGAAAATAAACAACTCCAAGACTATCCGTGTGTTTATGTAGATATTTAAAAAAGGCAATTGCTTTTGCTTTCAAAGTCTGTTTCCATATTTGTCAAATGTGAATAATAATGTTCTCCCAAGCAGCTCCCAAGGCAGCTGGAAGGATTAAATAAGATAATGTATTTTATAGAGTAAATGCTTAACAAAAAGTAGCTATCGTATTTACTTTTCAGAGTTTTTGCTTTTTCTTCTTCCTATGCTCAGGAATCTGGGAGTGGGCCCTAGTAGAAATAAATCTTTGCAGAGAAAAAGCTGAAGGCTGCCTGTAGTTGATGAGTAGACGGCCTTTAAATACTCCTTCAGGAGTTTCTGAAGACCTTCTTGTACCTCCTGCCCTACCACCCTTTTATTTACTCCCTAAAATCCCACAGCTAGATTTCTCCTGCTAACACCATGTTTACAGATACAATAACCCTGCTAGAGGTAACAAGTTAAAACTTTTACTTTATATTTCCATGGAATGAGTCTTGAGCTTCTTTCCTAAAAATAGGATTTTTTTCTTGAGCAGGAGACCTGAGGCCAGGTTTGGGGAAGAAATATCTGGTGAGGAAAGGAGGTAGTGGAACGAGGAGTCGTGTAGGAAAACATTATTGGCTACACCACCCAGGGATGGCTACCTACCTCCCTCTTCCTGCTATCTTGGTCAGGATCACCTCTCTGAATTTTTTTTTTTTTTAAATATTTTGACTTAATCCTTCAGTATAATTCTACTGACCAACTCACCTCCCTGATAGGTGTGTGATGAGGCGGTATGCTGGGGGAAGGATGAGGAAGAAAGGTCTTTCTAAGCCCAAATGCACATTCTGGAAAAATTAGAGTTGTGCTTACGTATAGACCTGGGTCAGGACACAGTCCAAGGAGCAGAACTGATGGACAAGATGACCTCATAGCATGGGAGACATGATTGGGAATATCCCTTCCCCAGCTACTTTTTAAAAGAAAATTGTGGTAAAATATACATAACATAAAATTTACTATGTAAACCATTTTTAAGTGTACAGTTGAGTGGCATAAAATATATTCACATTATTGTACAACCAACACCCATCTCTGGGAATTTTTTTCATCTTCCCAAACTGAAACCCCATAGGCAATAAACTATATCTCCCCATCCCCTTCCACCCTTACCCCTAATCCCTGGCAACCACCATGCTGCTTTCTGTCTCTAAGAATTGGACTCTCCTAGGTACCTTGTATAAGTGGAATCATGCAGCATGTGTCCTTTCTTGTGACTAGCATATTTCACTGAGTGCTATGTCTTCCAGGCTCACCCATGCTGTAGCTTTCAGTTGCTCTTGGAAACTGCTTTGGAAGCAGCACACTGAGCAGGCTGCCCACTGGCCAGCAGGCCTGAGGCCCCAGGCCTGGGTTCAGGAAGGGGTACCTGGATGGCCATTTCCCTTTCAAGGAGTCTAGTAATGGCATTGTTTGTGTTCCCCGGACAGCAAGGAAAAAACCTGCTGACCATTCTCTTAGCCTATTTCCTTCACCTTCTTAGGGGCCATTAAAACCCCAAGCAGAAGGCTCTTCCCACTGAAAGCCTATGCAATCTTGGCAGTGGGGCTGGGCACTGTTGGTAACCAGAATGACTTTGCTCCTGCTTAGGAATGAGGCCACAATTTGCCATGTTTGCTCCCAATTCATAGTTTGAAATAGCCCTGTCCTGCTTCCAGTGGCTCCTGCCCCACCATACAATGTGTGGCTTCTGCTGGGGGCTGTAGGAGGGCTGCCCCTTTCTGTCCTGTCATGCTGACAGCTGCATGGGGTGTTGGCAGAGCCAGCCAGTGACTGCCAGTCTCCTGGATGGTTGCCTTGTCCACTGCTTGGAAGCCTTGTCATGTCTGATGTGGCAGGGTCCGGTTTCTAGAGGAAATGTTCCTCTGGGATTTGGATGAAATCTGGGCTGTCCTATCCTATCTCCAGAAAAATCTGAGCAAGCAGCAATTGTAATTAATACTTGATGAGTGATGCCCACTGGGGGTTAATTCCTGACATCCCAAAGCTCTGAATGGGTGGAACACATGGTATTGGTTGGGTGTTAGACATGCTTACTAATGAATTCACTTTACTTATTTTGGCCTTGGGGTTAGTCAAGGAGAGAAGCTCAGAAATAAAGTAATGCCCTAACACTGCCTCCCGCAGCTGATTGTCTTTCTTTCTTCTTGTTTCATTTAACATAATATATTTGAGGTTCATCCATGTTGTCACATGAATCAGTAGTTCATTTTTTTATTGTTGAGGGCGAGTCTTGCTCTGTTGCCCAGGCTGGAATGCAGTGGCACAATCTCGGCTCACTACAACCTCTGCCTTCTGGGTCCAAGTGATTCTCCTGCCTCAGTCCCCTGAGTAGTTGGGACTTCCCAAGTACCTGGGACTACAGCTACTGTGCGCCACCATGCTTACGCTAATTTTTGTATTTTTAGTAGAGACAGGGTTTTGCCGTGTTGGCCAGGCTGGTCTTGAACTCCTGACCTCAAGTGATCCACCCACCTCAGCCTCCCAAAGTGCTGGCATTAAAGCGTGAGCCACTGTGCCTGCCCTGTAGTTTATTCTTTTTTATTGCTGAGTAGTAGTCCAATGCATGAATATGCCACAATTTGTGTATTAATTTTCTTATTGATGGACATTGAGTTGTTTCTAATTTGGGCTATTATGAATGAATATTCTTTCACAAATCTTTCTGTGGACGTGTCCCTCCCTGCTTCCCCAACCCAGGGTAAATACCTAGGATTAGAATTTTCTACTACTAATAAAGTTAAGACATGCACTTCATTTTATTGGAAACTACCAAACAGTTCTCCAAACTTGTACTACTCTACCTTCTTATCAGAGTTCCTGTTGCTTTCCATCTTTATCAACATTTTGTGTTTCAAGTATTTTTTTAAATTTTAGGTATTCTGGTGGGGGTTGAAATGGTATTTTACATATGTTAATTTGCATCTGTCTGATGACTAATGATGTTGAGCACCTTTTCATGTGGTTATTGGCCATTCATATATCTTCTTTTATGAAATGTCTGTTCATGTCTTTTGCCAACTTTTTATTAAATTGTACAGAATTTTATTGTTGATTTGCAGGATATTTTAAAACATATTCTGTATACAAGACCTTTGTCACATATGTGTGCTGCAAATATTATTTCTTGGTCTATGGCTTAATTCATTTTCTTAATGGCATACTTTAATGAGTAGAAATTTTCAGTCTTGTTGAAGTCCAACATATCAATTTTTTCTTGTATGGCTTTTTGCATCCTGTCCAAAAAGCTTTGCCTACACAAAGGTCACAAAGATATTCTCTTACTTTTTTTTTCTAGAAGACTAATGGTTCTGGGTTTTATATTTAAGCCTATGACCCATTAAAAAATTATTGTTAATATATGAAGTGAGAAAAAATTTAGTGAAAAATAAAACTCAAGGCCAGAAGTCTTCCAGAAGAAAACAGCCTACTCTCTAATTTGCAGTGATAAATTAATGGAAAATCTTGTGGCACCCTTGAGATGGAGTAGCCAAGGGAAGAGCTTCCCTTCCTTCAAGGGTAGATACTATGGCAGCAACAGGTGATGGTGAATCTTAGTTGTGTCCAGTGAAGTAATGACTTAATACGAAGTATTTACAGTAGAGGCAGCAGCAATGCTGAGTACATGTGAGAGAAAACTGAAAGAACTCCTAGAAAAAGCTGGAGGACATTTTTGGGGACCTAATATGTATATTTAGAGCAAGGGTCTCTCTCTGTTGTCCAGGCTGGAGTGCAGTGGTATGATCATAGCTTACTATAACCTCAAACTCCTGGGCTCAACTGATGCTCCTGCTTCAGCCTCCCAAGTAGTTTGGATTATGGTCACATGCTGCCATGCCCTAACTTTTAATTTTTTATTTGTAGAGACAGGGTCTCGCTATGTTGCCAGGCAAATTTTGAACTTCTGGGCTCCAGTGATCCTCCCACCTTGGCCTCCCAAAGCACTGGGATTATAGGTGTGAGCCCCTGTGCCTGGCCAGGGGTCAGAGTTTTTGAATAAAACCAGCAGGGGTGCATGCCACTACAATTCTGGTATTTACAGGGAAAAGGTGACTTTATCTTTGTTTTTATTTTTGATATTGAAACAATTATAGACTAACAGAAGAGTTGCAAAGATAGTACAGGGCATTCCTGTAGACTTCTCATCCAGCTTCCCCTAACGTTATGGGAATTTTTTTGGGGGGAGAGTCCAAGAACCATAGTGAGTGAATGTGAGAGTAAGAGGGGAAAGGAAGAGAAGCCAATACTGGGTGAATTAATGAGCAGGTTTCTGCTATGGGTAAATAGGACTTGGCCCTACTAGGGACTCTTTAAGAAACTGTATAGAGCACATCTCAGAGCTGTCCTATGGAGGGGTGAGCAAGTTATCCAGCAATTTCTAACCCTCATTAGTTGAGGGTCACTCCTGGGATAGCTCCCTGACAAGTGGGCAGAGCACCACCTCCTGATCAGAATGTTCCTTTAGGCCATGAGACTTAGGCAAGAAACTGTTGGTGTGTCTGTGGGGGGACAGCCTGCAGAGGGCTCAGATGATAATGGTACTGTTTGGGGGTAGGGGAAGAGGGGAGCATTAACAAGGTCTGCTAGACTTTTCAACGGACCTGAAGTTTGAGTAAGAGTTTACTGGTTGCAAGTGACCTCTGAAGAGACAGACCTTTCCAGACAAAAGGAGTAGAATGTACAAAGATTAAAAGAGAGTATGATAAATTCAGTGACATGATGAAGCTGTTTTGAGAGTGTGTGGGAAGAGGGCTAAAAGGCTAGAGAGAGGTCAGGGAAGATGCACGGGATGAAATACAAGGGTCTTCTATTCCACATTAGCAATCTTGAACTTTATCCTGATGGCCAAAGGGAATTTTTGAAGGGTTTTAAATAGGAGAGTAATATCAATTTGCACTTTTAGGAAGATTATTCTGGATGCTATGTGAAAAACAGATTAGAGGGTGGTAAGATCAGAATCATGAAAACCAGCCAGGAGATTGTCTCAGTAATTCAGGTGAGAGATGATGGTGGTGAACTACGATAGTGCTCACCAGGATGGAAGAAATGCTTGGGAGTTGTAATTAACAGGAGTTGCATCAAAATGGGGAGGTGGGAGGTGAGGGAAGGTGGAATATAAATGGGGGAGATGATGAGGGAGAGAGGAAGATAAGGAATATGACTTCCACACTCCTGACCCTGCTGTCTATTATTCCCTGAGATAGAAATAGAGTAGTGATAGAGGCAGGAGGAGGAGAAACTCTAGGCAGATAGGGGACATCAGAGAGGCAACTTGACTTTGGAGGAAGAGGCAGAGAGGCAACTTGGCTTCAGGGGAGAGAAACCTACCCTTCCCGTCCCGTTTCGAGCTCCCCTCTCTGCTGAGAGCTGCTTTCATCACTCAGTAAAATTCTGCACATTCACCATCCTCCAATTTATCTCCATGACCTCATTCTTCTTGGATATTAGACAAGAATTTGGGACCCACCAAGTGTGGATACCCAAAAAGGCTATCACACTGGCTTGTTTCCCTTGCTGGCGGGAGGTAGCCACCCCCCTCGCCGAGGCAAAGGGGCCACTGAGCTGATAGCACACTGCTGTCCATGGTTGGTTGAGCTAAGAGAACACTGTAACATGCCCTCTGGAGCCTTGGGGTCACAGGCACCCCTACCTGGACACTGCCACGGGGCCTGCACAGAGTTTGTTTCTGCTGGCACCAAAGTGGCCAGCAGGTTCCTGCAGTCACTCACTTGCATGTTCCCTCCTGCGAGGGGCTGAGCATGATTGGCTGAGTAAACATGGCACCCCTGTTCTGCAAGGGGGTCAAGGAAAAATCTTGCATCAGTAGGAGGATAAATGTGGGAGTTTGGGGCCTTGTAAATGTGAAGTGTCAGTAGGAAATCCAAGGGACAGTTACTTAATAAACAATAGGATACAAATGTCTTTGATTCCTTTGGTCGATTCAATCTGCAGGTGTAGATTTAGGGGTGGGTAGCTTAAAGACTACCACAGTCTTACGACTGAAACTGTAAGATCAGGTGAGATGGCCCTGGGAGATTGTATAGCATGAGATTTACGGGAGGTAGAGGAAAAAAACCTGTAGAAACATGAATCCTAGCAGGGCTGCCATTGAAAGCGTGCATTGCTTTTTCATCTGGCCATGAACAAACCTCCTGTCTCCTAAGTTTCAGAAAATGGCACGCAGAAAGGCAGGTAGGAAGCTGCATGCGCGTGCCTGAGGCCAGGTTTTCCTGATTAAAGCTCTCCTTGGGCTTGTGGTGTTGCCCCTGTGGCTTTCCTTGGCATGGCCTTTTATTTTGAGAGAACCTTTTCAGAGGGGCTGATCTTTTCTTCTCATTTCTTCTCTGCTTCAGCCTTATGCTATAATATTTCTGTTGGCCACTTGCCTTTCTTTTTACCAGTTGGGACTAGTTGTATTCTCATAGCTATTTTCCCTCCCTCTGTTTTAGACAAATAAAAAATGGAAATGCCAGGTTTAAAACAGAGGGTTTGCCAAAGATGTGTCTTCCTTTGCTGACAAGAGAAAGAAAGTGCACGTGTGACAGACCAGCCCATTTCTAAATCTAAAGGCACATTGGCTGTCCTGGCTGTGGGGGAGTGAGGGTGACTCCCCGCTTTGTGAGGGTAGAACTATCTTAAATAATACCAATTTTGCACTTCTCCTTGGTAAGTGAAATTCATTTTCCAACATGAACTGCAAATTGTGATTTATTAATAGCCTCCCCAAGGTATTCCACTGGCCTAATCCAGTCTTGCCCTCTGCAAATTGGTTTTGATTCTTCACATTTAGAAGAGACTTTTGCTATCCTTGAGACTAATTGTTATTCCTACTCATACATGGATCTCCTCTCCAACACATTCTAAGCAGCCCCTTCAATTTGGGGGTGACGAGGAGGATCTATTTGTTAAAAATCCCTTTCTTTTCCCTGCCGTGTCTGTTTTGTACTTCAAAGTCACGCAGAATAATTCCAATACTTATTCTAAAAGAGAGGCTTTCAAATGCTTAAATTCATTTATTTAAACTCTCCTAAGGTGGTAGCCTCCTCTTTTTCCTCTCCTCTCTTCTCTTAAGTTTTCCTACTTTCCTCTCCTACAGGATTTACACATGCCTTATACAATTTAGTCACTGTTTTTTTGGAGTTAAACCAAATCCAATTCTTTTCACTTTAGGTTCTACAACCAAGAGGGAATTCAACAAATTAAAGTGACTACAGTTGTGAAGATACTTAAAACTAACTATTTGGGGTACCACATTTCTGTGAATATAGCCTTAAGTCCATTTTTTTTTTTGGAAACAACTTCTTGCCTTATATTCTGTTGACTATAAAATAAAAGTTTACATTATTTTCATGATAACTGCCGTCTTCCTTATCCTGCAGTTGTGTGGAAGACGTTATATTTCTCCCAGTTAAATGGCATCTTGGGAAACCATTGTTCCAGTTTGTTTCTCTCTTTTTGGCTCTTGATTCTGTTATGCAAACTATTAGCTATTAACCTCAAGAGCTTGTCATGTGTACACCTGAGCACTATTTCCTCTTCATATTTAATAAAAGCTGTTTAGAAAAAAATGTTGAGGAAGGAAAACTGCAGCAAACTGCCAGGTGCCTATGTCTACATTAGCATTATTCTATTAGTCAATTCCCTTTGGTTAATATATAACTTAGCTAAAGTTAAGTTACATTATGCTGCAGTAACAAACAATTGCCACGTCTTAGTGGCTTCCAACAACAAGAGTTTATTTCTTACAATTTGTGCTGACTGTGGTTCAGCTGTCACTCTGCTCCATTTGTCTTCATTACAGGGCCAGCAAGAAGAGGTCCCAATCTGGGATATGCTTTCCTCATGTTAAAGGGAGAAAAAGATATATTGCTAATGGTATGGACAGGAGGCAAGGAAATACTGGGTAGGAGAGGGTGGTTCCCCAGCAAAGGCCCCACCCTCAAGCCTGGAAACCCATGGCCCTAAATGGGAACAGGCATTCCTGTTTTTGCATCCAAATATTTGGCCCACCACGCCCCCCTATCCTGTACCCATTTAAACCCCAAACCTCAGGTCCTGTAAGCAGATGAGCAGATGAACAGAAGAGCAGAAGAGCAGCACAGCCGAGAAGGAATGAATGGCACAGCAGAGAAGGAGAGAAGAGAAGGAGCATCTGAACGTTGAGAGTTCAACTAGAAATGGTCAGAGAGGAGACTGATCATGGGATAGCCAAACTCCAGGAGAAGATTATGTTCCCACTCCATCCCCTTTCCAGATCCCCAATCCATCCCTCTGAGAGCCACCTCTACCACTCGATAAAACCCCTGCATTTACCATCCTTTGAGTCTGTGTGTGACCTGATTCTTTCTGGACACCGGACAAGGACCTGGGTAGAAGAAGACACTAAACTGATTAACACTTTAGCCATCAGGAGAGCTAAAGAAGCACTGTAACATTCCCACTGGGGCTTCGGGAGTTGCAGGCACCCACCCATAGATGCTACCGTAGGGCTGGAGCCCAAAAGTGCTCACCCTGGCTCCTGCATCTGCCCGTCTGTGTGCTCCCCTTCCCATAAGGGGTTTGAGTGTGCAGCAGCTGAATATATGAGCCACACCCCTGTTGCACATCCTGTGAAGGGGTCAGGGAACTCTCCTGTTTCACTAATTCATATACACACAATGGTTCATAAAGCTTCTGCTCAAATATACATGTCCCCTCACCTCCTGTTGGCCAAAGCAAGTCATGTGACCAATCCCAGCATCAATGGGAGGAGGATGCATACTCGTGCAGGAACGCTGCAGAACTCATATGGAATGAGTGGCAGTGAATAATTAGAAACACTAAGTCATTTGGTAAAAGTATGTATCATTTGTGTAACAGTTTCCAAAGTGTCTTCACATCTCTCTGTGTCAATTGCCACAACCTTGAGAGAAAAGGGTTGCTTTCTCTATTTACCAAATTAAATCCTGAGACATGAAGTGTCATCTTATCACTAGCAAGTATAAACCACAAATAAAATTCTAAAGTCCCCCCAGCCATCTGAATGAAATTCCTCCTCCTTGGCCAGGGAGCTCTTAAAATTTAACCTGAGAGATTGGTTCAGGCCATGATGGGAAGTGGGGGTTGAACATGTCACATCACACCTCTCTGGCATTAACATCAACACAGACCTTAAGTTTGATTAGAAACCTTTATAATCTATTTTCTGTGAAGCCTGCTACCTGGAGGCTTCAGCTGCATGATAAGACTTTGGTCTCCACAACCTCTTATTGCAACCCAGACATTTCCTTTCTATTGATCTCAGGTTTTTAGATAAACTCAACCAATAGCCAACCAGAAAAAATTTAAATATACCTGTAACCTGAAATACAACTTGAAAGAACTCCTGCTGTGCGCCCACACCCTCCACCAGCTTTGAGTTGTCCCACTTTGCTGGACAAACCAATGTACATTTTAAATGTATTTGAGTCTCATGTCCCCCTAAAATGTATATAAATCCAAGCTGCACCCTGATCACATTGGGCACATGTTCTCAGGACCTCCTGGGGGCTGTGTTTATGGGCCATGGTTACTCACATTTGGCCCAGAATGAATCTTTTCAAATATTTTACAGAGTTTGACTCTTTTCATCAACACAAATTAGCATTTAATCCCAAATATTCTGAAACCTGAATGTTCTTTTCAGTAATGGTGATGAAGATGATGCCAAATATTACTTGCATTTATTGAATGTACTTCATGTGGCAGGCATTGATGCGAGTTCTGTACTACCCTATTGGGCAGAATAATTAGCTCTACCAACCTCAGTAGATAAACCTCAGAATCTCAATGGTTTCACACAATAAAAGTTTATTTCTCATTCACGTCATATTTCAGTATGGGTCAGATGGCTTTCCAGGGTGGCTCTTCCCTCCAAGTGGTGATGTGGGAATCTAGGCTGCTTCCATCTTGTAACTAGGTTATGTGGTACATGTGGCTGGCAAGGCTGCCATTGCAAAGTGTGTATGTGTGAGAGGGAGAGAGAGAGAGAGAGAGAGATGGAGGAAGAACCTGGTGGATGTTTTTAAGGACCAAGATGGGAACTGGCTCCCATCACTTCTACCCACATTCCATTGGCCTGTATTAGTCACATGACCTCGTCTAGATGCACCAGAGCTGATAAATAGAGCACTAAATATTTAGTGAACACTAATAATCCCTGTCACTATGTTGAAATCATTATCCCCATTTTTATATATAAGAAAACTGAGGTGCAGAAAGTTTAAGGACTTTTCCTTGGGCCTGTCTAGCAGTGAAATAGGTGGTATTTGAACCTAGACGGTCAGGCTGTAGAATCTGTGCTCTTAGCCACTGTACTAGGTTGTGTCTTATCTTTTATCATGGTCCACTAGGTTATAAATATATTGACTGTACCAGCATCCAGACAGCATTTATCGATTTTGTTCAGGAACATCAAAATAACCTTTCTAATTATTCTATTGAAATCTTGGTACCCTGGAGATACCATGACTATAATCCTATTAGAAAACATGCAATAAAGCTGGTGCAGCAGGAGTAATTTTCAGTGATCAGTGCTTTTTTTTTTTTTCTTTTGAGAGATAAGCATTTTTGGATCCAAAGAAACCACAAGAACAGGGACAAGAGATGTCTCAGAGGAAACTAGAGGATCTGCGTCCCCTGTCGCTCACATCTTGGCTCTGTAGAAGACTCAGGAATCATGGAGCAGTCTCCAGAGGGACTGAGGTTAAGGTTTTCCATTAGCCTGGAAATAAGGGTGCAGACTGAGAAATTAGTTGTTACAGAAAATCAAGAAAGTTATATTTCTTGTGCTCTTTAGTCAGTGGACTGAGATGAATAGCTACTACATTAAAAAAAAATCTAGACTATTGCCTGTGTGGTGAACAAAGTCACCATTTCTCATTTGTAGGTTATTTTTCTTTTCCCTGGTTAGAAGTGGGACTGGCTATCCCTAGCACCTCTCCTGTGGTTCTCTGAGGTTCCTCGCTGGTTACTGATCATGGTCATTTTATCTGCAGATTTTCACAAAAGAAGTTTGTGATGCATCGGAGCCAGGGTCCATAACTGATTCTGAACAGCTAGGTAATATCTCATGATCTCTTCACTTACCTTGGGTTTTAATTCCCTCTGAGTGAGATTTATCCCACCAATTCCAGAAGCTCTTTTTTTTTTTGACAAAGAAGCTAGAAGCCAAATCAGAGCAGAAGTGTCATGGTTTCTGACTGTCCTCCATTAGCATAGCAAGAATCCCAGCTGTAGCCCAAAGAGCAGTTGTCCTAGAAGTCAGAGGTGAGCCTGTTTGCCCAGAGTAACGTGGGGCCAGCCTGACAGGGCTGTTAACTTGAAGGTCTAAGGACTTTTCAGGGATAGAATTACCAGAAAGAACAGAAGGAAATGAGAGTGGAGGCCAAGAAGTTGGTCCAAGGAGAACAAACAGTTATCAGAAGGAATGGTGATTCAGAGCACAGCCTAACATGTGTCACTGCAACTGTCCTCTGATCTAGACCCCGGGAAATCACAGCAGTGTCCAGGGGTGAGGAGGCCATCACAAAAGCAGGTAAATGCCGAAAGGACTATTTCTCAGTAGATTTTGTGGGACTTTGAGAATGCAAACTGTGAGTAGGCATTAGTGGTGTCAGGAGAGAGGTTAACAGTGGTGGTTGCTCTTTCAGCAACAGCAGTAGCTCCCGCCTTGGGTGTTGACCATAACTTGAGAATTCCAAACATGGAGTTAGAATAAGAAAGAAAAAAATGGTAAGTACAGCAAGGAAACCTGAATGATTTGGTATTATCTTTATTTACCCTTAGGGATTCATTCCTAAAGCCATATGAAAGGAACTTTGTGAAGGGTGTGTGTGTGTGTGTGTGTGTGTGTGTGTGCATATGTTAGAAATTCTGCAGAATGGGTAGAGTTGAAGCCAAAGGAATACTATTTTGTGTTCATTGTTATTTTCTGGTTTGCAAATGGGGTGGGAAATACAAGTTGTCATTAGTTTCACTCCATTTGTCCCAACAGCACTTAGACCATTTTTGTTCTTCTTACACTAAACATAAGTAAAATGGTCCTTTTTGTTGTCATTCCATTCACTGCAAGCCTGAGCTTACTTTGGGCTTCCACCTCCTGACCCTGTGTTTCAGCCTTTTATAATCATCTCTGGGTGTGTTCTCTTTTCTTCATCTTTTGAATTATTTTTAAAGGCCTGAGTATATTAGTAAGTTCCCTTCACATCCATATTGTCCTCGGAAGTATCTTTTCTCTCCCCTACCCCCACTTTTTTCCCGTCAGGATGTAAACTTGTCTTTCTTATTCTTTCTTTATTAAAATACCAACTTAAAAATTTTTTTCCTCTGAATGCAAAAGTATTAAATTTACACTGCAGAAAATTTGAAAGTAGAGAGACTCATCCAGGAGAAAAAAATTACCGCAATTCCATGATTCAGAGATAATTAATATTAACACTTTGCTTGATGTCTTTCAGTCATTTTTCTATGCATATCTGTACAAACATTATATGTGTGTATGTATATGTTTGCATGGATCTATGTAAGTATACACTGTCATTACAAATTTGGGATCATACCACACATGACATTTTGTAAACTTTTTTACCTAAAATATACTATGATTGTTTCTCCTGTTGTTTTTTTCTTTTAGAACATTATTCTTAATGACTACAAATTATTTTCAAGCTTTTGACACATATTGCTAATTTGCTTTCTTTCTTTCTTTTTTTTTTTTTTGAGATGGAGTCTTGCTTTGTCTCCCAGGCTGGAGTGCAATGGCACAATCTTGGCTCACTGCAGCCTCTGCCTCCCAGGCTGAAGCGATTTTCCTGTCTCAGCCTCCCAAGTAGCTGGGACTACAGGCGCCCGCCACCATGTTTGGCTGATTTTTTTTGTATTTTAAATAGAGATGGGGTTTTGCCATACTAGCCAGGGTGGTCTCGAACTCCTGACCTCAAGTGATCCACCTGCCTCAACCTCCCAAAGTGTTGGGATTATAGGCGTGAGCCACTGCGCCTGGCGCTAATTTGCTTTCCAAAAAGGAGATGACAGTGCACACTTCCATCAGTAGTATTTAAGAGTACCATTGCTGATTTCCTGGCATTCTTCTCAACACAACAATTTAAAAGGTTCAGTCAATTGTCTAGGTAAAAAAAATCATGTCTTGTTATAATCTGCATTTTTTCATTGCTAATAAGATTTTCATGTTTATGGCCATTTGTATTTTTCTTTCACTACTTGCTTGATTGTTGACATGCGTCTGTAATTGTCTTGTTGGAATTTAGTTTCTTAGAAGTTTCCTAATCCTCTTGCTCCTTGTTGTCTATCAAGAGTCTCAGACAATGTGATCATGTTGGTATCTCAGGATTTGGAATCTGCCTTGCTAAAGCCTGTGGCACATATTTGACTATACCCACTTATTACCTTCCTGACAATCACACAATTCAATGTCCTGGCCACATCCCTTGAGTTTCATTTTGTCTCCAATACCTGATTGATTATATCAGAGTGACTTACTCTGGTTCCTTCAATGTCATAGTTAGCACGGGGTTCACATCTTTGTCCCATGGGTGCTAGAAGACTGAATAAAGGAGAGAAAAAAAAATCCTCGTAGGGGGCTGGATGTAAGGCAATGAGCTACAGCTCAACGGGATACAGGAAAGGGCATTTATGGTCCTTTGAATGTGTGTGGGGTTGTGCCAACAGTCCTAAGGATACATTTGTAGGAAGCCATTCTGAGGCAGGCCTCTGTTGAGTTGAATGTGGTGTGTTCCAGGGAAATTTGGTCAGAGATCAGGATTATATTTCAGGGAGGAGGACAGAGATAAAATTTGGAGCTTAGATTGTAATTAAAAAAAAAAGTCAGGGAAGGATGGTGGACTAAGAACAGGACTCAGATCCTGAGATTGTTGGAAACAGGGCACACTGGTGGGTAGAGGCTGGGTTGGGTAGCCAGGAATATGCAGGAAAAAAAGCCTTCCCATCTAAGCTAGGAAGCTAAGGTCAGTCATGATGAAGGGGCAATGGTAGGGCTAAAGCCAGATAGGGAGGGGCAAACCATAGGCTTAAAAGTTGGCCAGAATCAAATGGAGTGGGGGCTGAGAACAAGAACATCCTTTTGAACTTCCATCCACTTGCCCATTGTCATGGACTCCCTCCTTACTGACCCATCTTGTTTCTTCCCTCCCTATCCGTCTGCTGCCCTGGCTGAGCCTCATTGTATTTTAAATTAACTTTCCTATATTCTAGGTTTCTTACAGAATATTCTCTTCACTCCTGGCTTTAACTGAAATTTATTCCTCCTTGGAACCTGCTTCCTAGTGGCCCTTTTGAGGCCAGGAAGGCCATTTACTGCACATCACTGGGCCAAGGAAGGGGTTTGTATTTCTACGTGTTGTACTAAACCATTTCTCTTAGATCCCCATGCAAACATTTCTTTTCCTTTGGATTTTATGCAATCTAGCTATTTCACTTTCCCCCCTCCTTATCATAAATGTTGGTTTTATGAAAACTTTGCATCCAACATTTATGAGGACCATGCATCTTGGCTTATGGGTTATTTTTTGCTCCAAGTCTTGATTGATTTTGATTTCTATTTAATATTTCCTCTTAGAATTATTTAGCCTCTTTGTCTTCTATGACCTTCACCTCTATCCTACTTAAGGTGCCTGCTGTCAGGACCTTCTCTACTTCTATTACCAGGATACTAAGTACTGCTGGAGAAAATTGAATAACCTTGTCATTTGGTCCCACTAATAGTTTGTGACCTCGGACTTTAACTGGATCTCAACTCAGCTCATCAGTCCTATCTCTTGCTTAGGTAAGTTTTTGTTTCCATGTCCTATCATAGCTGTTCTCAGTCCTCTAATCTCTCAAGCAGTTCTATTCTAATCCCACCACTTTACGTCTAAATAGACACCTTTTTTTTTCTATTTCATAGGGGACATTGACATTATTAATTGTGACCTTGCACATTTCTCTCCTTCCTTCTTAACCTGCAAAGTTATGTGCTCCTGACTTTCCTATAGCCTTGAATCTAGTATCCAAGCAAAATTTGCCTTTCCTGTTTAAAGGCAATTCTCTCATGCTTTATATCACACATCCTCCTTGTTATAGACTAATGTTTGTGCTCCTCCAAAATTCATATGTTGAAGCCCTAAACCCTAATGTTTAGGGCTTCAGCATGCATCTCCAATGTGTCTGGAGATAGGACCTTAGGGAGGTGATTAGGTTTAGAAGAGATGATGAGGGTGGGGCCTCCATGACAAAATTAGTGCCCTTTTAAAAAATTTTTTATTAAAAAATTTAATTGATACATAATTGTGCCCATTTATGGGGTACATGAGATAATTTGATACATGCATACAATGTGTAATGATCAAATTAGAGTAATTGGGATATGCATCACTTCAAGTATTTATCATTTTTTGGTGTTGGAAACATTTGAAATCTTCTCTTCTGCTATTTTGAAACATATAATAAATTATTGTGAACTATAGTCACGCCATCGTGTTAGAGAACATTAGAATTTATTTCTCCAATCTAATTGTAATTTTGTACCTGTTAACAAACATTTCCATATTCTCCTTCCCCCCACCCTTCACAGCCTCTGGTAGCCACTATTCTACTCTCTAATTCTATGAGATCAACTCTTTTAGCTCCCACATGTGATTGAGCATATGTAGTATTTGTCTTTTTGTGGCTGGCTTATTTCACTTAACATGATGATGTACATTTCCATCCATGTTGTTGCAAACGACAGGATTTCTTTCTTTTTAATGGCTGAATAGAATTCCATTGTGTATATGTTCCATATTTTCTTTATCCATTCATTTGTTGATGGACACTTATGTTAATTTCATATCTTTATTATTGTGAATAGTGCTGCAATATAAATATGGGAGTGCAAATATGTCTTCTACATACAGACCTCCTTTCCTTTGGATATACACCCAGTAGCAGAATGGCTGGTTAATATGATAGATGTACTTTTAGAAACCTCCATAATTTTCCATAATGGCTTTACTAATTTGCATTCCTACCAATGAAGTGTAAGAATTTCCTCTCTCTGCATTCTTACCAGAATTTGTTATTTTATGTCTTTCTGATAATAACTATTTTAACTGGGGTGAGATGATATCTTATTATGATTTTGATGTGCATTTCCCTGATTATTAGCGATGTTGAAAATTTTTTCATATACCTGTGGCCATTTGTATGTCTTCTCTTGAGAAATGTCTATTCAGGTCTTTTGCCTATTTTTAAATCAAATTATTTGTGTATGTTTGTGTGTGTGTGTGTGTGTGTGTGTGTGTTTGCTGTTGAGTTGTTTGAGTTTCTTGCATATTCTGGATTTTAATCCCTTGTTGAGTGGATAGTCTACAAATATTTTCTCCCATTCTGTAGGCTGTCTTTTTCAATCTGTTGATTGTTTCCTTTGCTGTGCAGGAGATATTTGGCTTCATATAATCCTGTTTATTTTTGCTTTTGTTGCCCATGCATTTGAGGTCTTATCAAAAAAATTTTTGCCCAGAACAATGTTCTGAAGAATTTCCTCTGTTCTAGTAGTTTCATAGTTTTGGGTCTTACATTTGAGTATTTAATCCACTTTGAGTTAACCTTTGTATATGTGAAAATACGGGATCTAGTTTCATTCTTTTGCATATGAACATTTAGTTTTCCCAGCACTATTTATTGAGGACACTGTTCTTTCTCCAACGTATGTTTTTGGTGCCTGTGTTGAAAATCAGTTGGCTGTAAATGTGTGGATTTATTTCTGGGTTTTCTATTCTGTTCCATTTGTCTATGTGTCTTTATGTCAACACCGTGCTGTTTTGGTTACTCTAATTCGTAGTGTATTTTGAAGTCAGGTAGTGTGATGACTTTAGCTTTGTTCCTTTTGCTCAGGATAACTTTGGCTATTTGGGTTTTTTTGTGGTTCCATATGAATTTTAGAATTTTTTTTCTATTTCTGTGAAGAATGTCATTGGTATTTTGATAAGAATTACATTGAATCTGTAGATCACTTTGGGTAGTAGCGATTAGTGTCCTTTTAAGAACAGGAGGAGGCCAAAGCCCTCTTTTTCTTCCTCATGTGAGGATACAGCAAGAAGGCAGTCATTTGAAAGCCAGAAAGAGAGTCCTCACCAGGAACTGAATCTGCCCTCAACTTGGTCTTGGACTTTCCAGCCTCTAGAACTGTGAGAAATAAACATCTATTGTTTAAACCACACCATCTATGGATTTTTGTTAGTAGCCCAAGCTGGCTAATACACTTCTTTTTTCTCTAAGAGCTTGTCCACAAATGATTCTCATTTCATTCTATATCTTTTTTTTCCTCTTCACTAATTGTTTCTCTTGGTATATAAGTGCCTTTCTATTTCTTCTTAAAAATCCCTCTCCTAACATGACACCTTCTTCCTTTTCAGCCAGACATCTTCAAAGTATTTTTCCCATCAGCTGTCTTGACTTTTTCGTCTCTCTGCTGCTCCTCAATTCTCTGCAATGTGGCTTCATACTATAGTACTACATGAAAGCCTCTCTTACAGAGATTACCAGTGACCCAGTTGTCAAATGCGGCAGGTACTTTTTGGATTTATATTACATGTTCTCTCCTGTGTATTTTACACTGTTGACCATTCCTTTTTATTGACATTTTTTCTTTGGTTTTCATCATGTCACTTTCTCAGCTCTTCTTCTTCTTCCTAAGTAATCTTCATTATCCATTATTTGGCTTTGCAAATTTTCTTTCTGATGTTTCCAAAGGTTCTGTGCTCATTCTTCTGCCATTCTATATCCTCTATATTCAAGGCTTCTAGTGTCACTTCCATGCTGTTGACTCTAGACTGCTCCTTGAGCTTGAGACCAGGATATTTAGCTGCCCACAGGAAAACTCTACTTGGATGACCCTACACTGCTCAAACTGAAAATGATTACTAATAAATTATTGTTTTATAAATCCATGTCCAGAACTTGTTCATTTCTCTACGTATTCAGTTCTGCTTTTCTTACTGTTTACTAGTTTTTATGTACAAGAAATGACCATGTATTTCCTATAGCATAAAGTCTGAGGCTTTCTGCTCTTTTGAAAAAGCCCCCCTCCATGTTATTGAAGGAAGAAAAGGAAAAGGTGGAATTAGATGTCTTTAAGCTATAGTTTTGATAACTCTCCATGTAATGCTCTCTTTTTGCTTTCACCAAAGTAGAAATGATCTCCCTCTTTGCTGCTGTCTACAACCTGCTTTACATCGTGTGATGTGAGAAGCCTAGTTTCCTTGGCCTGAACAGGTACCCTCATTTTTACAGTCCCATAGTTCTCAAACCTTAGAGGGTAAAAGATTCACTATCTGGGAAGCGGTTTTTGTGTGTTCTTGTTTTTGCAACATAGTAGTAATGGATCCTTTCCATAGAATTCTAGGACTAGGGTGTGGCTTAGAAATTTGTGCTTTCAGATGCTTTCCAGACATTTGTGAGAAAAGTGGTTCACAGACCACATTTTGAAAAACACTATCATAGTATATTTTAGCTACTAGTTGCTGTTTGACATTTTCTTTAGTTATTAAAGATCTCTGTCCTTGAAAGACCCGTTTAATTGAGATGCCAGTGTATTTTGTGGCTTGAATCTGTATAATTTGTATGTATGGATCCCACTGGTGGCCATATTTATATGTGTACAAAATAACATCCCATTGAGCTGTGTGTGTTTTTTAATAGGATGAAAAATCTACAGAAGTAAAAAGCAAGCTGGGTGTGGTGGCTTATGCCTGCAATCCCAACATTTTTAGAGGCCGAGGCAGGTAGCTTCCTTCAGCTCAGGAGTTCAAGACCAGCCTGGGAAACATGGCAAAGCCCCGTCTCTACCAAAAATACAAAAAATTAGCCAGGCATGGTGGTGCGTGCCTGTGGTCACAGCTACTCAGGAGGCTGAGGTGGGAGGATCTCTTGAGCCCAGGAGGTGGCGGTTGCAGTGAGCTGAGATTGTGCCACTGTACTCCAGCCTTGATGACAGAGCCAGACCCTGTCTCAAAAAAAAAAAAAAAAAAATCAAAACCAGTTTGATTTCCTTGCAGATGGAATTAAGTACAGGTTTGGCTGTTGTTATTGTGTGTGTGTGAGTTTGTGTTTTTAGAGATGGGGTCTCACTTTGTCACCTAGGCTGGAGTGCAGTGGTGTAATCATGGCTCCCTGTAGCCTCGAATGCCTGGGCTCAAGTGATCCTCCTGCCTCAGCCTCTCAAAGTGTTGGGATTACAGGCATGAGCCACCATGTCTGGCCTAAGTACAGATTTTGAATGAATTGACCTGTAAAGACAAAGCCATAGTTCTTGTTCACTGGGAGAATGCAAGTATTAGTTTGGTGCCCGAGTAATTGTGGTTTTTGCCATGAAAGTAACAGCAAAAACCGCAATTACTTGTGCACCAACCTATCTATATATATATACACATAAAGAAGTGATTATTTTCCCATTCCATTTTAAAAGAGCAAAACAGAAATGTGGAAGCTTTTTCTAACCAAATGGTTTCAACCTGGGATTCAAAGCCATCTACCTCTGAACATGTGTGTAATTGGTTAATCAATAACAGGTGCTTGCTTATTCTGTGATTTGCTCTTCTCAGGGCAATGTTACCTATTACTGGTGCCTTGGCCAAGACAATGTTTACATCTCTTTTTTTCTCTCCAAAGCTTTGTGTCTAAAAGATTTTTTCTAGCCAGGCACGGTGGCTCACGCCTGTAATGCCAGCACTTTGGGAGGCCGAGGCGGGTGGATCACAAGGTCAGGAGATCGAGACCATTCTAGCTAACACGGTGAAACCCTGTCTCTACTAAAAATACAAAAAATCAGCTGGGCGTGGTGGTGGGCACCTGTAGTCCCAGCTACTCAGGAGGCTGAGGCAGGAGAATGGCGTGAACCCGGGAGGCAGAGCTTGCAGTGAGCTGAGATCGTGCCACTGCACTCTAGCCTGGGCAACAGAGCAAGACTCCGTCTCAAAAAAAAAAAAAAGATTTTTTCTGCTTAACAATGGTAGAACTTCTATCTAAAAACAAAGGAGTTATTTACAGATACTTGTATTTTTGTGTGCTTTATAGCCAGGAATTTTACAATTGCTGAATAGCTCAATAACAATAACAGCATTAAGGCAATCATTGCTCATAAACTTTACATAACCTCAAAATTACAACATAGTGAGCCATTAATCAGCCTCTAAGATTTTAATGTTTCTTTTTCAGTTGCTTCTGTTTCCTTCTCCAAATGTAATAAGACTTTCTGTGTGACCACTTCTTTTGACTTTGGTGATATTCAAATGACAACTAGCCACTTTTGTTTTTTGGTAATTGTGAGTAATTCTGAGTTTCAACTGGGATGTTTCAAAGTGTTGTTGAATGGCCCAAGAATATCTTTGGTTTTCTGCCTCCAGCAAAGATCTTTAAAGTGTTGGCAGGAGGGGACTGCAGGGGAGAAATGTGTGATGGCATAGATTAGTGAGATTTCCCATTCATTACAGGATTTCCCATTAGTGGTGTTTCAGGCAATGTAGAATTGAAAGGTTGAACATGATTGTTGTTTGAGGCATGTCATTAGGAACCAGGCAGGAGTTGTAAGTATGAACTCCAGTTGAGAGAATTCTGTCTTAGAATAATCCACTGTTTAAGGGAACAGAATTTGGAGTAAAAAAATGGATGGGTTTCTATGTTGGCTCTGCCACTTATGAACTAGATAACTTTCGGCACATTGCTTAAGTGCTCTGAGCCTTCATAAAGTGGGATTTGTAATTCTCACAACCACTCTAGGAGAGTGATATCATTAGTCTCCTCTGGCATGGAGTTGTTGCGAGGATCAACAGCAGCTAGTAGCTAACACAGTTTTTAAAAATTGATTCATTCAACAAATTTTTATGAACTTGCCACTGTGCTGGGGGCGAGACAGAGTGGTGAGCACAAAAAATAAAATCACTAACCTCATGGACCTTAGATTCTGGTTGGAGTGAGAAAAATAAATGAACATTCAAGATAATTAAAAATTGTGACTTATGCAATAAAGGAAGAAAACAAGGTGGTGTGATAGAGAATAACCAGGGAGGTCGATTTCCATCAGGTGGTCAGGGAAGGTGACATTTGAGCTAGGAACTCTCAGTTGAGGATATCTGGGATGAGCATATCAGACAGTGTCCCTGTGCTAAGTGCTTTAGTGCAGTCTCCTGTTCAATTCCCCAAAACTCAATGAAGCAGAAAGAAATATCTGTGTTTTCCAAATAAGGAAAATTTTTTTTGAGGTGGAGTCTCACTCGGTTGCCCAGGCTGGAGTGCAGTGTCGTGATCTTAGCTCACTGCAACCTCTGCCTCCCAGGTTCAAGGGATTCTCCTGCCTCAGCCTCCCAAGTAGCTGGGACTATAGGTGTGCACCACCACACCCAGCTAATTTTTGTATTTTTCACCATGTTGGCCAGGGGTTTCACTATGTTGGCCAGGCTAGTCTCTAACTCCTGACCTCAAGTGATCCATCTACCTTGGCCTCCTAAAATGCTGGGATTATAGGCGTGAGACACCATGCCTGGCCAGGAAATTTAAGTTCGAAAGATTGAATATTTTGCCCACTATCACACAAGTAATAGGTTGGCGGGGCTGAAATTAGAATTCCAAAGCTAAAATTTATGAACAGATGATACAGTTTGGATGTCTCCTTGAAATCTCATGTTGAGATGTAATTCTCAGTGTTGAAGGGGGGCCCTGTGGGAGATGTCTGGGTCAAGGGGGTGGATCCCTAATGGCTTGGTGCTGTCGTCACCATAGTAAGTGAGTTCTTATCTGATCTGCTTGTTTAAAAGTGTGGCCTTGCCCCCCTTCTCTCTCTCTTGCTCCTGCTTTTGCTGTGTGAAGTGCTTGCTCCTGCTTGCCTTCTGCCATGAGTAAAATGACCTCCCCAGAAGCTGAGCAGATGCTGGCACCATGCTTGTACAGCCTGCAGAACTATGAGTCAATTAAACCTCTTTTCTTTATGAATTACCCAGCCTCAGCTATTTCTTTATGGCAATGCAAGAAGGGCCTGATACATCAGACACTGCACATCTTAGAAGTTTATGACATGTTAGACATTGCACATCTTACAGGAAGAAAGGAAGCTACAGCCCATGCAGTCATTCCATGGATGAAAAAATAGGTCAAGAGAGCATATGTAATTTGTTAAAGGTGATGAGGACACCACAAGAAACCAGGTCTCCTGCCCTTGAGTCCAGGAGTTTTCATTGTACACCACTGTCAAACTGGTTTTCAGTAAAGGTTTTAATGACTCAGCCAGTTTCATGATTTGATTCTAGTTTCTGATGAGCAGTTGGTTGACTTTTGGACTCTTAAAGTATACAATGGTTTGTTGAATGGTAAATCAATTTGATAGGATTTGTTCTAGCACACATTTTTGTTTTGTTCTGTTTTAAATGCAATATGCACATTAGAAGGAAATTGAATCAGTATATGTATAGGCATTTAAAGAAAGCCTTTTTGCTTGCAGACATAGCTCCCCATCACCCACCTCAATTTCTCTCCCTAAAGGTAATCATTGTTATTATTTTGTGTATATTCATTTACAAATAATCTATGAAAATGCATGCATATATGTGTACATATCCTTTCTTACATAAGACACAAAATACCACATTGTACACAATGTGTACACTTGGCTTTTTTTCCTTAACGTTAGATATTACAGCTCTTTCCTTGTCATTAGTATAAACTGGATTCATTCTTTTTAACGGTTACAGAGCATTTCATTGTATGAGAAAACCTAAATATATTGATCTCATTTCAGTCAATCAATACTTAGGCAGTTTCCAGTCTTTTGTGATTGCAAACATGCTGCAATGGAAGTTGTTGCAGAGATATTTTTGTGCACATATGCCAGTCTACCTGTAAGATATTCCACTTGAAGTGGAATGGCTGCGTCATATGGTTTGCATATTTTGGACTTTGATAGATGCTACCAAGTTGTCTTCCGAGGGGTTGGACATGCCCAACAAATGTGTGTAGGAGAATCATCTTCAAGCTGGGTGACTGGGTAATGAGCAGTCTCTTCCTGTGAAGCCAGCCTAAATTGATGGGGTGGGGCCTTGAGGAGAAGCCTTCAGACTTCTCTGCTTGGGGTTGCCCTGGGCATCCTCCTCTTCCCAGCACATTCACATCTGAGGCTGCAGGCACCAGAAATCCAGAGGGCAGCTGAACTCTCTCCTGGTTCATCCTCTATGCTTGATTTAGAGCTTCCCTGTGCCACTACTCTCTAAGTCCTTGGCTTACCCGGCTCCAGTTCCTGAATGTATATTTCATTTGGTTATTTCTCATGAGACATGACTTCAGGCCTTTGGAGTCTCACTGGGCCTTGGTCTGAAGAGTGTGAAGAAGAGGGGAGGAGGAGGGAGAAAGGAGGAAGGAGGAAGAGAGAGGGGGAAGCAGGGGATGGGAAGGGAAGAGAGAGAGAGAGAGAGAGAGAGACTGAGGATGCTAACTTCCTTGTTTCTGCTCACGCTCACACAGTGCTCTTCTGGGTTTGTTTTCTTTAGATTTTGAATCTTCAAGGAGACTTTGAACCATGAACTTCGCAGTCATTTTAATCTGTTGCCTTATGATCAGCTGTGTCACTGCTGCCTGGCTTGTTTCTTTGCTTGCTGTCATTTAAACTCATAAGGAACTAGAGTTAGAAAAGATCTGAGGGAGCATGGAATCCAGTGGCTTCCAAAATATTCTCCTTGGAGAGGGATACTGTCCCCTGGAGGTGCCCCAGGGGTTCCTGAGAGGGGACTTAGGGTCAGGATCTACAGTGGGGGGTATGGGGCAGTCAAAGCTCTGGGTACTCCATTTGCCTTAATCAGAAAGGCTACATTTTTATCTTGCTTCTATTATTGGATTTTTGTGTAATATGATATTTAAAAAGGGCCTCTGCTGCCTAAAAAAATGTTAAAAAAAAAACCCCACCAGTTTAGTCCAATTCCCTCTTTTATATGTCAGGAAGCTGATCCAGAGTAGAAAGTTGATTTATCCAAGGTCATCTAGATATTTAAATGATAAGGGAAGGATATAAACTCTACAGACCACCAGGTCAGGGCCTCTTCTCTGGTAGAACATGAACCTAGTAGGAGCTGTAAATGAAGCTTAGAGCCCCTCATAAACCACTCGTATGAAGGAGAGGCCTAGCTCTCTAGTTTAAATTCAAACCAAACCTTTGTTGAAATTTCTTCGCTCCTTAAAAAAATGATTTTCACTTTTGCACTGAACCCATCTGGGAATAAATGTGTTGAAAGACTCTCAGAAAAGCTGTTCTCACCATACATATTTCTTTCCATCTAGAAATTCCAGAAGGACTTGCCATATAGTGCATCTCCGGAGAAAACTGTCAACATATATTTTCTGACTATATTCAGCTGACTTGATCCCTCTTCCCTCCAGAGAACTTGGAGAAGACTGAGAAGCACTTAGGCCTGTTCCAGAACTTCAAATCTATTTGAGGCATTGAAGTCACTAAAATGGAGGGATTCTTTGTTTGGTATTTTATTCCTAAAATCACCATTACTAAGATTGTTTGATCTGATAAATGAAGCATATCTACTGCCCTATAGGACCGCAAGACCAGGGCATTTACAAATTATGGCGTGGAGAGTACATGCCAAAAAGTACATAGAGAACAAAGACACAAAAGGCAACAATGTACGTAGAAAATGTAGACACAAAGGACTGCATATATTTCTAAGTCCAAACAAATGCATCTGAGAAATGATTGGAAATGAGACATGACAAAAATTCTAGAGAATAGAAGTTTCCATCTAGAGGTTCTGTTGATGCCTGTTCCCTCTGCATAGTAGCCTTTGTCGAGGGCAAAATTTTCATAACACCTGGTTCAGATTTTCCTTTGCTTTCCTTCAGTCTCTCCTAGTTAAGCCAGTTGAACCACCTTTAGAACAAAAAGCTGGCCAGGTGCGGTGGCTCACACCTGTAATCCCAGCACTTTGGGAGGCCGAGGCGGGTGGATCACAAGGTCAAGAGATCGAGATCATCCTGGCCAACATGGTGAAACCCTGTCTCTACTAAAAATACTAAAATTAGCCAGGTGTGGTGGCGTGCACCTGTAGTCCAAGCTACTCAGGAGGCTGAGGCAGGAGAATCACTTGAACCCAGGAGGTGGATGTTGCAGTGAGCCAAGATCGTGCCACTGCACTCCAGCCTGGCAACAGAGTGAGACTCCGTCTGAAAAAAAAAAAAAAAAAAAGTCCCTCCTTGTGGTGTTTAGTTACACCCTCAAATGCTTATAGGTATTTATATCCCCCTTCAGGCATCATTTGGCATATTCTACACATTTAATTCTTCTACTTTTCCCTCAGAAATGAATATTTTTGGCCCTTTGATCCTCCCTTTCCTATTCGGGGACACATGGAACCAAGCCATTGATGAGCTCAAGGCTCCTTCTCTCCAAATGATAGGGGGAGAGCAGGTACTCTGTACGGTGCTTGTCCCAGTACCCGTTCACAGATTTTCTTATGACAAGACACAGAGGAAGCTGTGGTTTTGAAAGTTATTTGCATGGAGTAATGAGATATTTGCATTGGGAAGCAAGGAGTGAAAGAAATTTGTATCAAAGGCTTGGCTTCTCACATGGAGTCTTCTGGAATTTCCTTGCCCTGGAATCCCACCCTCTTCCAAATAGGACAGGATAAATAGATCTGGCATATCACACTGCCATGCTCGGTGACCCTGGCTGCTTTCATTTGATAACTTAGATCTTGGAAGTATGGTGGGATTTGGTTTTGGTCACTGCTCGGAAACTGGCTTGATCTTCCTCCTTCACAGGAGCATCAGGAGGCCTAGGGAATCCATCCTGGGGAAGGGCGTTCAAGGTCCACTGTGATGATTCTGCTTTGGATCTGGTCTTTCAAATGTATGTGTTTGCTTGAACAACCATACTTCTCTCTCATTGCTGTGGCTGTATTAACTGTGTTTCCAGAAGTATGCTGTATTAGTCCGTTTTCACGCTGCTGATAAAGACATACCTGAAACTGGGTAATTTACAAAGAAAAAGAGGTTTAATGGACTCACAGCTCCACGTGGCTGGGGAGGCCTCATAATCATGGTGGAAGGCGAAAGGCACATCTTACATGGCAGCAGACAAGAGAGAATGAGAGCCAAGCAAAAGGGTTTTCCCCTTATAAAACCATCATATCTCATGAGACTTATTCACTACCACGAAAACAGTATGGGGGAAACTGCCCCCGTGATTCAATTATCTCCCACTGGGTCCCTCCCACAATATGCAGGCATTATGGGAGCTATAATCCAAGATAAGATTTGGGTGGGGACACAGCCAAACCATATCACATGCTGTCTTTTATGGGGAGTAGTGGAGCACAGATACTGGGTCTGTAATTCAGGAACCTGTGCTGGAGCATTAGGATAGATTATAAATGCAGTTTTACCACCTAATTACATGGAGGATTTTACCACGTTAGAAGTCCTGAAGTGTACAGGCAAGTGATGCTCATCGCTGGAATAGCAGTGGGCACTTTACCTGGGTCTCTGGGCGAGATACTGAGATCAGCACATGGAGAAAGCACTCAGTGTGCTGATTAGATAAATGAGTGGGACAATATTTCCTTTCCCTTCTATTGTCAAATGTTGTTATCAAGCAAAGACTGGACTAAGGTTAAGGGGAAGAATTCAGAGTAGAAGAAAGAATGATATGAAAGACAGAAGCAAAGAAATAGACTCAGGAATCAGAATCTCTTATCAGCCAGATATAGAACCCAAATACCTTTTAACTCTAGAGATTTCTTTCTTATGGGATGTTGCCTGTATATTTTTCTTGTCTACTTTTTAGGGATTGACTTGAGGCCAGGGCCCTTGAAGGACAATATGGAGAAGTCCTGGGCCATGGTGGGCTTTTCCGCTAGCCGGGATGTCTAATATGAGGAAAGGTCTATTTAGCCAACATAGCCTTGGTTTCCTCACTGTATTCATTCATTCCATAAATTTGTGTGCAATGTGTGTAAATATACTTTCTATCACTGTTGTGTAGCTAATATACCTATCTCTTCCCTTTAGTTCTAGTCACAGCTTCTCCCTTTTACTCTTTTCAGCATTCATTCACTTACTCATTCTTTTACCATCTATTCCATCATTCAACAAATATTTACTAGACTTTTAATATATGCATGGAGTATATTCTAACAGAGAAAGTGTGCACCATAGGCCAGTCTCTATGCCCTTCAAACTCCAGAGAACACAGGCCAAGCTCTCACATGGTTCCCTTCAAGCCTCTTCTGTTGGGATAGGTGGGTGTTGGAAATGCACAGGGCACTGATAACTCTCTCCAAAGAAATCCTCTCTCCTGACCCCCCAACTTGAGCTTTTTTTTTAATGGACTAGAGGTAGGTTTAGGGCCCTATCCACATCCCCACTTACTTGTAAGTTTTGCAAGGATGGTCCAGCATTTTTAAAACTATGGCTTTATTTCTTTGAGGTCCTCTACTAAAAGTCTGAGGCCATCGGAAGAAAGGAAGATTTACATTTAAATCTGACTATAATTATATGCACTGCTATGTGAGTATATGGTGCTAGAGAGGTCAGAGGTAGCTCTAGGAGAGATAGATAGATAGATAGATAGATAGATGATAGATAGATAGATAGATAGACAGATAGATAGAGACAGACACAGAGACGTGTGGGGGGAGGAGAAAGGAGGGAGAGAGGATGAATGAGGACAAGAGGGCAAAGGTGAGAGTCTCAGTCACAAGTGCAACCAAATCTGAAATAAAACCAGATGTTCTTTGATCACCCCTTGGCTATCTTTTCTCTACATTCTTTTTCTTGCCTTTTTCCTTGTCTTCTTCCATCTGGGTCAAGTAAATCCTACCTCTCCCAGTCCATGTATGTTTCGTTGACCGTCTCGCCAGGGTCTTCCATGTGACTTTCAGGGCACGAGCTCCTCTTCTGCAGACCCTCCAGGCCTGTGCTCCCCAGGACAGCGGGCACAGCGGGAGGCTGTGCACGCCAGGCCGCAATGCTTACCCTGTGCCCTGTAGCTTCTCAGGTGAATTAGTTACTATTTCTGACTCTCTGTGTTCTCATCCATAATGATGGTGGTGATAGAAAGGCCTACTGCATATGGTAGCTAGGAGAATTAAATAAAGTGCAAGTGAGAGCATGTGGTAAATCTCTATAGTTTTTTTTTTAATTCTACTCTATCGTTTCCAACATAATTTGTGTGCACTGCTGTGTATTTACCTCATTAGGTAGGGGTGGGTAAGTGATCATTATTCCTAAAGTATAATTTCCCTTCATCTCCTCAAAGCATAATTCCCTCTTTCTCTGCCTTAGAGCTTGAATGCATTCATGCATGCAGGTCCTTCGGCTGTACATCCATAAGTTCCTCGAGGTGCTGGGGCTCTGCCTTCACTCTGTTTTGTTGAGTTCCTTGACATTGTTGAGACACCCACCCGTTCCAAAAAATCTCATTAATTATCTGTGCATACATGATGGAGGATTGCTCTGAAGCCACTGTGGGACACTCACTGCAGTGAAGACCAGGGGCTGGAGGGCCTCTGTGCTAATAATTTGCTTCCCCAGACCATGTGGATTTGATTTTTGTCTTCAGGCCTCTTCTGCTGTCAGGAGGATGTACATAAACAAACAGAAAAAGGGCATGTGAGAAGGTGCCAATGAGGGACACAGAAGAAGGTGCCAGCACTGGCATCACAAAGTCAAGGCTCTTCATTGGCACTGAAGAAGAATCAAAACACAGCCATCAGTCTTTTCAGGGCCCCAGCTGCTTTGGATCAGAAAAACTGTCAGTGTGTGCAATGGGTAATGGAAACTCTTCCACACTTGCTTGCTAGAAGAGGCACTTTGCCGTGCTATATCTTAATAGACATTATTATCAGCTCTACTCTGATTCTGGATATGTGAGAAAATCAACAGCCAAGATCAGGGCCGACTGAATATGGCCTATGAGATGAGATTAATGCCTTACTGTAGGACTATTTTAGTGTTTTAGCAGAAAACGTCTGGTGACTATTACTGATGACAGGCAAGCTACATATGGTGAAGATTATTTAGCCATGTATTTTTTTTTCCCACTTTGAGTTGATTTCTTCACTCAGGCTAGGGTCTGTGCTGTATTCTTGGGTGCCCTCTCAGTGCCTAGCATGGTACCCAATTTGTTGTAGTGGCTCAATAAATATTTCTGGAATTAAGAAAAGAAGTGCTGATATTATTAATTGAATAAGGTGAGGAAAGGCTTAAAAATTCGGAATGTTAAACTTTTTTTCTTTTGCATTAGATTCATGCTGTTGGGCAAATTTTACCAAAGTTTCTCCTGTCCCGGGGCCTGGAAAAGCGATGAAATTTTATTAGACCAGAAGGAACAGGTATTTTCTCTTTGAAGTGGAATTGGGTAAACAGTGAGCTGAGAGGTGACCTGTCCAAGCAGCCAGCTGGGAGAGAAGGGACATGAAGTGAGATGAAGCCAGGAGTAGAGCATTGTTTTTTATCTGACTGTGGTGCCAAAATGGTCTCAGCAGGGCTGCTTATTTCCACGGGAGTGGCTGGCAAGAGTTTCCCCATCAGCTGCAGCTGGGGGCCTGTGCCAGCTTGGGTGCAGGTAGATGGCGAAAAAAAAGGCAGGTTAAAATGGGGCTGGCAAGCAACAGCCTGGTAGCCAGGACCACTGTGGCCCAGTCTTTTAAAACATCCTTCTCCCCAGTGTTATTTTGGCATGGATTATGGGATAGAGAAAGACAAGACACTGACTAATACAGAAAAACCCTTTTCTTTCCCAAAGTCACAGATTGCAAGGAGTTCAAGAAGCCTCTGATTTATTGGCTCAGAGATGACCCAATCTTGAAGGGAATTAAAGCGAAATAACATGGTTGTCCATTAAAAATATCAAGACCCCAAAGACAGCAAACTAATTAAAAAGTGTGTGGACAAAGGGAGAAAAAATAAAATTTCCAAAAAATTTCAGCCCCCTTCATCCCAACCTCCTATTACCACTCCTCTTTCCAAGGCAATGCACAGATTCCCGCAAAGCTCATCAGCTTAGAGGAGAAGGGAGATTAGTCCCAAGGTCTGAGCCCACCAGGCATCAAATAAAGGGCTGAGAGTACTTGAGTCAATGACCTCACCCTCAGCTTGCCTTCTGCCTGCATCTCCCCAGGCCAGTTTTAATTCCTGTTCCAAAGTACATGTGCCTTTGTGTGTCATATTTCATTACTGAGATCCAAATGCTATCTTTAAAACTTAGGCATATCTATTGAAACCTTGCTCCAGCTAGAGTGAGAAGAAGAAATCTGGGGAATTTGTTTGGTAGCGCTCACTCTTTTCTCACTGCACGGCAAACATTCTAGGAGAATTCTGCCAGGGATTAGGAGATCCTGTAAAGGATTAGGAAGGGCCTTTCTGAGGGAGATGGGGAGAGGGATTTATTGGAAAAGCATAATATCATGAAGACTCAAGGTCTGGAGTCAGACAGGCCTTGGTTCAAATCCCAGCTCTGCCCTTTCCTTAGGATGGGATCGCAGACAAGTTGTCTTCTTGTGGCCTAAATTCCTTCATCTGTAAAATGGGCAATAACAACTACTTTATGGGTTGTTGTGGGAATTAATGCAGGCAAGCATTTAGAACAGTGCCTGGAACATAGTAAGTGTTGGACTTATGCTCTTGGTTTTGTGGTTGTTAAAATAGAATCATAAATGAGAATGTGGCAGGGGAAGGAGGGAGGGATCAGACCCTTTGCAGGTGGTAGCCTGAAGGTAAATTGGGAAGTAACTCAAGAATATCTTTTAAGGGTCTCTCTCTCTCTCCCCATTGTTGGCCACACTTTTATTTTCCTCTCCCAAATGCAAATTCCTCTTGTTCAGGATACCCAGAGGCACACATATGGTACCACCAGAAAGTAATGGCCCTAGGAGTTCTGGCCTGGGCAGGGCAGATTTTTTTTTTTTTCTTTTTGTCATCCTGGAGCAGGGCCTTGGAGATGCCAATTGCATTCTGGAGACAAAAGACATGTATGTTTCTCTTCCTCTTCAGCCTGAGAGGAGAGGCACTGAAGAGAAAGCATCGGTTATTCCATTCTTCACCCGCAGATATGACAGGAGGGCAGAAGCCCAGGGTCACCTTCCCGGACGAGTTAGAAACTACAAACCACCACAGTGAGGATTCTGTGGTCTTTGAGCCTTACCCATCTTGTTAATTGTGTTTCCTCCCATCCTAGTGGTGCTTTGCAGTAAACTTCTAAAAGGAAAACAAATACCATGTGATCATTTTCTGAGGCTACAAGAAAGCAAAAGAGCTGGGGTGAATGCTTCCCTTTACATCTTGGAGAAGGGGCAGAAAAGCCCTTAGAAGCAGGGTAAGCAGTAGAGGACTTTGAGAGAAAATGAAAAGCTGAGACTGAGGCTTTGGGCTTGTTTCAAAGAGTAAAAGAAAAGATGAGAGCTTGCTAGAGGCTGAGACAACATGTGACCCCCCTCCAGACAGGCTTAATCACAAACTTCCACTGCCAAGTGATGCCCTGCCAGAACATTACACCAAAGGTGTTCTACGTCTTAGATCTTACCCTTATAGAGGTACCGAAAGGTCATTACCCTCACTTTGCGGCTGGAGAATCTGAGGCTTAGGGTCAGAAACTGAGTTACTTGACCTAGTCTCAGGCTAGAAAGTGGTAAATCCAGGATTTGTACTCATGAGTGTCTGATGTAACATGTATTATGTGTTTTGCCCTGGTGCTACAGAACTTTCTTCATTTGTTTTCATGAATGCTCCCAACTTTCCCAAAGCTCTTATCTCAGCTAGCAATCCTGAGTGAAGGATAGCTCACAGGCCAATTCTCAGTAGAAAGGTAGAGACTGAAAATTTCCTACTAAGTCACTCCTCTTCCTGCAATTCTAGAAGAGAACCTCAGAGAATGCTAAGAGAGGCAAACCAAGAAAGTGAATCTTGGAAGGTGGGATTTCATTGACGGTGGAAAAGAATGGGTAGAGTAGAGAGTAACATTGGGCAATAATTTATTTCTGGTATTCTTTTAATCACTCAGTGGTGATACCTGTTTATTGTGTCATTTCAAATTCCTGGACTTATTCAAATGTGAGTATTGTTCATTAGTTTCTGAGCCTCTTTTCCAAGTATTTTGGTAAGAAATCTTTACTGCTTCCACTTTGGAGCAAGCTGACAGGAAGGTTTGCTTTCATTTGACCTCCCTAAGCCCCATCCCATAAGTGAGCCCATTAATAGTTTATGTTCTGAGGTTGCTTCCAGTTCTTGAGTTATAGGATTCCTGATGCCTTGCCCTGTCCTCCATGCCATCCACTAACATCAATTACTACCCAGGTATTAGAGTGTGAAAACCAGAAAATATTATAGTTAGAAAATTTTTGCAGGAGCAAAATGATTAGGATTGGGGGTCAGGCAGGTAGGGTTAAAACAAGGTATGGCTAAAACAGGGAGTACCCCTTGTTGCTAGTCAGAAGAATAGAAGCCACTGCAGGTCTTCCAACAGAGAAGATCGAATACGGGGAATTGGTTAAACATGTTTCAGATAGAGCAAAAAGGGAACACTGAGGTAACACAGAGGTAATAATTACATGATGCAGCTACCAACCACAGAGCTGGCTGGGGAACACAGGGAAGAGGTTGGGAAGCTCAGAGGAGGGTCTCACAGAGCTAAGACTCAGACCTCTGAGGGAAGGGCACCACCCAACTGGTGCAGATATCTCAGCAGCCTGGGGGAGAGGTCAATGGGAGTGAGGTGTGATGAGGGTGGTTTTGAAGGGGCAGAAAGAAGTAGAAGACTAAAACCAGTGGTCACTTCCAGGATGAAGGGCCAGTGTTTGGGTGATGCTGACAGGAGTAGGGAGCAAGCAGGAAGGACCACGTGCCTTCTCTGGCTTCTACCTTGCAGTTTCCCTCTGGTGTGCCTCATTGGCAGTCAAATATAGAGTCACCTGGCAAAGGAGAGATGTGGTTTGCAGAGCCTTGGCCTTAGAATCACAGAGTGTAGAAGGCTGAATTTTGGGGCTGAGAGACAATATAAA
This sequence comes from Homo sapiens, assembly GCF_000001405.40. NCBI lineage: Eukaryota > Metazoa > Chordata > Mammalia > Primates > Hominidae > Homo > Homo sapiens. Next base: position 68,767,866 of record NC_000005.10, on the reverse strand, counting down.
AACTGGCAGGTAGGGTGAATAATGATGTATGGTTGCCAGTAAATCACTAATTAAAAGGAGCTTCAAACTTGATGTTTGAACAGAATATTAAGAGACTGTCTCTGTGGGAGTGTTTCTTACTTCTGCCTATATGTGGTACTTTCACTATTGTGAATATTGACCCAGTGTGTGCGTGTGTGTGTAAGGATTAGGAAGAGGGCTTGGCCTTTTTTTGCATCTGCAGGAGTCTACGCCATCGTGCTGGGAATAAACACTATTACTCTCCTCTCAGTTGTTAATGAGACTCCAAAATAAATGTTTTCCTTTAGATTACACCTTGTAATTTATGATTCCATCCCAGAAATGAAATTTCAGTGGATTGGGAAACGGGAAAAGAAGCGGGTGTGCTCAAAGAACTTAACAGGGGCCAGAGCTGGAAGGATCTGGAAAAAAGACAAACCTAGTTGCCAGTAAACCTCAGTTAAGCCTCAGGTCTCCAAATCTGAGAAGCAAGCTAATGGCTTATAGTCCTCTCCTCCTGCTTATGTAGTTCCAGGAAGACAAGCAGCTCACAGACCAGAAAGCTTAGTAACTGAACTTGCATAACACCTGGGGACATAAGAGACTATGTGTGGAGAAGTGATGATGGGACCATTTGCAGGTTGAAGTTAGTGCCTGGAAGTTGTTCATCACCTGCTCAGCAAGCAGAACCGCTGGAAACTAAAATGATGGTGATTATGCAAGAGAGGTAAATGGGAGCAGAATAAACACCACGTGAAAGGTGTCCTGATTATTGGATGAATTAGAACCGAGTTGCAACTTCGTGTTCCTTGCCTGGATCCTGTTCAGTTCTCCTTTGTCAAGCATTGGTTAATTTGGAGCCCACCATAAGAAAAGCAAAGTATAAAATTACATGTGCACTGTTTGGTACACTCCCACATGGTCCCAAAATAGATAAGTGCTGATCTCATAGACAACATTGTCTCCTGGTAGCATAGTTCTTTGGTACCACAAATTATCAGTGATAAAGAGAAATCTTAATAGCTCAAAAAGTTTCTAAGGACTTGACTGTTTCTTTCTGCCTGCAGGATCCCTGTTAACAGCATCTAAAGGTTAACGTAGCTGGACATATAATTAAATTCATTTATCAAAATGCAATAATGGTTGGGTTAAAGAGTCTGGGCTCTGGGGTCAGATGAACCCGGATTTCAACCTCTTTTCTCCCACTTATAAGTGTGATCTTGAGCAAAGTACTTATCCAAACCTGTTTATTTATCTGTAAGGTGGGGATAATTATGCTTCTCTTAACACTACAGTTGTGAAGACTCAATGAGACGATGCAAATAAGAAGGTCAACAGAGTTCTTGGTGCAAAATAAGTGCTCAAGAAATGTTTGCCATCTATCATTATTATTACTACTGCTACTGTTAATAATTTTTTCAAATTAAGCACTTACTATATACTAGTGCCAGGCCCTAGATAAATTAAATCCAGTCCCTGCCATCAAAGAGTTCATGACTTATGGCAAAAAGGTATTCCAGAGTCTTTTTTTAGGAAAAATGACCCGGTTCGGGTAGGTTGTGTGTGGATTCATTCTGGGAGATCTTAATCAGTAAGAGAAACATCAGGTTTGTAGGTGTGGATGTAAGAAGAATAGTGAAGTCAGGAAGGGAACTCGAATAGGCAGGGCTGATTGGGAGGGATCGAGGGAGCAGGAGATGAGGTAGAGAGAACAACTTTTTTCTGGGTGTACTGCTTTAAGTCTTAGGGGCCCAGAGAGCTAGATCAATGTAAAGGCACACTGCCTTGAACTCCTGACTTGTATGAATAATGCAATGGCATTGAGTTAATGATAGGGGCTTTATTAGATATCATGTGTGAAATGTGAATTTGTATCAAATCAACAACTTCTTCATGCTAAATGGCTTCCTACTTATGGCTGAAATAGATTATCAAGGATAAGGTGTGAAGTGTTGATTCCAAAATTGTTGGAAAGACCGCAACAAACAGAAACATAATCCTTGAGTTAGGAGTTGAGCAGGTGGGCCTCCTCTTGGCCTGACAGCAGGCCTTGATAAGTCCCTTTATTGCTCCTGACAAATAGGCTTTCAGTATCTCCTGTGAAGAGAAACAGGGTGGCCCAGTTATAAAAGGCCCCTTGAAAGATTTAAATACGCTGCCTTGTGTAAGATGAAGGGTGTCAGGACCTTGAAGACCACAGAGGAAATAGCTGTATGCTGCCAAGATTTAATACATCTAGAGGTTATTTAGGGGGCCATCTATACCTTGGTAAAAGGAAATAAAGAATCTGTCAATTAAAAGAGTTATTAATTTTTTTATACTGTAACAGAATATTAAATCTCAGTGAACATATTTATTTACCTGGCTGGGTTTCTGTGCAATTGCTAGCCCTGAGCTGTCAGCAGTCACTTATCTTTAGTGATCCCCTTGCAAATTTTGTGAGAATTTTCAGGGTTGATAGGGAATCACTATTCTCTTTCATGTTATTACAGTAATCTAATAAACCACCTGAATAAAAAAATTCATGAAACAACACTTCAGCAAAAGGAGATCATGGCTTTTGGGGTATAAATTTTCATTTTTATACAAACAGTGTTTTTCTTATATATACTCTGCTATTTTTGGTTGACATGTGCAAACAGACGAAAGAAAGCTTAATCTTGGGTTTAAAGAAAAAAGCCACTAAATGGTTTATATTTCAGTGAGCCAGTAAAATCCAGAAGTTTTCCCTCTGGATAGAAACTTTTTCCGCATAGCACGTATTTCCAGAAATAAAGAAAAGGATCATTTTCCCTGTGTTCTCTCTAAATTGGTTTGGCTTTTGGGAAGGGGGTAACATATGTGAGGTTCATAGAAAATTCATTCGTGGACACTGGAACCAGCTGTAAGGTAAAGCAGAGCCTGTGTCATGAGAAAACCGTGGTTGAAATACCTTGCAATTTAATCATTTTCAGATCTTATTTTAGTACGTTAGTGACTAAAACCCACTGAAGGAAGTTCATCAAGAGGCTTTATAAGCATATATGCCCAACAGCAGGTTCTCCCATGAAACGGACAAAAGCACTACATACAGTCAAGTTCCAGGATGACATTAAAATTCATTCAGCCTGTCACATAGCTTTACCATATCCTTCCATTGCCCCATTTTAAATACATTTGGATATATGTTTTTATTTGTTTAATTTAGAATGTAATAGTAAGGCTTCATTGTAAAGGGTTTAGTTTTAATTAAAATTTAGAAAATCATTTCCAGAAAGAAGTAATCTAAAGGACAATGCTATCTCTAATACTAAGGAAAATAACTAGGTTGGGTAGAGGGCCAAAAATTCACTTTCTCCCCAGGGGGAGGAGCAGAGTTTTCTTAGGAAGCTTACTGGTCCTGCCTCTTCTGGTTTGATCACCTTTTCTTCCGCCTTCTCCTCGGTTGTCCTTCTTCTCTTGTTCAGAATGCCCTGTACTATCTTCTGTGCAGGTCTAGGTCTCTGTAGTTGTTCATTGGCCGAAGTAGTTTCTTTTTCCTCAAATTCCTTCTGTTTGAAATTCCTTATTATAGATAATTTGGTTCTCCATCCTTGGTTCATAGAAGTCCTGATCCTTGGTGTTCATGAGGTAGAGAATGGACCTAGATTGGCCTTGAGAATGCAAAGATATGGATATAATGATGATATCAAAATTGTGATTGTGATTGCTCATTAAAAGAATGTTTATCACAGAATTTTTATAATGGCAAGTGAAAATGACTTGAATGTGCATCAGTAGTAGATGAGTTGAATATATTTTGAGAATATGGCATGGCTTTTAAAGAGAAAAAGATAGACACATATTGGCCTGGAAAAAATAATCAAGTTTTTGAGTTTTAAAAAAGGTAAATTGCAAAGCAATGTGTATAGTGTATATTAAAATAAAAGGGAAAAACCTCTCTGCATGTGCATTTTGATTTTGTGAGTTTGTATGAGCACAGAGAGTGGTGTGAAAAGATACACACCACACTTTACACTGACAATGTCTGAGGATGGATAGACAGCTGAGAGAAAGATTACGAACCTAAAAACTCATCTCTGTGTTTTTTATTGGCTATAATCAATATGTATCTCCTTTTGTAATTAAAAATCCAATCAAATTTAAAAGAAAGATGTTAACATTTTTATGTTCTCATGACATCTAATGATTATTAAGTTATTCCCATGGGAAATCACTGTACCAGTCTTTAATAAATTATAATAATCCTGATAACTCTACAAAGTGGTACTAGTATTAGTTCTACCTTACAAGTAAGGAAATTGAAGCTTGGAGAAGTAACCTGTGAAGTTCATACACTGATAGAACTTATTCGATCATGTATCCTTGTATCTAGAAACTGGAGATCTTATAAGGTGGGTTTAGGTAGAAGCACCAACAGACACAGAATTGTTATTCTCTAAACATAATTTCAATGTGGTCTATCCTTACAATGAAATGTTATTTGGCAATAAAAAGGAATGCAGCACTGATACTTGCTACTGCATAGTTGAAACTTGAAAACATTATGCTAAAAGTATCCAGTCATAAAAGACCGTATATTGTGTGATTCCACTTATTTGAAATGTCCAGAACAGATAAATCCATAGAGACAGAAAGTAGATTAATGTTTGCTTAGGGGTGAGGGGATAGGAGGATTGGGGAGTGACTACAAATGGGTATGGAGTTTCTTTTGCAGAAACAAAGTGTTCTAGAATTAGATTATGTGCACAACCTGGTGAACCTAGTACAATCCATTGAAATGCACTTTAAGAGGGTGAATTTTATAGTATGTAAATTATGTCACAATAAAGTTGTTATAAAAAAACTCTTATTAATGAACAGAAGGGGTTTGTTCACTCTTCTGCCTACATTGTTCCTGATTCTTCTGGGCAAAAATACTCATTCTGGTCAGGTTCCTTAGGTTTATTAAAGTTCAAGGAAACTTGCAAGATAGTATCAATGGAATGAATGCTCCTGAGGAGTTCATTTTTCTGTGGCCATAGGATGTCAGGTTCAAGAAGCTTTATGTAGGTCTCCCTCCTTCCTTAAAATGATCGTCTCAAAAGACCCATTTATTAATCAGAGGCTGCTTTAATTTTGATGGAGTTGCCAAATTGCTCCTAGAGTTGTGAAAAGTCCTGGCTCTAGGGATCATCATTAATTCTTTCTTCAGCCAAGTTTTTTTGCAACAGTTCCACACAAATTCAATTTCTCAAATTCTGTCTTCTAAACCTATCCTTTTTTCTTTCACTTTTTTCTCTGACTCATTAACACGGGTTCAATTGTTAGTTTACAATTGCCTGAGCATGATTAACAGCAGCTATTGTGTTTTACTAGTAAAATAGCTACAGCTACAGTTTATTTTTAAAATTAAAAATAAATTATTACTAACAACCAGTTGAAATGACTCTCAGAAGCTTTCTGTTATAATCCTATTACCCTTTGGGCTATGATGACTCACAATATAACTACTGAGATGATGGGAAAAATAAAAACCTCAACATGTTAATGAAAAGGACTCATAAAAAATCCAACAAATATTTATTGAGTGCAGGTTTTGTTTAGGACACTGAGATTTTTATGGGAGATAGAAAACCTGTTAAGAACTTAGGTGCTGGAGAGGATGTGGAGAAATAGGAACACTTTTACACTCTTGGTGGGACGTAAACTAGTTCAACCATTGTGGAAGTCAGTGTGGCAATTCCTCAGGGATCTAGATCTAGAACTAGAAATACCATTTGACCCAGCCATCCCATTACTGGGTATATACCCAAAGGACTATAAATCATGCTGCTATAAAGACACATGCACACATATGTTTATTGTGGCACTATTCAGAATAGCAAAGACTTGGAACCAACCCAAACGTCCAACAATGATAGACTGGATAAAGAAAATGTGGCACATATACACCATGGAATACTATGCAGCCATAAAAAATGATGAGTTCATGTCCTTTGTAGGGACATGGATGAAATTGGAAATCATCATTCTCCGTAAACTATTGCAAGGACAAAAAACCCAACACCGCATATTCTCACTCATAGGTGGGAATTGAACAATGAGAACACATGGACACAGGAAGGGGAACATCACACTCTTGGGACTGTTGTGGGGTGGGGGGAGGGGGGAGGGATAGCATTAGGAGATATACCTAATGCTAAATGAAGAGTTAATGGGTGCAGCACACCAGCATGGCACATGCATACATATGTAACTAAGCTGCACATTGTGCACATGTACCCTAAAACTTAAAGTATAATAATAATAAAATTAAAAAAAAAAGAAAACCTGTTAAGAACTTAAAATCTTTTAGGGGAGACAAGACATGAAGGACCATAAGGTTGAATAACAATGTAAGACTTACTAATAAATAACCCAAATGATAGATTTTTTAATTGTTCCAAGTATAAAAGGAGTCTTTGTTAATTCATTCACAAAACAACTATTTATCCAGCATTTCTTATGAGCAAGCTCTCCTGGGTGAACTCAGTACTTTTGTGTGGTTAGAAGCCTAATAAGAGCACCCTCTCTCTCATTTTCTGGGAAGTGGGATAGAAAACTCCTACACTGCAGGGAGCTGACAATCTATTGGGAACATAGGCAAGGGTACAATGCCTCTACTCCAGGCAGAGTGGCAACATCACCCCTAGACCCTTGCACTGGGTCTCCTGCCCTGGGCCCTGCCTTTCAAAGCCCTGTGTTAGTCCTCTTTGTAGAGTGAGAAGTCTATGTGGTCAAGAAGTCTTATGGTTTATGTGGGATTCAGGGAGAGGGATGGGAGCACAAAATTATGTTCTGGAGGGAAGAATGAATCTTAAAGAAGTGTGTTGTTTTTGTTTGTTTTCTAGATTCAAAGAAAGTAAATAAATAAAGGGCCAAGAGGATTCTATGAGGTAGGAGAGAATATTTAGATGGAATGACTAACTGTTAGTACTGGTAGGATGGATGGTGATGTTCAGAGAATGGGACTTCAGGCTTAATGATTTAGGAGGTGGAGATAAGGTCCTGTGTGAACCATGTGAATAGTTGCTGATGTGCAGATCAAGTGACCAATGGAGTCTAGAAGGTTTAGGAAGTGTAAGACCAGGAGATGGGGGACTCAAGTCATCCCAGAAGATGGCACAAGTTGTGGTGGAGTCTGTGAAGCAGCTGCCTTCATCCTTACCAGGCATCATTAAATATCCACTGGTGGTAGATGGGGGTTGAAATAAGGCAAAGGTAGAAGGTGGGCAAGCTGAATGGCATGAGCTTCATCAAATGCAGGAAGGATCAGTGGTGAGCTGGGAGAATGCCTACATTACTATCTGCCTTCACAGTATCTCCCAGAGATGACTGTAAGGGATCTAGGGTTAACATTCCACTATGTGGTTCCATGGTAATGGAGCCATCTGTTAGCTAAGGAAATTCTATAGGGATCAGTGGAAATAACTGGGTGGTTGGTCAACTTTGGAGGCTAGGCTGTCATGCGGCAGGCCCAGAGCAAAAGAGGGTGAGGGTCTGGCAATGGCTTTGAAGTTCAGATGGTGACAGGTGAGAGGGATGTACTAGTAGTTTCAACCTGTCTCATGGTTCTGGAACATTTGGAGCTCTGTCACAAAGTGATAAAACATAAATATGGCACTTTAGAATGGAATTTTGTGACCAAGTTTTTCAGTAATGAAACTCAGGTAATGGAGCGCTATTGCTGCAGCCAGCTTTGCAAAGTGTCTGTCTGTGTGCATCTGAGTAGGAACCCCATGAAAATAAATGCTCTTTTGGAAATGGGGCTGTCATTTTCTCTTCTCCGTGAAAAAGGACATAGAATATTCTGGGAAGACAGATTATACGACATGAAAGTGTGGAAGTATGAAACAGTGTGGGAATTTGAGGAATGACTAGAACATAGGGCTCAGAGATTGAAGAGGTGAAGACTTAAATTGTAGGTGGCATTGGGAAGGGCCTTGAATGCCAGACCAAGGAATTTGATTTTATCCTGTAAAATAAAAGGGGAGTGTCATGAACAGGACTGCGGTGTAGAAATGTAGAGAAATGAGGGCAGTGTAGAGAACGGGGCCACAAGGGCAGCAGACCTGTGCAAAGGTTACTGTTTTTGGCCACTCAGCAATGAAGAACACCAGGAAATTTTAATCAAGTCAAATAAAATGTGTACACAAATAGTTACAAGGTAGAATGTGATAACGCGAAAAGAAAGACTGAAAATGCCATCTGACCAGTTGAAGGGAATCAGGGGAAGCTTTCTAAAGGAAGTGGCATTTGGTCTATACGTTGAGGGGCAGGTAAGGTAATATGGTTTTAATTTGTGGTAATGAAAGAAGTCAATGAGATATTCTGAAAGTAGAAGTTGCCTTGGCTTAAAGTGTAGAATGTGTTTGGGGAAAGAGTGAGTGGTCCATTGAGTTTACAGCAGGGGTTCTGAACCTTTTGTTGTGCTGTGGCCCTGTTTGACAGTCTGGTGAAGCCTATAGAATCCCTAGTATAATATTTTAGTGCATAAATCAAAATAATAGGATTGCAGGAGAAAGCAATTACACTGAAATAAAGTCATCGATAAAATACACAAATTTATGATATAATAATATAAGTATTTCATTAGTACTGGAATAAACAACAAGGTCTAGTGGCCATCTAATCATGACTGTAATCTCCAAGTTGATGAGTTTAAGTGATATTTTGAGATATCTGCAATAACAGTAATGTAATACCAAAATATCTAAGATCTCAATTGGTGGTACAATTATTGACTAGGACTGCTGATACTATGGTTTGGTACCTACAGTCATAATTAAAGAAAGTACAAAGTTTGAGTAATTATTGAAAATAAAGATGAATGTTTTTTCCCATCCAAATTAATGTATTCTGTAAAGTCTATCTACACATGCCTTGGAAGTCATGGACTCCAGTTAAGAACTCCTTTAGAGAACAGGGGTTAGCAAATTAATATACCACAGTGTTACTCTAAGTTTTGAGCTCTTCTAGGGTTTTAAGATGGAATTTGATTTACAAAATCAAGATTTATTCAAAACTGGAAAGGTCCATGCTTACTGAGTCAACCAAGAACACCCACAGTGTTTTAGTTTTTCAAGCTCCAATGTGTTTTGCCTCCATTGCCCAAGAAGACCTCTTGATGAATTCTGCAGAATGAGGAGAGCATTCCTCCCATGCCCACAGAAAGGCATCAAGTACAAGGTGTGGAATAGAGGTGTGGGTAGCCTCGTGGTCAGCAGGGCAGTGTGCTGTTTATTTGTCTTCTAATCCTTGGGGAGAGGGGAGAGAGCAATAGAGACACTCTCTTCTGTTATGATACCATGTGCTGTTGCCCGGACTTTTTGTTTTGGGCTGCTTAGTTATTTGTTAGTTGGAAAAATTTTGGTAAAACACAAATGGAGCAGTTGGAAAGACAGAAGGACAAAATAAGCAGAAGGAAAAAGTGAGGGGGTCATTGGAAAGGCTTTTTTGGTGGCATATGTGTCCAGTGGGCCCAGTCTTGAGCACTGAGACCATCCCAGGTGTCCAGGGCTTTGTTTAGGTGACCACCTTTTGGTTTTGGAATATGACAAAAGCTGTGGATATGGCTGCTTACATTAGAGAGAAATAAGGGCCCGTTTGTTTTCTAACAGTGAAGTGGGAACAAGGATTTTACATATGTGGCTTTAGTCACAGCCTGACCACACAGAATGGAAAACTTTGGACACTCTGAGCTTCTGAGGCAGAGAGAAAATGAACTTTTCTAGTTCTCCAACTCTTCTATTCCCTCTTTTCTTCCCTGGGCAGTGTGAGTCTGTAGTGACAGGGTCAGCACTATGCTTGTGAAATTTGCTCTTTATCCAATTTATGACTGCTGTTCCTTGTGCTTCCTGGTCCCTGGGGACACCTGGCATGGCTTTGAGCTCAAAGTCCTCAGGGCATCCCAGCTAGGCTGCTTCATGGCTCCTGTCATCCACTATCAGATGCCTATGCTCACAGCAAATGTCAACTGTACCACTCACTGCACAAAGGAGTGATTCTCTCTGCAAAGGCAAAGAGGAAACATCTGATGTTGCAGCCAGCTATCTGGCTATCTTTGGGGAATGAACATGCATATTAATTTACTCTTTTGTTTATTACCTTGCTCACCCTCCAACACTTAGGTGGCACTAATTGCAATGTTTGCTAAGCAGGCTTCCCACTGCAATCCATCCTTTCAGTCCCAATCCGTTGGGCAATTACCACCACAAATATACTTCTAGTTGAGTGTAACAGCAAGCAAAGTGGACTGCCCCTTGGATGATGATCAGTCAGCTTTGCTGGCTCTTTAAAATGCAAAGATGAAATACATTATAGAAAGATTTAATTTTCTAAAGTTAAGAAATCCAAAAGGGTTGCCTTGGGAAAGTAGAGTGCATTCATAGAATAGTACTGTATGAAACTCATTTATATAAAAGGTACAAAATATTTGGGTGGGTCAGATTTTCACTGAATTTGTAGGCAAAATAGAATCCTGAGACAGATAGTTTGTCCTGTCTTGAATGGGTCCTAATCACTGCTTTGCAAAATTAGTTCACTCAACGACCACATGGGCCATAAATATCCTTTTTCTGCTTGCCAAGGATATGAATAAGCCAGAATGACAATCTAATCTTGACAGGGGCACCTGTGTTTATACTGAGTTCTCCTTTTCCTTCCTCTTGTAACACATGAACTTCCACCTACAACTGAAAAAGGCATGATTCCCCACAGCAGAGTCAAGTGAAAAGATAATAGCTGGTTAGCTAGATCACCACACACACCAAATTGGTCCCCAATTCCTCTTTCAATTAGGACAGGAAGATATCTCTGCAAATTTGAGGCAAAAATTTGCTTCTGTCTCAGAAGGTGGTTTGCAAGAAAGTGCAGAAACAGAATGAAGAACAGAAACATGGGGAAGCAAAAGAGGACTTTAGGATAAAACTCTGATATTTGACATTCATTTATGATTTTTTCTTTAAGTGACATCGCAGTGATGTGTGATAGAGAAATCTCTTATGGAATATGTGCAATTTCTGACCCTAATCTGTCAGGGTATGGAGTCAAGTAAAAGTAGAAATAGCTTGTGATGCTGAATGAGAAGGAAAAGGGAAATCTCTAAAAGTTAGGGATTTTTAGAACTAGTTAAGGAACATGAAGTTTGAAGTTTTTCCCAGAATCAACATTTCTGAAGATACTCAGAACTTTATGCTTATAATATTTCTATACGTTATGTTTATGTAGATATAAATCTTCTCTTTATTTGTAATATCACAAAGATGGGTAATTGGGTAGCGATTGTCTTTCCACGGGTTTGCAGTCGATGCAAATTTCTAGGTGTCAAAAATAAAACACTTTGATTTCTTTGATCTTACTAGCTGTGTAATTTAGGTTATACTGAGATATGTAATCTTTGAGTATCTTGAAGGGAAACCAGGTTGGCAAAATGGAAATTTGATGACTTAACATTGTTTGCATTGTTTTGCAAGGAAAAATTAAGTAAAACCTTAAGGAAGGTAATATACAAACATAGATTCATTATCTAAAACTGGGTTTTTTGGAGATGGCTTTTAGAATAAAGGTGCAGATTATTCAACATTTTTGGCTATTTTATATTTTGTTCCTAACTCCCCTAAAATCCTTGTTTGGCAAGAATTTTTATCAAATTAGTTTGGAAATTAAAACCACTTTTTTTAAAAGCAGAACATCTGACATACATAGCATATTATGTTGCAAATTCTGGCCATTCAATAAATGCTGGTTGCATAAATGCCAAGCTGTACACTAAAGTCTTGTGACTTTTCCCTGGTTCTGGGCATGTGTATAAGCATATTATACATTTTTAATAATAATTAACTTTTTAACAAAATGTGTTCATTTACCTTTTAATTCTCATAGCCTTATTATTCTGACTTTTAGACTAGAATATTGAGATTTGTAAAGTTTCAGGGACATAGATTTTACTTCTTTTTTGTCCATCATTTTATCACAAACAACTCCAAACCATTTCTGATGTTCTTCATTCCTTCCTAAAGATCGAAGTTTTCATTAGGCTAAAGAACTTTCTTTACCATTTCTTACAGTACAGGTCTACTATGATAAATTCTCTGTTCCTCTGATCTGAAAATGTCTTTATTTAATCTTCATTCTTGAAGGATATTTTCACTGAACCTAGAATTCTGTGCTTACAGTTTTTTTTTCAGAACTTTGAATATGTTGTTCTCCTATTTTCTGACTTGTTTGTGATGGGAAGTTAATTATCATTTGAATCTTTGTTTCCCTGTCTGTAATGCTTTTTCAAGATTTTTTTCTTTGTCTTTGGTTTTTAGCAGTTTATGATGTTTAGCTGTGGTGCTATTTGTATTAAGTCTGCTTGGGGATCATTAAGGTTCTTGAACTTGTGAATTTATGTCTTTCACTGAATTTGTAAAAATTTTGGCTTTTAATTTTTCAAAAATTTTTTCTGTTCCATTTTCTTTTTCTTGTCCTCTAGAACTCCAGTTACCTGTGTGTTTGGCCTTTTGATATTGTCCCATATGTCCCTGTTCATTGTTTTCCAATCTGTTTTCTCTCTTTTCTTTAAGATTAGAAAATTTCTATTGCTCTGTCTTCAAGTTCACTGACTCTGCTCTATTACCTCTGTTTTGTTAACCCTGTCCCTAAATTTTTTTCAGACATTTTATTTTTCCATTGTAAAATTTCCATTTGGTTCTTTTTAATAATTTCTGGTTGTGTGTTGACATTTCCTATCTTAAATTTATGAAAAACACATTTTTCTTTATGCCATTGAGCACAGTTACAATAGCTGCTTTACCGTCCTTTTCTGATAATTCCATCATCTTGGCCATCCTGTGGTTGGCCTCTCAGGGTTGTCTTTTTCTCTTGAGAATAGGTGACATTTTCTGTATGCTGAAAACTTTTGGATCATATCCTAAAGATGATGACTGATGTGTTGTGGAACCTCTGGATATTACATATTTCTTTGAATAGAGTTGATTTCTTTTGTTACAACAGGCAATTAACTTAACTAGACAAAAACTGTGACTGCTGCCTCTTGGGCAGCAGCTCCAACCTCATTGTGGTTGTCTTATTCTTATTGAGACTGCTTGGAAGCTTGCCCTCACATGTGTGGTTCGGTGGTCAGCCAGAGATTTGGGAAGAGTTTGTACAGGGAATTTAGAGCTTCCCATTTCTGGCTCTCCACATCTTGGGATTCGGCCCTCATGCTGGAAGCCATGAAAATAGGAACTCCACCCAGTGCTGTTTTCTTCTCTCAGTGTCAACTTCCAGAATCCACCTGTTCTGTGTCTTCAAGGAGTTGGTTTTCTTGTTTTTGTTTTCATCTGGAATTTACAGTTGTTACATGTCAGAGACTTAGACTGTTGGGAGCTTTTTGGGCCATTTGGATTATTTTTGAGTCTTTGATAATATTGGAAGAAGTAGGGCTTTGAAAGGGAATGCTCCTTTTCCAACTCTATAGCTGCACCACTGGTCAGTTATTCTTTGACTTAGTTACTGTACACTACTCCTCCCTAAGTGAATAAAATAGAGGAATTTTTTGTTCACCATCAAAACATATGTCAGCTTGAATCTGACTGTAGTGTTCAAACTAAACATGCACCTTTTCTGGACCCTTCTTAGAAGTCTAAGTAGTTAAAATCTTCTTATACCTTCATATTCAAAACAGCAAAGTAAGTTACAGGAATTATTATAATTATCTCTTTATAATAAAGTTAATTCCAAGGGTGGTATAATGGCTCATTTATTTCAAGTTATATTTGACATGGAAAATTGTCAATCTAACAAAAGAACTGGGGCAATCTTGTGGAGTTGACTATGATGGGATTTGAACTATCTTAATAGATTCAAAACATGGGAACAGTATACATAGTGCTGGTTAAGTAGCTTTGAACCTAACATAATGTAAGCCTGTTAAATTTTTTTTGTACTTAATGTTCTATTAGTTTAACTGTCAGAACAGTTTTCATAGAGAAATATTTTCATTTAATAGCATTTTCGTATGTAGTTAGGAACATATTACATGGTTGATTTTCAGCCTACTAAAATATTAGATACTTATTTATACAGTCTATAACATAGCCTAATAATAATGAACAAACATCAGATACACTTACTTAAGCACTGGGTGACATCAGTCTAAATTCAAAAAGATTCTAATTTTATTGACATCACCACTAGAAAACTTTATAAAATATTTCTTATACAAAACAGATTGTATACTGTTATTTTAGAAATGAGAGTTGCAGAAATCTCTTTGTTTTTCCCCTCTTTCTTTGTACTTTTGATATTACTCACTTGAGAAGTTCTTCAAATGCACGTCATTCCTTTCAAAATTCAAGGTGGAAAGGCAAAATGTTATACCATTTCTTGGCATAGTTTTCTGGTTTAGACTTGATATTGATTGATTTGTTCCATAGTGACGAAACTCTTTTTTTGGCAATAATTTTAATTAGCTCAATCACTTACTTATTCTGCAATTGCTTTCCTTTTTGATTTGTTCTATCATTATGGATATCTGCTTATGAAAATGAAAGTGTAATCATATTCCCTCTAAGACCTTTTATTAGATAGTGATCAATGTAATTGAAGTAAAAGTTCCATTTTGAATGCATCTTTCCATATACAGGCTGATCTATCATGTAGGATATATGTTTCCTGGGATTTATGTTTTGACTTTGCATTTAGTACATGATACAACAAGTCTCTGCTCCATTGGGAAATGGCGAAATCAAATTCTTTTTTTATTCTTATGGTAATATTCAGACTCATTTATTCAAAAGCATGAATAGCACTCTGCTTGAAAGTTCAGCTGGTTAACTTGGTTGTTAAAATGTTATTCTTTAAGGGAGAAGTCATTTCTTTTTTCTTCTAGTAATTATGTGCCTTGCACATAGTAGGTATTTAATCAGGATCTATTTGACTTACATTTAGTGGGATGAAAGAATCCAAACTAACAATTGTTCTTTGGGGATATATAATTTTCTTTCTTTCTTTTTTTTTTTTTTTTTTTAAATTTTTTGGAGATGGAGTCTCACTCTGTCGCCCAGGATGGAGTGCAGAGGCACGATCTCAGCTCACTGCAACCTCCGCCTCCCAGGTTCAAGCAATTCTCCTGCCTCAGCCTCCCGAGTAGCTGGGACTACAGGTGCATGCCACCATGCCCAGCTAATTTTTTGTATTTTATTAGAGACGGGGTTTCACCGTGTTGCCCAGGCTGTTCTGGAACTCCTGAACTCAGGTAATCCGCCCGCCTCAGCCTCCCAAAATGCTAGGATTACAGGCGTGAGTCACCGCGCCCAGCCCCGGGGATATATAATTTTCATTTAAGAATTTATTGAATATATTTTTCCTTAACCTTAAGCTTTTTGGTTTTACGATAATTAAATATTTACAATTTTGTTATGACCAGGAATATTGTTTCTTTATTTAAATGGTCTTTTATTTAGTATAAAAATGACTCTCAAAAATAAATGTTCTCACACACTTTCCCTATAAGGAGGGAATATCCCTGAAACTTCATACAAACTAATAAAATCCTTCTAAGTTAGATTGCCATCTGAAATTGAAGCTATTAAACTTACGTAAGAATATTGGCATATAGTATCATGCTATAAATGCCTATTAAGTTGAATTTTGGTTTTGGATGCATTATTACTGTTGAGCTGTCTTAGCTGTATCCTAGACATTGGTGAAATGAAAGGATGAGAATATTTAGGCTTAAAAGAATTTTGAGAGAAGTGGTGGGCAGGAAAGTATAAAATGGTGTAAGAGCTCTTTTCCTTGATTAAATAGGATATTTCGGGGGAAAATTTTTGCTTCATAATCTGTATATAAATGTATACAGTTTTCATCACTATGACTGTCATTTCTACATTTACAAATCAACGAGCTATGTCAGCATTTGTCCCCTATTCAACTAGATCTTTTTTTCTCTCTAAATAAGGGTGTAACTGGAGATTGACAGAATCTGGTGGGTTGCATTTGCATTATGGCGCAGTGGAAATCTCAAGCTGGTTAATTATATTTCCAGCCCACACTGTGCACTAACTACCCCCCTCCTCTCTTCTTTCTCTGATTCCCATTCACTACCTTAGAGCTAGTCATGTACATAAAGGATCCCAATGCCTAGCACAGGTCCGGAGACAAACCAATGATTGTTACTTATATAAATAAATCACCAGAGTTGCAAAAGAAGTAACAGTTGACGTTTTCATTGTCATTGACCAAATGAGTGAACTGATGTATGGGGTAATGATAAGTGGGATCCTCTGTAGCAAGGTTGTATAGATCGCTGGTGGGAAGGCTGACCTGGAGATCAGGGCCTGGAGATCCCACGCCAGGCACCAGCAACTTAAGCGTTGTGCTTCGTAGGCTGCTCTGTGAAAGTGGCCATTTTCGTCACAGAAACCCACAAATATGAGCACATTACCTTTGAGACTTGGATTTTTAGTGCGATTCTCTGCATCAGTTAAATTCACCAAATGTTTGCATAACTGAGACAAAGAAATGAAAACTCCCCTGCTGTTAATGAACTATGAAAAAGAAAGAAGCTTCTGAATATTGGTTTGTCGGTCTCTCTGTCAGTCAACGAATGTCAAATCTGATTGTGATTTGGCTAAATTGGATCCAAGACTGTTATGAGCCTTTTAGCACTGTGTGTGGAATTTCTGCAGGTTTAAATCTTTCAGAACTATTCAATCACATCACATTCAGCATTCTAGGACAAAAGCAGCAAAATGATCAAGCAAGTATACCTCAGAATTCGTGCTATCTTTACAATCTGCCAAAATCTTTAAGCAACACTAGCAAACATGTGAAGTAGGTCTAAAATTATTGACATTAATACCAATAAAATTCTGAAGTAGACATTAATAATATTTAATGAACATCAGGACGTTTGTAGAATGGACAGGTAACTGTTTCCTTAGGCTGTCTCTAGGTTAAGCAAGGAGTCCCTTCTGATAGACCTGCTTTTGAAGCAGTAGCTCTTTAATGAGGTGGTCAGATGTACTGATGGCAACTACTTCACAGTTTTTAAAAATAATGTCCACTGTGAAAATGGAGTTTTCTGTAAATGGAGTTTTCCATGAAAGTGAAAATGGCCATAAAAAAGAATGTGTTGGTCCTTATTTCTAATGGACACACAGAGGACTAAAGAGAAGGAATTAGAGACGGAGATAGTAAATGAAGCTCCTCACTGATATGATCTTCTTAAAAGAATAGAGGGAGGAAAAAACTTATGACCAGAATTACAGAATCATGGAATTCTAGCTAGGAAATACTTTAGATTTGGATTAGTATAAATATGGATAGTAGAGTTGATAAACTTTCAAAAATGTTTGGTAATTAGAATCAATTAGATGGCAGAATTTTATTCTCAAGAATCTCTGAGCAGTGTATCCGAAACCTCTAAGGATTTTCGGAACAGTGTTCTATAGTTATACTCCACTGGGACAGTTCACGAAATAAAAAAGCCCTGATACACCTTTATTATAGAAGAAACCTAGCTCTTCAATAACCCTTGCATTTCAGAGTGGATTAATTGATGCTGATGTCTTGGAAAAGCAGGCACTGAAAAACTGTGCTCAAGCAATAGAGGAACATGGAACCATGAATAGGGGCAGTAAGCCCAAGGTCTTAAAAATGATCTCCAGGGAAACCTCAGGAAATCTGAATCATCAACTTCCACTAGTCCATACGGAAGAGACTGAGACACAGAAAAAGTAAATGAATATGCCACATTTCCAAAGCACACACCTATGTATTCTACTCTAAACCTCAATCTTCTCATTATCTTCTTGTACCTCTCTTAGGAATTCCAGATGACTGTTGCCATTGAGTGCAGTTGGTCTTTCCGTACTCTTCTCCACCATTCGTTTGACAGGTTTTAATTGGGAAATGGAGTTGAAGTCAAATGTCTACCTTCTCCTTTTCGATGTGTCTGTTTTGAGGTTTTATCTTACCATAAGATCTAAGTGGTTACTTGGAATAGAGGATGTTGCAACACAGTGCTGGGTGTCATACCAGCCACTTGGCAGGCAGTTCTTAATAGCCATGGTGTCATTCTAAATCCATTGGCTTAACTTCTTGTTGTGTGGTAAATGCCTTAGAAGGAATTGCATTTTAACGTATAGGCTTTAAGATGTTGATGACTTTTGTGAGTGATTTTTCAAAGATTTTTATCTGCTTCCATGTGGTCTAAAGCCTGGATACCAAGAGTTCCAGGCTTGACTTTCATATTGGGAGTTGCCAGTAACTTGGGTATGCTTGAGGAGACATTTTCTTTTTCCATGAAAATATTCCTCAGTTCTTTTCATTTAAATAAATCAGTTGAGGAAAATGGTGGCATGAATGAAGGATGTGCCTGGACAGGTGACTTGTAATGAGAAGTCCAGGCATACTTTTGCTCAGTGCTTCCACCAGGAAGGGGGGCCTGTGATAGACAAAGGAAAACTGAGTTTCTCTGCTTCACCTACACGTGGATTCCACACCTCCCATTCTGCCTAGGAAGCTGCATAGTTGCTATTTAGTTCGGATTCCAGCCACAGACAAACTCTAAGTGCTGTGTCTAAGCAGCAGCAAGAGGAATCTGGTTCTTCTCAGAAAGTCAAGTATAATTCTGCAATGTGTCAGATGGCAGCTATCACAGGCTCTCCTGGAGGAATCAGAAAGTCTTTATCTGAAAAAGTAACAGAGTGGGTGTTGGACCTGGCCTCTGGGTCAGTGAAGACCCAAATGCTGAGGCCAGGAGAGGCCTTGAAGAGTGATGGTTGTGGCATGTGTATGAGGCTTGGCTTTTGCTATAGTCTGTTTAGACTGATCTAACCTTGGGAAAGAAAAAACACTTAATTTCTTCCTACCTCAATCTCATTTTATTTGTACATATGTTCTCTTAAGAAAACTTTTCCTCCTGGGCTAATTTAAGTGACAATGACTGCACTGAGCATGATTATTCTAAAGCAAAGTTCTTCAATTGAAGAATGGCTCATTTGACTTCTGAATACCCTTTTGTACCTGTATCCGCTAAACTTATCTAATTAATATGATGCCTTTTTAGTATGAATCCTTCTTGAACAGATAAACACCACCACCCAAGGTTGGCTTCACTTTCCTTCCCTGATATTAGTGGGATGGGCTTCCCACTCATAAAACTGAAGTTTATGATATGGCATTCACTTTTCTGAAAAACAAAAAACAAAAAACAAAAACCTGTTTTTGAATTTCTTTTTATTTTTAAATGCCAACTAACCACTGTGCAGCTGGACCGGGAAGCTTCCTGGCAGTGTGATGGTCCTGAGGAGCAATGTGGTCACTGATCAATAAAACCCCAACAT
This sequence comes from Homo sapiens, assembly GCF_000001405.40. Classification (NCBI taxonomy): domain Eukaryota; kingdom Metazoa; phylum Chordata; class Mammalia; order Primates; family Hominidae; genus Homo; species Homo sapiens. The sequence continues at coordinate 68,748,526 of NC_000005.10, read as the reverse complement.
GGGGAAAATAACAGGAGGGCCACTGTAATATTAGGAACGTTCATTTCAGTTTCTCTCTCATTTCTTCTAAGTCTGTGTGTTTGTGTGGCGACTCTCTATGTTCTCACACAAAAGCTTAGTGGAGTCACTGTTCTCACAAACTGCTAATGGGCCAAATTGCTGGTGCTTACAAGGAGAGATGCTGGTGACAGATAATGAAGTATCCAAGTAGTTCAAAGTGTCAAGAGAGAAAAGTGATGTCGTCACCTTGCCAGATTCATTTTTTAAATTGTATTGGTTAAGCTTGTTTTTCTTTTACCTCATTTTTGTTAATGAGAAAAATCTGGAAAAACTTAAAGGAAAACCTCCACTTGACTCTAGATTTTTTTTTTTTTTTTTTGCCCTTAACTCAGTTCTTAAATACTGAGGGTGCACAGAGGCTCTGGGGAAACCACTGACAGTGAAGTCCCTAAGGGTTTTTCCTCTCTGGGCCTGCCGGTAGCCTCTTGCCGAATAGGTGGGTTTTTATTTTGGAATAAGTAGTGCTTTCATAAGGCACTTCTTTTATGCAGTCAAATCCTCCTGGGGAAGTGACTGTCTACCTACGGTGGTGATTAGGGGATGTATTTCAGAACAGCGCAGGGCACTCCATTTAATAATACATGGAGTCCTCAAAAAATGCAGAATAAATAAAATGACTGGGTTGGGAGGGGGCGCTACAGGAGTTTTAGATTTAAAGGGAATCCTTCTGTGATTTTTTTTTTTTAGCAAAATATTGAATCTTTTTTTGAAGCAAATTATCACATCCCAATTTATCCTGTGTAAATCTGGAATGCCACATGGAGACTTGACTTTAACTGGAACACATATTCACCAAGCTAGTTCAAAGCCAATACTTCCCCTCCCCAGATAGAAAGGAAACTCCATGAAAGCAAAGTCCTTGGTGTTTTATGAGCTGCTGATGCTCGATAGCACATAGCAGGTACTCATTAAATATTTGTTGAATCCACGGAGTGAATGAAGAGGCAGATAAGAAGCTAATATTTTAAAATGTGATCAAAGAGACAAGATCCAGAATTCCTTATCAGTGTGATATTTAAAAGAGGCCTCTTTGGGTTAAAACTGGAAAGAATTTGGTTGGAGTCTTAACATAAAAGCTGAGTACTTATTTTACCCTAATGCAACCTCTCTAGACCCAGAGAATGCTTTTTACATTTAAGTAGGGCACAAACAGTATCTGCCCAGAGAAGTGACCTATGTTGGCTACCTGGGGATGTTTGGTCACGCATTCTGGTTGTCTTCCTTTCTCTGTGTCAGGACACGGTTGTAAATTCATGCACAGGTCATGAACTGTCCACACGCACATTCACAGCACTCATTTTCCACCTTCTCTCATGAAAGCCTAAATGGGCACTCATATGCGGGTGAGGAGTGGGGGGCAGCACGATCAAATGGAAACAAGGTGCTGCTGTATCTCTTACTTAGAGCGAAGCTGGGGGCAGGGGCCCCATAACATGACTCCCGCGTTCAAGTTACACCTGGGGAAAACCAGAGCCACATGTTTGAATGGCACCTTCTGAGCTCCTGTTTCCAAATTCAAGCTGAGCTGACACGTGGTGTACACGATTTCGACTCAGGAGCAGATTCCACTTAATCCACAGGGCATCTGAGTTACACGAGTACAAAATGAGAAACAGACGTGACTGCAGGTGCTTTTTGCCCTGCTCTTGCATAACAAACTCAAAGGTGTCTTTGATTTCAACAAGAAATTTGGCAGAGAGCTTGTCCATAAAGCAGTTTAATTGCACTGGGTTTTGGTAAAAGGGCTTCTCTCTCCTCCCACCTCACTTTCACCACACACATTCAAACATGCATTAAACTCCCGTTAGAAGGAGTAGAATGACTGGGTTAAAAATAAAATTTAGATTAAAGATCAACCTCAGTAACCTGTAAATTTCCCCATTCTCCCTATAAATGACCATCAGTTTTCTTGCTTTGGATAGCCTGATTTTAAATAGGTAATAATTACCCAATAGTCCAGAATGGTTCCAAATCCATTGTGTAAATAATATGGCTTTTAAATATATTAATGAGTAAATATTTAACCAATAAACCAAGGCAGCTTCAAAGAAGTTAGTCAACTCCAACGGGGACATTCTTCAGAAAGAAAAGCCTAAATAAGGATTTGTTCAACGGACCATAACCATTCATGGCTCAAAGAGGGTTATACTACTTTTGTGCCTGGAAACGTTTCTAGCAAAGTCTTCATTTCCTGGACCAAAGGATGTGTGATTTATGCGAAGATCTGCCCTCCTGTTGCCTCATGGGCTGGGACCTTTGGAGAGACTCTTTGTGTATTCTCAAGAAAGGCTTAGTATTTAGAAGGTGCTCCGTAAGTGCTGAGTGATGATAATGATGAATTAGGCTCAGGTTGGGGTCTGGGTGACTGAATGCCATTCACAGCAAAGTGGCCTATTTTGCCATCTATGGGAAGCAGGGGAAGTCTGTTTCACTTTTTTAGCATAGCCTTGCTGGTCTTGGGCAAGACATGTCTCTGGGCTAAAGTTGCCTCATCTGCAAAATGAAGTGATGGTCTAAATGACCTCCAAGTCCCCCCTCAACCCCGGTTATAATTTAGGACTCACTTCGGTGGGAAATTTGGGTTCCACTGTGTGCATTAAGAATTTTCCACAGAATAGTCTATCACAACTTAATTTTTTCCATAGACTAAAGCTTTCATGCCTGTGTGGAAATGATTGTAGATACTTTTCTGACTTGGATACCCTGAACCAGGGCTTTTCAAATTTGGGTGCACAGGCTGCCCACTGTACAACTCTAGGGGGCACCCTTCACATAGACTGTAAAGTGAATGCCAACCCCCCAACCCTAAGTTATGCAACATTGTTACCCTGCCTTGAAAATACAATATATTTTCTTTCCTGCTAGTGAACAGATTCATGATGTTAGATTTTTTTAAACTCCTGTTTGCTGAAATTCTGCCAACTTCTTCTTTCAGACTCCTTTTCTGAGAAGACTCTTTCCCTGATTCTCTTCCAAAGCCCTGATTAGAATGAAACTAACATCTATTTGAAAAGGTAATCATTCTCACTCAGATGAGTTCTGCTCTGAAAGTGAGAGGAAAAAAAATCCAGAATTGGGGCACTGCTATAGACTGAATGTTTATGTCTCCTTCAAATCAGATGTTGAAACCTAATCCCCAGTGTAAGGGTATTTGGAGGTGAGGCCTTTGGGAGGTGATTAGGTCACGAGGGTGGAGCCCTCAGGAATAAGATTAATGCCCTTAGAAAAGAGACCCTAGAGAGGTCGCTTACCCATTCTGCCATAGCAAAGGGACTGCTGCCTTATGAACAGGAAGTGTGCTGTCCCCAGAAACCAAGATTAGTGCCTTGACCTTGGACTTCCCAGTCTCCAAAACTTTGAGAAATAAATTTCTGTTGTTTGTAAGCCACCTAATCTATGGTATTTTTGTTAGAGTGGCCTAAATGGATTAAAATAGGCACCGAGGTACTTTGTAGCCCCCACACTGGCATTGTGCATGTGGGGTAGGATGGCATCAGATGGCAATAGAACATACACGTATTTTTGGTGGCCTGATGGGGTGAGTAGCCTCAATATCTTGTATATTTCCAGTATAGAAAGGAAACAGCAATAGATTTCTGTTTCTTAAAATTCTGTCAAGTGGTTTGGCTCGTGGAGCCATTCCAGCCTACGTTGCGGAGAGAGTTTGTTCTTGAACTGTGGTTAATCTCATCTCTAAACCAGCATCAGGTGTGGTGACCTCGGGACGGCACAAGCTGAATGATAGCCGACTGCTTCTCTGTTCCCACACTCTGAAGAAAAAAGACCACTGGGGTTTGCTCAAGCTAGTCCTCTCCCTTATGGGGAGCAGAATTGGACTCTTTAAAAAAACATTACTGCTTAAAAATAACAAGTCAGAGCTGAAGTGCTTCTCAGCTAATGGGTAAAAACTAGCTCTTTCTTACTGAAGTCAGATTAATATTTAAAGCCTAGATTCTGGGCTTTGAGATGTTCTCACTAACTTAGTGGAGTTTTCACCACCTGCTCCTGATGAGCGCTCTTTTTGCCAAGTGTATTCCCCTCGAGAGCAGCTTCACTTTGCTGGCAGCACTTTCAGCTCTAGGCACTTAGCTCTAGGGTGTGCAGAGTATAGAAAGCGGAGTTAACCTCCCCAAGCCTATCCAGACTGTTTAACTTTAATAATATCATTTGACATTGAAAGTTAGACCTGTCTTACCATCTGCCCTTATACCGAGCTTCTAAGAAATGATCAGCTGGGTGCCTCACAGTTCCATCACAGTCAGCCTGGTGATATTTAAGCAGAAACACAAGGCCTGAAACTCCTTCAACAACAGAATTCTGCCTAGTTAATTTCTTCTGATATTTATATGTTGCCCCTGACAAATCTCACAATATTAGTAAAAAAAAAATTTGATAACCCAGCAATGAAACCTTTTATTGACAGCCTGCTTTGTACATTACCACTAATTGCTACCTAGATCTAAATGCAATCCTATTTCTAGGATTGCAAGGTCGTGGATATTATTATCTCTGTTTTACAGTAGACGATATTGAATCTCGGAGAGGGGAAAGTATTTGCCCAAAATTACGCAGCTATTGAGTGAAGGGGATAAGATTCAAGGCCAAAGGTCCAAGCCTGGCTCCTTCCTCCATGCCATTGAGATACGCCCTTCTCCCCAGTTAGAAAAGCAAGTCCTCCTGCAATCTCCTCCCCACTCAGCCCAGCTCCTCTCCAGTCTCAGGCCTTCTTGTGGGTATAACTATTGGTATCTTCCAGTTGTCCTGTCTTCCATCTTTCCACAAAGTTCCTTTCTCTGCCTGGCCCTAATGGAAATCCAGGTTTTATCTGATGGTTCTACTTTCCTCACAGCCCTCTCTGATGGAGACTTCTCCTTTCAATGCCTTCCACCTGAATTCCCAGCCCCAAATTCACAGCAAGAGCCCAGCATGCATTGGTCACGTCTACCTTTCTGACTGCACTCTCTTTAGCAAGTTCGTCCCTGTCTTTATTCCCTTAAGCATAAATATTCTCCAGTTTCCATACTTGGCCTGTATGCCTTCTCTTTAAATACTGTCTTCTAGCCTGACCAGTGGTCCAGGTTTGCCTGGAACTGAGGGACTTCCAGGGACATGGGACTGCCAGTGCTAAAATTAGGATAGACCTAGGCATGGGTGGTCACCTTACTTGTCTCCCCAACCTCTTGTTAAAGGCTTTATAATTACCTGTAGAAATCTGACTCTTATCTCCATATCTCAGCAGCCTGAGCCTTGGGCTATCTCCTGACCTTCACATTCCTATTTCTCTCTGGTTCATGGCTATCCCCACCTGGACACTCCATCCTTAACTTCAAATCCAATGTGTGCTAGGCTAAACACAACACTTCCTCCTCGTAACCAACTTCCCTACTGATTTTCCTCTTCTTGTCAATGAACATATTTCTGCCTATCTCACTAACTTCAGTGGAAGTTTCTGGGGGCTCAGTGTCCCCCCAGGACCTAGATTTGTGGGAGACTTTGAGACTTTAAGATCTGAACTTGAATCCTAGTTTGGCAATTCCTGGTTGTACGATCTTCAGAAAGTTATTTAGTTCTCTGGCCTGAAGTTCCCTCATCTATATACTCTATATAAGAGTATGTACATCTTATTACAGGTTTTTTCAAGGCTTAAATGTACTATGTTTAGCATGATGCTTGACACACAGAAGGGCCTCAGTAAAGGACCTTGTATATAGTATGTACTCACATGTGTGGAACTGATGCTACAGTGCAATTTTTGCTCATTGTGGTCTCTCCCAGAGATATGGTTTGGTTCTGTGTCCCCACCCAAATCTCACCTTGAATTGTAATAATCCCCATGTGTCGAGGGTAGGACCAGGTGGAGATAATTGGATCATGGGGATGATTTCTGCCATGCTGTTCTTATGATAGTGAGTGAGTTCTCACGAGATCTGATGGTTTTATAAGGGGCTTCCTCCTTCACTCAAAACTCATTCTCTCTCCTGGCACCCTGAGAAGAGGTGCCTTCCGCCATGATTGTAGGTTTCAGTTAAAAAAAAAAAAAGAAAGAAAGAAAGAAAGAAAAGAAAGAAAAAGAGTTCAAGTCGCATTTGAAGTGTTAGGGATTTTAAGCAGGGGTGTGAGACAATGCATCGATGCTTTAGAAAGACCACTCTTATTACCACATGGTAGATGTACAGGAAAGGGAAAGAGTGAAAAGAGGGAGACTCTTACAGAGCTATTCAAATAGGCAGGAGCTGACTGTAGTATGAACTAGGGTTATAGCAGAGGGGTAAAGAAAAGGGTTGAATTTGTAATTTATTTTGGGAGTAGAGGTCCCATTCCTCATACAACCCATATCCTAAATTAATTTAGGACAAATGCCAACCTAGATATAGGGTGTATGAAAAATGGAACATGAAAGAATAATGGAAGGTCTTTGGACCTGAGAAGGTATGAAGTAGTGATGCAAAATATTGGGATGGAGAAGGCTTAGGACTTGGGGATAAGAGGAGAGGCTTGGGATAGAAAACCACAGTTCTGAGGAGAGGTCTGGGACTTAGTAATAGGTGAGGGTCATTTAAACTTGGGACCACATGAAATTTCTAGAGAGAGAAAGTGGAATAAGGAAAAGAGGAGAACTAAGGACACTCAGACTGACCTTGGATGGGTCACTTCATTTTCCTGAATTTCAGTTTTCTTTTAAAATGAGGGACTTTGATTAGGTCCCTAAGCTTCCCTCTCACCTTAATATCCTTAGATTCTGTAATAGAAACAAGGGCAAATACATAAATCTTCTGGATTTGAATTTAAAACTATACATTGTCAAAGTCAAACACATTCAACAATGGTTTCCTTAACAAAACAGCAATCTGTCATAAGGCCAGGCATATTCAAGACTCACTTGATTGTGAGAAGCTGATTATTGTTACATTCTTTGTTCAGGAAATGGCACTTCAAGAAAGGAATGGCTTCACTTATGAAAAGCAACTGGTTTTGTGTTGACTTTATGCTGAAATAGAAGAGCAAGGGAAGATGATGCTAAAGAGGCATGCAGTTATAAAGTGCAGACCCTTCCCACCTGTTAAGTTGAGGCCTTGATTGCCTAATGTTTTGAAGTTATTTGTGCTTTATAAAAGGAATCTGCCTAGTTATAAACAGCATGGATGTGACGGCAGCCTCAGTTTTTGATCTGGTTACTTGGCCTGTGTTAAACAAATGCCAAGGAGTTAGCAGAAGGTGAATTCCAGCTCAGAGGAGTCCATCTTGGGTAGAAGGGTTGCTATAGGATGCACTGGGTCCCTTCGCCTCTCCACAGGGAGAGCTCTAGCCCAGATGTTGCTTTCTGCCAGGAAAGTAACTTAGGATGGACACAAAGCAGAACTAGTGAGTTGGGGACTGAGGTTGAGAGGACCAATTAATCTTGGGACTTGTGTGAAAACTAATAATACCAGGCCCTGGCACTCTATTATTACTCAAGGAGCACAATGCACTTCATAAACATGGACTAATTGATTCATGCCTCCAAATTTTCCCTGTAAGGCCACTCAGTGCTCTCTTCTTTCCTCCTCCTTTGGTGACTGGGGAAGCATGCTGAGTCACAGAGAGGTAAGTTACCTCCAACCCCCCAACAAAGGAGCTGCCAGGAGATGAAAATCTCAATGCAATTCACCATCCACTCTGCTCAATATTTCCTAGTTTAATGAAAATAGTCCCAGTTACCTAGGAGACTTGGTATAACTTCGTAGATAGGCTAAAAGCACTTATGAGCTACGAAAATGCTCAGTTGTCAGCCTGATTTTTCCACCCTAGCTGAGACTTACTGGCATCACTTACATAGCTGAGTATCAGTCACATGGCTTGACTTCCCAGAGTTGGAGTAAAGATGAAATGAAAACTCTAAGGCATTTTTTTTTCCTCCCGGGATCTAGGTGCCCTCTATTTGAATATGGTGTAACCCACCAATAAGATTTGAGACCCATTCCTAATGAATTAAATCAGATGCTCTGGGCATGGGACTTGAGCACCTGTTGTTTTTAAAGCTCCCTAGGGGATTCTATTCTGTGGCCAGGGCTGGAAACCACAGAGCAGAAAGGGAAGATTCCCCACTTGTTTGCTGTGGGCGCGTCGGTCAACTTCTATGAACTTTGATTTCCTCATACATTGAGGGTTAATACTTACCTCATGGGGTTGCTGGGAAGATAAAGTGAAATGAAATAAAATGAAGCACCTTATAGCAGGCACCTAGGATTTATTCAAAAGATGTCAAGAGCCTGCTCTTCTTGACTTTACTGTTGTAGAAACATTTTCTACTTATGTGTAACCAGGATAATTTTCTATAAAATCATGATAGAAATGTAGTTCTTTATCTCAGTCAATTAAAAGACTCAAAAACAGAGACCAAAACCTCTGGCTTTGGCTTTAATCAAAATTAGTCATTAAAGCAAAACAGAGTGGCAGGTGTTGCCAGGAAGCCTCAGGCCTCAGCCTCTGTGAAGAGTGGTTTCTTTGGTTTCTATTAGGCTCTTAACTGTTCATTTCACCAAGCCTAAGCCAGATGAGAAACCGTGGCGGGACAGAGACGCTCTCTGTTAGATGGGTAGGGCTGGTTAGATCCTTACCTGCCAGGGAGGGCTGAGTGAGAAGGGTGGTCCAGGGTGGGTAAAGAAGAAGTGGTGGCCTCTTTCTTCTCAGAAAGTGGGTCTTAACGAAAGCAGAGTTCTGGCCGTGAGTATTAGTTGGCATCAGCCTGATTTTTCCTTTGCTTAATTTCATCCCTCTGCACCTCAGGGTACCCTGATGCTGGTGGCTCTCTCTTCCTGGCCACAGGAGACCTGCCAATGCTTGAGGAGCTCAGCAGTCTTGATTTGATAATAAGGCCCTCCTTTCCTGGGAAACAAGTCAGACAGTGAAATGGCATTGCCACAAAACCAACTACCATCCACACAAAGGCTTATGGCCCCTTAGGCTTCGCCCATGGGGAGAGAGCCCACCTGCAGCAAGGAAACATTTGTGGCCCCTCACAACCCATGGGCTGCACCTGGCTGCAGGCCCTCCTCAGCCATAGCTGGGATGAGCCATCAGTGGTGCAGTAGGGGCTGCCGTAAGCTCCTGCCCGCTCGCTCTCAGCAGGCTGGGGACCAGGGAAGGAACTGTGCCTCCACCCCTCGATCCTCCAAAGGGGAGCAGCAGGTGAAGAAAAGGAAAGCCTGCCTGGGGTTTTGTTAGGGTCTCTGTGTTCCACAGGTGATTCCAATTGGATTCCTTTCTGGGCCTGCTAGGAAGCACCTACCTTCATCCCCAGCTGGATTTAGTTTTGGGCAGGATGACCCAGAGTGTTGGAGACGTGGCACCATTGTGCTGGACTCAGAGCCCCCAGAGCTCCCTGTGGGGTTCAAGTATCATGGCCTGAGTTGCAATGCAGAGCTGCAGTCAAGCTTCTTGCGCTGTGTTCCTATCATTCCTTCTATGTACCAAGTGCAATGCTGGGGCGATTCTTCATTCAGCATTTATTGGGCATCTGTTATGTGTCTGGCACTGTGATGGGGGCTGAAGGTCCATGGATGAGGAAAGACACCTGCTGTCGGGGATCTCAGGGTGAGTGAGAAAGACTAATGGTGGAGCAGGTATTGATTGGTTATTAGAATGCCATCCAGTGATATAAGAAAGATCGTAGCTAGGAACAGAGTGTGTTGAAGCATGGAGGAGGGGCACCCAAGGTAACGAGATTCAGAATTTTACAGCAGGGGCCCTGGGTCAGGGACAGGGAGAGGCACACCTCCAAGGATTTACCTGAGGTTCATCAGTGCCCTGGGGCAGCTGACCAATCTCAGGGCACATCTACCCGGAGAGGGACCCAGTGGGGAAGTGGAAAGGGGTGGGGCTTGGGACAACTCCGGGGTAGAAGGCTGCCCGAAGCACAGGGCTGGTCCCTTTGTCTCTTTACCCCAAGCTGTCCTCCCAGGGAAAAAGCCTGGGGCCCACCCACCTCATTTTATTATTTTGGAAGGAGAGAAGCTACAGCACAAGGATGATGGCGGAGGCCGCTTTCGGGGCTATGTTTAGAGATTGACTCCCACGTTCCAATGGAATCATAATCAGGCTTTCAGGTGGGTGGAGCATTTGCTCGGCCAGGCAGTCTTCCTTTTGGATATGGGAACATCTCCTTCTGAACTTTGGTCAAGGAGGACCTTGGGTGTCAGCAGAAGGAAACTCGAGAAGGTTCACTTTGTATGCTTGAATAAGTCCCCGGCCTCCAGTCTGGCTGCAGCAGATTAAGACTTGTGGCCCCTTGGCATTTTCTGAAGAAATAGGATATTTTTTTCTTCCCTCCCAGACAGTTCCCTGGTTCTATAATGAGACAGTAAGATTTCAAAGTAAAAACCTATACACCTAAAATTCATCTCAGTTGAAGCCACACTAGGTTTGATGCCTGTTTACAATGACCTTGGATAATTTTGCTTCATTACTCAGAGTATTATGTTTGCATCAGGGGTTCTAAAACAATGTTACTTGCTTAAGATATGAATGAGATATGATCATTTTTCATCATAGTTTGGGCTAGTTCCATTCCTCCTGAGAATAGAAGTATGAGATGAAGATAGGTATGAGATGAGAGGCAAAGAAAAATGGGAGCCTGCATTTCCACTTTCCCCTTCCAAGGGAGCTCCAGGATGACCCAAGTTCCTTCTTTCCTTCTCTTTGTTACCTGGGATCTTTGTCCTAAATAGTCTTGGTTCATACAGCCCCAGTGCTCATTACCTCATTAAGAATAGCTGATCAGCATCACATAGAACAGTGATGAGTATAGTGTGTTATGCATGTGTAGTGGATCCTCTTGTTCTTGGCAGAGATTCTGTAGAGAACACAGAGAGGGGGCTGCTTGCTCATCCCACCATTTCATTTATAAATAGCCTAAGCCAGGGATCTATGCAGCTCAATCCTCCTTTGTTAAAGTTACCTTTGGGAGAGTTTCTGGTGTTTGCACCCTAACAGCGATTTTGCTGTCCACATAAAAGACCCTGATATACTCTGCATTCTGTGAAATTGAAACTTTGATGATAGATATCAAGAACCAAAGATGGCAAACGGTCACATTTTTCTGGCACATGGCTGGTTATAAACATCTTCTACCCCAGTTTCTAGTTACTGTCCGTCTCCTACCAGTTGACAGAATTCATCCTCTTTTCCTTGCCAGCAACATGTCTTTCACATTGAGTTGCTTATCCATTCAATGCACATTTAATCCAGTAGTTCCTATGTATCAGGCGAACAAAGATGAAAGCCCTGGCTCTGTTTTCAAGAACCCCCCAGTCCAGTGAAGATGGGGTATGCAAAATTGTTGTGTCGTACAGGGGCTGGTGTGGGTGGTAGTATAGATACACATAATATGGGTGGGGATGTGAAGGAGAGTGAGTCCGAGTGGTCCAGGGGAGCCAGGGAAGTTTCTCAGTGGAAACTACTGTGGGGGTTGACAGATGATTAGGGATTTTCTAGAAAGATTAGAGTGGAGAAAGCATTCCAGCAGCATACATGAAGGCTCAGAGCCATGAAAGAGAATGGTAGCTCCTGGGACTGATGAATAACCCTGTGTGGCTGGACTCTCAGCTCCGTCGGGAACTGCCACATGAGGCTTGGCCTCTGGGCCTGAGAGGGGCCCAGGGGCTGGCTTATGAGGGTTTATTTGCTTCCAGGGGTAATGGAAAGCTGCTGAGGGGTTTCAGTGAGCAATGGCAGGAGCAGATTGTGGTGTGATCTGTTTGACAACTGTATATGAAGTGATCAGGAGAAGAGGTGAGCCCCTCCTGCTGCTCTGTAGTGGAGCTGTGGTGTGACCCCTGATCCTGGGCACTTGTCCTTTCAGATGCTGTGAGTATTGCCTCCTGATGTCTCACAACTGAGTCCCTCTTAGAAAACTGGCTGAAGAGAGCTTCTTTTCCAAGACCATGAGGGCATGTAAAGGCTTGGTGCCCTTGCTCCAACTGAAGGGCCATCCCAGCCCCAGAGTGCCCTGTGGCATCCCCTGACTCCTTTGTCATCACTGCTTCATGGCTCAACTCCTCCTTTTGCCTCATTCTGCTTCCTTTACTCCCTTACTTATGTTATACTCAAGAGTCCTCCCTATTAAGCCACCTATAGCCAAATCACCGTCTCAGAGTCTGTTTCACAGGAACCTCAACCCACAACACTCTTCCTCAATCCAGAGAGTTGGAGGCCTGCCCCACCTCTCTCAGGTCAACTCCATTCCTCCAAGCCTTCATGACAGCGGAACAGGGGTTGAGACTTCGACACACCATGTTTTGCAGTTTCTGGTTCTTATTGTACAACAAAATCCTTCTCCAGACACTTTTGAAGATTGTGTGGAGGGGAGTGGAGGTGTCTTCACTAATTGTCCCTTGTCCTTCAGTATATGGGAAGAATAGATTTAGGCTCTTCCCAAATAAAAGGGGGAAACTTTGCTGCAATGACCAATTAGATTCATGGGTCAGTAAAATTCCACCTGGAAATTATGAATTGTTTGCTTAGCATTTGTCTCTGCTCTTAACCAATTCAATGAGAATCTCTGACTTACTATTTACAAAAGGTTTTAGAACTAAGAATGTTTTGAATAGGCATTAAATGCATATAGCAATATTCAGAAGATAAAAAGAGTTTAAGTGTGCTACTTTTCCTCCCTCCAACACCCAAAACCTCCCTTTCTCTTTATTTCTATAAACAACTCCACCCCAAACAACTACTAAGACTAGTTTCCTGGCACTTTCTTTTTAAAGGTGAAAAATGTATTTTTTCCATTTTTTTTTCTGGTGAATTGATTTCCATTGATGAGGACTCGATATGTAAAGGCTGGGAGCCAGGTGTGTTGTAAATTGAACCGATCTATTTCTCAGGCTGTAGCTAATTTATAGATTTTCAGTGTTAGAAGAGTCATTAATAGATGTTCAGTTTGAGAAACCTTTTCTAATTTCCCTCAGGAAATCTACTCACTTTGAGATGCTATGCTTTTATATATATATGTTTTAAGATATTCTTTCATTTTTAATGTTAAACATAGCTTTTATTTTTTCATTATAATATCAGAATACATTCATGCTTGACATATCAAAAAATGTAGATAAGCCCTACCTATACTACCACTATCCAGAGATAGATAAACACCTATACTTTGTTCTATACTAGAACTTTCTCTGTGTGTATGTATACATATGCATATATATTCTTTTAAAAAATAGGATCACACTATAGTAAGTTTTTCAATCTGTTCCTCTCTACTATTCAGTGAATATCTTTCCATTTTAATAAATAATCATTTCAACAATTTGAGCTGCCTTATCTTATAGTTTGTATGAATTAGAGTAACCTGGCTGCTATTATAAAACACTCAATCTGTGATGAATCCACACAGAAGTTTATCTCTTGCTCTTGTACGAATCCTGAATATGCATAGGCCAGAAGGGCAGCTTTTCTCCAAGTGGGTATTCAAGGGCTCAGGTCATCCGAGGCTAATCTGTTCAACATGTGGCTTCCAAATGCCAGTGATCACACCTACTCCAACCAGCCTGAAGAGGGAAAGTGCACGTAGGATCTCACAGGCTGGGCCGGGAAGTGGTGTGTGCCATTTCCATCCACTTTTATTGGCTGGGACTCAGGTGCATGGCCATGCCTAACTGTAGAGGAAGTTGGAAAGTGTGTCTAGCTGTGTTTTAGACACAGGAATAAGAAAAAGAATTTGGGCTGGGCACAGTGACTCATGCCTGTAATCCCAGCACTTTGGGAGGCCGTGGCGGGTGGATCACCTGAAGTCAGTAGTTTGAGACCAGTCTGGCCAACATGGTGAAACCCCATCTCTACTAAAAATACAAAAAATTAGCTGGGTGTGGTGGTGGTTGCCTGTAATCCCAGTTACTAGGGAGGCTGAGGCAAGAGAATTGCTTGAACCCAGGAAGTAGAGGTTGCAGCGAGCCAAGATTGTGCATTGCACTCCAGCCTGGGCAACAAGAGCAAAAATTCCATCTTGAAAAAAAAAAAAAAGAATTCGAGTGAAAAGCTAGGAGTTTCTGCCACGTATTATTAATACAGTCATCCCTCGATATCTAAGGGGAATTGGTTCTAGGATCTCCCTTGGATACCAAAATCCATGGATGTTCAAGTCTCTGATACAAAGTGATATAGTATTTGCATATAACCTGTGCACATCCTTCTAAATACTTTAGATCAGCTCTAGATTATAATACCTAATAAAATGTAAACTATGTGTTATACTGTGCTGTTTAGGGAGCAATGGTGAGAAAAAGAAGTCTGTACATGTTCAGGACAGATGCAATGTTTTTTTCTAAAAACTTTTGATCCACGGTCGGTTGAAGCCATAGAGGCAGAACCCACGGATGTGAAGGGCCGACGGCGTCACTTTATCTGAGATCCTTTCTGTTACCGAAAGGCTGAATCCATGTCTGACCCATCCCCACAAAACTTCTTATAATAATTGTGACATAGTTGCCACTGCTCAATAGATAATGAATGAATGAACCCTACCTAGTTCTACTGTTCAGGACTAGTGAGGATCTAGTATTTTTATTCAGGGGTAAACAAGAGCCACCACTCAGGTCATGGAGGAGAAATGGAGTAGGAACTTGATGTCTGAGAAGGAAAAACCTTCTTAGGGGGAAGGCAGGGTACCAAGCCTGGACTAGAAATAGAGGTAAAGGGAATGTAAACGTCCTAGACTTTAAGAGGATGCTGACCAGAAATAGTCTGGACTTGCATTGTTAGGGAACCTGTGTGATTTTTTCCCCCCTAAACCAGATAAAGCTTACCTCTCTATAACCCTTGATGTTCTGGATTACAATCCTTGATGGGTTTTGGTCTGTGTTTTCATGACATGCTTGTGTTTCTAGAAAAGAAGTATTCTGTTACTTGTGAGAAGACAGGCCTGAAAGTACACTGTTGACTTACTCTGAGAAGCAGGGATGTCTCTGTAGCCTAGGAAATGCCACAGGACCCAGAGGATTGGCAACGAGACTCTGGGGTGACACCCAGAGAAACAAGTGGTGAGGACAGCTGGTATCCTGGCATTGCCCGGTAGACAGGATGGAGGCCTTCATTGATAGAACAATTTTTTTAATGCATTAGATGGTCTTGATAGTGACACTGGGCAGGCAGGTGGGGCAAGGGAGACTATCCCAATTCTCCATGTACTCTCAGCACAGGACAGCCTGAAAGCACCAGTGTCTTGTGTAATGACTTGTGCTAAGGCAACTAGTGAAGGAGGATAGAGGCAGGCCCAGAATTCCCTCTACACTCCAAGCCCTGGTTTTATTGTAATGTCAAGAGCCAGTAAGTAGGGTGCATGATCTTCCATTCTGATTTGGCTTCCCCTACCCTCCACCTATCCATCAGGGAATAATTGATTTCTCACTGTACAGTCTAGTCCCCCCATTATATACTTACTCTTAGAAAGTATGTACAGATAATGGGTGCAGTTTCTTCTTCCCTGTAGGAGGGTTGCAGGAAGAGCTCCTCCCATAGGCTCTCACAGCCAGTTGTTTTTTCACAGGTCCAAGAACACAGCAGCTCTGTTCCACAGTTGTCCTGCTTGGGGAGTGGACTGAGGGCTGATGGCATTCTGAAGGCGTTTTTTCTAGGATTGGACATGGCCTACTGGAACACACAGGTCACTGGAGGAAGATGAAGTAGTATGCCCAGCCCTGTGCCCCAGTGCATCTTCAGAAGCTGGTGGCCAGGCAGCCAACATCTAGGGGCAGGTGTATATCCTTCAGGGCTTATGAATCCACCTTCTTTCTTCCTTCAAGGGGAAAAGGGGTGATTGGGCCAGGTAATTTTAGTATTGGATAGAAGTTCTGATCATTTAATATTTTACAACTTACATGAAAATCAGCTTAATGTGTTGAAGGCTACTTGCTTTTTCAGTGGAATTTTTAAATGGTGCAGCAATTACTTTGGCTGCAGTAAAAGC
Organism: Homo sapiens; assembly: GCF_000001405.40. Classification (NCBI taxonomy): domain Eukaryota; kingdom Metazoa; phylum Chordata; class Mammalia; order Primates; family Hominidae; genus Homo; species Homo sapiens. The sequence goes on along the minus strand of NC_000005.10, from coordinate 68,732,520 downwards.
TTGGAATGAGTCAAGTAAAGAGTATATATAGTTTCATTTCAGTATCCCCAGTGGCACATGTAGTTATTAAGATTTAAAGCATTTTGGCCTTGAGATCATGAAATTCCTAGAGCTAGGGGGAAGGGGTGGAGATGAAGGGACAAAGGAAAGGAAGAAGGGTGAGAGGATTCTTGCAAATACCCATAGCTGTTAACACTATTTTATAGAGCACTGTCCATCTGAAAGCCTTGGAGCACTCTGAGGGTCATACCATCAATCCTCACACTGTCCCCTTGCAGGAATAAAGGCAACTGGCAATAGGTATGAAATATGAAAGAAGATGGGGAGTCAGTAGGATGCAAAATGTCACTCAAGTAACTTTTTACCTTGAGCGCGGGGCCAGTGGTCCCAACTCCTTTTTGAATGCAGGGACTGCTCACAGGGCCTTGCCATGGACTGAGTAAAAGAATGAAGACTGCCATCTTGCTTTATGACCCATGGCAGGGGTACACTAGAATTGAACATGATGAAAAATCATTTTAATTGGAATAGGAACAAGGCTAGACTCTTAGGCTGGGCCAAATGATAACTTTACTCATCTCCAATTTAATTATGAGGTTGTTTGCTTGAATGTGGCTACCATTTTAGAGCTACAAAAAGTGACAACATGAAAATACTCACTATTTAAAAATGAGTGAAAAAGTTGCACATAGATGGGTGGAGGAAAGGAACATCATGCCCTTCATTCTAGCCCCTCCCCCAGCACTTATTCCCCACCCAATGAATCTCATTAGTTGGTGTATAAGGGATGAATTGTACTTTAGTCATGGTTGAATGTATCCCATTTCCTTTTGGTATTTTGAGACTTTTTTTTTTTATAATTATGCTTTTGTGATGAGAGAGGTATTGGGATTCTCTGGGGTTTGGGAATATCTTTGCTTTATCCTAAAAGCACCTGTCTATTCCCTCTGTGCAATGGTTTCTAATCCTGCCTAGGATGGAGAGATACAAAATGGGCTTCTAATTTCATGGTTGAAGTGAGAAGAGATAATATCAGCTCAGTTTCCTGCGTAAAAATTATTTCTCATATAAACCTTCTAGAAGTTTGCCTTTGTTGCTGCAACACGGTCAGAAGGATAAGCATGTATATATGTGTACATATAGTTTTCATTCACATGCATTTATAGACTGATCATGAAAAGAAATTCTTTTCTTAACCCAAGATTTAAGAAGTTCTATGTTATCAATATGAGTGCCAGGTGATATCTTTTAAGCATTTTGTAACATGCCCTGAGATACAACCATGGCAAGTATCAGATATATCAGCCCTTTCTAGGGAGCAATATTTTAGGCATCCTTAATGGTGGTTACCTCAAAATGATCATTCCTGCACGGACTCAGCATATTGTTTATGGGCATTTGCTGCAATGTAACATAAAGGGAGCTGAGACAGGAGAGGGTTAAGGAAAATAAATGGGGTCCAGTGTGAACATCTTTCCCCCTTTTCAGCTTTTTAGAAGATAAATGTTTCAGATTTCAATCTGTGGTTCCCAGCAGTTCTTTTGGAACACTGCAGTCGGCCCACAAAAATCGCTACTGCTGAGCCAACCCTAGATAATGCGCCTCAGCAGGGATGACATAATGTGCTAAAAGAAGACTATGATGTAATGCCCATCTCAGAAATCAGAGCCAATTTCCGTTACAAAGCCTTGGAGTCTAGCAGGAGGTAATGAGCTGGCATAAATTGTGCAGCACAGAAAACTTCTAGGTCTGATATTCCTATCTGCATTTTTAAAGGCAAAAAAATTAAAAATGAAACAGAATTCCTAGATCTGCTGGGCAGAGCATCTGCTCACCAAGAGGTCTTGCCCCCTTCCAATTTGGACAGACTGGTACTCCAGGCTCCCTGGATCACCTTGGCCCATGTGGGAAATTGTTGTCTGGGTCTGTAATCTGCACAAAGTGGTGATGTAATTTATAATGTAATTTCAAATTTGTTTCTGCAGATAATGTTTGAGGAGAGGGTGTGGTGTTTGAAGGAGATCGTGCCTTTCCTGAAATATTGGGATAAGTAGGCTGGAAATGCCTAGGAGGAAGCTGGGGGTGAGGAGTGGTGAAGAAAGTCAGAATCACCTTGAAAACTTTATTAGGTGCAACCTGCTCTGGCATGCAGAAGTCTGTGCATGGGGAACCTAAAGGCTCCCAGATAACAAATCTCCTGCAGCCTCCCGTGGATTAATTATGCATTCTGACCTTCTGGGGTGTAGCCTGCCTGGCAACCAGCAACTAGGGTCCAGCTCTTTGTCGTGTTTAACAGAAATGTTGAAAACAGACATAAATTCACCTAAGTAATGATTTAGAGTTCCAGAGAGTAAGGAAAGAAGCACGATCTTTGATTTCAAAAGTGTTCCATCACTACAGTTTTCTATTTTAGTTCATGCTTTCCTTCATTTTATTTTTAATTGCTTGGAGTGTTTGCATGAGGAACACATTTCTATTTTACTTGCCTTCTATGATTTCTCTTATGTTCCTCACTTGGGGCTTGATCCTGTAACATGCGCTGCACAGCAGCAACTCCCTCTGGATGGAACAGTAGTGGTTTTGTGTCACTGCTTGTTGAAGATCAGGCCTTCAGAGCCACAGACCTGGGGGGAACAGGAGTGTGTGTGACAGCATTGGCAGAGAACTGCTGGCTTCACAAACTGCTACTGTGTCTTTAAATAGGGGATAAACATCGGGAGCAGATGACAATTTGCTGGTATAAGAAAACGAGAGAAATAAAACAGAAAACATGACATATAGGCTGAAGAGGAGTTGCTTCTATGACATGCAAACTGAAACGGCATTGCTTTCTAGATCTTTCTATGAAATGCCAGCCAGTCTTTTATTCTTACCTGCTAAAAGGACGGTCACTATCAGAGCCACTGGTGGTCATTTGCAGCCTGATCATGGGTCAAATATTAATACTATTAATGATGATGATAATTTTTAGCTAGTGTTTTTTAGTGTATAGCAGGTGTTATCCTAAGGTCTTTGTATTGTCTTATTTAATTTTTACCAGAACCCTCTGAGATAGGTACTAGTATGATCCTTTCCATTTCACAGAAGAGGAAAACTGAGGCTCAGAAGGTTTAAATAACTTGTCATGCTTGCACACCTAGTACTTGGCCCACCTGGCACTGGCATTCTCAGCATAACCACCTTGGAGCACTAGCGTTCAGATGCCACAAGGTTTAGGTAGAGATGATCTCTGTCTTTAAGCCAGGTATTCCATGGGGCAAATGAATTCATCACATTAATATTTGCACAAAGCAAAGGATTGTTGCCTTTTATCTTTGTATTGTGTCACTGGGCCCCTGTTTGGTATATACCAAGTACTCACTAAATGTTTGCTAAATATTAGAGGAGGAGGTGAGGGAGAAAGAGGCAGAGAACAAGTGCACAAAGAAATAAAGTATAAATCAAATAGAGAGCTCAGTGAGAATGACATGGAGTCAGGTTGCTTCTAGTTTATCAGAGAAGACTACCTGAGGAAGATGGTCAACAATGTGTCTGCATTCACAGCTAAATAAGATGAAAGGGCTATTGCTTTTTGTTTCCAAATTCTTTAGCATCTGACTAGGTGATTGAGGCTGCTCAGTGAATAGATGTTAGAGACACGTGAAGATTGAATTCTTTATTAATAGGGACCATTCATGGATAGGTTCTTGCTAATTCAATAATGTCAGTTTTAAACAAAATCGCTGATATAAAAAGGGATGGGGAACTGGGTGCAGTGGTGCATGCCTGTAGTCCCATATACTCAGGAGGCTGAGGCAAGAGGATCACTTGAGCCCAGGAATTTGAGTCCAGCCTGGGCAACATAATGAGATCCCATCTCTACAAAATAAATAAATAAATAAAAATGAATGCAGACAGGAGCATATATTTGACAGGAAGAATATGCTATAGCAGAATAATTGATTTGGGCAGTTTGTAATATATTTTATATTCAACAGCTATGGGCCCACCACTGTATGATTACGTGCAAAACGAGTACACAACAGAAAAGATTGAGACCTCCTGTGCTCTTTTCAGTATGACATATCTGTGATATCTAATGTCTATTTGCTTATTCTATCATTCTACCCTCTGAAAACATATGGAAGAGACAATACAGTTAAAAAACTCATAGCAAATGAAACATCCTTAACCTGTAACAAAATCATTCATCAATCAATATTGGTAAGTTCAAAATCTCACACTTTCAAGTGTCTGCTTGACACGGTGGAATTTTATTTTCATCACAAACACCCTAGGAACTGCTCCTCCAGGCTTCACACCAAATTATTCCTGCTCTTCCTCTATCAGTGGTGCCTGGTGATTCTGCCTCCTCTCCATTCTTGCTGGAGTGCTCTTTATCTCTCACTTTGATGATCATAAGCAGATTCCTTCCTCTAGTGTCTCTCATCTGTGGTCTCTAATTCATTGAGGCCCAATGAATCTGCCTAAAGACAGGCCCTCTGAAGAATGGTCAGTGGCTGCCCGTCACTTAAAGAATTTACCACAAGCTTTCTGGCTTCTTCTTGATACTCTGCAACTTGGCTTCTAAAACATGCTTCCAACTGTGTCTCCCTTCGTTTATCTATTCCACATATTAGCCAAACAGGTCCACTTGCTAGTTCCTAAGCAGGCCTTTGATTTTTATGCCTTTTTGTCAATTTCCTTTCCCAGAAAGCTCAGTCTTCAGTGACCTCTTACTGTGTTTAAGTCCTTTCCATCCTTCAAGTCCCCGCTCAAGAAGCCACCTCTTTGATAAGCATTTCTTGTATCCTTCCAACTGGAAGTGACAGACTCCCTCTCTGGACCCCACAATACTCAGGCTGAGCTTGTCTTTAGGCACCTAGCTGACTCCTCCCTATGGCACAGTTGTTGATGTGCAATGTCACAGTCTTAGAATTTTGCAACCAGGAGGCATATTTTTCTTCTCCCTAATTAAATGGTACATTTCTAGAGGCAAGACTATGTCTCCTTTATATTTATGTCCCTTAGAGTGTGCAGCATAGTTCTTAGCACATGGCAGATGTTCAGTGGATGATTGTCAAATCAATGAAATGAGCATTAAAATCCTCAGTTGCAATATTAACCATGGAAGCATCTATAGTCCCAAAGCTGGAAAATGGGGCTCATTTAGATGTTCCTATCTCTGCCTCCTTCTGCCCCTTGGATATGGATGACTAAGGATATCTGGTTTATCTGAGGAGGCCAAAAATAACACAATATATAGTTGGAAAGAAAAGGATGATTATAAAGGATGACAGGAAACCACTTTCTAATTGGCTTTGTCTAACCATATTTTTTTTTATCCTTTTTGTGTTTCTTTCCCAACCCCCTTGCCTTCCTCTTGTTCTCCACACTTTTTGACCTATAGTGAGGACCATGAGTGATTGATAGAATTTGGAAAGATAGTATTAGATTTCTTGCTCAATGAAATTTTTTTTTGTTCTCCTGAATGTGAGTTAAAGAAATTTAAGTCTTGCTTTCTCATTTTATAAAATGAAAGGGTGATGATAGATTAACCCTACTTTTCCTTATAGCATAAGAATCTGTTGAAATCTTGTAAGAGACAGTACTAAAAGCATTTTTCCCTCATTGGGCTGGTGAATTTTTGAGTAGAACATTGACATTTTCTTTGCTACAGATACCTTTACAGAGCATATGTAGAACAAAATTGCACAGCACCAAATAAAATCCATTCATAGTAAACCTTGAGACAGTAGAAAGGATATGAATTGATTGGTACAAAAAGTAACAAGGCTAAAGAAATTAGGGTAATAAAACTCCCCTGTAAAATCTAGCAAAGTAGAGAAAAGGGTGGCTATTACCAGGTGAAACATAGCAACTGGAGGGGTAGCCTTTTCTGGAAGTTGATGTAGGTACAGGCATCTCTGAATTCAAGAAAAAAAAAAAAAAAGGCTTTTCTTGTCCATGCTGAAGCTCCTGTTAAAAGACGCGTTAGTGAGCCTCCATCCCTGAATAGCTATGATGCAACTCCACCTCTGACATCCTTAAAGCATTTCCTCTGACGGAAGATCACAAACTTAGCCTATTCAGGTTGACTTGAAGCCTACTACTTCCTGCCTAAACCAAAATAACTATGAGCCAAGTCAAAGGATAAGATAGTTTTGAATCGATCAGTAGAAAAGATGATAATGAGATGGGTGCCATCAAGAATACGTTGCTTCCACAGATGGGTCCCAGAGTCTTCTGCCCATGCTGAGTAAATAGGGCAGGGAGAAAAGACCTCCCAGGAGATATATGTGGATCACGAGCAGTTCTCTGTGACTACCTACTGGCACCCTCCTTCCAGGAATGAACTCACCCACTGACTTCAAGAGAGTGCAGCCCATGCCTGCTGTTGACCACAGTCTTGTTACCAACACCTTATGGTTAACTGAATCAAAAGCTTCCGACAGGTCTAAAATTAGCCCAGCTAAACATATCATTAAGGAGTTAGGGAGGAGTGTGAATGACCTTCCTTCAGCCCTGTCTCCCATATCCAGTCAGCTGTGGGGGCTCATTGGAGTGCTAAATTGGGCTTTTAGGCTCTGGAAATAAATGACCCTTTAGATTGATTTTTTTTATTGCCTGAAGGTGCATATTTTTGGAAAGTTGGGAAGCGTTCTGTTCATCTATTTTGAATCATTTGAGTATAAAAATGTGGCATTTTCACACTTTGGGATATTCAAGTCCCCTATTCCTTTTTTAAAGTCTCTTAATATTTTTTCAAACCTTTCAAATTAGTTTATTTAAAGGCCATATTTGATTTCCTCACAGTTTCTGAGGTAGAAATGTAACTTTACCAGCTTTGAGGGGGAACAGTCATGGTAGTTCACCATATAGAAGTTATAAATAGGTAGGAATACTATTCTAAGCATTACATTTCTGGTAGGAATTTAAATACCCATGGAGAAGAGTGGCAGAGGCAGGGTCTCTGTGTGTACTTTTTTACACATACCTTTAATGGAAAACTAAAAAGTTAATTCTCTTTATCTTTGCTATTCAGGGACACCCTTATCCTCCATTTCTTTCCAAGTTGCCAGGATAAAAAGACCCAGGGGAAGAAAATAAAGATGACATGGTAGCATTTCTGAACTCTTGCTTGACATGAGCCAGACTGGTTCAATTTCTTTACTTTCCAGCCCAATTATTTTGAAATTCATTTGTCTTCTCACTAAGCCAGCATGTCCCAGTGTATGTTTCCTAGAACATCAGGTCTGCAGGATGTTAATAGATGTCACTTGGAAAAAGAGTTTTGAGTTAAACAGATTTCTTTTCTGCTGGGCTTCTTTCTCAGGTTTCCTAGTGTGTGATGTGAATCTTCAAGAAGGAAATATGGTATGTAACATGTCCCAGGTTTGTTGGCCCTGGATGGCCTTCTTTCCTTCCTTCCTCTATTTTCTATTTATTAAACCAAGTATCTACAGGATTGGTGCTTTGGGGAGTGCAGCCTGGGAAGTAATAGGTGATGGTATTTGAAATTTCAGAATTCCATCTCTTTCAGTTGACTGAGCAGCTCAGCTTCCGAAAGTGATCATCTAGACTGGATACTGGTGTGTTCCAGGTCTCCCACCACTGGATGGTGGCCCTGGACAGTCACTTGTCCTCCCTGAGCCTCATGTGTATAAAATTAGAGAGCTGGGCTGAATGGCCTGTAGGGCCACTTATAATACCCCCTCCCCAAGTTCCTGCAAGGTGGACAGTAGTCCTGGGACTCTACTACTCTGCCCCTCAACCACAGCTGCTTGGACTAGGGATAGAATGATGTTATCTGTTCAGGTTTGAGGGATGTACTTTTTTGGTTTCTTCTTTTTTGGATATTGCCAAAAAGTCATCAACAGTCAAAGCATAAATCTAAGAAATTTTAGACTAAAGGAAATCCTTTAATAAAGGGCAGGTATCTGAAAATAGAAGCTTGGCCAGAAAGCGGCTCCTCTGCCAGGATTTTAATGGAGGCTTCACAGTACAGCTAAGGTCCTTTTCATGATTTTTAATTAAAGTGTGTCTATCCTAATGCTGTAATTATAAACAGACTCTTGTCAAGTCAGAGAGCATTTGCCCTTCAATCATTGTATTTCAAGACACTGTCTACTTTTGACAAGTGATAAATGTCTTTAGTTTGGAGTCTACTATAGAAAAATGTAGCTTTTAGAGTTGTGTCATATTCTCTCTGTTTCTTCCCCCTCAAACCCAGAGCCTGCTACAAATATTTGAAAAGCCCTGACTGGATGTAAGGCTCATATTCTATTTGAAGACACCAGACTCTAAACCCCTCTGGGCTTCAATTTCTTGTCTGTGAAGTGAGATCCTGATTATACTGTCTTGGGAGGCACACCACCAAAGGTTTCTCCATCCTTCTCTAGATCGAAATTTACCCACCTCAGCTTTCCAAGCTGCAGTAGGTTAGGCATTCATAGCTTCTTGGAGATTATTTTCTTGGAGATTTTTCTCTTTACAGCAAGACACTCCTAAATATATGCTGCCATATTTCAAAGAATACATTACTCCTGATGCAAATGTCATATTCTGAAGGTGGCAATAGTGTTTCAGTGACAGGCATATTTGGAGCCATCTTCAATCATACTTCTGAGGCAGCTTCCTCCTTGGCCAAATATACTCAGCCTTTAATAACAGTGTAGAGAAACAAGGAGTGAAGACTTGCTATTTACACCCCATCCCCACTGATGCAGTTTGGATATTAGACCCCATGAAAATCTCTTGTTGAAATGAAACCCCCAGTGGAGGTGGGGCCTGGTGGGAGGTGATTGGATCATGGAGGTGGATTTCTCATGAATGATTTAGCACAAACCCCTTCTTGCTGTCCTCGCTATAGTGAGTGAATTCTCTTGATATCTGGTCATTTAAAAGTGTGTGGCACCCCCTCCCACCCACTCTTTCTCTTCCTCCTGCTCTGGCCATGTAACATGCCTGCTTCCTCTTTGCATTTGCCATGATTGTAAGTTTCCTGAGGCCTCCCCAGAAGCTGAGCAGATGTTTGCACCATGCTTCCTGTAAAGCCTGCAGAATCATGAGCCAATTAAACCTCTTTTCTTAATAAATTACCAAGTCTCAGGTCTCTCTTTCTTTCTTTTTTTCTATCTTTCTCATCTCTCTCTTTGAGACAGAGTCTTGCTCTGTTGCTCAGGCTGGAGCGCAGTGGTGTGATCTCAGCTCGCTGTAACCTCTGTCTCCCAAGCTTAGGTAATCCTCCCACCTTAGCCTCCTGAGTAGCTGGGACCACAGGCATGAGCCACTATGCCCAACTATTATTTATTTATTTATTTATATTTTTTTTGAGAGGAGATTTTGCCGTGTTGCCCAGGCTGGTCTCAAACTCCTGAGCTCAAGAGATCCACCTACCTTGGCCTCCCAAAGTGTTGAGATTACAGATGTGAGCTACCATGCCCTACCTAGGTATTTCTTTATAGCAATGTGAGAATGGCCTAATACACCCACCTTGGCTCAAATAAGCAACACAGGATCAGAGAGGCAAATATAGTACCTGTTTGTGCACTGGGGAATTGTGGGAAAGAATCTCTTCCCCAGTAGAAATCACTACATGGCTATCATAAGTCTACGTTTGCCCTTTAGGTCTATAAAGGGAGGCTTTGCTGTACCAGTTTCTCCCACAGTCCCTTTCTCATAAATCAACTCCCCATTCCCAAGTTCCTCCAATGTAGGCGGTAGACTGTGTGACCTGTCTCAGGTCCCCTAGCCAAAACTAATTGGAATAGGAGTAGACATCTGCCCCCATGAGAACAAGTACATAGGCTGAGCTGATCGGTGATATATTTTTTTTTCTCAAGAATTTGAACTACCAGATTCAGAATTAAACATGCTTGAGACTGTAGAGACAGACCTGGCAACACTGGGTTAGTTTACGCATGTGGCCAGAAGCCGCAGGAATGGAGCGGCTGCTGCTTTCATTCTAAAGACATGTGCTCTCTAGTGCCCCCGTCCTCACGTATGCGACTTGTCTGAGAGTCACCTTCCTCCTCCTCCATGCATTAGAGTTTGCTCCTTATCTTAATACTTCAATTATGCTTTTGCCCAAACTTTTATCATCCCTCTCATTTCTCTTTTCCTAAAATTGGAACTGAGAAATTCTTACAGGTATGACCTACCTGTTGGTTTCTTTCCCATCTATAAAAAAAATTGTTTGCCTACTAGTACACGATGGAGGAATGGCTGGATGGATTTTCATCGCATTTTTTTTCTTTTTTTTGTTTTTTGAGACGGAGTCTCGCTCTGTGGCCCAGCCTGGAGTGCGGTGGTGCGATCTCGGCTCAGTGCAAGCTCCGCTTCCTGGGTTCACGCCATTCTCCTGCCTCAGCCTCCCGAGTAGCTGGGACTACAGGCGCCCGCCACCATGCCTGGCTAATTTTTTGTATTTTTAGTAGAGACGGGGTTTCACTGTGTTCGCCAGGATGGTCTCGATCTTCTGACCTCGTGATCCGCCAGCCTCGGCCTCCCAAAGTGCTGGGATTGCAGGCGTGAGCCACCGCGCCCTTCCTCATCGCATTTTTGAAGAGTAAATTTAGATGGTCTGACTTAAAATACAGGCTGTGTGAAATCCATGAAATGTGAAATTTACCTTTTTGGGATGCATGAGGATAGCGCAAAGAGGAATTTTAGATGTTTCCTAAACACCTGCAGATATTGATTTGTAATCAAGTTGCTTTTGGGCAATTGGCGCTAGCTGTCTTGAATGCTGTAATTTGATGTAGAGGTTGAGGTCATTTGGGAACTAAAGGAGAATTGAGCATTTATGTGTTTCTCTCACAGGAGTCTGGTAGGAGCCATCTCTGCCCACCCTCAGCCAGGGATGGTTTGGTTTTCTGCTGAAAACATTTGAATCACATTAGGATTAAAGCCAGATAGAAGGAGAAAATTAAAGAGACAGAAGAGGCTTCCTACATTTGGTTCCTAAGAAGCTAGACCCTTCCACAGTCAAAGGACAGCACGACTGATTTAATAATACTCAGTCCCTGGGCTTCCATGAGCTCATAGAGAGAAGACTTGGAGGAGATTCAGGGAGACCAAACCATGCGGGACTACAATAGAGGCTTGGGGCTGGAACTGTTGTCTCAGGGACCGAAGGGTGGACTGCGTGGCTAGATGCCCTGGCTATATCTACAGTGTAGTGTGATGCCAATAATCTGGAATTTTGTTTGAGCTCAGCATTTTTTTTTTACCAGAGTATTTCTCATAAAATGTAGAAAGTAATTTCTTGGACATCGAGCTGCTGTCAATGATAACAAATGTATTGTATATATTTTTTCTAAATTCCTGGAAACTGCCTTAGCACATGGTGGGGTATAAAATAACCCCTCCCTTGTGTTAGATTAAGTGGGTTTTAAAAGATGATGGGTGATACATTTTCTTCATAAGATTAGAATTTGGGGGAAATTTTGATGATGTGTCCTGCAGCAATTTCAATGACATTTGGCAGCTTTTATTTTCTGTTGGTGTGGTATGTACACCATTTGGTTCCGCAATAAGCTGGATGTTGTTTTAAACACCATGAATTGCAAACTTCATAAACTGAGGGGAAGTGGAAGTGGTTAGAAAGGCCACTTATAAAAGTCTGTTGGTGGGCACCTGTGGTCCCAGCTATTCGGGAGGCTGAGGCAGGAGAATGGCGTGAACCCGGGAGGCGGAGCTGGCAGTGAGCCGAGATTGCGCTGCTGCACTCCAGCCTGGGCGACAGAGCAAGACTCTGTCTCAAAAACAAAAATAAAAATAAAATAAAATAAAAGTCTGTTGAGTTTGCATGCACAATTTAAAATTTATGGAGATTTCTTTGTTATTAAGAATGATAGAAATGAAAATAATATTTTTAATAAGGTGACAGTATGACTTTACCTACTAATAATACTCCTAACAATCATATAATGTAGGCAATTTTTGCATCTGTGTTCTACTGTTGAGAGATTAATTGACTAAATGACTAAATGACACTGCTGGAGGCTGAGTAAGGACTCAAGCCCAAGTCTTTTCATACTGTTCCTCATCTAATTCCAAATCCAATCCTGCAGTGTTCTCTCTTTACAGTTATTCTTTGTTAAAAATTTACCAGAAACAATAAACAAAACAAAACAAAAACAATTTAAGTATTCAAGAGAAAAAGTACATGGGACAGTTCTTATGCCCACCTCACATCCTCTTACCTTACCTTTTACCCTGGTTATTGCCATGGAAATCTGATACACCATTTATCTCCTGCTTTCTGTCTCCAGGATTTTCTGACTTTGCAGTGTGGGACACCCGGGGGAATCCTCTAGTTCATTCTCATGCATGCATAAGTCTAGAAGTGAGAACTAACATCCATGGGCAATCTTTGACTAACACATGGTGACAGCTGGTCAATAAATGCTCCCTTTTTGATTCTTTCTTTTATATACCTTCACAGTATACCTTGTTTTGATTTTCCCTTCTTTCTTGTTTCATTCTTTCCAGTTCTCAGCCATTACCTGGTTCATTTCCATAAATAAATGACTGACAAGCAAGCCTTGATCTCAGGTCCTATTTTCTAGGAAAAAACCTAAGCTAAGACAAAAGGTTTCTGCAATACCAGCTGCAAGGCTACTCACTGATTATAGTGGGCATTTGTTGTTTCTGGCACTCAGTATTCACTTTCTTTTTTTATACTTTAAGTTCTGGGGTACACGTGCAGAATGTGCAGGTTTGTTACATAGGTATACACGTGCCATGGTGGTTTGCTGCACCCATCAACCTGTCATCTACATTAGGTATTTCTCCTAATGATACCCTTCCCCTAGTCCCCACCCCGCAATAGGCCCTGGTGTGTGATGTTCCCCTCCCTGTGTCCATGTGTTCTCATTGTTCAACTCTCACTTATGAGTGAGAACATGCAACGTTTGGTTTTCTGTTCCAGTGTTTGCTGAGAATGATGTTTTCCAACTTTATCCATGTCCCTGCGAAGGACATGAACTCATCCTTTTTTATGGCTGCATGGTATTCCATGGTGTGTATGTGCCACATTTTCTTTATCCAGTCTATCATTGATGGGCATTTGGGTTGGTTTCAAATCTTTGTTATTGTGAACAGTGCTGCAATAAACGTATGTGTGCATGTGTCTTTATAGTAGAATGATTTATAATCCTTTGGGAATATACCCAGTAATGGGATTGCTGGGTCAAATGGTATTTCTGGTTCTAGATCCTTGAGGAATCGCCACAGTGTCTTCCACAATGGTTGAACTAATTTATACTCCCACCAACAGTGTAAAAGTGTTCTTACTTCTCCATATCCTCTCCAGCATCTCTTGTTTCCTGACTTTTTAATGACCACCATTCTAACTGGCGTGAGATGGTATCTCATTGTGGTTTTGATTTGCATTTCTCTAATGACCAGTGATGATGAGCTTTTTTTCATGTTTGTTGGCTGCATAAATGTCTTCTTTTTGAGAAGTGTCTGTTCATATCCTTTGCCCACCTTTTCATGGGGTTGTTTGTTTTTTTCTTGTAAATTTGTTTAAGTTCCTTGTAGATTCTGGATATTAGCCCTTTGTCAGATGGAACAAATTGCAAAAATTTTCTTCCATTCTACATGTTGCCTATTCACTCTGATGATAGTTTCTTTCACTGTGGAGAAGCTCTTTAGTTTTATTAGATCCCATTTGTCAATTTTGGCTTTTGTTTCCCTTGCTTTTTGTGTTTTAGTCATGAAGTCTTTGCCCATGCCTATGTCCTGAATGGTATTGCCTAGATTTTCTTCTATGGTTTTTATGGTTTTAGGTCTTATGTTTAAGTCTTTAATCCATCTTGAGTGTATTAAATAGGAAATCCTTTCCCCATTGCTTGTTTTTGTCAGGTCGAAGATTAGATGATTGTAGATGTGTGGCATTATTCCTGATGCCTGTGTTCTGTTCCATTGGTCTATATCTCTGTTTTGGTACCAGTACTATGCTGTTTTAGTTACTATAGCCTTGTAGTATAGTTTGAAGTCAGGTAGCGTGATGCCTCCAGCTTTGTTCTTTTTTTTTTTTTTTTGAGACAGAGTCTCGCTCTGTCACCCAGGTGGAGTGCAGTGGTGTGATCTCGGCTCACTGCAAGCTCCGCCTCCTGGGTTCACACCATTCTCCTGCCTCAGCCTCCCGAGTAGCTGGAACTACAGATGCCTGCCAGCACACCCAGCTAATTTTTTGTATTTTTAGTAGAGACGGGGTTTCACCATGTTAGCCAGGATGGTCTCGATCTCCTGACCTTGTGATCCGCCCGCCTTGGCCTCCCAAAGTGCTGGGATTACAGGTGTGAGCCACCGCGCCTGGCCTCCAGCTTTGTTCTTTTTGCTTAGGATTGTCTTGACTATATGGGCTCTTTTTTCGTTCCATATGAAATATAAAGTAGGTTTTCCTAATTCTGTGAAGAAAGTCAATGGTAGCTTGATGGGGATAGCACTCTATCTATAAATTACTTTGGGCAGTATGACCATTTTCGTGATATTGATTCTTCCTATCCACGAGCATGGAATGTTTTTCCATTTGTTTGTGTCCTCTCTTATTTCCTTGAGCAGTGGTTTGTAGTTCTCCTTGAAGAGGTCCTTCCAGAGAGAAAGGTTGGACTTACCCACAAAGGGAGGTCCATCAGACTAACAGTGGATCTCTCTGCAGAAATCTTACAAGCCGGAAAAGTGGGGGCTAATATTCAACATTCTTAAAGAAAAGAATTTTTAACCGAGAGTTTCATATCCAGCCAAATAAAGCTGCATAAGCGAAGGAGAAATAAAATCCTTTACAGACGAGCAAATGCTGAGAGATTTTGTCACCATCAGGCCTGCCTTACAAGAGCTCCTGAAGGAAGCACTAAATATGGAAAGGAAAAACCAGTACCAGCCATTGCAAAAACATACCAAATTGTGAAGACCGTTGACATTATGAAGAAACGGCATCAACTAACAGGCAAAATAACCAGCTAGCATCATAATGACAGGATCAAATTCACACATAACAATATTAACCTTAAATGTAAATGGGCTAAATGCCTCAATTAAAAGACACAGACTGGCAAATTGGTTAAAGAGTCAAGACCCATCTCTGTGCTGTATTCAGGAGATCCATCTCATGTGCAAAGACACATATAGGCTCAAAATAAAGGGATGGAGGAAGATTTATCAAGCAAATGGAAAGCAAAAAAAAAAAAAAAAAAAAAAGCAGGGGTTGCAATCCTAGTCTCTGATAAAACAGACTTTAAACCAACAAAGATCAAAAAAGACAAAGAAGGGCATTACATAATGGTAAAGGGATCAATGCAACAAGAAGAGCTAACTATCCAAAATATATACACACCTAATACAGGAGCACCCAGATTCATAAAGCAAATTCTTAGAGACCTACAAAGAGACTTAGACTCCCACACAATAGTAGTGGGAGACTTTAACAACCCACTGTCAATATTAGACAGATCAGCGAGACAGAAAATTAACAAGGATATTTAGGACTTGAACTCAGCTGGACCAAGGGGACCTAATAGACATCTACACAACTCTCCACCCCAAATCAACAGATTATACATTCTTCTCAGCACCACTTTCTTTTTATGATTACTATAGCCTGATGTCCTCTTTTCTAACTCAGTTCATGTGTCTTTGGGGTATACCTGATTCCATTCCCTGATGCCATATGACCCAGGCTGCAGTCTGGGTTTGGAGGTGAACACGTGACCCAATCAAATGCTCTGAGACTTTTTTTTTTTTGAGACGGAGTCTCACTGTGTGGCCCAGACTGGAGTGCAGTGGTGCGATCTCAGCTCACTGCAACCTCCACCTCCCGGTTTCAGGCAATTCTCCTGCCTCAGCCTCCCAAGCAGCTGGGATTACAGGCACCCACCACCACCCCTGGCTAATTTTTGTATTTTTTAGTAGAGACGAGGTTTTGCCATGTTTGCCAGGCTGGTCTTAAACTCCTGACCTCAGGTGATCTGCCCACCTTGGCCTCCCAAAGTGCTGGGATTACAGGCATGAGCCACCGCGCATGGCCCTGGTCTGCTCTGAGAATTTTACTGTGAATAGCACTCTTGTTTCTTGTGTACAGGGTCTGTACCCTGAGAGGCTGAGAGGTCCGTGGTGCCAATGCCATCATGCAGCCATATGGGAATTGAGACAAGGAAGGCAGGACTAATTGAAGGGAAAAAAGTCATGTCCTAATCATATTATTTGAGTCCTGAGTTCATTTATGCACTAAACCAGATCGACCCGTGAACTTTTAGTCTGTGTAAGCCCGTAATTGCCTTTTGCCCAAGCTGCTTACTTGCAATGAATGTGTCCCAAGTCTAAGTTTAGGCCTTTCCCTGGACTCACACACATCGGGAGGTATCTCATTTTCCATCACATAAGTACCCTCCCAAAAGGATTAAGGAAAACTGCCATGGAGAGAAAGAATTTTTCCCCATCCCCATTCATCCAATCAAGCCAAAATATTCTGGGTGAAATAATTTGTGGCAGTGCTTCAATCTTTCCTCCTAGAGGAAAAGCAGATTTTTAATATCTTTGCTAATGAGATCATGGAAGCTGTGGCTAATATGGAATCATTTCTGCTTGATGAAAGGGGTGGGTTAGCTGTGTAGTGATGGCTTTGATATGACTCACTTCTGGGGCCCTACTGTCCTCTTCCAATTATTAGAATCGTTCAGGAGGAATGCTTGGTACTAGGCTGTATAATGAGTCCACACCAAGATAATGTATTCACAAGCATTACTGGTGGTGGCTTGGGTAGTCCAGGTTTTTTCTTCTATCATACTTTGCACCTCTGATTTCATTTTCTTCCTATTTGTGCTTGTTTTGCTTATCCAAACTCATGGCCTCCTTCCCTAATCTAAATCAGTGTCTTATGCACATCTGTGTCTTCTGAGGAAGGGTAACTCAGATTTAGAGTTTTAGCGAGAGATCTATTTGGTGGGGTATAGTAGCTAACTGCCCTCCAACTCCACCCCAGCTGCTAGATGCCAATCCATTTCTAACCTACCTGAGGCTGTGATGCAGCTAAAGCCTCCCTAGGCAGAGGAGTAGGAGCTTCATACCAGTCTTGAGAGATCCCAAGCTACTGAAAATCTTAAGGGGAGCCACCTCAATCCCTGGAGCTTAGTTGGCTTCATATTGCCTCAAATTCCAGGGATATGAAAATATCCCTGCCTCCTTAAAGGATCAGTAAATCCATAAGCTCATCTCTATCAGTTAGCCATTCTCAAAGCCTGCTGTCATAGGCTGAATAATTTTATAGTTTTCTTAGTTCTTTGAGGTATAGAAAGCTCTAGAAGAGGTGCCCAGAGTCACTCTGGGACAAATATAAGGGCCTAAGGCAGACTTGAAGACAGGTGTCCTGAACCGAAAGGAAATGCCAGACTAAAGAAAGGTTCTGTTCATTGCGGCAGGCTTCCTGAGAATGCCTTTTTTCCTGCGGACGAGATCTACTGGTATCCATCCAATCATGTTCTCACAGTTAGTTCGTCTTTTGAGGACAATGCTTTCCTTTGAGACAGCCCTCTTTATCTCTGGCATCAGGGTTTCCATGACAGTTGCCAAGGGCCCTTGCGGCTCAGTGTTAAGTATTCAGTGTACTTATATGTTTCTTTGAGTTATTGTTAATTTTTACTGCTAGGTAAAGAAGTATAATGTGGCTAGTTATGTAGTTCTTAGAGTAAAGCTCTAGAAATAACTACTCTGCTTTTTTGCCTGTTTGTATAACTTCAATAAGCTACTTTTTGGTCAAGATGAAGAGGTCCTGCTAAGAAAGAAGACACATGACCAACAGGAGGAAGGAGGAAGGCACTCTGAGTTCTGCTGGTAGGTTGGCCCGACTCACTCCTCAATTGGGATCGCTCAGGTGCATTAATGAGCACCCCATACAGAATCCTGCTTTATTTGAAACTGCCTTCAGGGTCCCCAGTTAAGACCTGTTAAGATTTCGGACATGTCCTACTTTATCTAAATAAATAGAATTGCACAATTACTACAAAAGCACTCCTCCCCGGCACCATCAGCCATCCCTCAGACATTTTGCGTTTATGAATAAAAGGTTTGGGGAGTGGTTTTAGGGATTTCTTACACACCTTGTCGTGTGACTGAGGCTTATCACCAAGCCTTCAGGTGCTTCTCTTGATGGTCACTTGGTAGAGACTTCAAAACGGATAATGAAAGGTTAATGAGCACTTGCTCTGTGCAAGGCACAGTGCTCAGCATCGCAAGATAATAGAAAGAAGAAAGGCTCCTGCCTGCCTTCAACACATTTTGACTAGGAAGCCGGGACACAAAACAGATAAAATTGAACAATGAAATAAGTGTTTTGTAGGAATGCAATACCACAGTCCCAGAGATGCCACATAGCAGCTTGTGATTACTAATTGGCTTTGCTCAATATAATTAACCTTTTCTAGAAAAATAGATGCATCCATTGTTTTACGTAACCTTATTCATCATCTCCCAAAGACAGATGTAGATTTTATTTCTGATGGTGAATACCTCATGATTTGTTTTTCAGCTAAAACATAGAAACAAAGATACTGTTGTCAGTTTATTTATCCAAACTAACAGTTGGTGAAACTAGATTAGATATTTTTATGGCCTAGGAAAAGTTCTGCATCACTGAGTCACTGAGCCACATAGACTCCACCGCTATATCTCTTAAGAAGTCAAAGAAGAAACATGTGGTGGTTAAAAAAAAAAAAATTCTGCAGTCAGATGGGACTAGGCTCACATCTAAGACCTGTCTTGACCAACTGTGTGACCTTGGCCAATTTCCTTAATCTCTCTAATGTTGTTTACTCACTGGTAAAGCAGACACAATAATATTTCTCCCACAGAGATTTTGAAGATAAATGATTTAATGTACATAACACATGTAGCACAGCATGTGAAAGCAGGAGGTACCCATAAGTGGTAGCTTCTACACTGATGTAACATACACATCTGAATCACCTCTTATCAGGTCATTCTGAATCTTCATGTGGGATGACCAGGAATTGAGACATATGCTGAGGCCCAGGGTAAGTTATTCTGGGCACTATCTTGACGAGAGGTGATACAGTTTTAAGTGCCATGTGTATAATAATAGCAATTTAAGATGTTAATGACCTCAAATTTTTTCAAATCTAGAATTTATTTTTATTAATTGGCAATTGGTAATTCATAATTGGTAAATACATCTTTAATGCATTTTCTTTACAAATGAAATTAACGGTATCTTTTAAGGTGAAAACTATAATATGGTCGGTATTGCTGATAACAGTATTTGAATAAAAACTTGGTTTGATCATAGAAAAACTTGTGTGTATCATCACAGGGAGGTAATACAAAAGCATTTAGAAAAAGCAGTGATTTAACCTCCTGGTTGTCAGGGTCAAAGACATTTATATTGTGCTACATAGACAACCTTGTAAAAGAAAATTGTTAGGATAGTGCTATAGGATAAATTGTTGCTTCCCCAAATTTATATGCTGAAGTTTTAACCTCCAGTATCCCAGAATGTGACTGTATTTGGAGATGGGGTCTTTAAAGAGGGAAGTAAGATTAAATAAGGTCACGTGGGTGGGCTCTAATTCAATGTGACTGTTGTCCTCAAAATAAAAGGAAATTAAGACAGACACATATAGACGGAAGACCATGTGAAGACACAGGGAGAAGAAAACCATCTACAAGCCAAGGAAGGAGGCCTCAGAAATAAGCTACACTGCCGAACTTCTAAGCCTCCAGAAGTGAGAAAGTAAATTTTTGTTGTTTAAGCCGCCAAGTAGGTGGTACTTTATTAATGGCAGTCCTAGCAAACTAATGCAGACACCAAGGGAGTCCCAAGGAATTGGAAACTTCTAACTTGGGGCCAGGGTCATTCTATTTAGATCCGGCTACTCTTTTTCTCAAAGGAAAAAGAATGAAGAGGAAACTGGGTGTTTATTTTCTGAACCAGTTACTTTCATTTTTTGCTGAGCCACACCCAAAATGTGATATTAAATATAGAAGTCTGAGAAAAGAGTACAAACTGAATTTTAATAGAAGTCATTTACATATGTGAAAAATCAGCTTAACTAGCTGGGGGAAAGATAAAGTTGGCCATTAAAATAAAGTTGGAACTGATGGCATTCAAATTTTGAATTGTAAACAACCGTATCAAATGTGATTAATTTCTTGAGGTGACTAGCTAGGAAAATCTGAAATTAAACTTCAACACTTATTAACGGGGATTGGTTTGGTCAAGTTACTCTATCTCTTTTTACCTCTGTTTTCCTGTTTGTAAAAAGGGGATGCTTCATGTGGTTGTTGTAATGATTAAATGAGGTAATAATGGATTATTGTATAAAGGTACAATAAACATTAGCTGTTTTATTATTGATGGTAATGTGAAAACATTAAATTGTTTAGACAGTAGCTTGCTGATAAGGAAGAAATACATGGTTTTTCTTGCAGGCAAACTCTGTGGAAAAACTCACATTCACCTTGCAGTGGTTTATACAACGGGTAACAAATGCCGTGGTTGTGATGTGACCTTCTTTTGTAATTACTGTAATGGCTGATATGGTGGTTCTATATTCTCAAGCATCATAACGACAAATAAGCTTACAATGAAATATCCTCATTGCTTACAAGATTGTTAATTAAGGAGATGGTGATACTTGGGTCAGGGTGGGCTGTGTTTAATTGCAGTGTTCTTTATGTGTTCTTTTGAACTGTGAGTGGTTTTCTCTCCTAGGTACCTGTGTATTGTATGTTACAGGAAGTGGGGTATAGTTAGTGACTTATTTTTAGATCTTATTTAACTCTTAGCTCTGCCCTTGTCTGTTATTGCACTTCTAGACACCATAGCTTCCTTGGTTACCATTGCTTCACTAACTCTCTTTACATTTTGTGGTAAACCAATTGATCTTTGAGGCAGAAAAAAAAAACATGCAAAGCTAATGGCTGAGAAATAGATTTCTTTCAAAAACTTTAAAGAAGAGCAGTGACTCAGACCTCAGTGAGCACAACGTTACCCAGGAGCTCTTAAAATAGGAATGTTCTCTCCTCTTGAAGCTGTGGGGATTAGTGCTGTGGGCTTGGGAGTTCCTGAGATGAGGGCCTCTTGGACTTCCCCAGGGCACAGCGTGGGCCCCTGCACTTTCCTGGAGGAGGGTGGGGCTCCTCAGTCCCCATGGACACCCTTCCTGCCACCTGCCGTAGCTGAGCTCCCAGAAGGGAGAGTAGGACAGATTCTGGGGGAGGAGGAGGGAAGAAAGCAGGGTTCCCAAGCAACAAAGCACCATGAAGCCCATGACTGTGCCGTTCCATGTAAGCCCAGGGAAATTTACTTTAGTAGGGAAAAGCTTCCTCTCCTTAGCTCCAGGGTGGTACACAGTCACTCTTCATAAGCCCATCAAATTTTTTTCTGAGGCAGATCCTCCTGGAATGCTATTTTACTTTCTCCAGAAAATTGTTAGAAGTACTAATGGAGTCTAAAATCATAATTTTTTTTTCTTGCTTTCTCTTTCCAGATTGGAAGGCCTTATAAATAAGAGCTCCTTTGGTAGAAATGTTCATGGAGACTTTTGGGCTAATTCCAAACCAGGGTGAAAGTAAGACACATTCTTTCTGAGAGTGCTGACCAGTGGCATATTCATGTTTGAATGGAAATAAACTGAAACATGTTCACTTCATGGGGAAGAGAAACCTGGAAAGCAGGAATGCTAAAGGGGAACTGGGGTGATGGTGGACAGGTAAGGTGAAGCCAGACTGCAATGAGAGAAGGCAGCATGAAAGGCCAGACCTATTTTGGGACCATACCCTGAGTCACAGAGTAACAGAAAGCAGAGGTGACAGCTGGTCTCTCAGTTTCTCAGTGAGCAAGCATCTGGAATATCACTCTGATTTTGTAAAGCTTGAGTTAGGGGCATAGAATCTTAAGGAATTTGGAGAAGGACAAGGAGAGGGGGTAGTCGAAGGGGAGGGGGACTCAGGGAGTCAGATTAGAGGAAAGATTAAAGGATCTAAATATGGATGGCTAATGGGGCTGGCAAGAGTCTACTAGTTCCTGACACCCTACAAAAAAAGACTTATTTATAATAGGAGGTAGTATAATTAGAAGGTAAGAGATGGGAACTGAAAGACTGGATAGCATAAGAAAATGCTCTGGCCAATTGTGTTAGCTTACACAACAGGACTGCCACTTCTCAGGGGTATCTGGTGTGTGTGTGTGTGTGTGTGTGTGTACCCAATTACTTGAGATATTTGAAAAAAGATTTTCAGTAAAATGGCACTGTAAATTTCTCTGGGACAGAGACTGTCATAGCACAAAGTGACCTAATCTATAGGGCCCTAAGAATAGGGCCTATGTGAATATTTTATAATTTCATTTTATAAATTCATTACTTGATCAAAATAAATTATATGTGGTCACCTAACCTCTAAACTTGGCAGCAAGTGTCTGCATGCAGCCCGAATTTTGGTTTATAAAAAACAGAGACTTAGTAAATTAACCTCAAATACTCCTCTAAAATATAAACTTCTTTCAAAAGATTTTGATGTGATTCTTGCAGTCCATTCTGTGATGAGCAAAGGAACTCTACCAGAGCTTAGGGAAGTAGAGGCTTAGACCTCATGTACAGGAAGTATAGCCCTCCCATGGGGGGATGCATGGAGGCCCAGAGAGAAAGAAGGCACGACCATACTCTACTAAATAACTCGTTAATAACTTTGATAAGTGAATCCTGCAGGATACTATGGCATACATGACTCCTCTTATAGGTTATTTGGGATCTGGTTAAATGGTTAGAAATCCATGGAAAAAGGTACATTGTTCATATAGACATAGATTTTGATTCAGACTGAAACAAGCCTTCTTTTTATTAATTCCAGTTTTTTAAAAAAGTTTGCTGCTAGGTTTGGAGGACAGCTGGAAAAAGCCCTTGGACTTGGATCCATGCAAGCCTTCTCAGACATCAGGGGCCTATGAAGGGCCAGACATTTTTGCTGTCTATTTTTACTTATAAATTAGTCCTACCTCCCAGGTGCTGGAAAGCTAATCCAGGCTGACAGATTTCCTTGCTTGGCTGCCTTGGCTCTCAATGGCCTGTGTCACTGCTATTAATAGTCAACTCTATATTCTTAAAGAGCTATCCTGTCTGTTCTGCCAGTCCTGGGGCAAGCCGTGCTAAGATCAAGCTGGGGTTAGGCTGGAGGAAGACAGAGGCAATTAAGAAGTGGGGACGGGGAGGCACCAAAAGAAGAAAAGCCAAGAATTTCTTGAGGGAAATTAACCTTAAGCTGACTTTGAGACTTTCTTTGATACATTCTTTAACGATTGGTTTTCAAATCTCCATAATATAAGAATTAAAGAGCTCAGCAGGACCCATGGGTAGGCAGAAAGCAAGTCTGATTTACCAGATTAGCTGGCCTCTATGAGAAGAGGACTCAAGAGATAATCTAGTTGAGTGAACTTCTCTTCTGGCTCCCTTTTCCTTAAACAAATGTAAAAATAGTCCATTTAAAACAGAGTAATATGTATCTTTTTGCTAGTCTCTTCTTTTGGTTTTCAAAGATTGTTGCATAATTTGGAGCAATTCCAGTCAATCTTGGTGCCTTTGTGTATTGCTATTTATCCTACTGTGGCAGCTCTCAAGCAAAGACTGTACAGTGTGCCCAAACACTTCAGAAATAAAACGTTTGTTATTGGGATTCTGGGGAAATAGAATTTTTGCTTAATTCCTAGTTAAATATAAAACCCCTTTTGCTTTGACTCTTGATGTTGAAACCCTTTCTAAAATGTCTACATTAGCTTTTCGTCTCGGCACAGTACGTGATCATGATCTAATCTTGCTCTGATGATTCAGCGTCTTTTAGCCCCTCAGTTCTAACAGTGTTTTATTGTAGGGGTAAAGGGTACAGAAGGTTGTAATGGGTCTAGGCTTTGGCTGAGAAGTTTCCTTTATCTAATTGTGTCTGAATCCTGAGACAGACTGGAGTTCTTGGTTCGGTTCAAGATATCTGCAGACTCCAGCCCCAAATACTGCTACTTTTATAGCAGGTCCAGAATGAATCCTTTGCTTCCATATTATCTAATTGTAAGAGAGTTATAAAGTCCTGATGATGAAGATTGGTAGAAGAGCTGTGTTAACAAACCAGACAAAATCCTTACAGAACGATTCTCCTGGGGAATGACTGGGTACTGCCTCACTTTCAGGCCTGAGGCCATGTGCTCCTAAGCTTCTGCCTTGACATGCAAGAAACCTATATGGGCCCATGAAGCACATGGAGACTCCTAGTTCCTTCCCAATACAGCTGATGAAGTGTAAATGTATTCATTTATGTGGGGTAGAGGAGTCACGCTGCAGTCTGTCTTGGTGCTCTGTTTGAGTTCAAGGAAAAGTACCAGGTTGGAAGACATAAATAGCCCATCCAAAGACAATTTTAAAAAATCTCCTCTCTTCTCAACCTTTCCATCCTAGCTGCCAGAGTGATGGCAATGTGAATCACATGGGAAGGACGAGAAAATGGTAGTAGGTCAGGATTCCTATTTGTCTTGGCTTCTTTTGCTTGTTGTGACAACTAGGCGAGAACCCACTGCATTAAACTTCTGCACAACTTCTTTTAGCTACAGGATTTACCACATTTATGAAGTAAATGGACAAATTAGTTAGAGCTGGGTCAAGGACATGAAGATTCAGCAAAGGGAGCCCTGTGGTTCCTTGCTTGTTATGAATGATGTATAGAATGAGGTAATGCAACCAAAATTAAGTGAGAGCTGCAGAGTCACTTTCCACACAGCTGGGAGTGGAGCTTTTTGATGACTGCATGATTTTTAAAAATGTCCTGGAGCACCATAAGGCCTGAATCCTGCAATCACATTATCTTGCAGTCGTATGTCACAGATATATCTGGCCTTCAAGGAAAGAAGGCCTTTTCCAGGGGGAATGCTGCAGATATTTTGACATTGGGAGATTGGGAGCCTTTCCTGCAATATTTGCTCCCTCTTTATTGTCATCTTAGCCTTCTAGCCTAGAGAATCAGCACAATTACAATAGGAAACTTGGGGGATGGAGAAGGTGTGGTTAGAGAGGATAGGAAATGAAAAACTGAAATGGGGCAGTATGTCCAGAAGGAACTAATGAGCAAAAGCAGGATTTACAAAAAGAGCAAGCTCCCTGGTCTACTTAGAAACAGGACTTTTACCTGCCTTAAGCAGTCCTTTACTTGAGGCTGTTTTCTTGATGTTTACCATGGGCCCTCTTTTCTGGCTCATGGACTTCCCTTCTGAGAAGGAGATTCAGGGAGACATTGGTTAGATCCTAGTCCTGGCTGTGCAGCATCTTAACACTGAGGGAAAATCTGCCACAAAAGTGGTTTTCAGGAGTGATGTATTATCAGTGGCCAAGAAACATTGATTCTCTGATTCCCTCTATTTTCCTCCTCTCTTTTTTCTTTCTCTGTTGACTTTCCTCTTTAATATGCTAGTAGATGTCAACCTTGAAGCTGATAAAACATTTTGCTTTTAAAGTAGGCTGTGTGTCTGCTCTTTCTGGAAACTCTGCCTTGGCCAGTTAGTTCCTGTGTCCCCATTCAAATCTCATCTCAAATTGCAATCCCCATAATCCCCATATGTTAAGGGCAGGATCTTGTGGGAGGTGAGTGGATCATGGGGACAGTTTCCCCCATGCTGTTCTCATGATAGTGAGTTCTCACGAGGTCTGATGGTTTTATAAGCACTAACATTTTCCCTGCTTGCAATTCTCTCTCCTGCCGCCATGTGAAGAAGGTTCTTGCTTCCCCTTTGCCTTCCACCATGATTGTAAGTTTCCTGAAGCCTCCCCAGCCATGCTGAACTGTGTGTGAGTCAATTAAACCTCTTTCCTTTATAAATTATCGAGTTTCAGGTATTTATTTACAGCAGTGTGAAAATACACTAATACGGTTCCCTTTGGTGGAAAACATTCTGAGGATTACTAGAGGGAAAAAAAAACCCCACCCAACCTGCTATTTAGGGACTTATTTTGACTGCACCTGAGGATGGGGAAAGGGGTAAGAAAGAGGATAATTTATCCACTATGAGTAAAAATGGAAAAAGATTCCTATGATCCACTTATTTTCTATGTATTAGCGAGATACTGCTGGAAAGACAAGAAAAAAGATCTGCTATGGACCTGTGTCTGTTTGACATTTGATTTTATTGTGCCTACATTATTGGGAAGCTCTCAAGATGAGATATCTTTATAAAAAGAGCTATTTCCAAGGTGCTTGGAAGAAACAAACATAAAACTGATATGGTGGGATAAACCCTTAATTTGGGTCTCATAGGATTCTCACAGATAAATAGCTGCTGAACATGAGCTCATGATATTCCATTGCAAAATACATAAGAAATCTATCTTTACCAGATATTAAAAAGCAATTTAGAATTAGATAGTTGTCAATAATTTAAGATATTAGAGCCATTGTGTAGAAGCTATTACAATAATGTTTTAAATGATTAAAGATATATAACTGGGAATTTAAAATATGAGAAAAAACACCAAGCAATTATAAAAAAAAAAGAAGACAAATTTGAAAATAACTAAAACATCATAGAACTTCTAAAGTAGAATGTAATTGGATGAAATTGAGATGAGAGGTAGTAAACTGAAAAGTAGATCTAAAAGAATTATCCAGAAACTATCATTGAGAGATAAAAAATGGAGAATATGTAAGATGGGTAAAAATCATTGTAGGATAGAATTGAAAGGCTTATTTATGTTAATCATAAAGGAAAGAATCATGAAGGAAAGAGTAAAGAGAGTAGGTGAAAGGTAATACTTGAAGAGAAAATGATTAAAAATTTTCCAGAATTAGGGTAGACCTATGTCCTCATATTCAGAAAGTACAACAAATCCCAAGTAGATTAAATAAAAAAAAATACAATAGACTTTCTGAAAGGAAATTTCAGAACTCAAAAGACAGAGAGGAAATCTCAGAAACAATAAAAAAGGAACAGTATATTACTTATAAGCACTGACAACAAACATTTCAATAACAAAAAGAATATTTTTAAAATGCCAAGATACAATTTTGTTTATTTTACCTTCACTCTTAAATGATAATTTGGCTGAATACAGAATTTTGCATTAACGTGTTAAATCCAGAAATTTGGAGTGAGGTACAAGTGGGAATGATGAACAAATAAATTAGTAAGCATGGGATAAATTTAAGTTAGAATTGACTCTATAAAATAAGAATTTCAACAATGGCATGATTTAGAGGTAAAAAGATAAGGAATAATTAAAAACTGTACAAAAGTAATATGCAAAACAGGCACTGGTTGGATTTAAAGTATTCTGTGTTCTTGTATTGTTTTGGAGGAAGATAGAGATATTGATTAACTTTAGACTTAGTTAAGTATGCATATTAAGACTTTAAGGATAAACACTAAAAGAATAGAAATTAAATGTGTAGCAGAGAAAGACAAAGAGTAAAGAAAACTCTTAACTCTTCTAATAAAAGACTAAATGCCCACAAGAGAAAGCAGGAAAGATCCAAAATTGACACCCTAACATCACAATTAAAAGAACTAGAAAAGCAAGAGCAAACACATTCAAAAGCTAGCAGAAGTCAAGAAATAACTAAAATCAGAGCAGAACTGAAGGAAATAGAGACCAAAAAAACCCTTCAAAAAGTTAATGAATCCAGGAGCTGGATTTTTGAAAGGATCAACAAAATTGATAGACCGCTAGCAAGACTAATAAAGAAAAAAAGAGAGAAGAATCAAATAGACGCAATAAAAAATGGTAAACGGGATATCACCACCGATCCCACAGAAATACAAACTACCATCAGAGAATACTACAAACACCTCTACGCAAATAAACTAGAAAATCTAGAAGAAATGGATAAATTCCTCGACACATACAGTCTCCCAAGACTAAACCAGGAAGAAGTTGAATCTCTGAATAGACCAATAACAGGATCTGAAATTGTGGCAATAATCAATAGCTTACCAACAAAAAAGAGTCCAGGACCAGATGGATTCACAGCCGAATTCTACCAGAGGTACAAGGAGGAACTGGTACCATTCCTTCTGAAACTATTCCAATCAATAGAAAAAGAGGGAATCCTCCCTAACTCATTTTATGAGGCAAGCATCATCCTGATACCAAAGCCTGGCAGAGACACAACCAAAAAAGAGAATTTTAGACCAATATCCTTGATGAACATTGACGCAAAAATCCTCAATAAAATACTGGCAAACTGAATGTGGCAGCACATCAAAAAGCTTATCCACCATGATCAAGTGGGCTTCATCCCTGGGATGCAAGTCCGGTTCAATATATGCAAATCAATAAATGTAATCCAGTACATAAACAGAACCAAAGACAGAAACCACATGATTATCTCAATAGATGCAGAAAAGGCCTTTGACAAAATTCAACAACATTTCATGCTAAAAACTCTCAATAAATTAGGTATTGATGGGACATATCTCAAAATAATAAGAGCTATGTATGACAAACCCACAGCCAATATCATACTGAATGGGCAAAAACTGGAAGCATTCCCTTTGAAAACTGGCACAAGACAGGGATGCCCTCTCTCACCACTCCTATTCAACATAATGTTGGAAGTTCTGGCCAGGGCAATTAGGCAGGAGAAGGAAATAAAGGGTATTCAATTAGGAATTGATTTAGGAAAAGAGGAAGTCAAATTGTCCCTGTTTACAGACGACATGATTGTATATCTAGAAAACCCCACTGTCTCAGCCCAAAGTCTCATTAAGCTGATAAGCAACTTCAGCAAAGTCTCAGGATACAAAATCAATGTACAAAAATCACAAGCATTCTTATACACCAATAACAGACAAACAGAGAGCCAAATCATGAGTGAACTCCCATTCACAATTGCTTCAAAGAGAATAAAATACTTAGGAATCCAGCTTACAAGGGACGTGAAAGACCTCTTCAAGGAGAACTACAAACCACTGCTCAATGAAATAAAAGAGGATAGAAAGAAATGGAAGAACATTCCATGCTCATGGGTAGGAAGAATCAATATCGTGAAAATGGCTGTACTGCCCAAGGTAATTTATAGATTCCATGCCATCCCCATCAAGCTACCAATGACTTTCTTCACAGAATTGGAAAAAACTACTTTAAAGTTCATATGGAACCAAAAAAGAGCCCGCATCACCAAGTCAATCCTAAGCCAAAAGAACAAAGCTGGAGGCATCACGCTACCTGACTTCAAACTATACTACAAGGCTACAGTAACCAAAACAGCATGGTACTGGTACCAAAACAGAGATATAGATCAATGGAACAGAACAGAACCCTCAGAAATAACGCCACATATCTACAACTATCTGATCTTTGACAAACCTGAGAAAAACAAGCAATGGGGAAAGGATTCTCTATTTAATAAATGGTGCTGGGAAAACAGGCTAGCCATATGTAGAAAGCTGAAACTGAATCCCTTCCTTACGCCTTATACAAAAATTAATTCAAGATGGATTAAAGACTTAAATGTTAGACCTAAAACCATAAAAACCCTAGAAGAAAACCTAGGCATTACCATTCAGGACATAGGCATGGGCAAGGACTTCATGTCTAAAACACCAAAAGCAATGGCAACAAAAGCCAAAATTGACAAATGGGATCTAATTAAACTAAAGAGCTTCTGCACAGCAAAAGAAACTACCATCAGAGTGAACAGGCAACCTACAAAATGGGAGAAAATTTTTGCAACCTACTCATCTGACAAAGGACAAATATCCAGAATCTACAATGAACTCAAACAAATTTGCAAGAAAAAAACAAACCCATCAAAAACTGGGCAAAGGATATGAGCAGACACTTTTCAAAAGAAGACATTTATGCAGCCAAAAGACACATGAAAAAATGCTCACCATCACTGGCCATCAGAGAAATGCAAATCAAAACCACAATGAGATACCATCTCACACCAGTTAGAATGGCAATCATTAAAAAGTCAGGAAACAGCAGGTGCTGGAGAGGATGTGGAGAAATAGGAACACTTTTACACTGTTGGTGGGACTGTAAACTAGTTCAACCACTGTGGAAGTCAGTGTGGCGATTCCTCAGGGATCTAGAACTAGAAATACCATTTGAACCAGCAATCCCATTACTGGGTATATACCCAAAGGATTATAAATCATGCTGCTATAAAGACACATGCACACGTATGTTTATTGCGGCACTATTCACAATAGCAAAGACTTGGAACCAACCCAAATATCCATCAATGATAGACTGGATAAAGAAAATGTGGCACATATACACCATGGAATACTATGCAGCCATAAAACATGATGAGTTCATGTCCTTTGTAGGGACATGGATGAAATTGGAAATCATCATTCTCAGTAAACTATCACAAGGACAAAAAACCAAACACCGCATGTTCTCACTCATAGGTGGGAATTGAACAATGAGAACATATGGACACAGGAAGGGGAACATCACACTCTGGGGACTGTTGTGGGGTGGAGGGAGGGGGGAGGGATAGCATTAGGAGATATACCTAATGCTAAATGAAGAGTTAATGGGTGCAGCACACCAGCATGGCACATGTATACATATGTAACTAACCTGCACATTGTGCACATGTACCCTAAAACTTAAAGTATAATAATGATAATTAAAAAAACACTTTACAGCTATCAGTTACATTCCATTACAAATGAAGATAATTAGACATTTATGAATTAAAGATCTAGTAAAAGAACATAGTAACCCACAGGAATTAAAAGGAAGAAAATCATGAGGCTGGGAACATAAACCAATATAATAAAAAGCTCAGAAATAGGAAGGTTCACCAAAATCCAAGAACTGACCTCCTTGTGCTCCTTTATGCATGTTGTCTCTAGAAAGGCATCTGATTGGTAAATCTGAGAAGAATAAATTGAGGTTACTCAGCTCAGCCCTGCCCTTTTTCTTTTTCTAGAGGAAACCTGCCTGGAGTCAGGACAGTCTCCTCTGCTCCTCCATGCCATAGATCTTACCAGAGCAACCCTTTTTGGGGACTCCTGCTTAATCAGTCAGCAAACCAGTCTAATTCTGGCTCTCATATTAAGCTAACACCTCCACCTAGACTTTATCAGTAATAAAGACACTCCTTTGTTTTCTCAATTTGTTTATAACTTGGGCAGGAAAGAGGCAAAGCACAAATCCTTTTAGAAATGAATAAGGAAATATTGACAAGATACAGTAGATATTAAAAAATAAAAAGAGCATACCATGACTCCTCAAATACCAATAAGCTTAAAAACTTTGAATAAGTAGACAATTTCATAGGCAAATAAAAATGTCCCAAAATTGACTCAAGAAGAAACAGATAAGTAGTTATAATCATTAACAATAATCAATATTTTATAAAAATTTATGCATATCATTTATGTACACACACATACACATCTCAAATCCCTCATTTACAGATGAATTCTGTCAAACATACAAATGTTCCAAATAATAAAAGGAGTGAATGCTCTCCTATTCATTTTATGGGATAGTATAAAAAAATCAGATAAACCTGATATTAGAAACAGAAAATGTCAATATAAAAAAGAAAACTTGCAGACCAATAGTCAGTAATGAACAAAGGACCAAAAATCATAAATAAAATATTTGCAACTCAGAATCCAGTTATATCATTATGAGCATTATATGTATGTATGTGCATGTGTGTTGTGTAAACCAAATAGGACTTACTAAGTAATATAAAGATGATTTAACAATGGGGCCTCTTTTAATGTAATTAAGCATATTAATGAAGGAAGAAATATCATAATCATCTCAATAGAAGGGTAAAAAGCCCTTGAAAAATTTAACATATTTTGATAATAAAAATTTTTTAACAAAAATAGAAAAGGGGAGTATTTGATAAAGGATAGCTAGCAAAATTTAAGAGCAAACATTATACTCTATGGTATTACCTTCAAAGAGAAAACAAAAATGCTGGTCATCATGACATCTATTCACCAAGGTACTGGAGGTCCTAGACAATGGTGTTAGACAAGAAAAAGAAATGAAAGATATAAAAATTGGAAAAGCAAGAAAATGCTTTTGATTATTTTTCTGACAATG
Organism: Homo sapiens; assembly: GCF_000001405.40. NCBI lineage: Eukaryota > Metazoa > Chordata > Mammalia > Primates > Hominidae > Homo > Homo sapiens. Next base: position 68,700,460 of record NC_000005.10, on the reverse strand, counting down.
TACATATACAAGAGAAACTGTCAAATAATTCAAGTAATGCAACTGTTGGATAAAAGATTGTTGTAGGTTGCGTTCCCTGGGAAGCTGACTCTAAGAAGGAGATTAGTGTGCAGAGCTTATTAAGTAGTGCTCTTAATATCAATGCCTGTGAAAAGAAAGGGAACGAAGCAGAATCGGGCAGAGGGAGAAGTTGAGCTGTAATGCAATTCTAAAGTAGGCCCTAGAAAACCCCATGGGGAGATCTGAAGCTGGCAAGTCCCTTGAGAATTGTCACAAGTTGGGGTGAGGAGGTCAGGCCTTTGTAGGCTCATGTTGACCAGTCATTGTGTGAGAATACCTGGGGATGGAATGTGACTTTGGGCTTGGCAGCTCTCTTCTGCTAAGACACTTCTTTCAGAGGGCTGACAGATGAGGTCTAACTGCTGGCACTACTTCATGCATGTAGAGGAATAAGTTTCTCAGTCATAAAGTGGGATCTTGGAGGCACTGGGATCTACTTATTCTGGGAGCCATTCTTTCAGGATTCCAGAGGGAGTCGTGGGGGAAAGTTATAAGAGGAAGATTAGTAGGATGGACTACAGCTTTCATTGTTGTAGTTGGTCTTGGGGCCACAAAGGATACACATTAATACCCTTTGATACTCACAGATCCCTTGCTCTACTATGCATTCTAGAGCCTTCTAACACTTAGCTAGCACCTCTGCTAGTCTCAGTGCCCCACCTGGTGAATGACCCAGATCCTCATGACTGAGAGGCCTGAGATCCTGGTCACTTGTGCCTTTCTCAGGCCAGGATTGCTATAATGTCCATTTACCATCAAAATGAACAAGAAATTACCAAGAGGCACCCAAGTACATTACTAGGATGCCAGTTATGCTTTTCCCTATCTAGACTGTGGAACAGCAACCTGTCTTCTCCCAATAATCATTATTAATACTTCTGCCACTCCCAACTTGCTACTTATTATGAGAATTGCATACCTTGGGATTTTAACAGTTAAGTGCCACTGTCTATTATTTCAGAGTCCTGGCATTCCCATTCCTATCAATGAGCCCAGTTCTGTTATGGCCTTTACTACTGTCATCCCTGGCCTGCAGAGGGGAGCCACCACTGAAATTAGGGAGGCTGGTGCCCCTCTCACCAGCACATTCTTTATTGCTTTGGGCCCTCCTATGGAGGATAATCATCCTGCAGATTTTTCAGTCTTACATGGCATGTCCACTCTTGCATGCCCACTTCTCTGAGTCTTTGAATAATTTCTTCTACTTTCTACCTTGGCAATCCAGGCGTTTCTGCCTTTGCTTAGTGTGGGCCAGGGTTGTGTAAACTTCTTCTATAAAGGCCCAGATAGTAAATATTTTAGGCTCTGTGGGCCACAAACAGCCTTGTTTGCCTACCTTCTTTATCTTTTACACCCTTTAAAAATGTTAAGCTCATGCTTAGCTTGTGGGGTGTATGAAAATAAGCCACAGGCTAGATTTGGCCAGCAAACTGTAGTTTGTGAACCCCCCTGCTGGGCCATCACTTCTTCATGCTCTGGGAGCCATCCTAGCAGGGTGTTTGCACAATCTCCCAGGGTCCTAAACGGAACCTATGTTAAATCCTGTGTCCTCCCAGAGTGCCCCCAAATCAATACATTTCTACCTCTTCAACTTTATATTCTGCCTCCCTTGAGCCAGCATCCTCAGAATCCAGTCCAATGCATACACTCTCCTGGGTTCTTGCCGGGACATGTTTGCTAGGTCCTGCAGCTCCTTTTTGGCATTTTCTCTTTCCTTCTTGATCAGGCTCAGCATTGTACCTGCATGGGTTATTTTGTGACTTAATCTTAGTTATTATACTAGTTGCCAGGAAAGTAAGTAGAGGCAGATCCCAAGAGGGATGCATGTTGTACTGTAGAAGGGAGATGTCTTCCATCTTTGCAAGTAAGAGGGAAAGAAGTAAAGTTTAACAGGGAGGGTAGGCTACTTCTGCAAGCTCAGAAGATTCAGAGGCATGGGGTGTGGCTTAAGAGTTTCAGTTACATTAACTCATATGTCTGCATCCTTGTGATAAGGTTCATTCTTTCCCAGGAAGGGTTCTGAATTTACATAGGTGACCCGTGCAAGTTGAAAGCTTAATCTTCTTTGCAGTTCTGCTACTCTTATGGTTAAGTCCTGGGTCTGGTCTTCAGCACTCCTTCTTCACCTTTTCCTCAGATTCTAAGATGTGAGAGCCACTTCATATGATACCATGAAGATCCTTTGGCTTTCAATTTAGTTGTTAATTACCAGTTAATTTCTATTAGCCTTTTGCTATCTTTTTCAAAGGATTAATACATCTTAGCTATAGCCACCCATTCCACTGTTTCTCTAGTTATTATTTGTCCAATATTTCTCAAATGCCTGATAAATCACATTCTTTTGTGCATTCTCTTTCGTCAGGATACCTTCTTGGTTTACCACTGACAGAAGTTTTAGCAATTTTACCAGTACCTTGTGCCAGTAATGGGCCCTGGTTGCCAGTCAGTCATAGAATGACCTGACTTTAAAATCTCCTCTTTAGCATCTGTTTTCATGGACTAACTGTGTCACTTCCAAGGAACAGACTGTGAAATAGAGATTCATGTGCTAGAAGTTTGTTAGAGCATGTTCTTGAGGTTGATATTTGTGGAAGAGACTGAAAAGAGCAGGACTGAATGGAGGAGAAGATGGGTTGAGATGTAGTCTCAATGAAGACCTTAGTAGGGGAGCTCTAGAACTAGGATGACCCTTCACAAGTTGGCCCAAGTTGATGGAAGGGGGCCGAGTCTTTTTTTAAATTTTTTATTTTATTTTACTTTAAGTTCTAGGGTACATGTGCACAACGTGCAGGTTTGTTACATATGTATACATGTGCCATGTTGGTGTGCTGCACCCACTAACTCATCATTTACATTAGGTATATCTCCTAATGCTGTCCCTCCTCCCTGCCCCCCACCCCTGGCAGGCCCCAGTGTGTGATGTTCCCCACCCTGTGTCCATGTGTTCTTATTGTTCAATTCCCACCTATGAGTGAGAACATGTGGTGTTTGGTTTTCTGTCCTTGTGATAGTTTGCTCAGAATGATGGTTTCCAGCTTCATCCATGTCCCTATAAAGGACATGAACTCATCCTTTTTTATGGCGGCATAGTATTCCATGGTGTATATGTGCCACATTTTCTTAATCCAGTCTATCATTGATGGACATTTGGGTTGGTTTCAAGTCTTTGCTATTGTGAATAGTGCCACAATAAACATACAGGTGCATGTGTCTTTATAGCAGCATGATTTATAATCCTTTGGGTATATACCCAGTAATGGGATGGCTGGGTCAAATGGTATTTCTAGTTCTAGATCCTTGAGGAATTGCCACACTGTCTTCCACAATGGTTGAACTAGTTTACAGTCCCACCAACAGTGTAAAAGTGTTCCTATTTCTCCACATCCTCTCCAGCACCTGCTGTTTCCTGACTTTTTAATGATCACCATTCTAACTGGTGTGAGATGGAATCTAATTGTGGTTTTGATTTGCATTTCTCTGATGGCCAGTGATGATGAGCATTTTTTTATGTATCTGTTGGCTGCATAAATGTCTTCTTTTGAGAAGTGTCTGTTCATATCCTGTCTGACAAAGGGATATTAGCCCTTTGTCAGATGAATAGGTTGCGAAAATTTTCTCCCATTTTGTAGGTTGCCTGTTCACTCTGATGGTAGTTTCTTTTGCTGTGCAGAAGCTCTTTAGTTTAATTAGATCCCATTTGTCAATTTTGGCTTTTGTTGCCATTGCTTTTGGTGTTTTAGTCATGAAGTCCTTGCCCATGCCTATGTCCTGAATGGTATTGCCTAGGTTTTCTTCTAGGGTTTTTATGGTTTTAGTTCTAACATTTAAGTCTTTAATCCATCTTGAATTAATTTTTGTATAAGGTGTAAGGAAGGGATCCAGTTTCAGCTTTCTACATATGGCTAGCCTGTTTTCCCAGAACCATTTATTAAATAGAGAATCCTTTCCCCATTGCTTGTTTTTGTCAGGTTTGTCGAACATCAGATGGTTGTAGATGTGTGGTATTATTTCCGAGGGCTCTATTCTGTTCCATCAGTCTATATCTCTGTTTTGGTACTAGTACCATGCTGTTTTGGTTACTGTAGCCTTGTAGTATAGCTTGAAGTCAGGTAGCATGATGCACCCTTTTTGCTTAGGATTGTCTTGGCAATGCATGGTCTTTTTTGGTTCCATATGAACTTTAAAGTAGTTTTTTCCAATTCTGTGAAGAAACACATTGGTAGCTTGATAGGGATGGCATTGAATCTATAAATTACCTTGGGCAGTATGGCCATTTTCACGATATTGATTCTTCCTACCCATGAGCATGGAATGTTCTTCCATTTGTTTGTGTCCTCTTTTATTTCGCTGAGCAGTTGTTTGTAGTTCTCCTTGAAGAGATCCTTCACATCCCTTGTAAGTTGGATTCCTAGGTATTTTATTCTCTTTGAAGCAATTGTGAATGGGATTTCACTCATGATTTGGCTTTCTGTCTGTTATTGGTGTAGAGGAATGCTTGTGATTTTTGTACATTGATTTTGTATCCTGAGACTTTGCTGAAGTTGCTTATCAGCTTAAGGAGATTTTGGGCTGAGACGATAGGGTTTTCTAAATATACAGTCATGTCATCTGCAAGCAGGGACAATTTGACTTCCTCTTTTCCTAGTTGAATACCCTTTATTTCTTTCTCCTGCCTGATTGCCCTGGCCAGAACTTCCAACACTATGTTGAATAGGAGTGGTGAGAGAGGGCATCCCTGTCTTGTGCCTATTTTCAAAGGGAATTCTTCCAATTTTTGCCCATTCAGTATGATATTGGCTGTGGGTTTGTCATAAATAGCTCTTATTATTTTGAGATACGTCCCATCAATACCTAGTTTATTGAGAGTTTTTAGCATGAAGGGCTGTTGAATTTTGTCAAAGGCCTTTTCTGCATCTATTGAGATAATCATGTGGTTTTTGTCTTTGGTTCTGTTTATATGCTGGATTACGTTTATTGATTTGCATATGTTGAACCAGCCTTGCATCCCAGGGATGAAGCCAACTTGATCGTGGTGGGTAAGCTTTTTGATGTGCTTCTGGATTCAGTTTGCCAGTATTTTATTGAGGATTTTTGCATTGATATTCATCAGGGATATTGGTCTAAAATTCTCTTTTTTTTGTTGTGTCTCTGCCAGGCTTTGGTATCAGGATGATGCTGGCCTCATAAAATGAATTAGGGAGGATTCCCTCTTTTTCTATTGATTGGAATAGTTGCAGAAGGAATGGAACCAGCTCCTCTTTGTACCTCCGGTAGAATTTGACTGTGAATCTGTCTGGTCCTGGACTTTTTTTGGCCAGTAGGCTATTATTGCCTCAATTTTAGAACCTGTTATTGGTCTATTCAGGGATTCAACTTCTTCCTGGTTTACTCTTGGGAGGGTGTATGTGTCCAGAAATTTATCCATTTCTTCTAGATTTTCTAGTTTATTTGCATAGAGGTGTTTATAGTATGCTCTGATGGTAGTTTGTATTTCTGTGGGATCAGTGGTGATATCCCCTTTATCATTTTTTATTGCATCTATTTGATTCTTCTCTCTTTTCTTCTTTATTAGTCTTGCTAGTGGTCTATCAATTTTGTTGATCTTTTCAAAAAACCAGCTCCTGGATTCATTGATTTTAAAGGGTTATTTGTGTCTCTGTCTCCTTCAGTTCTGCTCTGATCTTAGTCATTTCTTGCCTTCTGCTAGCTTTTGAATGTGTTTGCTCTTGCTTCTCTAGTTCTTTTAATTGTGATGTTAGGGTGTCAATTTTAGATCTTTCCTGCTTTCTCTTGTGGGCATTTAGTGCTATAAATTTCCCTTTACACACTGCTTTAAATGTGTCCCAGAGATTCTGGTATGTTGTGTCTTTGTTCTCATTGGTTTCAAAGAACATCTTTATTTTTGCCTTCCTTTCGTTATGTACCCAGTAGTCATTCAGGAGCAGGTTGTTCAGTTTCCATGTAGTTGAGCGGTTTTGAGTGAGTTTCTTAATCTTGAGTTCTAGTTTGATTGCCCTGTGGTCTGAGAGACAGTTTGTTATAATTTCTGTTCTTTTACATTTGCTGAGGAGTGCTTTACTTCCAACTATGTGGTCAATTTTGGGATAAGTGTGATGTGCTGCTGAGAAGAATGTGTATTCTGTTGTTTTGGGGTGGAGAGTTCTGTAGATGTCTATTAGGTCCGCTTGGTGCAGAGCTGTGTTTAATTCCTGGATATCCTTGTTAACCTTCGGTCTCATTGATCTGTCTAATGTTGACAGTGGGGTGTTAAAGTCTCCCATTATTATTGTGTGGGAGTCTAAACCTTTTTGTAGGTCTCTAAGGGCTTGCTTTATGAATCTGGATGCTCCTGTATTGGGTGCATATATATTTAGGATAGTTAGCTCTTCTTGTTGAATTGATCCCTTTACCATTATGTAATGGCCTTCTTTGTCTCTTTTGATCTTTGTTTGTATAAAGCCTATTTTACCAGACACTAGGATTGTAACCCCTGCTTTTTTTTTTCTGTTTTCCGTTTGCTTAATTGATCTTCCTCCATCCCTTTATTTTGAGCCTATGTGTGTCTCTGCACGTAAGATGGGTCTCCTGAATACAGCACACTGATGGGTCTTGACTGTTTATCCAATTTGCCAGTCTCTGTCTTTTAATTGGAGCATTTAGCCAATTTACATTTAAGGTTAATATTGTTATGTGTGAATTTGATCCTGTCATTATGATGTTAGCTGGTTATTTTGCTCATTAGTTGATGCAATTTCTTCCTAGTATCGATGGCTTATTTGGCATGTTTTTGCAGTGGCTGGTACTAGTTGTTCCTTCCATGTTTAGTGCTTCCTTCAGGAGCTCTTGTAAGGCAGGCCTGGTGGTGACAAAATCTCTCAGCATTTGCTTGTCTATAAAGTATTTTATTTCTCCATCACTTATGAAGCTTAGTTTGGCTGGATATGAAATTCTGGGTTGAAAATTCTTTTCTTTAAGAATGTTGAATACTGGCCCCCACTCTCTTCTGGCTTGTAGAGTTTCTGCTGAGAGATCCGTTGTTAGTCTGATGGGCTTCCCTTTGAGGGTAACCCGACCTTTCTCTCTGGCTGCCCTTAACATTTTTTCCTTTATTTCCACTTTGGTGAATCTGACAATTATGTGTCTTGGAGTTGCTCTTCTCAAGGAGTACCTTTGTGGTGTTCTCTGTATTTCCTGAATTTGAATGTTGGCCTGCCTTGCTAGGTTGAGGAAGTTCTCCTGGATGATATCCTGAAGAGTGTTTTCCAACTTGGTTCCATTCTCCCTGTCACTTTCTGGTAAACCAATCAGACGTAGATTTGGTCTTTTCATGTAGTCCCATATTTCTTGGAGGCTGTGTTTGTTTCTTTTTACTCTTTTTTCTCTAAACTTCTCTTCTCGTTTCATTTCATTCATTTGATCTTCAATCACTGTTACCCTTTCTTCCATTTGGTCAAACCTGCTACTGAAGCTTGTGCATGTGTCACGTAGTTCTTGTGCCATGTTTTTCAGCTCCATCAGGTCATTTAAGGACTTCTCTACACTGTTTATTCTAGTTGGCCATTCATCTACTCTGTTTTCAAGGTTTTTAGCTTCTCTGCGTTGGGTTTGAACTTCTTCCTTTAGCTCAGAGAAGTTTGTTATTACCGATCATCTGAAGCCTTCTTCTCTCAACTCGTCAGTCATTCTCTGTCCAGCTTTGTTCCATTGCTGGTGAGGAGCTGCATTCCTTTGGAGGAGATGAGGCACTCTGATTTTTAGAATTTTCAGCTTTTCTGCTCTGGTTTCTCCCCGTCTTTGTGGTTTTATCTACCTTTGGTCTTTGATAATGGTGACATACAGATGGGGTTTTGGTGTGGATGTCCTTTCTGTTTGTTAGTTTTCCTTCTAACAGTCAGGACCCTTAGCTGCAGGTCTGTTGGAGTTTGCTGGAGGTCCACTCCAGACCCTGTTTGCCTGGGTATCACCAGCGGAGGCTGCAGAACAGCAAATGTTGCTGCCTAATCCTTCCTCTGGAAGCTTCGTCTCAGAGGGGCACCCAGCCTTATGAGGTGTCAGTCACCTCCCTACTGGGAGGTGCCTCCCAGTTAGGCTACTTGGGGGTCAAAGAGCCACTTGAGGAGGCAGTCTGTCCGTTCTCAGATCTCAAACTCTGTGCTGGGAGAACCACTACTCTCTTCAAAGCTGTCAGACAGGGATGTTTAGGTCTGCAGAAGTTTCTGCTGCCTTTTATTCAGCTATGCCCTGCCCCTAGAGGTGGAGTCTACAGAGGCAGGCAGACGTCCTTGAGCTGCGGTGGGCTCCACCCAGTTCGAACTTCCAGGCAGCTTTGTTTACCTAGTCAAGCCTCAGCAATGGCAGATGCCCCTCCCCCAGCCTCGCTGCCACCTTGCAGTTTGATCTCAGACTGCTGTGCTAGCAGTGAGCGAGGCTCCGTGGGCGTGGGACCCTCTGAGCCAGGCACGGGATATAATCTCCTGGTGTGCTGTTTGCCAAGACTGTTGGAAAAGTGCAGTATTAGGGTGGGAGTGACCCGATTTTCCAGGTGCTGTCTGTCATGGTTTCTCTTTGCTAGGAAAGGGAATTCCCTGACCCCTTGCACTTCCTGGGTGAGGCGATGCCCCACCCTGCTCTGTGGGCTGCACCCACTTGTCTGGCAAGCCCCAGTGAGATGAACCCGGTACCTCAGTTGGAAATGCAGAAATCACCAGTCTTCGGCATTGTTCACGCTGGGAGCTGCAGACTGGAGCTGTTCTTATTCAGGGCCGAGTCTTTATTCCCTGTCAAGCAGTCTTTGTATATAGGATTTCCCAGGAAAAGGATGCGACTTTAGGTAAGGCACATGGAAAAAGATAAAAAAAGATAAAATTATATTTCTGCCACATTTCATGTATAAAAATTCAATTTCAATTAGACTGGATATTTTTAAATTATAAAACATTAAACTTTACAATAATATATACAGAAATATCTTTATGACTTTGAGGTAGGGAAGGGTTTCTTAAGGCCTGAAAACCACATATCATAAAGGAAAATACTGGTAACTTTGAGTCCATGAAAAGTTTTGTATGACAAAGACAACTTAAATAAACAAAATACAATGACAAATCACAGTATGAGAGAAGATATTTGTAATATATGTAACTGACAGAGAAATAATATCTGGAATACTTAAAGAATGCACATAAAACATAAGAAAAAGACAAACAAAAATAGGCAAGAGATAAGAACAGGCAATTGACAGAAGCTGAAACAGGAATGGCTAATAAGCATTTGAAAAGTTGTAAAACTTCAGTGATTATGGAAAAGTTAATTAAAATTATGGTAAAATAAATTTTTCACATCCATCAGGTTTGTACAGATGGAGAAGTCTGCCAATTTCAAGTGATGGTGAAGATTTGGGGCAAGGAAATATTCATACTTTGCTGGTGGGAGTGTAAATTGGAGCCACCACTTTGGAAAGCAATTTGGTAATATAAAATAAAATTTAAAATAAGGTTAATTTTCACTCCACCGATTCTCTACTACTCTAATGCATTCACATATGGATGTGTTCAGTGTAGCATCATTTGTAATGGATAGAAATTGGAAACAGCTTTAATTTCCATTTACTGAAGATTAGATAAGCTGAGGTCTCTTCATGCCAGGACATATTCTACTGAAGTGAACATGATCTCTAGAACAACCTTGTCCAACCCGTGGCCCAGGATGGCTTTGAGCATGGCACAGCTTTGAATTTGTAAACTTTCTTAAAACATTATGGGTTTTCTGTGGGTTCTTTTTTTTTTCTTTTTAGCTTGTCAGCTGTCATTAGTGTTTAGTGTATTTTATGTGTGGCCCAAGACAATTCTTCTCTCAATGTGGCTCAGGGGAAGCCAAAAGCCTGGGGACACCCTTCTAGAACTATATGTCTCAACATAAATGGATCTTAAAAGCGAAATCTTGAACCAAAAAAAGAAAATCAAGTTACAGAATAATGCTATATTTGTGTGTGTGTGTGTGTGTGTATCCTGATTTTATATATATATATATATATATATATATATATATATATATATATATATATATATAGCATTTAGACTCGTGAGCTCCCACTCAGGCTCTACAAGGGCTTTGAAAGAGGTTAGGTGAACACACATAAATTAAATGTATGGAGAGTGATCAGATATGATCTCTTTAGCCTTCCTTCTGTGGGCACCTTGGGGGTGGAATGGAGAAAAGAAAGTTGGTTTAGGAAAAGCTCAGCTCAGGAATCTCAAAAATTCAACCCCATGTGCAGCACCCAGTCTAAGCTTGTCACCTTTCTATTTCTGCTCTCAGGATCAGGTTTCTACTGTTCTCACAACCCCTCCTCATCGGGGGGCTCTGTGGGGTTCATTAACACCTGTTCTAGGTTTCCCGGTCAAGGAGAATGAAGTTGTGGTCTTCCAGGTCCTCCTGGTACAGAAACAGCGTGCAGGCAACACAGCTGGTGACACCCCCTTGTCTGTTCAGTGGAAAGGAAAGATTGGGCTGGGGTGGGAGTGCTGGGGATCAGAGCCATGTGAGGGGACTCTTGGGGAGTCAGAGTTGGGAGGGACCTGGAAGACTATTGAGTTAAACTTCCTTGTGTGCTTATTCAAACTTTTTATTGAAAAGCAGTAGATAAAACAGGTGACCATGAAACTGCTGTGGTTAGAGCCAATGAGGGGACCACAAAGACTAGCTCTGTATGCCCCTGTGTCCCCCTCTGCACCCCTCCCCTCTCACTCACACCCCCGACAGCCCCTGAAGAGGTGCTAGGAAGCACATGTTGAAAACACTGGCTCCTGTCCAAGCTCTTCATCTGAGAGATGAGGCTTTTGATGTCCCGGGTGATGCTATGACCTGCACAAGGTCACACTAAGCTGGAGACAGCAGTGCTGTTTCCACCAAACCCTTAAGCGGTTTCTTAAATTTCTTAGAATTGAGCCAATATGAGCAGGTTCTATTGCTTTTTTCCCTTTTCCTTTGTTTGTTAATTTAGTCATTCTTTATATTCCAGATTTTAAAAAAGACAACTTTGAGAGTTTCTATATCAAGCCATGATATCATCATCATGCTCTGTTATAATTGTTTTTTACTACTCTGAGCTCCATGTGAAAGAATCAGAGTTAACTCTTGAGTGTTGTGGAGGGAGAGGGCTGCAGGCTAAGTCCATGAGAGAAAGGGAGGAGGGCAGTGTTAAGAAGGTACCTGGAAAAGGTGAGCCCACACTGCCTGCTGTCCCAGACAGCACTCTCCTAAACCCCACTTATTTAGTTAATAATTTGGCTTGTCAAGCTGCACTGAAAAAATTCCAGCATCTTCTCTTCAGGTAAAACTCATTGATCACTTGCACCACAAAGTGAGTATTAATAACATTTCTTGAGCAGTTTCTACATGGCAGGCCCTACGCTAAGTGCTTCACACATGTTATCCTATACAATGCACACAATAATGGTAATGGTAATAATGAGATAAACACAGTTACTGTTTTAAATACAAAACAATACAAAAGGATAAATGGAGGTTCATAGAGGTTAAGTATTTCACTCAAAGGCACACGGCTAATAAATGACAGAGTGAAGATTTGAATTCCATGCTCTTATGAGCTATCCTATCTTGCAATGTACAATCTCATGCCCAGCTACCACCCAGTTAGAGAATGGGTGTTTTATTGCATGTGTAGAAGGGGTAATTGATTACAGAGCAGTGGGGTATGCCTGGGTGGGGCTTTCCATTTTACAGTCTGGCTTAAGTTGCTTTTGTATAGGCTTTGATTAGAAATTTCCAGGGATAAATAAAATATATATATATTTTATATATATATATATTATATATATATATTTATATATATTTTATATATATATTTATATATTTTTATATATAAATATATATACATTATATTTTATATATAAATATATATAAATTATATTTTATATATTTATATATAAATATATATAAATTATATTTTATATATTTTATATATAAATATATATAAATTATATTTTATATATTTCATATATAAATATATATAAATTATATTTTATATATTTTATATATTAATATATATAAATTATATTTTATATATTTTATATATTAATATATATAAATTATATTTTATATATTAATATATATAAATTATATTTTATATATTAATATATATAAATTATATTTTATATATTTTATATAATAAATATATAAATTATATTTATATATAAATATATAAATTATATTTTATATATTTATATATATTTATATATTATATATTTTATATATATTTATATATATATTATATATATTTATATATTATATATTATATATATTATATATAATATATATTATATATATTATATATATTATATATAATATATATTATATATATTATATATATTATATATTTATATATATATTATATATATTATATATATATTATATATTTATATATATTATATATATATTTTTATATATTTTATATATATATTTATATATATATTATATATGTATTTATATATATATTTTATATATATATTTATATATATATTTTATATATATATACACACATATATAAAGACTCATCTAAATATAACCAAATGACATGAACTAAAAACTGCACTTAAACTTATAAGATTTGCTTTCAAACACTCACATAAATGAGAGTATAACTTCTAAAGAAGCTCTATACTGTCAGCCCCGATTTCCTATGACTTTTGTAAACTTTTTAGTTCTTAAAAATCAGCTTTATAGTGAGAAGGGACTGTTAAAGACATTCTAGAAATATAAAGTTATTTACTGATTATCCATTCCAAAGAAAGGTACCCTGGATATTTGAAATAGATACTTTACAAAATCTGCTTGTGAAAATGGGGCAGTCTTCATATCATTTAAATTCATCTGCAAGAAACAAAATATCAAATTCAAACTGGCTTAAACAACAAGGATATTTATTAGGTCTTATAACAGGCAATTCGGAGGTAAAGGAAGCTTTGTGTTTGATTCGATGAGTTAAAAAATTATCAAAGGGCCAGGTTCTCTCAATTTTTACATTCTGTTGTCTTAATCTTTGGCTTCATTCTCAGGCTGGTTTCCTTGAGTTCATAAAATGGCTGCCAGCAGCTTTTGTGGGGTGCAAGCCTCCTAATTCCCATACAGCAAGGAAGAGAAAACCAGCTTCCTATTGCACGCTCTCTCTCTCTGAAGAACCAAGATGAACATTCCCAGAAGCTTCTCTTTCTGTCTCCCTGGCCAGAATCAAGAATCACATGCCCAGTTTTTAAATCGGTCTCTGGAAAAGAGGTTGAGGTTCCTCATAATGGTCCAGGGCCATCTCTTTAACTGAGGGTCTTTCCTGTGACACCACTGCTTTTTCTCAGTAAGAGAGAAGTGGAATGTATGTTACAGAGGCAACCACAATGCCCAGTGTAGAATTTGCCCGTACCAGATGGATACCATGATTCATTGACACAGCCAAGAGACGTGTATTAAATATCTGCCATCTGCTCAGAACCAGGAGATTCTAAAGAAAAGTTCCACGCGAATCTGTTTTCCTAATAGATGACAGAAATAACAAATTGTGGCTCAGGCCCCTTCTGCATCCCCCTCCCCACACTTTGGTATAAGCACTTAACAGAAACCCCAACACAGCCAGGGAGAGGACTAACGATGGAAACTGAGCCCAAATTGATGGCTCTAAAACAAGGAAACTGGCCAAATTCAGTCAACCATGTAGTTACTAACCAACTATTTTATTAAATAGAATCCTTCAAAAAATCAACCTTTCTTTTTATATATACCAACTTCCCTTTATCAAGTGATATATTACACTGACTTAACCTTTAACTCTTGAGAGCACTGGGTATGTATCTCTGTCACCCACAAATCACCAGTTTGACAGCTGGCAACTTTACTCTTGGGCTTACTATATTATATACTTACATCTTCTATAGGGTAGGAGAAGGGCTCAAAAAGTCTTTCACGCAGACCTCAGAGTGCCCATGTTGGCAAAATATTTTCATTTGTAAGTGTGAAATACTTTCAGAAGCACTTTCCTTGAAAGTGATTGAGGTGTGGGAGCTGGGAACAAGTTAGGAATTGTTTTATTCTGTAGTTTTGCATGATTTGAAGTGGGTCAAATAAACAATTTTAACTCTCTCCTTTTACTTTTCTAACAGGCCAGCTGACTGAACTTACTTCTTTATTAATTGCAGAACTGTGAAAACCTAGCAACATGAAATTAAATCTTTTTCTCCTTTGGCACTGGTCTGCTCATGGAGAGTATTAAAGACATGTGGAAGATTTAATACTCAGGGAGAGGAAAAGATGATTTGCTTCTGCCCCAGCAACAGAGCTATTCTAAGAGCTCTGGTTGCTTAAGAGAGGCAGGGCTCAGGCATGGCCTCTCCTTCTGTCTCTTGCTGAGACTTTTAAATTCTTGTTGGTTTATTTATTTGTTGAAGACATTATAGCATCGTCTAGAGCTGTGGTTTTTCCAAGTAAAGAGTGACTCCCAGGCTGATCATTTATAGCATTTATATTTATAAAGAGACAGTAATCTACATTTTGTTTTTTGACATCATTTCATCATTTAATTATTAGTTCCTAAAAACCCAGTAAGCATCCTATGCAAGTGATTCTAAGAAATATTTTAGTGGTGGAAATGAATAGAGGTAAGAAAGGGAAGGGCATGGGGGCAGGTGACCTTAGGATTATTTTGCTGTGCCAAAATGGCAGCACGAGGCTTTGATTTGCCACTGTTCTAAATTTATAGCACTTTTCAGAACTCTGCTTTTTATCTCCAAATGAACTCTTTATTTTATGACTTTCATTCCTCATGAAGATTAGATACCAGCCCCCCAAACAATTCTACACTGCTCCACATGTCTTTAAATATGGATCCCACCTGTGTCAGAATCTTAGGTACATAGAGTTGGAGACCCACTTCTCCAGAACCTCAGGAATACTCTGAAGAATTAAATTAGCGGCCAGTTGGGAGAGCAAAGCCTGAAGCTTTCTGGTTGTGTCTACCTCCATCCTGTCTACATGACAGATCTCTTTTAAACATCAAGAACTGTGTGTTTTGGTCAGTTGTAGACATGTTCTACTCACTCTTCCTCAATCCAGCAAATGAAATATCACCCACCCTTTGTTTGGATTAGAAATACGAGAGCAATCCTGAATGTTTCTTTCTGTAACTCCTCACATCTAATTCCTTCTGAAACCCTGTAATTCTCCCTAAAAAACACACAGAGAAAGTGTCAACTTTATTTCTGCAGACAACATCTAGCCCAAGGCACCATCATCTCTAATCTTCAATAATTTTCTGTCTTTCTTCCTTGGCTCAATTTTTGCCCTTTGATAATTCATTCTTCACCTTACGGATGAAATTTTCTTTTAAAAATACAAATCAGATTTTGCCAGTCTCCTTCATGAAACTTTCTCTTGCATTCTGAATAAACTCCAAACTCCTAAATATGATCTTCAAAGCCTTGCTTGATTTAGCTTCTGCTAACTTCTCTAAGTTCTCTATTGCCCCCAATTACTAAGTCCAGAGTTGTTGCTGTTGTGTCTCCTGGACTGTTTCTTTGTCAGTCCTTCACGTGGTCTTAGCTTAAATGTCACCTTCCACAGAGGCATGCCCTGACTATCTTTCTCAAAGTGGTTTGGTAGCTACTATGGATTGGGTAGTCTAACATCCCTTCAAACTCCCTTATCCCATGTCAAGAATGCAAAGCTAAAACCCGCATTTTCCAGACTGTCTTGAAGCTTGGGTACTAGAAATGATTCAGTTTCCCCCAACAAAATGCAAGGCATCGATATTGTGGTTCACAGGATCTCCATTTTGATGGGACCAAGTGTCATTGTGTTGGCATGGATTGTGGCAGAAGTGGTTTGAGTCTGGAGCAAGTAGTCATTGCTGTGGCTGTGACTTGTAGCAGGAAGAGGCAGCTTCTTGATTCAGTGTCTGCTATTTTGATTGCACTGGGGGCTAGTATGGTTCTGCAGTCAGCAGGGGTGTAGTACCTTCCCTAATACAACAGCATCCCCCACCCCACCCCAGATATCAACAGAAGTCACCATACAACAGTTTCTTAGAATGTGCATAGATGGGGGATTGTTCTTGAGAGGTCAGTCTAGAGCCTCCTCCTCTAGTCCTTTTAACAATTTTGTAATCACTGAATTCCCTGTATGGAATTCCTTTCTGCTTAAACTAGCTAGAGTGGATTCTGTTGTCTGCAATACAGTCTGGACCAATGTAAGTCTTTTTTTATAGGTTACTCTTTAGCTCATCTTTTATTTTTTTCCTCACTCTTTTAATAATTTAAATGATACCATTCATTTATTGTCACTCTCCCTACAATATAAGCCTCCCGAGGGTGTGGCCTTGTCTGTTTGGTTCGATGCTCTGTCCCTAGTACCTAGGACAGTTCTCAAAACACACGAGGTATTTCATATCCATTTGTTGCATGAATGAATGGGCCCTAGGCATTTGCTGAGCTGCTCCACACCACACCTCAGCAATCTTAGCAGCAGTGGGGCTTGCTCTGCAGCAAGTCTTTCTTTTGACTCACCCATTTGTGTCTGGTCCAGCTCCGATTTCATTCTTCTGACTCAGCGATGGAAACATGCACTTATGATGATGACAGAGCAAGTCCTTGAGTTCTCTAAAAACTCTGCATCAGGAAGCTTCTGCTAAATGGAGTGCCTCACACCACTATCAGCAGAGCAGTGCTCAGCTGAATTTCTCTATCAGTGGTGTCAGGCAGTGAGGAAGAGACTGGACAAGGGAGGGCTAGCCTAACTTTGCCATTATAGGTTCTTCTTGTTTGAAAGACAATTTCACAAACAATGGCATGTCTAGGCACTCTCCTGAAAGACTGTCCAAGATCATCCCATCCATCCTGGTTGCTTGCATGTCTGTTTCCCATAACTCAACATGCTATTGCCTCTCAAAAAATTTTCACAAGTCCACAGCATGACTTAGCTAATGTAACACTCTGCTCTTTCTAAGAGCCCCGCCTTTCCCTTTGCCTATTTTAAAATGAAGCAAAGGGTCATTTGAAATACTTTGTTTTTTTAACAAATTGAGAAGTTGGGTTCTCACCATAAAATGCTGAATAATAGATTATTTGCCTAAAATAATCTGTGTCTCATTCAATATTTTATTCCCTGTACCAGGGTCTGGTACATAATGGGTGCTCCATAAGTGTTTGAAGAATGATTGAATGAGTGAATCATTCTAGTTTTATGTCTTTTTATTTTTTTAAAGCTGGCAAAAGGTTAATGTATGCAGAGAAGACAGTATATGAGAAAAAAAATCCCACATATGACTTTGATTCTATTCAAATGTGTTCCTTCAGTTAGGCAGGATTTCATTAACATTTCCTCCACATCATGCCTGCTGAATATCATTGCAAGATTTAGTTGACAAGTGCCATTCACAAGCCAGATCTGTGGACCTAAGAGGGTATCCCGCCATGTGGGGCTTCCTTTTCTCAGTCCTGACACACATAAGACAGCAAATGTCAAGTGTGCTTTTTTAGAACTCATATACAGAATGATGTGCTTCTTCAAGGTCAGGATAAGCACCCACTTTAGTTTGCATTCATGCGCAAGAATGCTAGCGACAGGTAACCTTCAAAGAGGGAAGCTGTCATTGGCAGGAAGGGCAAAGGCTGGGAATTGAATCTTCCTAAAAAAGTCACATCTGCCGGCTGGCAGGAGAAGGAGCTCATGTCAGGGCAGGAGACTAACTGGCAGTTAGAGGATCGCTGGTTACTGATTAAGCTGGGCAAGGCATTTTAAAGGCAAAAGAGCAGTCTCCAAGTTCAGATTAGGCAGGCTCTTGCAGGCTCTCACAGCTGGGAGGGGAGCTGGTGGGTGGAAAAGGGTGAGGTGAGGGAAAGGACAGGGAATGGGATGCCCTTAGCTTAGTGGGAGGGAGAAGTCTTCTCCAGGGGTGGCCAGGCCCTCTGTTCTGTCTCCGGGAGCTGCCAGACAGGTAATGTCTATCTCTAGTGTAGAAATTCCTATCCCTGAGGTTGAGACATTTCAAGGTTTTGCCAGTTGTCTCAAAGGGCAATGTGGAATTCTCAAGCCCAAATTATTTTCCTAGTTTTATGCCTTTTAATTTTTTTAATAATGTGAATATCACATAGTTATCTTCAAGTACCTTTGGAAGGCCAAATATTCCCCCTCTCAAAATGTGTAGGAATAGTTGCTGTGGTTGCTACAATTTTCCCTTGTTTACTATGTAACAAGCCTTGAGTTACATGGTTTGCACATATTGCATAATATTAAATTGAATCCTCACAACCTGATGAGATAGGTGTATTTGTCCTCATTTTATACATAAAGCAACTGAGACTCAGAGATACTAAACAGTTTGTCTCATCTCACAGAGCTGGACAGTGGCAGTGCTGACTCCCCACAACAAAAGCAATTTTGCCCCTGTCTAGGGGAATGAGTCCCTGAAGAATGATTTCTTCCCAACTGGGAGATTTTGTAGGACATTTGCCCCAAAGAAATGCTATTTTCCATAATTGGGTACTACCTATTCATTACTGCTCTTGTATCCTCTGAACAGTTTATGTTATTAACTATAGATCAATCTAGGCTTTTTGTGGATGCAAGTGAATGAAGCAAAATGTGGTCTGGCCATAGGATGGGCTGCAACCTCAGGGGGAGTGGGCAGCTGGTTTAGAAAATGTGAGTGGAGAAGAGCCCAAAGCTGCAGCCTCTCTCCTTTCTGCCTCTCCCTAACTCCAGCCTGCCCTGATGCTTGAAATTCCCTAGAACAGAGACACTCATTTAGATTAACGTTCTGAGAGTCCCTACTAATGTCAGTTTATTGACTGTGAGGACTAATATACTGATAGAAATAATATTAAGACTTCACCTGTGTGTATTGATTTCTCTCATTTGATTCTCTCTACAAAGTCTAAGCAACTGTTTCCTCTTGGCATGGGTTGATTTACCAGAATAGATAGCACTGAACAAAGCCCTCAGGGAATGGACCAGAGAACAGGTAAGGGCTGGTGATAAGAAGAGCTTGTCAGGAAAGGGCAGGATTATCCATCCGTGTCCCTTGTGGGTGGATCCTGATAGAAACTAAAGCAGTCAGAGATCGGCATGAAGGTTTGGGCAACGCAGAAAAGAAGAGTGAGACCGTGGGAAATTGTGAAGCTAAAATTGGAGAAGTGTTTGGATGTAGAGGAAAACTCGCTGATGTCTTTTCATATTTAATTTAAAAATATTTTTTGAAGTAAGGTGTATTAATAGATTACTAAATAACTACATTTTATCAAAGAAGTAAACCATATCTCTTGACAGTCCTAGAAGGCACCAAGAAGGAGATGGGGGAGAGAGACGAGCAGCAGGATGGGTCGGTGAAATTGATGAACATATTTCTCATGTCTGAGTCAGGACAGGTCCATCTGATGTTGCCAGTTCTTTGTCACATGCTTCTTTCCCTAGGAGATCAGAGATCCCAGATGGTCTTAGATAGGCACTTACAGATGCTCAGCCACAACTTAAACTGTGCCAGGCACACCTGCCTCCCCAGGAGATGGGCCTGGGCATGGTTACCCAATGGGAAACTCCAAGACCTTTGCCCCACTCCACTCCTCCCAGCCTGGAGAAATTCTGATGTTTCCTAGGTTTTTCTCCTGCTCCTGCTCTGCTCCTGACACTCCCAGTCTCACAGCTCTTTGAGGGCTTATCATTCCCTGAGGAGTGGTGCCAATGAGGTTAGGGTATCAAAGACATCACCCTAAAAACAGCCAGATCACCCTTTCCACTGGTCTCTCCTCCCCTGGGAAGCAGTGCTGGCCTCAGGCAGTTTTGTAAATTCAGCCAAGTCTGGTTTTCATTTCCTCTGTTCCTTTTGCTCTATTTCAAAGCCAGCCAAGTGTCTGCTACTCTAATTCCCTTTCTCCAACCCCCATTGCTATTCCTTTTACTATTTCATGTATTCTGGTCCTAGATAACCTCATACTTTGGACTGTTTTCCTCTGTTTTTTCAGCCTACTTATCCAAACTTACTTGTCCTGAGTCCCGTTGTTCCAGACTTGTTCTCTTTGTCGGTGACACCAGGTTTTCCAGATAAAGAAACACCTATCAGTCTACCAGGTAAAACTTACATGACTTTACCCTGTTGAGCAAAACCTCAAAGCAGGGATTCTCAAACCCTGGGCCACAGACTGGTACCGGTAAGCTCCTCCTGGGCTCCTCCTCCTGTGAGACCAGCGGCACCATTAGATTCTCATAGGAGCGTGAACCCTATTGTGAACTGTGCATGTGAGGGATCTAAGTTGCACACTCATGAGAATCTAATGCCTGATGTTCTGAGGTGGAACAGTTTCATCCCAAGCCCTTTCCCCATCCCCAAACCCCTCCCCAGTCCATGGAAAAATTGTCTTCTATGAAACTGGTCCCTAGTGCCAAAAATGTTGGGGACTGCTGCCTTAAAGCATTTCAATATAGGCTTTGTCTGTATAGGAAGGACTCCCAAGGAGTAACACTGATGGGAAACTCAAGAATTATCACAGACCAAAAGAAAAGATAGTACTATCACTGCTCACCTTACCAGTGGAGTCAGCTGTCCCTTCTGTGTTTGTGTGGGACAAGTCCTGGGGTGTAGATCTAAAAGTCTAAACTTGCACTTCATTTCTGACTTCAGAAAGATCCTGGCAACTAGCTGTAAACCTCCCTAGGGCCTCAAGGGTCTTTTTCTGCAAAGTGAGTGTTAATAGTGAGAGGACAACCATCTTTGTTTAGATTGTGACTTGGGGGAAGGGCACTGGATTACTGAATTATTGAAAGTACTTTGCAAACTCTGAACATTTGAGCAGGACTTATAAAAGATTTGGATGGAATTTCTCTAGAAATTGAATGGGAAATTGAGATGGGATACTTGGCAGAGTCCAGCGCTGGAGAGTGAACGTCTTGCAATGCATTAGAAAAAAGAAGCGCTAAATGAAGTATTCATGGCCATTAGCTGCTTTCTGCCCTAAAAAAACCCCCAAGTCTGGTAAGTTTGGGAGATAATTGCTGCCAGTCATTGTCTAATTTTGTGATGCTATCTTAAGGGGTTTTAGAGACATATTGTACCATGAAGGTTTTTAGGCTGGTAGAGGAGGGGTGGGTGGGGTAAAGTCCTAGGGCACAACTTCCCTTTTTTAGAGTTAACTGTGTGGAACATGCATGCTTCCAGATGTTGACCTGAATAAATCCTGATTACTTGCCTTGTTTCAGAAGAAGCCACCTAGAATTGGATTTGGTAATATTTACAGGCAGGGCAGAGTATTCTGGTTCAATGATACCAAACTTTTCATGAGGGCATTTTGACTTTCTGTTTTCTCAGAGCTTGAGGTATGAGTCCTTCATATCAGGTGGCCACTTGCTTTAGTTTCTATGGAAACATACCTTTTTGAGGACCTGGAATTCCACCTCTGCAGCATCTTCACTTCGGACCCACAGCTGGTTCTGTATACCCCAGAGAACAATCAGGGTCCATTTTAGGCAACCGACCTCCAAAGTCTTGGCCAGGGCAGGTTTTGGGTTGAGACAGAAACCATAAAATCTGAAGAAAAGTAGAGCCTGAAGTGTTATGCTTGGTATAAGGAGCAGAACTCATTTCTTTTTATGTTTGTATTGATATCTCATGTCTGTATGTTTATGGCAAGACAGAACAAGAGAATACGGGTTATTCGACTATTTGTCTCTCCTCTCCTTCCCCCTACCTCTCTTGATTGTGCTACTCTGATGAACCTTGCTGAGGGCATTTTGTGTGTCTGCATAAAATGCACAGCAAGAAGTTAAGGCAAGGCCAGATGGCTAGGCATTTTCTATGTACTTGCTTGTGGTCATTTTTCCTTAAGCAACTCTTTTCAGGGAGACCATTAATGCTAAATTCCCTAAGGAAATGGAAAGGAATCAGTACCTTCCATCATTTATGGGATAGCCTTCCCATGTCAGAGAGATCAGCTATGGGATGCTCCATATATAGAAAATACACTAGACTTTGTTTTCAACATCAATAATTCCGAAAGTTGATGCTTTTACCTTTTTTATTTTTCTGGAGCTCTTTTGATTCTACAAGTTTCTTTAGGGAGGGAATCTTTTTAGGGCACTTACATATCTTTAACATCTTCTGGTCTTCTTTTCAAGAAGTGAGGTGCATCACTCAGGGCAGTGTTGCAAGAACAAGAGAAGCAATTTCTCAAAGAAGAGGAGGATATTGCATCTGAAGCTGGGATGATTAAACTGAACTGCAAAAGAGGCCATTGATAGGTTAAGGCAGAGTGACTATTTAAATACAAAAGCTCTGAATCTGTGAATCAGGATGGTGTTCTTGAGCATTTTCTTAGCAACAATACCACCCTAGTGCTGATGTTTTAGTCTGTTGTGGCTGCTATAACAAAATGCTATAGACTGGGTGGCTTATACACAACAGAAAATTATTTCTCACAGTTCTGGAGGCTGAGAAGTCCAAGATCAAGATGCTACAGATTTGATGTCTAGTGAGGGCATATTTCCTGGTTCCTAGATGGCTGTCTTCTCATTGTGTCCTCACATGGCAGAAGGGGTGAGAGACCTCTCTAGGGTCTCTTTTGTAAAGGAACTAATCTCATTCATGAGGACTCCACCTTCATGACATAATCACCCCCAAAGACCCTACTTCCAAATACTACCACATTGGGGATTAAGTTTCAGCATATGAATTCTGGGGGGACACAAACGTTTAGTTGATAGTAGTTAGTTACAACATAGGCCCTTGATAGAAAGTGGTTGACTCACTACTGACTTATCTGTTCTACACTGAGCTAAACCCCAAATTTTTGTTCCTGTTTTTGTTTCTTATTATTTTATTTATGTTTATGCTCAAAAAGCTTTAGAAAAATTGGAGAAGGGACTTATGGTTACACTATCATTTGCAAATCTTTTGGAAATAATGATCTTCAGGAGGTCAAGGGTACTAAATTCCCATCTCCTCATTCCTAGAGCTTTACAGTAGTAATAATTAGTGGAGACCATTGCTGTGTGCAGGGGAAGAGGCCAGGCAGGCAAGAGAAATGGATATTCTAGTTTTCTTCATGGAGAGTTGACAGCACAGACAGGGAGAAGGAGACTTTCTCAAATTCTGTCCCACAGAGACCAGGCTTTGCCAGCCTGATGAATGCCAGACATGCTGGTCTGGGATGGATGGGAGGATGGAAGAAAGGCCTTAGCCAAAAAGTCACAGACTTGTCTGCTTCCCCACCAACCCCCCTACAACTCTTGGTTTCCCAGCCTCGCTTCTGCCCACCGAGAGAAATAGGCTTATAGCAAAACCCTTGGCAGAAATCAATGTTCAGCTGTATGGATTTGTCTTCCTTAATGCATAAGGTCTTGGTTTTGTTCTTTTTGGTGGTTTTTTAATTTCAAAGGAAATTTAACATTGACATTAAAAAATATTTTGGGTTCATATCCAGGTACCCTCTCCAAAAATATTTTTTAAAACTGGAAATATTATTGATAGTGACTTCTATATCCTTTGTAGTGCTTTTATGTATTTTTAAAAATGTTTATAACTAATATGTATTACTTCAGAAAAATAGGTCAGATTAAAACTGTAAAAATAAATCACTTATAACTCCCCCAGGCTCCCACATTTATTTCCATTTTGAAGCATCCTCTCTTTTGGTGTTTGTCAGTTTTGTGTGCATAGTTTTGACATACTTTAAAAAAAATTATTGAGATCACATTTACATAACATAAAACTAACCATTTTAAAGTGAATGATTTAGTGGCATGTAGTACATTCACAGTGTTTTGCGACCACTACCTCTCTCTAGTTTCAAAACATTTTCATCACTCCAAAGTAAAACCTCTTACCCATTAAACAGTTTCTCTGCACTTCTCTGCATTTTCCTCTTCCCCCAGCACCTACAGCCACCAATCTGCATTCCATCTCTATGGATTTATTTATTCTGGATATTTAATATAAATAGAATTTTACAGTATGTGAGCTTTTGCTTAGCATACTGTTTTTGGAGGTTCAGCTAGGCTGCAACATGTATCAGTACTTCCTTCCTTTTTATAGCTGAATAATATTCTGAATAATGTTCCATTGTATGGATATACCACATCTTGTTTGTCCATTCATCTGTTGATGGACCTTTGGGCTGTTTCCACATTTTGGCTATTGTGAATAGTGTTGCTATGAATGTGCATGTACATGTTCTTATTTGAGTATCTGTTTTCAGATCTTTAGAGTATAGACCTAGGAGTTGAACTGCTGGTCTGTAAAGTGGTTCTATTTTTAGCTTTTTGAGAAACCAACGAAATGTTTTTCATAGTGGCTGAACCAATTTTCACTCCAACAGTATAGGACATTTCCAGTTTCTCCACATCTTAGCCAACACTTGCAATTTCCATTTAACATACTTTTAACCATTGTGCACATCATTTTATGCAATTGATTAAATATTAGGTTTTAAATTTGATATTAACCTCTAACGTTTGCATGTTCTGGAGCTTTCGACATTATCTGGCTTGCCACTTTGGAATAATTTTGTTCTATTACTCTGCTTTTTGTCAGATCCTGTAACTCATTCCTGTAATGTTACATTTTGATAATTTTTGAACACTGTGTTTATTGGTGGAGCGAATTCTCTTTTGCCTTAGAGTGATCTCTGTATTAGACACAGGGGATTGTACATGTTGGCCCCTGACCTATTTTATGGGCTACATAAACTTTTTAAAAAACGTAATATTTGAAATAGAGCACTGTCTGGAAAGCCAAGTAGTGGTGCTCACATTTTGTTCCTGTTGGAAGCTCTTTGGAAAATAGGAATACATGGGTGACAGAGAAGAGTGAACAAATGGGGAAGGGTGTCTTGAGTGTGCACTTTCCTTCAGCCTTACCCATGTTCCCACATTTTCATCTCACACCTGGCAAATGGATGAGGAGGAATGAGAGAGATAGGCCAGTAGAGTTTAGGGGAGTGAGGGAGAAGCAGGGGTGACCTTGCACCCATAGGAATAACAGGATAAAGGGCAAGAATAATTACCTTAGGCCGATCTGTTGCTATAATTCAACTGGTAAATTAAGCCATCAGAGAAAAATGACAGATGGCAAAATTCAGAGTTTCTTAAGCTTGGCACTATTGCCATTTTGTGCCGGGTAATTTCTTGTGGGAGGACTGTGCTTTGCGTTGTAGGATGTTTAGAGCCTCCCTGGTGTCTATCCACTAGATGCCAGTAGCACTCCCACCACCCCGAGACATTGCCTGGGGGACAGAATCATTTCCAGTTGAGAACCACTGGGCAAAGTAAATAATAATAGTCAGAATTTTTTTCACTTAACAATTGGCATTGTCAGTAAGTTGTTATTTAAAAGCTAGTATTCATTGAGGCCCACTATGTGCCAGGCACTGTGCTCAGCATTTTCATTGGTTTAGTCCTCAGCAAATATTTGAGTGTCTGTTCTACTAGGAACAGAATCTATAATGTGGGCTAAACACTGGCAAACTCCTGCCCCCGTGGAGCCTTTGTTATGATGAAGAGAGGTGTATTAGAACAATCACACAAACATAACGTTGCAAGCGTGCTAGGTGCTGGGGAAGGGAGATCTTTTGGAGGACTACAAAAGCAGTTTTCCAATGCTTCCTTTGAACTGGACTCACTTCTGAGACCATAGCCTGCATTAACTCATGTGGCCCTTATGGCAAAATCATGATGTAAGTACTAGTGATCAACCTTGTTTTGCAGAGAAGGAAGCTGAATGTTACATGGGCAAAAGTCATACAGAGAGTGAGTGGTGGAGTTTGGGTTTTGAACACAACGTGTTGTCTTCAGGGCCTGAGCTTTTAATTACCACCTTGGACAACTAGCAGTGGGATCTAAAGAATGAAGAGATGTCAACTGGGTGAAGAGGGGAGGGAAAAATGTTCCGAGGAAGAGGGAAAGCAATGAACATGCCTTGAAAGCAGAAGAGAGAATAAAGGACTGAAAAAAGAAAAATGCCAGTGAGGCCGGGGTGGAGAAAATGCTGGGGAAGAGAACACAAGAGAGGCAGGTGACGTGAGTGGGCATCACCCCGTTTTAGGGCCTTACAGGCCATGCTAAAGAGATTTATTTTTATCCAAAAGGCAGTGATGAGCCACAGAGTGGTTTTCAGTAGGGAAAGGACACTCTTAGGCTGCCCTCATTACCATATTTAATATTTGCAACTACCGTGAGGAAGGAATGAAAGCTATTTTACTAAAGAAACAGAAGGTTCTGAGAGAGCTGAATGCTTTGCTAAGGTCACAAGACTGAAAAGTGGTAGAGCTGGGAATGAAACTCAGTTTTCTCATTCTGAAGTCCATTCTCTGAACCAGGACACTCTGTGGCATCCTTCTGTTCTTTCGAGCACAGCCAGGTCAGGAGCACACCTTCCCTTCATGGAAGCTGTTGAGTCGGCTTTGAGTTCTGGGAATTCTGTCCCCACACGTTCTGATCTCGGTGTGGGAACACAGACACGGTTCCTTGCATCTCGACAATCACTCTTTAACTTTGGAATTTTCTAGTCTCTGTTTATTGTCTTTTACTCCAACTCCAATTCACCCTTTCACCCTGCCCACCCCTCAGCCCTGCAATTCTGCCGTGGGACACTGTACATGTGGCCTCTGATAAGAATCACTCCATTCAGAGTCGCTGGCAGGTAGGTGTCCTATTTGCTCAAACAAGCGTGAAGGTCTCCACTCCTCAGATTTCACTGCTGTGGAGCCTGGAACTGTTTGGTTGGCCTTCTTCTGTTCTTTTGGAGATAGTGTGTTTCACCCTCCAGGTAAACTTCAAACTAGTGTTCATTTAAATATTAATTTGCAATTGCACAATCCCTCCTGTGATATTACCACATTCTGTGGGAATTAGGCTGAGTGAGCCTTCTTGCTCACTTTAATCACACATTTCAGCAGTGCCGAGACTTGCAGCAGAGTCGGATTCATTCTTTTACACCATCCAAAACACTCTGCAGAGCTAACCAAATTGAAATGAGCCCCTTCATCTTACGCACGGATAATTAAACTTCAAACACTGTTTATCTCAGTCCCCAAATCCTCAGAATGCAGAAGCAAATTAATTTTAAATCTATATCTGCTTTAAATAGTAATTGTTTAATCAACAGGCTTGATGTATAATTATATTCTTTGTTCGTACTCCTTGCAGGCTTGAATAGACCACATAATTCCTGGGTTGCTTTCATTTCTGTAATTAGATCATGTGACAGATCCTTACTATATTACAGTTGACTATAGTTGCTTCTCTCCCACCCGCTTCTAAGTTTGAAAATGGTTTCTCATGAATTCTTAGATTATAACAGCCCCAGTTTAACAAGGAGCTATAAGTATTTAGCTTTAATCCTTTACTCTTCTTTGACCTAATAATTTACTAGGGAGCAAGTGAATTTTATTGGTGGCTGTGTGCTTTCAGAATTGAGAGTTCTTGTTCTCCTTTTGAACTTCTGTTTTCCCAAAAGGAATCCCTTCTTGACCACATAGAAATACATTGTCTGAACCCCTTGAAATCAATATTATCCTTATATAAGTGATAGTTGAGGTTCAAACTGAGCAAAAATAATATACTAGGGTATTGTTTTCTGATCATCTGGAGTTTCACGGAGAAAGAAGTAATTTTCTTTGTTAGAAAGCATAGATTTATCTCCAAGAATTTATTTTACATGCCTGGCTTCATCCCATAAAAATGAGAGCTGGACATTAGATAATTAGGTCAACACTGAAATCTATTCTTTAATTGGAATTTGTTTCTCCCACACAATATGCCTAATTTTCTGTGATTCTGTCTGTGCTAGAAATATGATTGCTCAGCCAATGTGGCTCTTTTTACTTCCTGTTATCAGTTGTGTCCTCCAGCCTGTTATCTTTCAGATTTGATTTCCCCAGGATCTTGCAATTCTTACTATTTTTCTCATTTTTGTTATTGAGGTATGCAAAATTGGGTAAGGTATGGTAGGTATGGCCTAATAAATACTGTATAAATTGAAAGGCATGATGGAGGTTGGAGAGAGAAAGAACATCATTCAAAAAAACAATAACAACATAAAGTGTCTATACTTAAAGCTCAAAATAACCAGGTTCTTTCCATCATATTTCCAAATTAGATCTAAGTTTGCACTGTCTCTCCTCAGTCTTCTTCCCTATATTCATTTCTTGTTTTTTTTTTTTTTTCCTTCCTGTGGAGTATCTGTGTTTTTGATTACTTTCTCTTACCTATCCAACCATACATTTTTTCAGGCAGCATCTCATTTTGCTATTTGATCCAGCTATGCATTTTTATCAATTCCATAACTGTATCCTGCACATACTTCTGTAACTGCCAGTTTGGGTTTTAAAACATTATTTCCTTCTCCTTTTGGGTATTTGCAATACTTCCCAATAATTTCTGCATTTGTTATTCACCCTTCCAGATCACGCTTGCAAATGCTAAATTAAATGACATGCCTATGGACATCACTACATTCACAGGTTAATAATTACCCTGCTTTAATGGATCTACTAGAGTTTTTTGGTTGGAGAATTCTAAGCCCAATTCCTCTCCTCCTTTTCAGTGGCAGATAAATCATTATGAGGCTTTTATTTTGTATATCTTCGAAGATTTAGAAACCTACATAGTCATACAGAAATAATCTGAAATATATTTTGATTTAGATATCGTCAATTAAGGTCTAGTCAGGGAATATAAACCATTTTTGTTCATTCAGTAGGGGAAATATAATACAGGAAACTAGTTACTCAGGTGATGCTAAAACTGAGAAGCCAAAGAGGAGATGGTGAAGTACCACAGAGGTTGGCAATGGCTGGAAGATCCTTCCACTCTAGCATGGTTGAAGCACAGGAGGGGGAAGTGTTCCACAGCCCAGCTCAGGTTACCGGGCAGAGCTGGGAACTGGGAGAACAGAGGAGAGGACTGCCTGTTGGAGTTGAAGGTCTCAAGAGAAACAGCGCTGCCTAAGATGCTACCCAGGCAGGGAGATGAAAAGACACAAATCTTAGCATCTCCCCTCTTCCATTGATGAGCTGGTGAGCCTCCCACTGGCTGATCTTACCTGGAAGCCACTTCACAAGAAATCCAGTTCCTAAAAGTACAGATTAGAGCAGGGGAAGTGAGGACAGTGGAATTGAGAGCAAAGGGACAAATGACCAACACAGTTGCAGTCAGGTGTGCCTTGAAAGCCTGGCCCAAAGTCCTTTACATGGTTGTCTTTTCAATGAGCTTACCAATTCACTGCTGACCATCACCTGCCTCTCTCTTCTATTTTGAATACCACTGCTAGGCTGGCCTTCCTGAAATACTGTTTTTGTCTTTGCACATGACTCCTGCTTCCTGCTGCATCAAGCCTAAACTCTTCAGGACTTTACTAATCTGGATTGCACTTGCTGACTTAGGTCCAGGTTTAGTTAACATTTGTCTGGGGCCAACTCTGTGCCAGAGGGAAGAGAGGAGAAAGGTAGATTGATACTGGTTGACTGCCTACTATGCTACAGACACAGACGCTATATTGGTAACAGTCGTATACTTTCTCTTACTTAATCCTCAGGTATTATTTTCATGTTTCAGTAGGATAATGAGGCTCAGCAAGGGAAAGTAACTGTTTCAAGATGACACAGTCTGGCTGAATTAGAGCCAGATCCATCTGACACCAAACCCTGTTGTTTCCATGACACCCATCACCATCACCCTCCTGGTTTTATTAATGCTCAGAGAAAATTCATGGTAATAATGATTTATTAAAGTGAAGTGAAAGTAATAACATAATTTATTAAAGTTTTGATAAGTGCTACCAGAACTTTACATTTCTGGTAAGTGCTACCTGACAACTATCTGTTTTAGATTTAGAAATTTCCCGTGTAGTGATTGTCACAAGATCTTACCCACTTATCTTGGTTCAATTTCTATTTTCTCCGTGATATTCCCCCCTACTGGCAATCCCACATCAGGCTCTCCTTTCTTTGAGCTTCTCTGATGCTTATACCATGTATATGCATGATCTCATTGAGTCTAAGTGCTTCATATAAGGGACATAAATTCTGGTAAGCTGTAAATAGTAACAACAATTCTCCCTTATATTTTCCCTCTATCTCTTTATAAAATCCCACTCTAGTGACAGAGTTAACCTTTAGCGACTTACTGCCAACCTGTTTTCAGGGACGTGATAAGTGTCTTGCAGTTTAGTCAGAACTCCCTTTAATGTGCATTAGTATCACCTAGTGAATACTGTTAAAATAGATTTTGATTCAGCAGGTCTGGAGTGGGGCCCGGGATTCTCTTTCTCCAGCAAACTCTCAGGTGATGCTGACGTTGTTCATCCAGGCACCAAGCTTTGAGTCGTGGGTCTAGAACACAGAGTTACACATCAAAGGCAGCTGACAGCTCACCCAGCACATTCATCACAATGGACGTGAGGAAGAGATAGTTACAATACCCTCAAAACTAGGGAGCTGACACATTGGCAGATCACATAAAGGGGAAGAGGAGAAAGGGATTTATATTATGTTATAATAGTAAGAGTAAGTTGGTGGAGATGGGGCTGGCATTAAGTGTTGTATGGTAAAGATTTGTTTTCCTTTAAAGCAAAGTTCTTCTCGTCTCCTGACATTTTAACATCTTACTTGAGGGAAGGGTGAATGCAGGAATGTGAGGGGCAATGGCCTCTGAAGGGTTCTGGAAAGGGAGAAAGAGAAGTCTGTTCTTAGACTCGGCTCTGACTTAGGGATCTCCAAAGATGACAAGGCAGAAATTCCAGATCTTGGTTTGGGGGCTATATTGGAAGATGCCTCTGATGAGCTATGATGGCTAGAGTTTCTTGCTCTCTTTTGCCATGTTCTGGCTGCAATGAAGGGCAGGAGAAATCAATCCTAAAAGAAAGGAGGATAGCTGATGATGTGAACATCACATGTGTGCACACACACACACGTGTGCACATGCAGGCATACACACACAACTGCAGTGTGCTTTTGGTGGCTGGGATACTGATGTGTGGTGTTTAGCAGGGGTTTCCCACTCAGCCGTCTCCCCTAACCATGTGTTGGAGCCTGGAGAATGTTGGAGATTTCACTCAGGAGCAAGTGTGCTGGTCCTTCAGCCTCATGAGGTGGGAGTGCTCTGGGCACATTGTTGACTGCCTGTTAGGGATTCTTGAGGAAAAATGGGAAGATGGACACTTCTTTTCCCACCACCTGCCCTGGATGTCAAGAAAGTCTGCTGAGGTGACTCCGCAATTGTTAGAATCAAACTGAATATTTTAATAGAGATTGAAGATTACCTGAAGTGCTAGATAGAATCAATCTTACTTTCATTTTCAAAATCAATACTGTATTTCCTATAACTCAATCTCCTTGTCTCTCTCCCAAATCCTTGTTGTTGATAAGAAATAATCATTACTGCCTTTGTCAGACATTTATCTATGATCCATACCATCTGCTGCAGAGTTTTCAGTTTTATTTTAGGATTTTAATGAAGTTTTTTATTTGCTCATTTTATATATCTTAGACTAACCATTACTTCAAGGACTCAGCTCAGATTTCCTCAAACCATCTGGAAGAGGACTGGATCAATCTCATGTACATCTTTGATTTTGGAACAGAGTCAGACTTTTTTTTTTTAAGATTTATTCAATTTTCCCTCATTGATCATGTTCCAGAATGTCCTAGCCCACTGCTTAAATCTTATTCATAATGTGATATTCCTAGCTACTAAAAACTGGTGATTTTTATTGATCTTGCCATTTTTGTGTGGTCATCTTTGAAAAATATTGGGATGATGGAGTTGGGGAGAAATAAATTAACTCTGATAGACATAAATATTAAGCATAAGAGATTACTACTCTATTCTCTAATCTCCTATTAACCTTTAGGAATTTCTGATTTTGAATTTGGCTAAGTTTATTGCATCTCTACTCTCTTCTAGAAAAGACTAAATTCCCCAAGTGTCAGGATCTGCAGGATCTGGTATTTTCATTGGTGTCTCTTGAACTTGACACATAAACGCTCAATAAATACCAGGTAATCAATGAATGATTTATCTCACTGACCTGTACTAAGGTCCAGCAATAGGAGCCCTTTTGAATTCTGCAAAGAACTGGGTAGGAGATGCAGGCAAACCTTTTCCTTTATGAAGGAAGGTCAGTTTCCCTAAAGTTAGTATCTTTGATCCTTTCTAGTTTGTTCCTTTTGTTCCTCCCTATCTATACGCAAGCATAGATACTCTATTTCTGTGTGGAGAGATTCTATATAGAAACTCAGCTTTGATTTATAATTTCTGTTTCTGGTGAAACATCTGACCCCTGGAGGTGGCGGGAACTGCAGAGATGGATGGAACCACAGATGGAGTTAGGCAGAAGTGGGTTTGAGTGCTGGCCTTACCTCTTACCAGTGATGGAATCTTGAGCGTGTCGCTAATGCTCAGAGTTCATAAAGTGACGGCGTTAATGAAGAAGAGGAGATAACATGTGTCTTAATAAGGCCTCCAATGCCTTGTCCGACCCGGTCCTAATCCACCCTAGCATTCTCCCCTTGCTCTCTGAATTTCACCCACACTGCTGCCTTTTAGCTCTTCAAAAGCTTCAAGCTCCTGTATGCCCACCATAGGGCCTTTGCCTATGTAGTTCCCACTGCCTTCCCCATTCTTGTCTAGTTGACTCACGATCATATTAGAGCTCAGCCAGAGTACCACTTCCTCAAGGAAGCCTTCCCTGATCTTCTCCAATTAAGTGAGATTTCCTCAGAAGGTGCATTTTGAACTCTATAAGAATTCCCACAATTGCCATTAAATAATAATTGTGTAATGAGTTGTTCAATTCCCCCCACTCTTTCCACTATATGAATATAAACTCCATGTGGACAGAAATCATGCCTATCTTCTTTATCTTTGTATCTGCAGTGCTTGGCACATGGTAGTAGCTTAATGAATGATGTTATATGAATGAATACACAAATGAAAAGTAATGAATAAAATCCAAATGCAAACTAGATGCACAATAATGTTTATTTTCATCCTATCCTCCCAGTTGCCTTCTTTTCTGAAGCTTTGCATGGGACAGTAAGGAAAATTAAAAGAAACCATGATTTGAATGGATGCATCCTGGCCTCCTTCAGTTGTCTGAAAATAGCTCCCTCAGCCATTCGTCAAAGTCCATGACCCTCAACCCTCACCTTGCACTAGAATCACCTGGGTAGCTTTTTAAAACTGCAGATAAAATTTCAATCATGGTCTGGTGGCACTGGCATTTTTAAATGCTGGAAAAGGTGATTCTAACACGTAGCCAGCTCGAGAACCACTGCTTTAGGTTATTTTGAAAAGACATGTTAAAATTCAAGACTCTTACACAGCACTGTATGTCTGTTGGAATAGGTTAATATGCCTTAGCATCTGACCTGCGTTTTTGCAGAGTGTTCAGATTGGTCCTATGAGAAAGGGATGGAGGGGCATCATCACAAGGCTGGTAAAGGCCCCACATGTGTGCAAGCCCAGGGTGGGCACAGTCGGGTGGAGTCCTGCAGAGACAAACCTCACCTTCTCTCCAGCATTGCCCAGGCCAGCCTTTTCCCAAGTACAGCAGAGTTCCTGTTATTATTTCCATGGAGTGAATCACACTGGGATAGTCTTGGATGTGCCCTTTCCTAGATGAAAAGTGCTGGAATGGGTTTCTAGCGTGGGAACAGCTTCAAGGACATTGCCCCTGGAAGGTATGATAGAGGGGATGGTTTGAATGTGCTATGGCAGGGGATTTCAAAAGCCAGTTGGCAAAGATTATGGGAAAGGGCAAGCAAGCTTTGGCTTCAAAGAATGAATTTTTAGAGGTTTTTTTTTTTTTATAAACAAGGAAAATAGGAAAAATATAGAATCATAATCTGGGGCGTAAAAGCTCTCTGGTATAGCAGAAATGCTAAATCTTAGAACTCTGTTGAAGCAGGGGTTGGTAAACTGTGGCCTGTAGGCCAAGTCCTGCCCACCACTTGTTACTGCTCAACTTGTGAGCTGAGAATGGTTTTTACATTTTCAAATGGCTGAAAAATAATCAAAAGAAAAATAATATTTCATGACCCATGAAAATGATATGAAATTCAGATTTCAGTGCTCATAAATAAAATGTGATTGAAACACAGTCATGCTTATTCATTTAAGCATTGCTGGCTGGTGGCTGCTTTAGTTCTTCAGTGACAGAGGGGAGCAGTTGCAACAGAGGCTGTGTAGCCCACAAAGCCTAAATTATTTACTGTTTAGTCCTTTATAGAAAAAAGTGTGCTGACTCCTGTGTTAAAGAATCAGAAGAGGAGCTGACTAGAAGGATTAACCATGGGTGAAAAAGGGGAGTGAGAGATCAGAGAAAGGAGAATAATAATAGTATTGTAATGGTTACTTGCTAAGTGCCAGGTATTTTATGTGCAATACCACTTTTAATCCTCTCAGTTATCTTTGAGGTAGAGTCAGGGTCCCAGCCAAGCACAGATGCCCACTCCAAGTAGGATAATTGGAAGGCGGTTTGGTAACTGGAGTGTTTATAGAGTAAGACCTGTGGTAAGGATCCATAAGAGATAGTGCAGTGTCCCAGGCTAGTGACAAAGAACTGGTTACCACCTCTAGGCCTGAAGCATTGAGGGAAGAGAGGAGGTTCCAGAATCCAGAAGGAAAGAGTTATGCAGATAGGGCTGCCTTGAGAGCAGCAGTGACCTTCAGTTGGAGGACACAGCCAGTCAGATAGGACCGCACAAGGAGCTGAGGCCATCAACAGCCTGCACTCACTCTTTTCTTCCTCCAGTCTCTTTCTGGGGCAGGAGTCTGTTGGATACAACCAGGGCAGGCTGTTGGACTCAAAGAGGGAGGCTGCTGAGGAGTTTCATCCAGGTCAGTCTCCTGGGGCAGAAAGAATAGTGAAGGGTGTAAGGGGATCTGTCGGGCATACCAGTACAGGTGGGTACCACTGTCATCAGCATTCTCCCCGCAACCCCAGCTGGTCCACTTATAAATGGTCAAAGCTAGGTTTAGGAAGGTTAAACTGTGTCCCTCAGTACACGCTGAGCTGGGACACTCTGATTCCAAGACCCTTTGTTTTAACTATTATGTTATCCTGCATTGAGATGGAAGAAACCTTGAGGGGATTCAGGTTTCCTCCCTCTCAGCTTGGGAATAGCTTTTGCAGCATATTTTCACGTGATCCTTTGGCCAATACTTGAATATCTGCCTACATGGGTATTAGTGACTGTCTTGTGGTCATTTTTGTCTCCACTGGGGGGATTATTCTTATGACTGGGAAGCTTTCTCTTAGATTGGACAAACCCAGGGGGTAACATTTACTAATCAAAAAAATCAAATCTATTTTTAATTGATACATAGAAATCTGAAGCTCTGTTTTCTCCTTTACTCATTTTCTCAGATGTTACTCTTCAGAATTAGTAGGGAGATTCCTCTCTTACTATTTTTCTGTCTTTGAGCCCCTGGATGTCCTTTTTGTATTCGGGTTTTTTTAATTTTTTTTCGAGACAGATTTTCAGTCTTCACCCAGGATGGAGTGCAGTGGCATAATCATGGCTCACTGTAGCCTTGACCTCCCAAGCTCAAGCAATCCTCCCCTCTCTGCCTCCCAAGTGGCTGGGACTACAGGCACATGCTACCACACCCAGCTAATTTTTATATTTTTTGTAGAGATGGGGTTTTGCCATGTTGCCCAGGTTGGTCTCGAACTCCTGGCCTCAAGTGATCTGCCTCGGTCTCCCAAAGTGCTGGGATTACAGGCATGAGCCACCACTCCTGGTCCAGTTATATGATTCTTTTATGGACACTCCCTCCTGTAGCCAGATGGTCACTTCCCATAGTCTTTATCTTTCAAAGTCACAGCCTAAACATCAGAAGGAATAAAGGAACCACTGGGCTACAAATTTTTCTTCTACTCTTTTTAAAAGTTTGAGCTCTTAAAAGCAGGGAAGGCTGCACAGTTCCATGTAAATCCGTAGAGGTGGGTAGTAGCCGGGGAGAGTGGTCAGTGATACATCCTGCAGGCTGTGCATACCCACCAGGAAGAAGGCTCACCTCATGACTGGCCGCATCAGGCCATATGTCTTCCTTTCTCATGCTGCAATGGGAAGGCATGCGGGACACCCTTTCCTGGCTGTGGTAGCAGGATACCTCAAACCCACTGGTGCTTAGGAGTCCTTTTTGTTCCATGGAACATAGGATGTGGTTTCTTTTTCAGAATAAGTCTAGGACCGGATAAAACTTTGTGAACTCTGATGACGGTAACAGTGATAACAATGACCTTTTATTGAGTGCTTAATCCTTGGTAAACCAAGAATAGTTCTCACCATTTACCATTTGTGTCCAATGGACCCTTTTTGTGTTTTTATATTTTTTAGTCATTTTATGAGTAATTTACAGAAGACCAGATATATTATGAAAAATAACTTTATTAAAAATTTTAATAAAAATGTAAACATAGCAAACTCCAGTTTTTCTTACCATATTTTCCTGGTGTAGAAGGTATTGATGCCTACAATTTTTGGGCAACTTCCTTCGAATGCCATTAACTGGTGATCAATTGTCATGCATGATTCTGGAACATGTTGGTCTTAGAAATACAGCATTGATTCCAAATTTCAAGTCCATCTCTAAAAGTTTAGCTTATCGTTACCTCTAATTTTATCTTCTTGCAGTTATATCATCAAAATAAAATATTTTTAAAAACTGTGGCTCATGATTTGTTTAAAAGAGGACTCACATCTTCATTCTATAATTGCAAAACATTTTCATGTTTTATCAATTAGAATGATTCAATTGATTGTTTTGGTTTCCACATTATTTTCTTCCATTCCCCTTTCAGTACACACCCACCTAGTCCACTTATGACCCATATTAAGCAAATTTTGGTGCACAACCACATAAGAGACAAAAGAATATTATTACTTTTTTTTTTTTTCAAAACGGGAT
The DNA here is from genome assembly GCF_000001405.40 of Homo sapiens. Classification (NCBI taxonomy): domain Eukaryota; kingdom Metazoa; phylum Chordata; class Mammalia; order Primates; family Hominidae; genus Homo; species Homo sapiens. The sequence continues at coordinate 68,663,440 of NC_000005.10, read as the reverse complement.
GGTCTATGTTCTGATCACAGAACACTGCATGATAAAGTTCTTCCTGTTGAGTTACTAACTCATTGAGGACACGATATTTCATTTTTGTCCTTAAAAATATAGTGTCCATTTATTGATTCTAGACTTTGGAAAAATTCACTTAGGATATTGTCATCTGAAAACTCACAGTCTAAAATTTTGCTTATATGAAATCTCTTTGCATTAATCTTATGATTTGTTTAATAATATGAAACATCTTCCTCTGTAAATTTGCTTATCTTTGCCATTGTGGTTGGAAAATAAAAATTATGGATGCTCAGTTGTGTATAAAAGATGAGAAGAAACTACAAAGATGGTGTCTTTACTGTTCTCCTAAACCTTCTTGAATGATTCTACAATACTTGGGGCAGGACAGCAGGAAAACTAAAAGGTGATGTAATAGCCACAGTTTAGTTCATTATTGCATCAGCCTTTTATGAAATTATATCATTTTTCCATTTCACATTATTTTAGTGTTTTTAAACACAGTTGGGAATAATTGGTGAGTAATGATCAAATGATGACTAGAATGATGAATAGCAAAATGTTTCAAGATATAAGAAAAAGAAAATCACTAAGATTCCATAATATAGCTTGGATTTACAAAAATTGCAAGATTGACTTTTATTCTATTTTTTAAATAGTAAATTTTCTCTTGTTATTTGGAAGACCTCTAAGAAAAAGTAAAAGCAATGTAATATCAATCCCTACAAATAAATTGCTCAAAAATAAAATCCAAAAGCTAAAATGGGATCCTGTGTTTCCTGATGTTATAGTTAACGTGTTAGACACCATATAAAGAAATTTATAAACGTGACTAAATCCAGCTAATGGATTGAAAAAAAGAATAAAGTTTCAGTTGGAGATGATGAAAATGTTCTGGAGATGGAGGGTAGTGATGGTTGCACAGCAATGTGAATGTACTTAATGCCACTGAACCATACCCTTAAAAATGGCCAAAATTATAAATTTTATTATGTCTATTTTACCACAACAAAAAAAAGGCATGTTTATTGAATGCTTACTTTGTGTCAAATACCTGATGTCATCAGTGCAGTTATCACAGTGACATGAGTTAAAACTATCTCTCCTCCAGTGGATGGGGAAGGCTGACAGAGACTAAGTAAATTGCCCAGAATCACAACTGGTCATGGCAGAGCAGGAGGAGGATTCCAGCAGAAAGCCCCCAGAGCCTCGTATATAACCACTACAGTGCTTGTGAGGCCAGGCTGGGGTGCAGAGGCGTCATTCCCCTGGGTGTGCCATGCCCTCTTTCTTCTTTCCAAACTCTTAGGTGATCTGGGATTCCTTAGCTACCTCCTCAGAATCTCTTCTGATTTCTTTCAAGGCTCTGTGGGGAAAAAAAAAAAAAAAAAAAGCTTTGTACGTAAGACCACTTGTACTCTCGGCCAAAGCAGCTGCTGACATCCTCAGAAGTGAAGACAAGCATGCCCGTGTCCCAAGGGCTGGAGGAAAACAGTCTCCCAGCACCCCTCCCAAACCAGCCATCATCTGCCTCCACTGGACTTGGTTCTATGTGGCCGCCTCCACCAGACTCTGCTTATAAATGGCCAGGACACCTTCCACCATGTCTATTAGCCACTTTTCTGCCAGGTGGTGGTAATTCTCACTAATTTGTACCAGCTTCATAGATGTCAAGCCAAATTTCATTTTATTATGTTTTTGAAGAAGAAATATTGATTAGCTGGGTGTTAGTGAAATTATTTTCTACAAGTTGGGTGATGGAAAGAGATTTCAAAGTATGCCTACTATCTAAAACACATTTACAAATGATATATGCAAACATTATTTTAATAAAAATTACATTGGTGTGAATAAACAGAGTGTGAGCAGGCAGCATAATAATGTCTATTTTTCTGAGTGCAAAAATACACAGTTCAAAGATAAATCTGTTTTAGGGCAAGAAGGTAATTGGGGTAAAGAGCAGGGAGTGTGTCTTAGAGCTGTGGTTCCTGACTGGGCCAGCTGAGGGCAGTGGTTCTGGTGAGAGCAATTGTCGGCTTAGAGGCCTAGAGTTTCCTAAGGATGTCTGCTGAATAGTCATTGTGAGTAATTAGGAGAAAGAGTATCTCTAGCATTAACAGGGCCCAGTTAGGGTGAAGGGTGATAGGAAGTGCCCAGACTGCCTACCTACTGGGTTTCTTAAAGAGGTCCTGGCGGTCCCCGAGGTACATGCTGGAAGTGCAAATCCTAGTGCCCTACCCATAGATTACTGAGTCAGAAATCTCTCAGGTGATTCTTTTTCACAGTCAAGGCTGAAAATTACTGCTGCGTTAGCTTCTCTTCAAGTGGAAGCATGGAGTTGAAGACAATAGAAGGAACTAGACCAAGATTAAATGCTGGGTTTTATGGGATTGCTATAGAGCCATGTAGGATCCGATGCAGGATCCGGGAAGTAGAAATGCAAGAAGAGAGTCAGAAAAAGAGATCTCCTAGGAGACTGTTAATTTACTAGCCTGGTTGGAAATACAACGCATGGAAACAGGTGAGGCAGACAGAGTCATCCAATTGCAGGGTCGGAACTTGGAAGGCCTGAGGCATGAAGGGAACAGGGTGGGGGTGCAGTCCTCACTATCGGGAGGGCTGAGGGCCACACCACAGTGCAGGACCGAGAGGCTGGGGCCAAAGGAGCTACTGGGTCCCAAGTTCTGTCCTGGAACAGTAATAAGCCGTCCTGCACCTGTCCTTGGCTCCAAGGCTAAACTGGAAAGCCCAGTTTCCCATCATGCCTTTCCAAGTGGTTGCAGTCACAGGAGGTCCTGTTATAAATCCAACTCCCAAGTTTCAGACATGGGAAACTGCAATGTAAGATGCGTCTTTAGAGCTCAACAAATGGACTTGCCTTGAGGGGCTGGTGAAGGTGACACCCATCCACCCGACTTCCTTGCCCTTCGTGGGAAGAGCAGTTCAAATGTTGGGCTCAGTGTGAGCAAAGCAAACAGCACAGGTTGAGAAAAGAAGTGAACTGTTGGGACTCAGGAACCCGTGTGTGTGTGTGTGTCTGTGTGCACGCCAAGTGGAGAGGGCAGCCTACAGTGGGCTTTGCAAGTTTGGAATTTATCCTGAGGACAATAGGAAGCCATGGAAGGGTATTAAGCTACAGAACAAAGTGATCAGAATTATGCTGAGTCTAGGAAGTGCTGTTGCTTGGCTGGTTAATTTGATCATATCAACAAGAGAATCAGTACGGGGTCAAATTGGTTGCATTCCTATTTGTTACTGAGACAAAAAAATACAGATTTTGAGGAATGTGATAGTGGCTAGTCCCCTAAGTCCAATGACTAGGTTGGCGTCTGTCATCCTCCCTTAAACAAAAATTCTTCACTTAACTCTAAGCAGGAAATGAAAACGTATGTTCTTGGGGTGACTTCATCTTTTGGAATTTTCTCATATATTTTTCCAAAATTCCAAAGCAATTGTTACAAAAAGGACACAAATATTAATGGCTTAAAAATTTGTCTGTAAATTTGCTTATTTTTCTGAAAAAAAAAAAAAAAAAAACAACAACAAAAACAAAACAAGGAAATTAAACTAGAAATGAATGAAATTGGTTATTTATAGGGATCAGTGAGAACCAAATGCAAGTCATAGGGAAGAAGATGGAATTTCTCTGGGGATCCCTTTTGATTTGGTTTTGTGTTTCAAAGTGTGTTAAAGGTTTACATTTCCAAAAAATAGAATTAAGAAATGGAAAAAAGATGAAAATTGAATTCAAGCAGAAAAAACCCAAAATTACATGAAATAGATAAAAATCACAGATTAGAAAAAGTACTCAAGTCACTTTCGAACAAAGTATGCTGATTGTACAACCCAACATAACATTTTCTAAGAATAAAAATGAAACGGTATGGAAATCTTGAACTCCACTTAATAAATTGTTGATAGTGTGTACTGCAGGACCAGGCAAATGGGTAAACATAACAAGGTTGTTGGGAACCTGGATTCTCACTGTGGAAAAAGAAAGGTACAAATGTGGACTGGGATATCATGGCCCCTGCCTGAATTAATTATCATTATGATGGTTACAAAATGACAATTTTCTATTTCTAAATTTCCTACTCATTTATTAGTTGGTATTCTTCTCTAAAGAGGAGTGTTCCATTCTTCTTCCCACCTTGATTTTTCAAAATATCAGAAAATATATTTGTTCCCTCTAATATGTTATAACCACTTCTGTCATTTGTCATTTTGATGTTTAAATTATCCCAGTTTTCCCAGTGGGAATCCTTTCAAGAAGAATCCTGTGTCTTCTTGACATATCTCCATCTTCCTAAGAAATAAATTTTTGAAATAAAAATAGGTTTATATTGATACCGCTAGGACCAATTCAACACCACAACACAAAACAAACAAATGAAAAAGCAAACATGTCAGCTAAACGCAATGTGAGATCTTTGATTAAACCCTGGAGGCGTGTGTGTGTGGGTGTGCGGGTGTGTGTGGGTGTGTGTATGTGTGTATGTATGTACTTAGATCAGCTGCATAAAACTATAGGGACAATTGAACTTAAAAAAGACCATATTAGAGAATAGTATTATATCAATGTGAAATTTCTGAAGTATGATATGAAAGGAGGAAAACCTTTTGTTGAGATACTCACCTAAGTATGTAGGAGGGAAGTATCCTGAAGCATGGGAAGCTAAAACAATGAATTCTCAAATGATTAAACAAAAAAAAGTGTGTATATGTATACAGAGAGATAAAGCATATTTGGGACAATAAAAATAATTAGTGAATGTAGGTGAGCAATATATGGGTGTTCATTTTACTGTTCTTGCAATTTTCTCCAAGTTAGAGTATTTTGAAAAGAAGTTGGAGGAGGGATGCTGGGTTGCATGAGAAAGACTGTGGAAGACAGGGCTGGGGCTGCACTATACACTTTTAACATCTGCAGGGCATCCTAGAGGGTTCAGAAGGACATGCCACATGGGAAGTTGGCTGGGGGCAAATAGCAGAAAACAGAGCATCTGGGGCAGCAGCTCACTCACAGTGATTTAGGGTCTGCAAGCCTTGGGATTTTAACAATGCAACTATTTGTTTTAAACACACATGTAACATCATTTCATTTTATATGCATACTTTACACATGCAACATTAGGGCCAAATTCCAGCTCCATCCCAGTCCCAATCACTTGATGAGAGGGACATTTATTGGCTTATCTGGCAGATGGGTTTTAGTCCAAAGCTTCTCTTCGTGAATGATTTCAATTCTTGCTCGTTAATCTTCCTGTGAAATCACAGTTAAAGGATTGTGGGTGAACACATCTAAGGTATCCAGTGATCAGCAGTACAGCTTATTTTCTGTCAAGTATGACTTTGTCATTTTTATCTGATACTTACCACACAGCCTCATGCAAAAACAGGTTTGCTTCACCACCACCCCTCCTTCCTGCTCCCCCTTTCCCAGGCCCAGATACAGATTTGTATTCTTGGCATCCTGCTCTTGTTTGATGAGTTTTAGGAGGCTCCAATTCTTGTTTTGTCCCCAGGAGTAAAGCAGCAACTGCTTTAAACTGATAACGACATGATTTTGCTGCCCTATAGACAGTCATTTAAACTCTGTGATATGTGGCCACTGCCTCAAAATTCAAGCAATGGAAATGACATCATTATCAGCCAACTCTTCATGATGAAAAATGACCCACATTAGGAAACAATCTGAACCCAAGGAAACTTTGGTGATCAATCATCACAATTATAACGTGCTGGCCTTTTATGTAAATCCAACCCACAGTGAAGCAGGATTTGGATGGGAGAGTTGGGGGAGGAGAAATCTAGTGGAAAAAGAACATTAGCACAATGTAATTAAGCAAAAGGGAAAGCTTCAGATAATATATGTTTCTCAGGGGACCCTGATAGACCTAAGCTGAAAGGATTGCATCATCATCATTAAAAGCATTTGTTAAATGCCCAGAGCTACAGAGAGATGGGCTGGGCTTTGTGCTGCTTGAAGTTAGTTGAAACAGGCCAAGCCCCTTCCACCAGGAACTTGAGCCCTCCAGGAGCTACCTGGTCGATGAGTAGTGGGCAGGGACATTCCCTCACTGCAGGGGAGCAATTATAACTGCCAGAGGGTGATGTTGCAGCTTTGGAGTGCCTGGCTTTCCCCATTCTACTTTAGTCCCTTCGGGTCATTTGTCCTTTTCAAGGCTGCATGGCCAGCCACATGCTCAAGCTGGTCTCAGTATGAGGTAGAAAGGAGTGGGACTGTCACCATCCATCTGCAAGAAGGCAGAGTGTTTTCAGAGAGCAGAGGAGTTGGGGACTTTGGTGATGAATCATGCCTTACCCGAGGGCATGTATGATTGCACCTGGCCAGCTTCACATGTCTGCATTTGATTCTTAGAGTTTGTGTTTTGTCTATTACCTTTTTCTCAGACCTGGAAAGGTGTGTGTGTGTGTGAATGTGTATGAAGAGTTGCAAGGAAGGTGAGGAAGGACAAAGGGATAACAGATGTGGCTATGTTGGTCCCAGAAAATTGTAGAGAATAAGGCATCTCCTGGTTGCCTATACCTTAGGAAATGTAAAAAGCACAGGGAAGTGAACACTCAGCTCAGCTCAGCCATCCCTTATCAAGGCCTCCAGAGGCTGCAGGTCCATCCCATGGCATGGTGGCTCTGGGCTAGTGAGTGCTCCAAGCAGGATCTCCACATGATGGCCTCCATCTGGCAACACTGGCTCCCCTTCAATCCTATTTTTTCTTAAAATCTTTGTAGTGTCATTTCTACTATGCTTGCTCTCGACTCTACCTATGAAACCTCTTATATATGCACTTCTTATCCTGAAATCGATGTCCAGATTATGAGGCCTTGGCCTACTTCCTCACCTCCTATTCAATACTCTCCTACATGATGCAAATAACCCTTTTCTATCTGCAGACCAATAAAACTGGAAATTTCCCTCTAGGAGTTTGCTCCTTGCATCTAAAGTTCCACCCTCCTATTGAACAACATATTAAGCTTTGTGTGGACTGGTTATTTGATCTCTTTCAGAGTAAAGAGAGGAGCATCCCAGAGAACAAGGCACTGCCCCACTAGGGCAGATAGGATGGGTCTCCAGGGAAAGGGGAAGACGGAGGACCCTAAAGGAAAAATAATATGGAACATGACTTCATGTTGACTCACTGTTCTAACTCTTCACACCAATCATGTCTTTTAATCCTTACACCAATTTTATGGGACTATATAGGAGCTTTATTCTTCCCTTTTGCAGAGGAGGAAGCTGAGATTCAGAGAGGTTAAGTGACTTTCTCATGATTACATAGTTGGTGGGCAGAGCTGGGATTCAAACCTTGGTAGTTCAACTTCTAATACGTGTCTTTCATCATTACACTACTCCAGAGAGGAGAAGCACCTGTTGGGGAGAACTTTGTCAAGAATCCTGGGAAGTAGGTTCTGATACTGCAATTACCCCTGCCCTGCCTCCAGCCCAGGGTACCTTTGTTGTCTCTGGTTGTATCACAGATGTGTGTCCCGGTGGTGGCAGGAGGCCATACCTATCTAGATGGAATGATGGGCCTGATGGCAGAGGCCTCACTTTGTTCAGGTGGAGTCAACTCAAGCAGCTGTGGGATCTTACCCTTGGCAGAAGCCAAGAACCCTCCTTGGGTCACTTTTGGACTTACAGTACTAGCAGCTTTCTAATCTGACCCATCGTGGCATTTTAAACACTGCCAGCAAATGCCCAACTGATTTATCCATGGCAATTAATGAAATCATATCTTGGGATCTGCAGACGTCGTTGGGCATGCATCAGTTGACCTCAGCTGTAGTCTGTGGCCACTACGGAGAGCACCATCGGTTCAGTTAGCTCGGTGAGCATGTGCTGCTGAGTCTTCTCTCACTGTGGTGAGGGGCCGGGGCAGGTTGCACTGTCTGCATGGGAAACACCCTCCTTCACTCTGGGCTAAAGAGGAGGGGAAACAATTTTTTGGAACATTTCCTAAAAAATAGGCAATCTCCTGTGTTCCTCAGAGTAGCTGATGTCCAATCAGCTCTGCCTGTGCTCCCCGCAGTCAAGAAGTTGGTTTCTTTGGATGTTTTGTGTGGCAGCCCTGGTTCATCCCAAACACCCACCTCCATCCCTATAGCTTCAGGCCTGGCTGGGGAAGGGCTATGTGGGACATGAAACGATCATCTCATAGCTATGGTTTAAATCATGCTTTATCTCATGAATAATCCATACGTGGTTACCAGGAGTCATTAATAGTTGTCAGTCTTCATTTTCTAGGTGGTGGGAATTGGGGAGGGTGAAAGAAACATCACTAGGTCTGTTGTCCTCTCCTCACCAGCACTACTCCTGTGACAAGATCAGGTCTTTCTTCCCCACCTAGCAAAGACAGGGGCCATGGGGATTCTCAGGAAATGTTGGGTTGGAAGGGGCAGAAATAAATCACTATAGCTGGGAGCATAGAGTCTGTGTAGAGGAAGTGATCTTCCTTCGTTCATAAAATCCCCATCCATTTGTACCTTTGGTGAGAATACTACTTTCTCCCTGAGGTCTATGGGCTGTATTATCATTAAAATTATCATGATATTTATATTAACTGGCTCACAAAGTACATCACCCATCAGGTCCAGTTTGCTTCTTAAAGCTGGAAGAGTGAAGAGTCCCCCTGAAATTCTTGGGCTCTGTTTCTTTCCATTAAGTTCTTTTGTATATGGTGTATATTCATGATCATATTTTAAACCAGATAATTTTTTCATGCCTCGTTTAACTTGTGTGTCTTTTCAGAGCCTATACCTTGGTCAGGTTTCTAATCAAAGCCAGATAGCATAGGTGAGTGTTGGGATGTGAGGGTAGTAGGGGTTTTGGTGACCAGTACTCAGTGGGTAGAAAAAGGTGAACAGTGTAGTGCTGGGAATGCTGGGGTCAGAAGATCTCGGATCAAGAAATAACTCAAACAGGTATTAGCTGAATGACCTTGGATTTGACTTAAAACTTTCTGAACATCAGCTTCTTATCTGTAAAGTGGAGATAATACTTACCTTGAAAGGTATTGGGAAGGCTCAAATAAGATAAGGTATGGGGAACGGCTTTGGGAACTATACAGTCTTACATATGTGAAAATTATGGCTTCTGATCTTAAGTGTGATCAAATAGTTCTTGAAAGAAAATGGTCTAAGTATGGGGCTTTGTTAAACAGATATTTCTTATTGATTTTTCTCCTAACAGGATTTAATGTATACTCTGTTGTTTTGTGTCTATTTTCTCAAGATATAGGCAAGTTAATAAAGCCTGTGCTTGGCATTGTGTTTGGCAGGGCCCTGCACCTTGCCAGGCCAATGTAGAAACGGGTCGGAGACCGAGCATAGGCAGTGTAACCCAAGAAGTGGGGGTGTGTCTTGGGAAGATGGTTCCTGCCTGATTGCCACGTTGGACCTCTGACCTGCCCCCCGTTGTCCACCTCTGCCAAGATTTTGAGCCACCTGATCTCTGTGGCCAGGTCTTTAGAGGTTTGAGGCTAGGGTCACATCTGTGGCCAGAGTCTGCAGGCCTATCAGAAAGAGAGGTGGTTTGACATTTGAGGAATTGTTCTGCTGTCTACCATGTAGTAAGTGTTGCTGATGGCAGGTGCTGACCCAAGCACTTTATGTGCATTACCCCATTAAATCTTCACAACAGTACTGCAAGGTAGGAGTTATTATCATCTCCATCTTACAGATAAGGAAACTGAGCTCAGAGAGTTTTAGGTCAATTGCTGAAGGTTGACAGTTAATAGAGTGCAGATCAGGAGTCCCATGTGGGTATGTGTGATCCCAAAGGTTGCTCTTATACCAGAATGCTGCTCCAGTGTCTTGCCCAGCTGGGACTTGACAGCAGCCAGAGCCTCAGATCAAACAGTGAGACCAAATGTGGCACTAGGGAGTATCCTCCTCTTGCTGAAGGGAAGAGAGGCAGAGGACTGGGACTGCATGTGACTTCCATCTTGTGGCACTGAGGTACAAGACCCGACATCAGTCATAAAATGAAACATGTCACAGGCCAACTCAACAGGGCTTAAATTGTATGGCTGTACATAGTCCATGTGTACCATGGGTACCTGTGCTTCAAAATCTCTTCTTTAAAGTTGTAACTGGCCATTTAAAACATTTCTTTTCCAAGTAGCTACCCCCATATTTTTTGGGTGGTTTAGAGTGGGAGTGGGGTGAGCTGAATATCATTACAACTCTTTCTTTTAACCTCTTTGATTCTGATTTCGTATTGTTCACTCATAACTTATAAGTTATTGTCTAAAAGGAAAGGAAAGGGATGAGAAAGGAAAGACAAAGAAAGAAGCAGAATGAGAGAAAGAGACAAAGAAAGAGAAAGAAAGAAAAAACGTCAGTTTTTTGTTTTTTTCAAGCAAGATAAGGAAAAGGAGAAAAAGAATGGGGAAAAGCCAAATGTGATCCAGGGTTGAGTAAAGTAGCATGAAACTGAGGACTTTAATGTCTGTTACACCCACCTGAAACCATCACATAAATCTCTACATTACATTCCGCTAAACATGTCAGAAATGCAACTGTGCTTGCAAATAATTGCTGCCATTGAATGAATCCGCCCTGGCACATCCATTTGGGCTCAAAATAACCCCTGTAACCTAAGAGTAAATCAGTGACTGGACACCCAGTGCCAAGCATAATCTCAAGCAACATTTAACTAGGTTCAATATTTATTTCCCTGCCTTGAGTCACTTTGAAATGATCTGGACTCAGTTCAGACAGGACCAGCCCTAATTTTATGGTGCTCTTGGAATCATTCCAGCAACATGAGGGCTCAGATGTCAGGGAGTTCCAGAAAAATGAGATCCCTCACAGAAGATTTCACAATTTAAGGCACCGTCCTTCCAACATTTTGCAATATGTGGGCTTTCTACTGAAGATGTAACTTTTTCAGAGGCTTTGAGGACCCTTAAGAAGTATGCCTCACCCACACTGAACTCCTACTTCATCCCTAGGGATGGGGTGGGCAATGTTAACCTGGTTAACAGCTTGCATAAATAAAATCTCTTAATATCTGCAAATAGGAAAAGACAGGCCCTCAATTTACCCCCATTTTTCAAGCAAATGACATTTCCCAAACAATTATGGAAGCCAGATTTGGGAAGCTTCAAGCCACATTCAAACAGCAGATAACACTCCTACAAGTTTGACAGACACAGGAACACATCAAACAAATAGCAGCCAATTCTCAAGCTTTTGTATCTCAAATGCTCAATCAATAGAAAATCAACCAGTTTTATTGTACACCAGAGATAAATCTGAAGATGGCAGGATTGACTTATAGCTCCCTGTTAAAGGGATATTGAGCTGACATTGAGTGACCTCACACTCAGCCGTAACATTTATCATAAAAGTCTGACATGGTTAAGTGAAGTGATTGATATTGGCCCATCTTGCTCTAAAATGTAGGCTTTCATCTGTTTTAGTTGGGAAAAGAGTAAAGGACCTCACTCATGGAATTAAACATCTTCCTTTTCTTTATTTTTCCTTAATCTATTAATGGTTATCCTTAATTCAGCATAATGGCAGAAATTCTAGAGTCTGTGAAACCTAGGTTCATATCCTAGGGTCATCACTTATCAGCTGTTGAGCAAAATTTTAAGCTCCTCTAAGGGAAAGTTTCCTTATCTGTAGAATTGGGAGAACTGAGTGAGATAATGTAGTTGAAGCAATCATTAAAGTACCTAGGCACACACTTAAGAAATGTTAATCATATTATTATTATAATAATAATCATTATTATAATTTATTTTGACTCCTGACTTCATTATTCTGTCACCCATTATGCTATTAGCACAGTAATAATACCAATAACAACAATACCTATTATAGATACCTTTTGTTGATACCTACTAGGTACCAGACACTGTGCTGAATGCTTTAGATATGTTCTCTCATTTAATCACCACAAAAACCTTTGAAGTTGGTGCTATTATTATACCAGTTGTTAGAAATAAGAAAATTGAGGCTCAGAGACATAAAATTGCTTAAGATCACACAGTTGGCCAGGATCCAAACACACTACATTACACTGGTCTCCCAATCCCAAGTCACATAGATTATCACTTTTTGTCCTATTACACCCTTACGCCCTTAGAGGAACAGAAAACTCTAAAATTTGGGGAAAGTCACTTTATCTCTCTGGACCTCGGGCTTTTCGTCTGTCAATTGAAAAAGTTGGAGTGGATTACATAAGACGTTTTAGGACTCCAGGATTGTAGTGGAATCAGTTGTTCTCAAGAAAGACAAGCTTAGAAATGTGTAAATAGGATTTTATACGTGTTTGAAATGGAGATTGTGTACAGGTATGGCTTGTTCTGCATGGTCACTTTGTGCAGGCAGGCTGGAAGGAGGAAGGTTGCTGTACTTTTTATAATGGCTTAATTCTTTCTTCCCAAGCTATCATAACTCTGCTATGGAGGAAGCAGTCCACTTACCCCAACATGCTTGTTTTCAGTATACATGGTTGTAATAAATTAGCACAATCTTTAATTTGGATAAGTCTTCACTTCCTGCTCCCAAATCTTGATTCTTCTGAGATACTTAACAATAATTCCTTCTTCCCAAATCCTAAAATTAAATTCTCCTGCCATTCTGGAAATAATGTTGTGATTAAAAATCTATTTACATTTGGTCCTCACACTTCAGTGTTGACATAAAATAAAACCACTGATCACTGTTGTAGCGTTAGGATGTTTAAAATATTTCACATCCTGTCCACAAGGTAAGCAGTTTCCAGATATAGTCTGTTTTGAGGCTTGGCTTCCAGGGTGGAGATGGTGGGCAAAGTGAGGAAGAAGTGGCTGGTGAATGGAAGGGTCTAGAGGGGATAGAAGGGATTCTGAACCTCTCCTTTTGGCTAGAACCAAGCCCAGGTCATTTCCTGACCCCCTGCTGCTGGGGTCCGGTGGCAAGACATAGACACAGTGCCCTGACTCTGGGCTCTCATTTCCACCTCTTGAACACAGCTCTCTGCTGTGTTCTGGTCCTGGCTTCCTGACTTGCGATTTATCTTGGTAGTATGACATGCAGAAATATTATGTATGCTGGGTTGGCTCTTCAAAAGTGACCAAGACATTGCCACATTTTGACCTTCTGTTCTATTTGGGTTGAGGCTAAAGAAAAAGTGAGAGAAAAAAATCATCTGCCTTCAGTTTCTAGGACTAGTAGCTTTATGTTGTGCTTATACAGACATTAACCTGTCAGGAGTATTACTGAGTCCTACCAATAATTTCAATAAACTGTAAATTATTGGGGAAAATTAGTATTAGTTAACCTAATTAACTCTAAGGATACTAATCAATTATATGGCTGAATTAGAAAAAAAAAAAAAATCAAGGCCAGGCACAGTGGCTCCTGCCTGTAATCCCAGCACTTTGGGAGGCCAAGGAGGGTGGATCACCTGAGGTCAGGAGTTTGAGACCAGCCTGATCAACATGGCAAAACCCCATCTCTACTAAAAATATAAAATTTAGCTGGGCATGGTGGCACATGCCTATAAGTTCAGCTACTTGGGAGGCTGAAGCAGGAGAATTGCTTGAACCCAGTAGGCAGAGGTTGCAGTGAGCTGAGATCACACCATTGCACTCCCGCCTGGGCGGCAAGAGTGAAACGCCATCTCAAAAAAAAAAAAAAAAAGAAAAAAAATTAAATATGTTTGCTTTAATTAGCTTACATGTGTAGACATAGACCAAGTCAGGGCTCAGCAGATGCACAGGGAGTGCAGTGACCTTCTCGTGTCTTCTGTTTACTTGAGAACTATAAACAGAAACTCTGACTAGATGAGGCATTTTAGGGATGGGAGAGAGGTGGGAGTTGGTGGTGTGTTTTATGGACTATTCTTTCAACATCACTTATCAGAAACCAAGAAAATTCATAGTTTTCTGAACGTCATTAGCCTTGGCTTTGATGATTTGCAGGTAACCATTAAAAGTCAGTAGAAAGTCATTCATTGCTGGCTTTTTCCATGGAGTGTTGTTAAGCAAGATTTGTTGTCCTTTAAATATTATTTACCAAAATGTGACACAGCTTTTCAGTGAAAACGTACAGGGGACATTAAAATGTCTATTTTTTTTCTGAGGCCTGCTTAAACTTTGCAGTTCAAGCCCTGTCAGAGATATTACCAAACCTGTTTTTCAGGGATTTGAAATTTGCTCATAAAAATTAACTTCAGGCTTTTATGCAAGTTAAAAGCAGAATTCATGTGGTTCTTTTAAAATCTTGTAAGTCTTTGAAAGAAGGACTAATAAAAATATACCTTGTTAGATGGCTTTTCCTGTGGCTGCACAGCCTGTTTGTTTAAGAACACGTTGCAGCTTGGCAGCTCACCTTACCCCGCCTCAATCCCAAAAGCACAAAGTATTTCTGGTTTTATTGAGAGCCATCAATGGAAAATGTCAGCTGTTCCTTTTTTTTTTTCCCTCTCCTGAAAATTGAATTAGTTGCCCAGGAAAAGTATAAGAGAGCTCCAATGTACAGGGCCTGAATTCCTGTGCTGGTGTCTAAGGCATGGACATCTTACTATGTGTTCAAGAAACAGCTCACACTGTTCTTTGGGCCACAGCACGGAGCACCAACCTCATCCTTCCAGGCTTTGGAGGCCAGACCTACCACAAGGCCCAGTCCTGTTTCTTTTAGGCCCCAGCCACAATGAAACCATGTACTTCCGAGGTCATGTATCACCTACCTATCCAGGGTCAGCCTTTCCCCCATGGGAAGCTGCGAAAATACCCATGTGGCTGTGGGCTTCTTCACTCATCCTCAAGACAAGAAGAAACCTGTGTCACACCCTGCCCGAGGACAGCTTTGTTTGCCTCTGCTAAGTACAACCTATTCTTGTGCTTTTGTCTTATCTTAGAGTGATGTCACAAAGCCTTACCCTGGCCTCATGATGGGAAGGTACCAAGATGAGTGCTTTGGTGGAAGGAGAACTATATTATAAAAGATACAAAGATTCATTCATTTTGTTCATGTACTCATTCATTTAAACATATAGTGAACATGTACTATGTACAAGGCACAATTCTAAGAGCTAAAGTTATGAGCTGAAAGATGCAAGCTTTGTCCTAATGGACCTGGAGCCTACAGATGAAGAAAAGCATACAATTATAGTACAGTGTGTGTGTGTGTGTGTGTGTGTGAGTTAGTCAGGAGGAGTGTGATAGGGTGTTGTGCATCAGAGGAGAGGCATCTAGCACAGGGTGGGAAGGAGTGTATGGAAGGCTCATGGGTGAAGTTGAGAAACAGATACAAATGAGGGTCCTGGTGGGGTAAGTACAATTAACAATTCATTTGTAAGATAAAGGTTCTGATGACTGTAATTTAGTCCCAGAGGTTAGAGCCTTTCGGGATATAGCTTGGGATGCTTCCTTTCTAGCTGTTTCTTTGAGGAAAGTGCCATTTTATTCCCTAACACCCAGTGTGGTCTCTTTAGGACTTTGTCCCATTTATGACCAAAGTCCGAAAGATTAGATTACAACTTTGCTAAGCTCAAATGCCCATCCCCACCTCCTATTATTTCTCTTATAGGACTGACCTCGTAACTGCTGCTTGGCTGGGTCACAGATGTCTGATGTGATGAAAGATCTTAGTGGAGATGTCACTCAGGAAAGTGACCCTATTCATTACCTGTGCCTGCTATAGTGCTTTAACTGTGCCATAGTTATGGTTTTTGTGGAATAGGAATTAACTAGTGTGTCATATCAGAAGGACTCCTTCTCCCAAAGTCAAGAGCCCAAATGATGCTGCTTTCTAGATCAAGCTAGGCTTCTTTACTCTGAAAGATAGACCTCTACCACTGTCTGTGACAGACAAGGACTTAGCAACTAGCAGATGTCACACTTGTGTGCTTTTCTCAGGGAGGCAGCTCAGGTCTTCTCCAGTTTTGTAGCTTTATTTCTGATTTTAACAGGCTTTGGCCTCTTGCCTCTGAGCCCCTTAAAAGTTAGATGCAACAAGCAAAGAAAGGGTAAAGGATGAGGGTGTTGGCTTCTAGAGGTGGCCAGGAGAGACAGCAGATAGTGTGACAAGAGGAAAAGAGGAAGAGGAGACCTGTGAGAGGTAGAGACACAAGAATTTAAAAAGAAAGAAAACTCTGGCCAAGTGGGCTGGGGATGGAGATTCTGTGAGAACCTTGGGTTTTTTCCCTCTACAGTGAGTCTTGGACTCTGTTCCCCTGGCATTTGTACAGTTAAGAAAATGTGTTAAGTATTTTCCTAATTTTGAATTGGCATGGAAATTATGGTAATTTTGAATTTACATGGAAATTGTGATAAGAAAGTATTTTTCTCAAGTCACTTTATAAGTCATTACAAAAGTGTTGCTCCCCTTGATGAGAATAGAGGTAGAACCTTACTCTTTTAAGCGCTCTCTTCTTAAAGGAAAGTAGCATGGCTCCATGGATAAGCAGCAGATTGCATATCTGGAACCTGTTTCTGTATGTTTCTGGCCTTATTTTCTCTGACCCTGAATGTAATTCTCCCCTCCCTTTCTTTTTTCTTTAAAATGGGGCTTGTTACCTCGACAGAACTTGCGGAGTGATATACTTTTGCAATAGAGGTGTGTATACAGAGAACTTTTTAGAAACATATGGTACGTATTTACATGAGGTTTGGGAAAGGAAGCTTATGCCATCATGTGAACCTCAGATAATATCTAGCATGTAATTTGAGAATCAATGAATTCGCAGTCTTCGTCATGCAGCTGAGGAGACTGAGGCACAGTAAGATGAAGTAACATGGCTGAGGTTATATGAAGGGCAAAGCTGGAATTGATGTGAACCCCCTTGGATCCTGAGATGCTGTTTTTTCCATTAGACTGTGACACTCACATTAAATTTGTGTGCCATTTGAACCAGTTGACCCACTCTTTAATTTTTATACGTCTTCTAAGTTTTACTTATTACATATTGGAACACTTCTCTTGACACTGCATTTGAAATTATTTTATGGCTAAAGCTTTGAAGGTTTATAATGCAGTGGCCTCCTAATAGCAGGTCAATCAGAAAGACTTTCATTTGGCACTGGTTCTCAATGATGTAACTAAGCTATTTAAAGCTTGGCAAGGAAGCCCAGTAAAACCCTGAAGTTCTTTCCATCCTGGAGCTGATTGGCTGAAGTGATCTTGGATCCTCAGAGAAGCTTCAGGAACAATGATTGCCACAGCCACACTGCTTTTGTGGCAAGGATGCTGCACCTCTTGGGATTTCTCTGATACTCTATCTGTGCCAGGCTTCACATGGCCTTGCCTATTACTGAGGGGTTAAGGGGATCACAGTGAACCGGAGTAAGATGGTTTATTGGCTATTCAGGGACCCTTTTCACACGCGACCACTACACTGCTCCCCTCCTCCATGCACCACTGTCTGGTGTGATTGTTCTTATAAAGACCTTTGAGAGTTTCGAAGAAAGATGCATGTCTATTCATGCTATATCCAGTCACAAATATTAGGCACCTACTAAATGCTTGATCCCATGCTTGACAAAATGGGCAGTAAACACACATCTAATAAGTAGCCCCATTCACTAGAGGCATAAATTCTGTTGTGAACATGAGGCACAAGCACATAAAATGAAATATAAAATATACAAAAAGGATGCAGTGCAAGTATATTGTGAGGTAGCCCAAAAAATGAAATATGGACCATGGGGAAGGACACAGGCTTTACCAGTGATGGACCTGGGTTCAAATCCCATCCTGCCACTTACTAACCACGTAACCACGGTTTCCTCAAATGTAACATAGGTTGGGATAGCTGTGAAGATTAAATAAGGGACTACGTAAACTACTTAGCATAG
This sequence comes from Homo sapiens, assembly GCF_000001405.40. Lineage (NCBI taxonomy): Eukaryota > Metazoa > Chordata > Mammalia > Primates > Hominidae > Homo > Homo sapiens. The sequence continues at coordinate 68,645,621 of NC_000005.10, read as the reverse complement.
CACCTGACATGTAGTGAGTACTTGATACGTAAATAACTAAAATATTGTTGTTATTATAATTATAGAGATTATAAGTGCTGCAAGAATTCAGAGAAAGGAGAGCGCAGTGTGGGCTGAAATGAGAGAAAATGGCCTATAAACTGGGAAGAGGTAGGTCCTTGAAAAATGAGTTCGAATCAGACTAGGATGGGTTTAGAAGAAGGGCTCTCAGGTAGTCCCAGACAAACAGGAGAGCAAAGGCCTGGAGGCAGCAATGAAAATGGGCTTCCAGGAGAATGTCATTGTCAGGGCTTGTATGGGGAGCATGGGAGAAGAGGTGCAACCCGATTTTGGCCAGTGGCAGAGCCTTCACCCACTTCCTCTTCCGAATGGCCCTCACTAGTACCAGTCCCTTGTCTCCATTCATAGCCCAGCAGGAGGAGAGCTGTGCTGTGGGTTTTTGAAAACTTTGCATAATCACTTCTGCCATAGTTTAGCAGGTGAGAGCCTGAAGAGAACTTCCTGGTCCACAGTGGGTAAGCTCATGACTCATACCGAGAATCTTTTTAAAATTTATTTTATTGTCATTGTTGTTGTTGGGGAAAGTGGGGACATCAGTTGTGTTCACTGAGAAGTAAGAACTGGCAGGTAAAAAAGGACCATGGAAATAAAACAGTACCTGTCATTTTCTCATGGGATTGCCCCCTCTCCTTCCAAAGGCCTTTGTAAAGTCCCAGTCATTTACTACCTTGGCAATCTTATGACATTCTTAACACCAGAAAATTACCCCCCTTGCCCCACCCCCAAAGGAGCTCAATGAATGTTGCTTAGACTATTTGTTAGAGTATTTTCAGTGTGACTTCTATAACAATTGTCTGTTTTCTGGTAGTTCTTACTAATTACATATGATGGTAAGATTCCCCTGCCCACAGCAAAACCAAAAGGCATTAGCTGTCTCCATTACCTTTCACACACTTAGCTGAATGGGAAGAAGGCTGCTACAGCCAAATTGCTATTTTGAAAGAATGATTATGTGTGTTGTGGGAATTTTTTGAAGTGTGTTTCTTGATAGCCTCGCTAAGAAGAGAAGCAATAGTACATTTCCCACCCAAAGAGGTATGGAAAGCTCATTGCAAATGAGTTTCTGAAGTTAGGAGTTAGCAGTAGCTGGTACATGGGCCTTCTAGCTAGCGCTTTACTTAAAATAGGGTAATGGAAATAGCTTAGTTCCTAACATCCACTCTCAGCAGACCCTCCTTCTTTTATTTTAAAAAGAAATTAATGTAGCCTTTGGAATTGTCATTATGGTTCATTAAGTTACAAGGAAGCAGCCTGTGAGATCCATGGATCACAAACTCATTATAAACTAACTACAAACTGGAGAGACCAAGTTATTTGGTGCAAAAATATTGTTTCAGCCCTCTCTCCAACTACTCCCAAACACCTGCCCTCTCACCTGATGATCCATGGGTGCAAACAGAGGTAACAGAATGTTGTTTACCTACTGATCTCTTAGGGTGAGGCAGAGCTGACCAAGAAGAGTGTGTATGGGGGATTGTTTCGATTTTAAATTTGTTTGTAAATTGGTATTATTTAATTTATCTTTCCTATTTTTAAACTGGTTGTTTCCTTTGCAGCATTGCCGTCAGGCACCACAAAGAATATTTTCTAAAAAGTAAGATGTTAAATAGCAACAGTGATTCAGCTTATTGTTGTTTTAAGTAAATAAACGGGGTCCTCAATTTTTCCTATGAAGAGAGGGTAATGAAAATAAATGGCTCCCAAATTTGAGGTCTATTTGAGAGGTGTGGAGATTCTATATTATTATTAAAAAGACCAGTGCCTTAATCTAATATGTTTCTTAGTGACTCAACCCAAACCAATCCCAAACAAGTCAGCAGAACTGTGATTGGAAAAGAGGCTGCTCCTCTGTTATGAATGAGTTAATATTGATTGTGCTATGGAGGGGGTGGGGGAGTGTGGATGTGGGGACTCTGCTTAGAGCAAAAACAATAGGAAAACCTCTAGGGAGAGACTCCAAGAGGAAACACTACAGTCCTGAATCACTACATTCCCCAAGAAGTAAAAAGAAGGGTCTTTTCTCTCATGTGTGAGGTAGAGGTCGCTTCAAGTCTCTCAGAGGTAGCAGCTGCTATGGCAGATAGGGATCCCATCTATGAAAGGATTTGTGGTGAAAGAAATCCTAAGGCTAGGCCCATGAGAGGGTAAAAAAACAAAACAAAACAAAACAAAAATTTTAGAATTCAGCTATCTCTTGCATAAAATAAGTTAGGCTTTTGATTTTAATTTTCCCCTTTTTAGCTCCCTCTCTTTGAATCACTAGTACCTGAGAAAACAAATACTTGCTAGTGCCATAGTCCTCTTTGGGTAAATATGAAGAATGATTCCTAGGTTTAAGCCTACCCTGTAAGCTCTATTTTTCTCAAAATCTTATGTCAAGAATATTGGTCAGCTCCCCAACTTCTCACGTCCTGTTGTTGATTAACCACAATCTCCATGGTCTTCACTCTCCCCTTCCCCCTTTTTTTGTTTACTTTTATGTTTTGCTTTATGCCCCCCAACTTTTTTTCTCTTGATTTTTATTTTCTGTTCCTGTGTTGCAGCAAGCCTCAAGTTATTTCTCCCATTTTGTCTCTAGCTTTTAGCAATTTCTTACTCATCAGAGCATATCAACACCTAAGATTAACGTTTAGATCCCACATCTCTAGGTTAATGTGTTTATAGCAAAACATACAGGTATAAATAACATCCTGCTGTAATTAGGCAAGGTGACTATGCTTTGCAATTACAAAAAGAGAGTGGATCTCCTCCTACAGAGGCAATGACCTATTGAAAGCTCATCGTGAGTATTAACTGGTACAACATTTTTGGAAAACAATTAGACAATATTTATCACGTTGGAAAATATATGTATCTGTTGACTAAGCAATTCCAACGTTAGGAATTTATCTTATTGATATAAACCTGCAATATACAAAGATATACACATATATTTCATTGAGCATTGTTTGAATGAGAATAAAAATTAGAACAACTTAAGTATCTTACAAAATAGTACTAAATAAGTAAAATATGAAACATCCATACAATGTAATATTACATACCAGTTAAAGTGAAATAGATCTACTTAGGATGATATGGAAATGCACATTACAGATTACATGAATCAAAAAAGTTCAGAATGAAAATGAAAACAAAATCAAAATTTGTGGGATGTAGCAAAAGTGATGCCTAGAGGGAAATTTATAGCATAAATGCATCTATTATAATAGAAGAAGAGATCTAAAATCAATAATCAAAGCTTTCACCATAGGAAACTAGAAAAAGAAGACCAAATTAAGCCCAAAGTAGAAAAAAGGAATAAAAAAATTAGTGCAGAAATTAATTAAAAGTGGGAAATTAATAGAATCAGCAAAACCAAAAGCTATTTGAAAAGATTAATAAAGATTAATAAAATTATTAAGCCTCTAGTCAAACTAATTACAAAAAAAGAGAACACAAAATATTAATATCAGAAATAAAAAAGGGACATCACCACAAATCCCATGAACACTAAAAAGATTGTAAAGGCATAATATGAACAATTCTATGGCCACAAATTTAATAACCTAGATGAAATGAATGAATCCCTTGGAAAACCTTATCTGCCAAACCCACACAAGAAGAAGTAGACACTCTGAATAGTCCTATATCTCTTAAAGAAATTGAATCAATAATTAATAACTTTCCAAAACAGAAAATGCCAGGCCCAGATATGTTCACTGGTAAATTCTACCAATATTTAAGAAAGAAATTATACCAGTTACCTATAATTTATTTCAAAAGATAAGAGGAGAGGGAATATTTTCTAGCTCATTCTTTGAGGCCAGCATTACTCTAATACCAAAACCAAACAAAGACAAGAAAAGAAAACTACAGACCGGTATCTGTCATGAACATAGATCAAAAATTCTCAACAAAATATTAGCAAATTGTATCCAACAATGTATAGAAAGAATTATACACCACAATGAAGTAGAATTTATCCCAGGTGTGCAAGGCTAGTTCAACATTTGAGAATCAGTTAATGTAATCCATTACATCAACAGGCTAAAGAAGAAAAATCACATGATTATATCAATATGGACAGAAAAAGCATCTGACAAAATCTAACACCTATTCATAATGAAAAACTCAGTAAACTAGAATAGAGGGGAACTTCCTCAACTTGATTTAAAAATGTCTACAAAAACCCTACAGCTAACATCATACTTCAAGTTTCTTCAAGTTAGAAACTTGAAACTTTCTTACCAAGATCAGGAACAAGACAAAGATATCCCCTCTCAGCGCTGCTTTTCAACATTGTGCTGAAAGTCCTGGCTAATATAAGACAAGAAAGGAAATAAAAGGTGTACAAATGGAGACGGCGGAAAAAAAAAACAAACCTGCCTTTGTTCTCAGATGACATGATTGTGTAGAAAATCTAAGAGAATTGACCAAAAAAAAGTCAGTCACTTTTCTATATATCAGCAATAAATAGAATTTGAAATTAAAAACATATTACCATTTACATTAGCATACCTCAAAATGAAATACTTAGGTATATATGTAACAAAACATGTACAAGATCTATATGAGGGAAATGACAAAACTCTGATGAAATAAACCAAAGGGCAACTAAATAAATGGAGGGATATTCTGTGTTCATGGATAGGAAGACTCAACTGATCTATAGATTCAGTGTGATCTCAATAAAAATCCCAGCAAATTATTTTTGTGGATATTGACAAACTGATCTTAAAGTTTATATGAGACACAAAAGATCCAGAATAATCAGCACAATATTGAAGGAGAAGAACAAAGTCGGAGGATAGTCACTACTTGACTTCTTATCATACTATAAAGCTACAGTCAATAATCAAGACAGAAATGGTGCTGGAACAACTGGATGTCCAAATGCAAAACAGTAAATAAATCTAGACACAGACCTTATACCCTTTATGAAAATTAACTAAAAATGGATTGCAAACCTACACGTAAACCTATAAACATTTAGAAGATAGTACAGGAAAAAATCTAGACAACCTTGGGTTTGGAAAAATTTTTTAGTTGCAACACCAAAGGTACAGTTCATGAAAGGAAGAATTAATAAGCTGAACATCATTAAAATAAAAAATTTCTGCTACGTGAAAGACACTGTTGAGAGACTAAGAAAGTAGCTAAAGATTGGGATAAATTATTTGTGGAAGACATTATCTGATAAAGAACTATTATCCAAAATATACAAAGATCCCTTAAAACTCAACAATAAGAAAACAAACAACCTGATTTTTTAAAAAATGGGCCAAAGACTTTGACACCCCACCAGTGGAGACATAAAGATGGAAAATAAGCATATGAAAAAATTCTCCACATCATATGTCATCATGGAAATGCCTATTAAAATGACAGTGAGCTACCACTACAGATTTATTAGAATAGTCAAAATCTAGAACATTGACAAAAACAAATGCTGGAGAGGATGTAGAGCAACAGGAACACTCGCTCTTTGCTGATGGGAATGCAAAAATCCAATTTAGAAGACAGTTTGGCAATTTCTTACACAACTAAACATACTCTTACCATAAAATCCACAGCTTGTGCTGCTTAGTATTTGCCCAAAGGAGTTGAAAACTTATGTCCACACAAAAACCAGCACACAAATAATTATAGCAGCTTTATTCATAATTACCAAAACTTGGAAGCAACCAAGATGTCCTTCAGTAGGTGACTGGATAAACTTAGTGCATCCAGACACTGGAATATTATTCTGTGCTAAAAAGAAATGAGTTATCAAGCCACAAAATAACATGGAGGAGACTTAAATGTGTGTTACTACGTGAAAGAAGTCAATCTGAAAAGGCTACACACCTTATGATTTCAGGATATGACATCCTGAAAAAGACAAAACTATGGAGATTGTTAAAAGATCAGTAGTGCCAGGGACTAGAGGGAAGGGAGGACTGAATAGGTGCAGCACAGAGGATTTTTATGGTAAAGTACTCTATGATATTATGATGGTAGAATCATGGACAAATTATTCATTTGTCCCAAACCATAGAATGTACAACGCCAAGAGCCTAATGTAAATTATGGACTCTGGATATAATGATATGTCATTACCATATACTGATGTGTCAATATCAGAAGGTACACAGCTTTGTCTATTACCCAACTGTGAGGGATGTTGGTAATGGACAAAGCTAGGTACCTTCTGCTCAGTTTTACTGTGAACCTAAAACTGCTCCAAAACTTAAAGTCTCTTAAAAAAAAGTTCTGTGCACAGAAAATGATTTCACTTAAATCAAAAAGAAATGGCATGGTATTATACTATAACGCAAAAGGCAAAATAAATATATATATGAGTCCATACTGATATAAATAAATGGTTGAAAAATAGAGAAAAAAGAAATGAAAATATTTTTCCCTTTAGAAGAATTTCAAATAATTTATGTAGATGCTACCCCCTCCAGGAGATGGAACTTAATTAATTTCCTCCATCGTGAGTGTGGGCTAGAGTTAGTGACCTGCTTCTAAAGAATGGAGAATGGAAAAAGAAAAACTCGTAACTCTAATGTCATTGTGAGATAAACACCATACAAACCCAAATTGAGAGACATTCTACAAAATACCTGACCAATATTCCTCAAAACTCAGTCAGAGCCCACCTTTCCTACCCCCTCTCAAAATGCTACTAAGAATGTAATGTTCAAATAAAAAAATTTGTTCTGGAGTCAAGAATTTTTTAGAATGTGTATTAGAAGACAGGGATATACACTTGCCTTGTGATTTAATTTAGGAATGTTTTGCTCAAAGCGGAGTTGGAAGGAAAGGAATAAAATTGATGACGTCTCACATGTGGAATAATTCTTTATATGTTAATGGAGATAAAGTTGAATGTAGAAAATTATCTTGCTGTCTGGCTAAAATCAGTAAATTGTGTACTTGGTTCTGAAGCATAAGGTTTGAAAAGTTCATAGAGGCTATTTTCTCAAACATAGACTTTTGTGGAGATTTGTCAAGGTTTTTTCATAAATCTGCTTTTTGTTTTGTTTTTGTTTTATAGCTTGGACTGCTTATATGCTTCTTGGCTTCCTTATAGGATTTAAAGTGCATTTCTGGTAACTGGGTCTTCTTTTTTTTTTATTCTGACAATTTCTGTTTGGTCTAAAAACAATTAATGAAATTACCAATATGGTTGGATTTAGGTCTACTGTTTTATTATTATTTTTTGTTATTTTTCTGCTTTTCCTTTTTTCTCCTCTAGGATTGCTTTCTAAAAATGTCTATTGTAGGCTGTGTGTGGTGGCTCACACCTGTAATCCCAGCAGTTTGGGAGGCCAAGGCAGGAGGATTCTTGAGGCCAGGAGTTGAGACCAGCCTGGGCAATAAAGCAAAACCCTGCCTCCACAGAAAATAAAATAATTAGCCTGGCATGGTGGTGCATGCCTGTAGTCCCAGCTACTCGCAGGGCTGAGGCAGGAGAATTACTTGAGCCCGGGAGTTTGAGGCTGCAGTGAGCCATGATTATTGCCACTGCACTGAAACCTGGGTGACAGAGCAAGACCCTGTTTCTCAAAAAAAAAAAAAAAAAGAAAAGAAAAAAAACCCCAAAATGTCTATTGTATTTTCAGATACACCTTTGTGTATTATTTTTAATGGTTATTTTAGGGGTTTCAGCTGTATGAGTCCATCCTACCTCTGCCCTTTGTGCTATAGTTATTACATGTAGTATGCTAACATACATTATGAATTCCATGAGACAATGTTATGCTTTTTTGTAAATAGCCTTATGAATTTAAAAGAAATAAAGATGAAAACGTCTTTTCTGTTTACCGTGATATTTACCATTTTTGATGTTTTACATTCTTTTCTATACATTTGTGTTTCCATTTGGTATTGTTTCCTTCTAGCCTGCAGAATTTCCTTCAGCTTTTCTTATAGTGCAGATAACTAATCATAAATTCTTTTAGTTTTATTTTATATGAAAATGGTCTTTATTTTGCCTCATTCTTGAAAGATCTTTTCACTGCCTATTGAATTCAGGTGTAACAGATTTTTATTTGTTCTGTTTTCAGTTCTTTAAAAGATATTGTTCCACTGTCTTCTGGCTTCCAAAATTTTAAATGAGAAGTCAGTATTTTTAAACCATCGTTCTCCTGTGTGTAATGTGTGGTTTTATCTGACCGCTTTCAAGATTTTTTTCCTTATCTTTGTTTTTTAGCAGTTTAACTATGATGAAACTACATAACAGTTTTCCTGTTTGGAGTTCATTAAGCTTCTTGGATCTGTAAATTTAAGTCTCTCACCAAATCTGGAAACCTTTAGCCATTATACCTTTAAATATTTTTTAATGGTCACTCTCAACCCTCCTCTTCTCTCCTCCTGACACTCCTATGACACATATGTTAGATCTTTAGTTATTGCTCCATAGGTCCATTAGCTCAAGAGGATCTGTTCTATTTTCTTCAATCTTTTCCCTCTGTCTTTCAGATTGATCATTTCCATTTACCTGTCTTTAAGCTTACTGACTCTTCTATATTTTCCATTCTACTATAAAGCACATTGAGTGAGTTTTAACTTTCAGATATGTTGATTTTCAGTGGTAAAATTTCAATTTAATTCTTTTTTTTATAGTTTCCGTTTCTCAGTAGAGGTTTATTATCTTTGAATTCATTGTAAGAATATGTTTCTTATTTTACTGGGGATAGTTTCTTCATATGGTAATACATTTCATATTATACTCTGGATATTGTGAATGATTGGTTGTAGGTATTCTGATTTGTATTACTTCCCTCTGAAGACTATTGATGTTTTATTTCGACAGGCAATTACCTTTGTAGCTCAAACTGCATATTATACTCTGTCTCTTTTGTTGTTGTTGTTAAAATAGAGACAGGGTCTCACTATACTGCTCAGGCTGATCTCAAACTCCTGAGCTCAAGTGATCCTCCTGCCTCAGCCTCCCAAAGTGCTGAGATAACAGGTGTGAGCCACTGCACCTGGCCAGTTTAGCTTTTCTTGTTGTTTGTTTCTTTCTTCTTTGCTGAGGTGCTTTGAGTCTACCAAATACACATGTGATTCAGGGGTGATCCAGATACTTAGGAAAATATATGTAGAAAATTTGGGGCTTCTCCTCACTAGCTCATTTTTTGGGGGTTTTCCTGCCATTTTCCAGTAGCTATGGTTGCCCCAAATTCTGACCTTTGGTTCTTTAGTCTAGAAAGACTTGGTTTTTCTATTAGAGTTTTAGTTACTCTGTGTGGCACTGACTTTGACCTGCCTTTCAGCAGAAGACATAAATACTCTTACCTGCACCAATCCCTTCTATCAAATCTCAGCTTCCTTTCAGAATTTTCCTGCTTGAGTTTACTCCCTAGCACTTTTGGATATTTGATTTTTGTTTGTATAATTTGTCCATGCTTTGTAGTTGTTATCTGTTGGATGCTAGAGTCTGGTAGAAACTTTCTTGATTATACTAGAAGTGAAAAAATGGTTTAAAATATAATCAGTTTCTTCTCTTCTGAAATGGAAAAAGTGTGATCTGACCATTTCCCATGGGAGTTAAATAATTTGGGGCTAAGAATATATTTGGAAAAAATACAAACTCAATTAAGCTCCACAATGAGTTTCACTTGTAAATATCACCACTATGTAAACAGGCTAAAAAACATAAAATATATTTTTAAAAACCCCTTCAGATATAATTCTACTTCAAACTCATTAACAATTAAAGAGGGGCCTCATCTTAATTCTGTGATGTAACATTTAAGAATAGGAGACAAAAAATTTGTCCGAGGCTCCTGAAAATAGGTACTAGCCCCAGAGATGTTCTCTAAGGCTTTAAGTGGGTCTTCCAGAAACCCTAAACCCCCAAAACATATTTTAGATAAAGTTTTCAAATAGTGGTCATAGATTGAGAAGAGGGAAAGTAATATTAATGTACACGATATCCAATGTTGGCAGTGGGAAATGGTTATGTATGGAGATATGTCCCAAATAAGTATCATGGAAAGAATATTAGAGCCACTGGTGTAAACTTCTATATGAAGAGAAACTATGAGAGGAAAAGTTATTATATGTAATTAAGAAGTTCTGTGTGGGGTTAGTTCTGCATGCGTGCCTTCTGAATCAGACGTGGGAGGAGGAACATTTTTAAGAGGACTGAAAGCTGAGTTCCTTGATCTTTTCTGAAATGTGGAAATTTCAGGGCCCACTTTCTGTCTCCTATCTGTTTTTATGGCTGGTTGCCCCGTAGGACAGGCATCTGAGAAACTCAAAGGAAGGAAAAGTGCACAGAGATGAGGGTCAGGTCCAGACCTGGACCCACAGCTCAAATGCAATTCATTAATCTTTGACAGGTATGAAACTGAGTTGCTGGTGATGTGTGAAACTAAGTTATTGCAGCTTGAATGTCTTTGGAGCCAGTGATCTGGGAGAAGGAAAATTAGATGTGGATGCATTCATGAACTAGACCAAGCTGGTTTCCTGGTTTGAGCATCTCTGCTGATGGTGTACTTGGTGCTGGTGGGTATATAGCAATCTGTGAAAATGTCTTTCAAAGACTCCAGGAGAGCTCTGTGTTCTGTTCCTAGAGGAGTCCCCAGCCAAGCAAACTTGGGGGATCTGGAGTTTTATTGGGAACCAGGGACTTGCCATGGCTCAAAGAAGCTTTTGCAACTGCTTATTATGGCGCCTTCCCTTGAAAGGGCTCCATATTTTTATTCAGTTTCATGTTTTTGTTGGCCTGGGGTCACTTTGGCTAGAAGTTTCTGCCTTTTCTTTAGATTGTTTTCTGGAGAACAAAGTCATCCTTTTAGCTCTCTTTACAGAAGTCCCAGGCAGGCCCCTGGCTGTAGTGGGCCCTGGAAGCCTCTGTAACCCTTCCAATATTCTCCTTTCTCTTTGGTGGAGAAGATGGTCAGAATGGCCAAGGATTTACTTACTACCCTTGTGAGGATATTTATCTGAACCAGTGGTGATTTGCATTAAAAGGAGCTAGTAGAAATCACCCTAAGAGGGCACCCTCTATATTATCTCCCTTCCATCTTTTTATAATTTCTATTCCCTCAGACTTTACCCATCAACCAACACCATGCCACCATGTGAGTTTATGACAGCCAGGTGACAGGTCACTGTAGAGAAGTGAGTGCTGATTGGGATGTGGGTGTTATGCTGGCAGAGATGGAGACGTCACCAAACACCAAAGACATCCAAGAGCTCTCTTTTATTGGTGATCATCCTTTTATGCTTCATTCTGTTCCAATTTGAACTAGTGGGCTTCCATAACCTCACTAGAGTCTAATCTTGAAAATTCTAAACTTAACTCTGGAATTTCAAATTCCCTGTGTTTTTTCCCATTGCTGTATTTACTTGGCCCCAGAACATATCCTCTTTGTTTTTTACCCTAGACTTCAGAACTGATTTCCAATTTTGTTCTGTCCAGATAGAAGGCTTCAACAGAAAGTCCTTTCTCTTGACATCAACAAGCTTTGATAAGATAAATTATTCACAACTATTCTGGGAAAACTTTTTTTTTCATTATTATTATATTTTAAGTTCTGGGATACATGTGCAGAACATGCAGGTTTGTTACATAGGTATACATGTGCCACGGTGACTTGCTGCATCCATCAACCCGTCACCTAGGTTTTAAGCCTCGCATGCATTAGGTATTTGTCCTAATGCTATCTCTCCCCTTCCGCAAACCCCTACCCCAGAACAGGCCCTATTCTGGGGAAACTGTTATCTTAAATGGCAAGAATGAAAAAAATGACATCTTTTTCTAGAACATCATGTGTGAAATAGAAAATATAAGCAGTTTCTTGCATTTGGAGTGCAGTAGAAACAATATGAGAAGGACTACTATGGGAATGTAGATAGGTACAAGTTTTCTGAAGGGCAAAATGAAAAAACATTTGAGGGATCTTAAAAAATATGCTTATCTACAAATTTTCCTTGTAGAAATAAGTGAAAAGGCACTAAATATTTATTTATAATGATTGCATTGTAATTAATATAACCCAAGTGCTCCACATGAGAATTAGATAAATACCAAGTGAAATCATTTAAAACTACTAATGTAAAATTATTGAATCATATAAAATGTTGACCTACAAAGCAGCATTTTTATATGGTTCAACATAATATATTGTGGGATGTTCATATGATAGACTTCTATGCAAGTATTGACAATCGTATTTTTAAAGAATATATAAAGCTTATAAATAAAATGTATAAAAAAGGTAGGATATAAAGGTAAGTATACATCATGAGATCTCAATTTTATTTTATTAAAATACATGTTTGCGTATGTATGTACCTACATGAACTAAAAAATGACTGGATGAAAACATGCTGTTAATAATAGTTCCCTGGGTGATTGAATTGTTAATTTTTGTTTACTTTTGTCTTTATATTTTCTGTCTTTCCCAAAATTATGTGATTATAATGTATTCATATTCTGTATTTTCTCGTAAAGTCATATAGTAAGCATTTTCCATGTTGTTGCATACTCTTCAAAATAATTTTAATGGAGTCACAATAAACTAGTCACTAGAAATATGTTAATTTCTTAAATGTCTGTAAATGGTAGGTTTTTAGACTAATCTTTTCTTTTTTCCTCCCTTCTGTCCTTCTTTCCCTCTCTCCCCTCCTTTTTTCCTTCCCTCTCTCCCTCTTTTCTTTTTTCCTTCCTCCCTCCCTTCCTTTCTTCCTAATATAAACAGTGGAAGATCCTCCCTGTATTTTGGATTTTTCCATGAAATATATTCCTAGAAGGAAGTCACTGTTAGGCATGAAGAGGGCAGGGTGAGAATGACCTGGAAGCTAATGTTGCCCATGTGCTTCCCAGGAGTCTCACCCCAGGCCCCTGTCCTGCTTTTGAAGTACTAGAAAGATACTGTTCTAACACTGTTTCTTGTTGTTAATGGAAACATTATTATTTCCTACAGTTCTGATTCCAAAGCAGCAGCATTTTAAAAGCTCAACTCAGGTGGAACAGCTTAGCATTTGCAATTCCTGCTAAACCTCAGAGAAAAGCTTACTGAATCAGATAAAAACATTGCCAGTCTGTCAACACACATAACTTCACAGTTTTTGTTTTTCTTCTTTGTTCCAGTAACATTTCTATAACTTGGGCTGCCCAGGGCTTGCTTGGCATAAACCCACCTGGAAGCTCACGGGTAGAGGGGTTCACAGTAAGAAAATGTAACTGCTGGGTACCCAGAGCCCTTTCATGTGTGAGAAAGTTCTGCTTGCAGGGTGGCAAGGATCAGGATCAGCATGTGCTTTCTATCCACTGGTAAAACGTGGATTGGAGAAATACTGCCTTTTCCTTCAGAATGCTTTGGTGTCTGGACACATGACAAGCCTCAGAAGCTTTGATCTTACTTTAAACTGGTCTCCCATCTTATTTTTATTTGAACAGAGTTTGTGGCAGTCAGAGGATACATAAGGGTGGCGTCCTTTGACCTCCCTGATGTTTGGGAGGTAAACCACCTCCATCCCTCAGACCAGGAATGTAGTCATGTGAATTGATATCTGCAGAGTGCCTGACACAGCTGGAGGGCTAGGCCAAGCCAGCTACAAAAGAACTTGAGGTGTGGGAAAGTTTCTTAGGGCATAGTAATAGCTGTATGGCAAAGCCGAGGATAAAGTTGCTACTGTCTGCTTGTTCATTCACAAGTACTTATTGAGCTTCTGCTATATATTGGGTGATAGGCTGGGCCTGCAAATAGCATAAAACTATTAACTATAGAGTAAAACAGCCTTCCTGCTTTCAAGGAGCTCATGAGAATGAATGAGACAGGTAAGTAAATGGATCACTTAGAACCCAAGAGAGATGGTGATGCAAGAGGAATGAAGAGAGCATTGCAGGGACGTAGAGGAAAAGCGCCAGGATCGAGGAAGCTTCCAGAGGAGGTGAGGCTGAGTTAGGAGTAAAAGGATAAGTGGTGTGTTGCTGCCAGGTGGTGGAAGGAGGGGAAGAACATTCCTTTCCATGGAGGGGCAGCCAGCATGGCAGGTCTGGGGTTGGGGGTGGCTTCTCTCTGAATGTGGCCCAAATACTGTTGACTGTCCCCAGACTGTGTCAGTGTCAGGTGCCTTTTCAGCCACTGACAGTGAGGTGTGGCTGCCTTGTTTGTAGCCTTTGATAGAAGTGTAAGAGACTACGTTCAAGAAATAAACCAAAAATATCTGAATTCAATGGCTAGTAGGTACTTTCTGTTACATCCAGATCTTTTTCTTCTTCATAAACTTTTAAAAGAACAATAACGCAATTATTTCTAATTATGAAGCCAACTCATGGTTATCATTAACATTTCAAGCAACACATAAAAATAGAAAGAAGAAAGCATCCCCCAAGCGCTTCAACTTAGAGGTCACCACTGTTAACATTTTGTGAGCATCCTTCCATATACCCACAGAGAAACACTTCTATAGAAATGGCATGCAGAGCAGTTTAACAGGTGTATTGTGCCAGGGCTGTGCAAAGCACTTGGCAAATAGCAATGAACACAAAAGATAGGGGCCCTGATTAGTGAAGTTTCACCTTCAGGCTTAACTTAGGGTAGACTCCCGCAAAGGTAAAACTGATTGCAAAAACCCATGTGGAGTTGGAGCCCTTCCCATTATAGGGCCTTTGCACAAGCTAGTTTCTCTGCCTGGATTGGTATCTATTCCCAATAGGTATAATTCGATGATATATATAATTAATGAAAGTATGTTTTCTGCTGTATGGTTAAGGCATTGATTCATTATTGTTTTTAATCAATGACATATTGCTAGATTTTTAGCTTGTTTTACTTTTTTCTATTTTAAACAATTCTGTTGCAAATATCCTTTTATATACATTTATCTTAGGATGAATTCCTAAAAATGGAATTATGAGATCAAATAATATGCACACTAAGTTTTTGGTACATGTTACCAAATAGATGCGGCCCTTCTGAAAGTTTCTATCAACAGTATACAAAATACCATTTTCCATGTCCTCTCAAACACCAAAAATCCTCTGTTTATAAAACCTTTGACCATCTGATGAAACTTTACTTTTATTTGTTTGCTAGTTATGTTGACCATTTTTCCTTTGTTTATTCATCCTTTGTATGTCTTCTTTTGTGAATGTCCTCTTTCTATCCTTTGCCTATTTTTTTCTAATGAGATACTGGTCTTTTTCATATTAATGATTTGCAAATGCTCTTTGTATATGGTATTAAGAGCATTAATGCTTAGACTACAATACATGTTGCAATTTTTTTCATGTATCATTTGACATTTTATTTTTATGTTGTCTTTTTGCCATAGAGATGCTAAAATAAACAAACAAAATTAATGTAGTCACATCTAATCACTTTTTCTTTTATGGTTTTGTATTTTTATGTCATCTTCTTCAACCAGTTCTTATCATAGGGGCAAATGGAAAACTTCCCCCTTGCCGTCTGAAGATTTGCTAAAAATCAACTGACAAAAGACAGATTAATAGAAGAAAGGGTATGCAAAGCTATTAATGTGTGTGGGAGTCATATAAAATAGAACTTAAAAAATGTCCAGATGGTTGATGCTTTTATACCATCTTGAAGTTCCAGAAAGAATGGGGGTTTGGTGAGTGGCAAAACATGTATGGGACGGGAAGAGGAATCCTTGCTAGCAAAGGTGGTCTTGTTATGTAGATGAAACTTCAAGGTAGCAGCTCTCAGAGAGGATAGGTGGTGAATGTTTCTTTCAGATCTTGAAAGATGTCAGACTCTCAGTTCATCTTTCCTAGGTCTGGTTGAGAGAGGGCCCTCAGAGAAAGCCTGGCTTCCTCAATGCGGATTTTCTCTACAGATGCAAATCTCCCCCAAAAAAGACAGCTTCGCAGGGCTAATTCTGTTTGCTGGCTCTCTGAACAGCCATCTCAAAATATGTCCAAGAATTATATTTTGGGGTAAAATATTTTGTTTTCTTTCATTATAATATTGTCTTATTGTGCCTGACTGAATTTTAGGCTTCGATGGAAGCCAGATGGCTGAGAATACATTCTAATAAGACAGGGACTGTGTTGGTAAAAAATGAGAAAACATCTACAGTATATGTCTGAGATCATCTCTGTTTGCTTATTCAAAGGCATGATTTTATCTTTTTCCCCATGGTTTGTGGGGTCTCCATACTCTGGTTCTGGGACAATCTGAGGGCAGGCATATGTAAGAGGGCCTTCCCACAAACACAAAATGAAGAAAACCATCTCTTCTTTAAGAAGAGAGTTCCCTGCCATTGCCAGTGTGGACAGGACAGTACTAAGGACTGAACTGAGCCCAAGTAGCAGGCAAAGGCAAATTGACGTGAAAGTTAAAATCCATTTTAAAGAGCTAACGTAGAATAGCCATCATTTCTTAAATGTCTGCTCTGTGTTCTCTGAAGCCTTGAATGATAGATAATCTTGTCATGTTTTACATATCTCAAAAACCAACCAACAAACAAGGCTTATAGAGGTGAAATTATTGGACCAAGTACATATAGTTAGTACGTAGGAGAACTGAGATTTAAATTCTGATCTCAGCTGAGCCAAAAGCTACTAACAGCAGCAAAAAGCTACTATTGTTGAATATACACCTTGACAGGCTTGTGCTGAGTGCTTTACATATATTATTAATAGCTCCTTTAATATTATACCCACCATTGGAGGTACACATATCTCTTTTAAAGATAAGAACACTGAAGCCCAGAGCAGCTAAGTAGCATGTCCAAGCATTATCAGAAAGCAGTCTCGATTCAGACCCTCAAGAGAGGGTTCTTGGGTCTCATGCAAGAAAGAATTTGGGGCATAAAGTAAAGCGAAAGCAAGTTTTTTAGGAAAGTAAAGTAATAAAGAATGGCTACTTCACAGCCAGAGCAGCCCCAGGACTTGCTGGTTGCCCATTTCTATGGTTATTTCTTGAGTCTGTACTAAACAAGGGGTGGATTATTCATGAGTTTTCCGGGAAAAGGGTGGACAATTCCCAGAGCTGAGGGTTCCTCCCCTTTTTAGACCATATAGGGTAACTTCCGAATGTTGCCATGCCATCTGTAAACTGTCATGGCACTGGTGGGAGTGTCTTTTAGCATGCTAATGCATTAAAGTTAACATATAATGAGGCTTGAAGATAACCAGAGGTCACTCTCTTCACCATCTTGATTTTGGTGGGTTTTGGCTGGCTTCTTTTCTGCAAACTGTTTTATCAGCAAGGTCTTTACGACCTGTATCTTGTAACTACCTCCTATCTCATCCTGTGACTTAGAATGCCTAACCTCCTGGGAATACAGCCCAGTAGGTCTCAACCTTATTTTGCCCAGCTTCTATTCAAAATGGAGTTGCTCTGGTTCAAACACCTCTGACACAAGGTCACACAGCTAGTAAGTTGTAGAATCAGGAATTGAACCAGGACATTCTGACTTCGATCCCTGTGCTTTTTCCTTCATCCAGGTTTTTTCCTTCCTTTTTATTTTAATTTTAAATGACAATACCTTTGTTATTCTAATTATGAAGTGCTCATGCTTATTATTAAAATTTCGAACTATACAGGAAACAAATTGTTGTTTCTACCACTTCACACCGCTTGCTCCCAACATGTTTTCTGAATTAGCAATTCTTCTTTAGGAGAATTTGTCACCTTTTTTCTACTCCCCCAAACCCCACTTTGAAGGTTATGTCCCTGTCTGTTATATATTCTTTCTGAAAATATATTTTTTGGGTAACTACTAAACAGGGAATAGGAATAATTTATATAATTACCAGGCAATCTTGGTATTGTCAAGCGTGACCAAGGTACCTAGAAAAGTTAATAAGTGAGTGATTGTTTAATTACTTAACTACTAATGATGCTCCAGGAATTGAACCATTTGGTTTTGCACCTGAACCTTTTGTATTAAGTTGATTGGAAATAACCTGTGAGGCAGAAGAGTTTGGACTTCAAAGGTCATTGCATTAGGGTCACCGTTATTGATTCTACCGTGGGGTTATGCTAAAACATTGATGGGGATATTGACCAGCTAGTTATTTTAATGCATCCTCTTTTTAGTAGGCCTGGGTAGTACAGTGAGTGACAATAAATAAACAAATAAATAAGTAAATAAATTTGTGCTTTCCAAAGCCTGCCCCCAAAGTATGACGTTTTCTGTGATCTGCTTACATTTTCTTTTAATTGCAACCTTACTAGAAAAACCTTACTAGAAAAGCTTGGCCACACATTAAATTTAAGTAATAAATAATGAAAATCAGATTTTGGAAAATCTTTTGATGCATAGAGATCATTTGTGTTTGGGCATTCTCCCCACTTCTTTTCCTAGCGCGCACACACACACACACACGCACGCACGCATGCACGCATACCCCAACCACCCCCATAATGTCTCCTTTCCCTCAACTAATTGGTTTGGAGATATTCAGCAAGAACTGGGGCATGAATAATTCAATGAGAGTTATTAGAAGCAACAGTAAGGAAATATTTTTTCCTGAACACATAGAAAAAGTTTCTCATTATGAGAGCAGGGCCTCTGAGCAGTGTCAAAATCACCTGGAGAGCTTATTAAAAACGGATTGCTGGGCCTTACCCCTAGAGATTCTGGTTTGGTGGGTCTAGGTGAACTCTATGAATTTGCATTTCTCTCACGTTCCCGTGTGCTGCAGATTGTGGTGGTTTTAAACTATGGCCACAAATTCTTCAATACTTCTTTGAGCTGTTCTATCCTTATGCCTCTGCTTCTCTACCCCTCCCATATTCAATTACCAATAAGGCCTGCAGATTTTATCCTGTAAATGTTTCTCATACCTACTGACTTCTTTGCACCACCATCATTGGCCAAATCCCTTCATCTCTCACCTGAACTGTTGTTAATTATGTCTATTTACTTCCATGCCTCTAATACTGCCCCTACCTTACATCCATCTACCACTCTGCAGACAGTGTGATCACCTAATACTAAAATCAATAGCCTCATGCTCTTCTTTCCTATGAAATTCTCATTCATCATTTATTTATTTATTTATTTATTTATTTTTTATTATACTTTAAGTTCTAGGGTACATGTGCACAACATGCAGGTTTGTTACATAGGTATACATGTGTCATGTTGGTGTGCTGCACCCATTAACTCATCATTTACATTAGGTATATCTCCTAATGCTATCCCTCCCACCTCTCCCCACCCCACAACAGGCCCTGGTGTGTGATGTTCCCCTTCCTGTGTCCAAGTGTTCTCATTGCTCAATTCCCACCTATGAGTGAGAACATGCAGTGTTTGGTTTTTAATACTTGTGATAGTTTGCTGAGAATGATGGTTTCCAGCTTCATCCATGTCCCTACCAAGGACATGAACTCATCATTTTTTATGGATGCATAGTATTCCATGGTGTATATGTGCCACATTTTCTTAATCCAGTCTATCATTGTTGGATATTTGGGTTGGTGCCAAGTCTTTGCTATTGTGAATAGTGCCACAATAAACATACAGGTGCATGTGTCTTTATAGCAGCATGATTTATATTCCTTTGGGTATATATCCAGTAATGGGATGGCTGGGTCAAATGGTATTTCTAGTTCTAGATCCCTGAGGAATCGCCACACTGTCTTCCACAATGGTTGAACTAGTTTACAGTCCCACCAACAGTGTAAAAGTGTTCCTATTTCTCCACATCCTCTCCAGCATCTGTTGTTTCCTGACTTTTTAATGGTCACCATTCTAACTGGTGTGAGATGGTATCTCATTGTGGTTTTGATTTGCATTTCTCTGATGGCCAGTGATGATGAGCATGTTTTTCATGTGTCTGTTGGCTGCATAAATGTCTTCTTTTGAGAAGTGTCTGCTCATATCCTTTGCCCACTTTTTGATGGGGTTGTTTGTTTTTTTCTTGTAAATTTGTTTGAGTTCTTTGCAGATTCTGGATATTTGCCCTTTGTCAGATGAGTAGATTGGAAAAATTTTCTTCCATTCTGTAGGTTGCCTGTTCACTCTGATGGTAGTTTCTTTTGCTGTGCAGAAGCTCTTTAGTTTAATTAGATCCATTTGTCAATTTTGTCTTTTGTTGCCATTGCTTTTGGTGTTTTAGTCATGAAGTCCTTGCCCATGCCTATGTTCTGAATGGTATTGCCTAGGTTTTCTTCCAGGGTTTTTATGGTTTTAGTTCTAACATTTAAGTCTTTAATCCATCTTGAATTAACTTTTGTATAAAGTGTAAGGAAGGGATCCAGTTTCAGCTTTCTACATATGGCTAGCCAGTTTTCCCAGCACCATTTATTAAATAGAGAATCCTTTCCCCATTGCTTGTTTTTGTCAGGTTTGTCAAAGATGAGATAGTTGTAGATATGCAGCATTATTTCTGAGGGCTCTGTTCTGTTCCATTGGTCTATATCTCTGTTTTGGTACCAGTAGCCTGCTGTTTTGGTTACTGTAGCCTTGTAGTATAGTTTGAAGTCAGATAGCATGATGCCTCCAGCTTTGTCTTTTTGCTTAGGATTGTCTTGGCAATGCATGCTCTTTTTTGGTTCCATATGAACTTTAAAGTAGTTTTTTCCAATTCTGTGAAGAAAGTCATTGGTAGCTTGATGGGGATGGCATGGAATCTATAAATTACCTTGGGCAGTATGGCCATTATCACAATATTGATTCTTCCTACCCATGAGCATGAAATGTTCTTCCATTTGTTTGTGTCCTCTTTTATTTCGCTGAGCAGTTGTTTGTAGTTCTCCTTGAAGAGGTCCTTCACATCCCTTGTAAGTTGGATTCCTAGGTATTTTATTCTCTTTGAAGCAATTGTGAATGGGAGTTCACTCATGATTTGGCTCTCTGTTTGTCTGTTATTGGTGTATAAGAATGCTTGTGATTTTTGCACATTGATTTTGTATGCTGAGACTTTGCTGAAGTTGCTTATCAGCTTAAGGAGACTTTGGGCTGAGACGATGGGGTTTTCTAGATATACAATCATGTCATCTGCAAAAAAGGACAATTTGACTTCCTCTTTTCCTAGTTGAATACCCTTTATTTCTTTCTCTTGCCTGATTGCCCTGGCCAGAACTTCCAACACTATGTTGAATAGGAGTGGTGAGAGAGGGCATCCCTGTCTTGTGCCAGTTTTCAAAGGGAATACTTTTAGTTTTTGCCCATTCAGTATGATATTGGCTGTGGGTTTGTCATAAATAGTTCTTATTGTTTTGAGATACGTCCTATCAACACCTAATTTATTGAGAGTTTTTAGGATGAAGGGCTGTTGAATTTTGTTGGAGGCCTTTTCTGCATCTATTGAGATAATCATGTGGTTTTTGTTTTTGGTTCTGTGCAAATGGAAAACAAATGAAGGCAGGGGTTGCAATCCTAGTCTCTGATAAAACAGACTTTAAACCAACAAAGATTAAAGAGACAAAGAAGGCCATTACATAATGGTAAAGGGATCAATTCAACAAGAAGAGCTAACTATCCTAAATATATATGCACCCAATGCAGGAGCACCCAGATTCATAATGCAAGTCCTTAGAGACCTACAAAGAGACTTAGACTCCCACACAATAATAATGGGAGACCTTAACACCCCACTGTCAACATTAGACAGATCAACAAGACAGAAAGTTAACAAGGATATCCAGGAATTGAATTCAGCTCTGCACCAAGCAGACCTAATGGACATCTACAGAAGTCTCCACCCCAAATCCACAGAATATACATTCTTCTCAGCACCACACTGCACCTATTCCAAAATCGACCACATAGTTGGAAGTAAAGCACTCCTCAGCAAATGTAAAAGAACAGAAATTATAACAAACTGTCTCTCAGACCACCGTGCAATCAAACTAGAACTCAGGATTAAGAAACTCACTCAAAACTGCTCAACTACATGGAAACTGAACAACCTGCTCCTGAATGACTACTGGGTACATAAAGAAAGGAAGGCAGAAATAAAGATGTTCTTTGAAACCAACGAGAACAAAGACACAACATACCAGAATCTCTGGGACACATTTAAAGCAGTGTGTAGTGGGAAATTTATAGCACTAAATGCCCACAAGAGAAAGCAGGAAAGATCTAAAATTGACACCCTAACATCACAATTAAAAGAACTAGAGAAGCAAGAGCAAGCACATTCAAAAGCTAGCAGAAGGCAAGAAGTAACCAAGATCAGAGCAGAACTGAAGGAGACAGAGTTACAAATCACCCTTCAAAAAATCAATGAATCCAGGAGCTGGTTTTTTGAAAAGATCAACAAAATTGATAGACCGCTAGCAAGACTAGTAAGGAAGAAAAGAGAGAAGAATCAAATAGACGCAATAAAAAATGATAAAGGGGATATCACCACCAATCCCACAGAAATACAAACTACCAACAGAGAATACTATAAATACCCCTACACAAATAAACTAGAAAATCTAGAAGAAATGGATAAATTCCTCGACACATACACTCTCCCAAGACTAAACCAGGAAGAAGTTGAATCTCTGAATAGACCAATAACAGGCTCTGAAATTGAGGCAATAATTAATAGCTTACCAACCAAAAAAAGTCCACGACCAGATGGATTCACAGCCGAATTCTACCAGAGGTACAAGGAAGAGTGGGTACAATTCCTTCTGAAACTATTCCAATCAATAGAAAAAGAGGGAATCCTCCCTAACTCATTTTATGAGGCCAGCATCATCCTGATACCAAAGCCTGGCAGAGACACAACAAAAAAAGAGAATTTTAGACCAATATCCCTGATGAACATTGATGCAAAAATCCTCAGTAAAATACTGGCAAACTGAATCCAGCAGCACGTCAAAAAGCTTATCCACCACGATCAAGTGGGCTTCATTCATCTTTTAAAATCCACTTAAGAAATTACCTCCTCAAGAAAGCCTTCCTTGTACCCCCAGCTTGACTAGATGGCTTCCTTCTCTTCTACATATTCCCTGTGCATACTTTTAAATTAATTTCCCATTTATTGAAATTGTGTGCAGTGGTTTTTTTCCATTAAAATGTAAGTTCCTTTAGGCAGGAACCATAGCTTACTGAACTTCCTATCACAGCCTCCTAAGATAGTAACATAATAGTTGCTTAATAAATGTCAGACTGCACTAAGCAGTAATGCTGGATTAGGCAATGAGGACATGTTGGGCATTCATTCATTCAACAAATATTTATTGGGCATTTTTATGGGAAGAATTGTGCACTTCCACCCACCCCCCCAATTCAATGTTTTGAAGTCCTAAATCCCAATGCTTCAGAATGTGTATTTGGAGATAAGGTCTTTAAAGAGGTAATGAAGTTAAAATGTGGCCATTACAGTGAGACCTAATCCAACATTGCTGGTGTCTTTATAAGAAGAGAAGATTAAGACACAAGCACAAGGAAAAACGCCATCTATAAGCCAAGGAAAGAGGTCCCAGAAGAAACCAACCCTACTGATACCTTGATCTCAGGCTTCTAGCCTCTTGAACTACGAGAAAATAAATTTCTGTTGTTTAAGTCCCCCATCTTTGGTACTTTTTATGGCAGCCCTAGCAAACTAATACCAGCACCTGTTGTGTATCAGGTGTTATTCTAGGTCATGGGGAGATTTAGATGAATCCTGTATATAAGGTTCCTGCCCACATGGAACTTGCAATCTGCTAAGTGTCTCTTATATGTGAATGACTATTTCATTAAACACAATAAACAGGCTCCCCCACGTCCCGCCATGGATGACACAACCAAACACCTGCTTTCAAGGAATTTGTAACATAATTGCAGAGATAATGCTTAACATGCATAGTAAAATGAAGAGACAATTCAAGACCAACTTTATTGAGGATAATTTCTCTTTAGGGATACTAAAATGGGGTGAGATTGTTTAGGACAAAGTATATGGGGACATGTCCTAAAAAGATTTCAAGGAGGTAGAACTTCAGAAAGGCAGGGCTTAAATCAAGAGGAACCGAACCTATTATCAGGGGAAAGAGCAGCATGAGCAAAGATATGGAGGAAGTTAGCCAGATACCTTCATGGGGTGGAGCGGAGACTGTGGCAAGATCATCTGTCATAATGTTGAGAGTTAGTAGCAGTAATTGCCGCTATTCTCGCATATTTTCTGTAGCAAGCACTGTGTTAAATGCTTTATTTATAAACATTGCCTCCTTTTATCTTTAAAGCAAAGCTACAAGTAGTTATTGTTTTCAACATGCAGGTCAAAGCCCAAGATTCAAAGCAGTAAAGCAATTATCTATGGCTATTACCATTTATTTGTTAAAAAAATGAAAGAATAGATGATACCTACCCAATAATTGGTAAAAAAAAAAAAATCTTTTGGTAGAGGAAATAATAAAATGAAAGCAATCAAAAACTTGATCTGGTGGCCATTTGTAGGATGATACAGATCAGTGGTTCTCAAACTTGGCTGCACATTAGAATTGCCTGGAGGGTTTTGAAAAGTCCTGATGCCCAGACTGTATGTACTCCAGTTCCCAAGAACTTTACTAAAAATCTCTACTACCTCAGATCTTTCCTATCTCCTCCTCTCCTATATACACACAGCCCTAATAGCAGTTCCCTCCACCTCTTCTATTTTCATTACAGTTATTTTTATTTGATTTTGCCTATTTCTCCATATCACACTCACTGTCTTAAAAATATGGTGCCCAATATGTACTTTCCTCTTGTAACAAATCTACTGAACACTGTTCATCTCTTCATTTGTGTTAACAGATTTAGAAGCAAGTCTCTTTAAATTTTCTCCCAGTTTTTGAATATATGTGGAGAGCATCTCTCTGTCTCTCTCCAACCCCCATCCATCTAATTATGGTACTTGCAAGGATGGGCACCTCTGGTATTTATTGTAAATATGTAAACATCTCTTTTTAATTTACTGATGTCTCTGCATAGCTACTTGATCTCTTACATCTATTGTAAACTTCTATTTGTCTGTCTGAGTTTGCTTCTTCTATCCACTGAGTTCCCCAAGGGTCAAGAGCCACACGTTTTATTTACCCTGAATATCACCTAGTCGTACAAAGCAACTTCACAGGTAGTAGTAAATATGTTTTCCAGAAAGATGTCAACAACTTCTTGTACCAAAAGAAAGGCTAAGGGCTTGCATTGCCTAGCTGAGCATATTAGATAGAGATTCAGTGTAAGTTTTCAATTAAGATGGAAAACACAGCTGGCAGGGTGAGAGTTGTATTTTTTCTTTAGCCCACCAAGGCTAGGCATGGCCAGATGCTCTGTAACAGGGAGGGGCACAAGTGCTTTCCGAGCCTTTCCATCTGTCCTGCAGCACAATGATTCTGCCTGAGTGATTCATCTTACTCCATTTCTACTTTCCTACAAGGCAACACAATCAATCCTCTTAAACAGTGGTTCTCAGATCCATTACCCCAGGAGTTCATACAGACTGAAAATACAAATATGGTTAGGAAAAGTTTAGATGAATTAATGTAAGGCAGGTCTATTGACTTGTGTTTTGGAAGGGAAAGGGAGGTTTGGGATGTGTTATTCCAACTCCTGCATCTATCTCCCAGAGCAACCCTCTCTTAACAAATGACTGCTTGGCCCTGTTTTTGGAAATGTCCAACTGTATTTTTTACTTGTTTCAGGGGTACGGATATGCAGGATTGATTCTACATCCATCTGATACAATTTCAGTCTAAGATGCTCGTGGGTCAGCAAATGACTCTGCCCTACATGTGGTTGCTGAATCCCTAAAAGAAACAGAGATTTCAGAAAATCATAGAGGTGTCTCTTGTTCTGATAGTCCTTAAGTTACTGGCCAAATACATAAAGAAGCGAATTTCAAATCAGAGTTCTACAAATGCCTAATAAACTGCTGACCGAGGAATCTGTGATTGGTTTTATCAATACCAACAGGAAAACCACAGGAGAACCTGAGGGAACATTCTGAAGAAGATACCTAATTTTATAGCTAAGATGGTCATCCATTCTTTCACTAAGAAGAATGGAAACACAGTTTGCCGTCAGATCCTTCCATATTGCCTTTCCAGTAAAGCGGAGAGGACGATTTATAATTTCTCTTAAGTGTTCATTTTAGGCCTTGTTGTTTTACTTTTCAAAAATGTTCCAGACATTGCAAATAACTTAGGAAGAGTGAAGGATGACAGATCAATTAGCTGGGAAATAAAAAATGAGAAGACTGGGGGACATTGGTACTGGAAAATTTCACTTACCTGGGCAGCTAGGATCCAGGGGAAGCTGACGTTGAAGAGAGGATAAATACAAAGTGTTTCCTGGTGCCTTTAATAATGTGGCAATAGAAAGAACAAGCTAAGGAAATTCAATCAAAGGCAGGTAATAGCAACTTCCCATTGCTTTAAAAAGTAATAATAACCACAACACACTATGAGATAAAGCTCCAGGAGAAACAATAAACAAAAGAGAAGAAATGCACCCTTGAGACTTGGGGTTCTAAATGGCAATAATCACTTGCCAAAGATTATTGTGTGACTATTAACCACAACTATTCCTTTGGCCATCCAGCAAGAGCTGAGGAGCATAAGGGCACCAGAGATTCATCCTGTGTGAAAGGTGAGGTTGCAACGCTCAAATGCTCATGAGGCCTGAGCCCCATCACTAAGCTGAAAAGCATTTATTTTCTTAAAACTGAATTATCGAATTTGGGAAGGGGCACAAGGGGCTGCCTTATTAGGAAAAAGGATTCATAATTCTGGATTTAGTTAAGTAGCGAACAGTTCTCAATATGCTCTGAAATTGGAAAAATGAAATGCTAATTTTGTAAGGAAATCAACTCAAAACCAGGAACAGCAAATGTCATTATGATGTTCAATTGAATACATTGGTCATGAATGCTGACATAATTGAACGGATGCAGATAGGCTGCAAAATTATACGTTTCTCTCTAAGTTTGCATGGCCTGGTTTATTATTTTATTTGAGTGAGTCATGGCAATGTATGGTCTTCACACATCCAAAGCCTTCCTGAAGCCAGGGTGTGCCCACTAGCAGGCAAGGCCTGTTGCAGCATTGAAATGAGTTACTAGCTTTTTTTGCTGCCAAATAGGGGATGATTTTTCCCTAGATGTAGAATAAGCAGTGATAAACTGCCCAGTCTGAGCTTTTATTGTGAATAAAAAGTGAAAACTACTTAATCATGAGGCAACCCAGTATTTTAATAGAGGATCCAGGCAGTTTTTAAAAAATGACCCTATGGCATAATGGAGAACTTGATGCCATTGCTGGCAATTATGGTCCAGAGAGGGAAGTAGTGAATAGGCTGAAAGATGCTAAATGTAAAGGTTAGGGATGACAGTTATTTTTTGGATTATATTTCTCTTTTAGGCTATTCCCTTTGGGATTTTTTTTTTCAAAGCTGGTGTTATCAATTTAAGCTTTAGCCCTGCCATCAAAATTTTATGAAAGACTCTAGCTCTGATAAAATTCTTATATTTATTCTCGTTTGTTCTACAGAGGAGTGGAGTGGATGGAGGGTAGAGAGGTTGCTTATAGTCAGATCCCGAGTTCGGCCAGATATCTACTCGAAAGCCACTCAGATTGTACAAGTTCACATGAATGTCACTGATTCATTTTTAACAACTTTGTGTAGGTTGACATATACAATAACTGCATATATTTAAAAATACATAGTTTTCATACATTTTGATATATTCATATACCCATGAGACGATCACCATAATCAAGACAGTGAACATAGCCATCACCCCTAAAAGTTTGAGTCCTTTTGTAATCCCTCCCTCTCTCCCCTCCTCACCCCACCCTCCATTCCCAGGCAACTACTGATCTGTCACTACAGATTAATTTGCATTTTCCAGAATTTTATAAAATGGAATCATATTTATTCCTTTTTGCCTGGTTTATTTCCCTCAGCATAATAGTTTTGAAATTCACCTATGTTGTTGTATATATTAATAGTTCATTCCTTTCTATTACATTTAATGAATATACCAAAATATGTGTATCCCTTTTCATTGTAGGTAGTATTCCATTGTGTGACTATACCAAAATTTGTTGATTTATTCACCTGTTGATAGACATTTGGGTTGTTTCTATTTTTGGCAATTACAAATAAAGAGCCTAAGGACATTTATGTACAGGTCATTGTATAAACATATTTTCTTTTTTCTTTTTTTCTTGCAGGTAAATATCTGAGTGGAATGACTGGATCATATGGTAGGTATATGTTTAATTTTAAAATGATGATATGTTATATTTTTCTTTTCATTGAGTTCAGAATATGTTAATATTTCCCTTGAGACTTCTACATTGTGTGTGCACATATTCATATACTTTACATTGATACACAAAAATATACATATTTATGGGGTACATGTAATATTTTGATACATGCATATGATGTGTAATGATCAAATCAGGGTAATTAGGATATCTATCACTTCAGAGATATATCATTTCTTTGTGTTGCAAACATTTCAAATCTTCTAGCTATTTGGAAATATATAACACCTTGTTAACTATAGTTGCCTTACTATTCTGTTAAACACTGAAACTTATTTCTTCTGTCTAACTATATGTTTATACCTATTAACCAACTGTTCTTCATCTCCCCATCCCCCTCCCCAGCATCTGGTAACCATCTCTTTACTCTATCTCCTTGAGATCAACTCCCACATATGAGTGAGAACATGCAATATTTGTTTTTCTGTGCTTGGCTTATTTCGGTTAACATAATGATCTCTGGTTCCATCCACATTGCTATAAATAACATGATTTCATTTTTTATGGCAGAATAGTATTCCATTGTGTAAATATATCACATTTTCTTTATCCGTTTGTTGGTTGATAGACACTTAGGTGGATTCTATGTCTTTGCTATTGTGAATAGTGCTGCAATACACATGGGGGTACAGGTATCCCTTTGATAATGCTGACTTCCTTTCCTTTGGATGAACATCCAGTAGTGGAATTGTTAAATCATATGGTAGTGCTTTTTCTTTAGTTTTTTTTTTTGGGGGGGAAATCACTATGCTATTTTCTATAGTGGCTGAACTAATTTACATTCTCACCAATAGTGTATAAGAATTTCCTTTTCTCCACATTCTTGCCAGCATCGTTATCGTTATTTCTTGTCTTTTTAATAACAACCATTCTAACTTGGGTAAGATGAAATCTAATCGTGGTTTTGATTTGCATTTCCCTGATGATTAGTGATGCTGAACACTCTTTTTTGTTTGTTTTTTTTTTGAGACGGAGTCTCGCTCTGTCGCCCAGGCTGAAGTGCAGTGGCGCAATCTCGGCTGGCTGCAAGCTCCGCCTCCTAGGTTCACGCCATTCTCCTGCCTCAGCCTCTCGAGTAGCTGGGACTACAGGCGCCTGCCACCACGCCCGGCTAATTTTTTTCTATTTTTGAATAGAGACGGGGTTTCAACGTGTTAGCCAGGATGGTCTTGATCTCCTGACCTCGTGATCCTCCCTCCTTAGCCTCCCAAAATGTTGGGATTACAGGCATGAGCCACCGTGCCCGGCCTGAACATTCTTTTATATACCTGTTGGCCACTTGAATGTCTTTTTTTGAGAAATGTCTATTGATATCCTTTGACCATTAAAAATGGGATTATTTGTTTCGAACAGCTGTTGAGTTGTTTCAGTTCCTTGCATATTCTAGACATTAGTTCCTTGTCAACTGAATAATTTGCAAATATTTTCTCCAATTCAACAACTTGTCTCTTCACTCTGTGGATTGTTTCGTTTGCTGTGCAGAAGCTTTTTAGTTTAATATAGTCCCATTTGTCTATTTCTGTTTTGGTTACCTGTGCTTTTAAAGTCTTAGCCATAAAATCTTCGCTTAGACCAATGTCTTGAAGCATTTACCCTATGTTTTCTTGTAGTAGTTTTATAGTTTTGGGTCTTATGTTTAAGTCTTTACTCCATTTTGAGCTGAATTTTGTATATGGTGAGAGAAAGGGGTCCAGTTTCATTCTCCTGCATATGGATACCTAATTTCCCCAGTACTATTTATTAAAGAGACCATCGTTTCCCCAAGGTATATTCTTGGTAACTTTGTTGAAAATCGGTTTGCTGTAAAAGCATAAATTTAATTCTGGATTCTCTATTTTGTTCCGCTGGTATATGTATCTTTTTATACCAATATTATGTTATTTTAGTTACTATAGTAACTTATTTTAAAGTCAGGGAGTGTGATGCCTCCAACTTTGTTCTTTTTGCTCAGGATTGCTTTGGCTTTTGGGGCTCTTTCTTGGTTCCATACATATTTTAGGATTATTTTTCTATTTCTGTAAAAAACTTACACTGGCATTTTGATAGGGATTGCATTAAATATGTAGATTCCTTTAGGGAGTATGGACATTTTAGCAATATTCTTCCCATTCATGATCATGGGAAGTCTTTCCATTGTTTATTGTTTCAATTTATTTCATCAGTGTTTTGTAGTTTTTCTTGAGAGGCTTTTTACCTCATTGTTAAACTTATTCCTAGGTATTATTTGTTGGTAGTTATTGTAAATGGGATTACCTTCTTTATTTCTTTTTCAGCTAGCTCATTAATGATGTATAGAAATACTACTGATTTTGTATGTTGATTTTATATTCTGCAACTTTACTGAATTTATCAGATCTAAGAGCTTTTTGGTGGAGTCTTCAGTTTTTCTAGATGTAAGATCATGCCATCTGCAAAAAGGAACAGTTTGAATTTCTTTTTTCCAATTTGAATGCTTTTTTATGTCTTTCCCTTGCCTGATTGCTCTGGCTAGGACTTCCAATACTATGTGAATAGGAGTGGTGAAAGTGGGCATCCTTGTCCTTGTTCCAGTTCTTAGAGGAAAGGCTTTCAGCTTTTCCCCATTCAGTATGATGTTAGCTATGGGTTTTTCTTTTCTTTTCTTTTTTTTTTTTTTGAGACAGGGTCTCGCTGTGTCACCCAGGCTGGAGTGCAGTGGAGCAATCTTGGCTCACTGCAACCTCCACCTACAGGGTTCAAGCGATTCTCACACCTCAACCTCCTGAGTAGCTGGGATTACAGGCATGCGCCACCACCCCAGCTACTTTTTTTATTTTTAGTAGAGACAGGGTTTCACCATGTTGGCTAGGCTGGGATTTTTCATATATGACCTTTATTATGTTAAAGTATGCTCCATCTATGCCTTATCATAGTTTTTATCATAAAGGGATGTTGAATCTTATCAAATGATTTTTCTGTACCAATTGAGATGATCATGTAGTTTTTGTCCTTCATTCTCTTGATGCGATATGTTTTTATTGATTTGTATATGTTGACCTATCCTTGCATCCTGGAGGTAAATCCCACTTGATTATGGTATATTATACTTTTGATGTGCTATTGGATTTGGTTTGCTAGTATTTTGTTTAGGATTCTTTTCCTCTATGTTCATCAGGGTTATTTGCCTGTAGTTTTCTCTTTTTGTTGTATCCTTGCTTTTTTTTGATACCGGGGTAATGCTGGTCTCATAGAATGAGCTAGGGAGAATTCCCTCCTCTTCTATTGTTTGGAATAGTTTGAAGATAATTGGTTTTAGTTCTTTTTGGAAGTTTGGCAGAATTTGTCAGTGAAGCCATCTGGTGCTGGGCTTTTCTTTGTTGGAACACTTTTAATTTCGTTTCTCTTGGAGATCTTTTACTGAATAATTATTGTGTTCCTTTGATGGCATCATGTTTCCTTGATTTTTCATGTTGGTCTGTTCAGGTTTTCTATTTCTTTCTGGTTCCATCTTGGTAGGTTGTATGTGTCTAGTAATTTATCTATTTCTTCTAGGGTTTCTAGTTTGTTGGTGTATGTAGTATGTAGTTGTTCAGATAGTCTCTGATGATCTTTTGTATTTCTATTTTTTATTTTGTTTATTTCAGTCTTCTCTTTTTCTTTGTTAGTCTAGTAGTGGTTTACTGATTTTGTTTATCTTTCAGAAAACCAACCATTCATTTTGTTGATTCTTTGTGTTTTTATTTTTTTAAGTCTCTATTTCATGTAGTTCTGCTCTGATCTTTCTTTCCTTCTGCTAATTTTGGGTTTGTTTTTTTTCTTGCTTTTCTAGTTCCTTAAGGGCATTGTTAGGTTATTTATTTGAAATCTTTCTACCTTTTTGGTGTAGGTGTTTATCACTATAAAGTTCTCTTTTAGCACTGCTTTTGCTGTCTTCCATAGATTTTGGTTCGTTGTGCTTCTATTTTCATTTGTTTCAAGAAATTTTTTTTATTTCCTCACTACTTTCTTCATTGACCCAGTGGTTGTTCAGAGGTATGTTTAGTTTCCATGTATTTGTACAGTTTCTGAAGTTCCTCTTGTTATTGATTTCTAGTTTTATTTCATTGTGGTCTGAGAAAATACTTGATATGATTTCAAATTTTAAAAAAATTTTTGAGACTTGTTTTGTGGCCTAACATATGGTCTACCCTGGAGAATGCTCTGTGTGCTAATGAGGAGAATATGTAGTCTGTGGCAGTTAAACTATTCTGTAAATGTCTGCCAGGTCTTTTGGTCTAAGGTCCAATTTAAATCCAATGTTTCCTTGTTAATTCTGTCTAGATGATCTGTCTATTGCTGAGAGTAAGGTGTCAAAGTCCCCAGCTATTTTCGTATTGGGGTGAATCTCTCCCTATAAATCTAATAATACTTGCTCAATGTACCTGGGTGGTCCAGTATTGGGTACATAGAATTGTTATGAGTTTAGTCTGTTTACATTCAAGGTTATTGATATGTGAATGCTTATTCCTGTCATTTTATTGATTACTGGTTGTTTTGTATATCATTTGTTTCTTTTTTTCCAATCTTCTTGTTTATTATTGCGTTTTGGTCATTTTCCATAGTGGTACCATTTGAATCTTTTCTTTTCCTTATTTGTTGGTTTGCTCTACCAGTGAGTGGGTTTTATACTTTTGTGTGTTTTCATGATAGTGGAATTTGTCCTTTTACTTCAAGGTGTAGGACTGTATTAAACATTTCTTGTAGGGTTGGTCTGTAGTGATGAATTCAGCTTTTGCTTGTCTGGGAAATACTTTATTTATTCTGAGTATAGTCTTCTTCCCTGGCAGCTTCTTTTTTTCATTCAGCATTTTGAACATATATCATTCTCTTATGGCTTGTAAAGTTTCTGCTGAGAAAACCACTGTTATTCTAATGGGGTTCCTTATAAGTGACTAGGCACTTTTATTTTGATGTATTTAGAATTCTCACTTTGTCTTTGACTTTTGACAGTCTGATTATAATGTGCCACGGGGAAGATCTTTTTGAATTGCATCTATTTGAGGATCTCTGAGCTTCCCTGTATCTAGCTGTCTAAATCTCTTGCAAGACTATGTAACTTTTCAGCTACTATTTTGTTAAATCAGTTTTCTATCCATTTGGTTGTTCTCTTTGCCTTCTGGGACACCAAAAAATTGAATATGTGGTCACTTTATGGTGTCCCATATAAGATATAGGCTTCGTTCATTCTTTTTTATTCTTTATTTCTGTCTGACTGTATTGTTTCAAAAGACCTATCTTTGAGTTCAGAAATTCTTTCTTCTGCTTTACCTAGTCTACTGTTGAAACTTTTGAATGCATTTTTATTTCATTAATGAGTTTTTCAGTTCCAGACTTTCTGTTTGGTTCTTTTTTATGATATCTAGCTCTTTGGTAAATTTCTCATTCATATCCTGAATTGTTTTTCTGATTTCTTTGTATTATTTGTCTTGTTCTTTTACATATCACTGAATTTCTTTAATATCATTATTTTGAATTCTTTTTCAGACATTTCATAGATTTCCTTTTCTTTGGGATCTGTTATTGGAGAATGACTATGTCCCTTTGAAGGTGTCATGTTTCCTGGCTCTTTCATGTTTCTTTTGTCCTTACACAAGATATCTATGCATCTGATATAATAATCACTTTTTTGAATTTTATGGATTGGCTTTTTCAGGAAAAGACTTTTCCTGTAGGTATATCTATAGTGTTGGTTAAGTATGGTACTTTGGCTTTGATTCTGGGTAGCAGTAGTATAGTCTCCATATGACTTCTTCAACTGGAATCAGCATCAGTGGTGTTTGAGTTCCTTAGTGGTTTAGGCTGTGCATGTTAGTGGAGGCTGTGATGGCATTTTGGTGGGATGGGGATGCCAGGTTGGCTAATGTTTGAGCACTAGTAGTGGTGGCAGGCCTGGTGTGCTGGTCTTTAGTCTCCTGGCCAGTGTATGCTGGCATCAGTGGTAGCAGGTTTGAGTAGGCCAGTTCTTGGACTTCCAGGCAGGTTGCTTGGGTGCTGCCAGTGACACCAGTGGGCCAAGCAGGCAAATGAGTGGGTTCTTGTGCCCTTGGGTGGTGTTCATGGTGTTGGCTATGGCAGGAGTGGCAGTGGGCTAGACTTCATGCCCTGAGTGACATGTGTGGGTGCCAGCAGTGGCACTGGTATGGTGGGCAGGCCAGTCTCCAGGTAAGGGGGTGCTGGTGGCAGTGGTGGTGGCAGGCTGTGCAAGCTAGTCCTTGGGCCCCAGGAATGTGCATCTAGTTGGTGGCATCAGATAGGATAGGTCCATTCTCAGGCCCCCAGAAGGTATGTGCTGGCACCAGTGGTTGCAGGTGGAATAGGCCTATTCTCCAGCCTTCTGATGGTGCATGTGGGTACGTGTGGTGGTAAGTGGGATGGATAGATCCTAAGGGCCCTGAATAACATTCATGGGCACTGGCAGTAGTGGTAGTGGGTGAGGCATGCTTGTCATCATGCTCCCTGATGGTGTGTGTGGGTGCCAGCTTCAGTGGCGGAATGAATCAATCCCCAGCTCCTCAGATCGTATGCTGGGGTTGCAGTGGTGGTGGCAATGAACCAGGCAAGTCTATCCTCAGGCCCCTGGATGGCATGCATGGTCACCACTGCTGAAGGCTGTGAGTGGCATTGGCCTGTCCTCAGGCTTCCCTATGGTGCACATAGGTACAGGCTGCAGTGGGTGGGGTGGATTGATTCTCAGGACCCTGGTTGTCATGCTCAAAGAAACTTCTTCTTTGATTCATGGGTT
This sequence comes from Homo sapiens, assembly GCF_000001405.40. Classification (NCBI taxonomy): domain Eukaryota; kingdom Metazoa; phylum Chordata; class Mammalia; order Primates; family Hominidae; genus Homo; species Homo sapiens. The sequence goes on along the minus strand of NC_000005.10, from coordinate 68,610,677 downwards.
ATTTAGAAGTATATTGTTTAATTTCCAAATATTTGATGATTTTCTGGATGTTATTCTGTTTTTGATTTCTAGTTTAATTGAGCTATGTTTAGAGAACATATATTGTATAATTTCTATTTCTTTCAGATTTGTCAAGGTTTGTTTTATGGCACAGAAGATAGTCTGTCTTGATGAATATTCCATGTGTACTTGAGAAAAGTGTGTATCCTGCTGTTCTTGGATTGATCTATAAATGTCAGCTAGGTCAAGTTGGTTAACTGTATTGCTCAACTCTTCTATATCCTTACTTATTTTTTGTCTACTTTGTCTACCAATTTCTGAAAGAAGAGTGTTGGCAACTTCAAATATAATTGTGGATTTGTCTGTTTCTCCTTTAGGTATTTTTATCTTATTTGCACATTTTTATTTTTTTTAAGAGACAGGTTCTCACTTTGTCACTCAGGCTGGAGTGTAGTGCCACAATCATATCTCACAGCAACCTCAAATTCCTAGGCTCTGGCAGTCCTCCTGCCTCAGCCTCTCAAGTAGCTAAAAGTACAGGTGTGTGACACCATGCCTGGCTAATTTTTAAGAATTTTTTTGTAGAGACAGGGTCTGGCTATGTTGCCCAGGCTGGTCTCAAACACCTGGTCTTAAGCAATCTTCCCACCTTGGCCTCCCAAAGTGCTGGGATTACAGGGGCGAGCCACTACATCTGGCCTAGGTATTTTTAAATCCTGTTATTAGGTAAATATGTCTTTAGGATTGTTATGTCTCTGTAGAAAATTGACCGTTTTATTCTTAAGTATTGTTCCACTTTATCCTCTATAATATTCCTTATCCTTAAGTCTACTTTTCTCGATATCAATATGGCTTCCCCAGCTTTCTTTTTATTAGTGTTTGTATGCCATCTATATTTCCATTCTTTTACTTTTAACCTATCAGTTAATTTATATTTAAAGTTGGTTTATCATAGACATCATGTAGTTGGGTCTTGCTTTGACTTTTATCTAGTTGAATAATCTCTGTCTTTTTATTGGTGTGTTTAGATAGTTCACAGTTAATGTCATTGCCAATATGGCTAATTTTAAATCTACCATTTTGCTAAATGTTTCTTGTTTGTATCATTTATTATTTTTCTCTTATTTTTGATTGATTGCATTTTATGACTCCCTTTCATCTCCACTATTGGTTTGCTATTTATATCACTTTTAAGAATCCTTTTTGGCCAGATGCGGTGGCTCACGCCTGTAATCCCAGCACTTTGGGAGGCCAAGGTGGGTGGATCACAAGGTCAGGAGATCGAGACCATCCTGGATAGCATGATGAAACTCCGTCTCTACTAAAAAATACAAGAAATTGGCCAGGCGTGGTGGCGGGCACCTGTAGTCCCAGTTACTCTGGAGGCTGAGGCAGGAGAATGGCGTGAACCCAGGAGGCGGAGCTTGCAGTGAGCCGAGATCGCGCTACTGCACTCCAGCCTGGGCGACAGAGTGAGATTCCGTCTCAAAAAAAAAAAAATCCTTTTTTGTTGTTGCCCTAGGATTTACAATGTACATATTTAATTAATCAGAGTTAAAATAGTATTATACCATTTTACCTGTGGTATAAGGATCTTATAACTGTATATTCCCAATTCCTCATCTTATCTTTTGTATCATTGTTGTCATATATTTTACTTTTATGTGTCCTTTTTTGTTGTCATATATTTTAATTTTATGTGTGCTTTAAATGCACAAAATGTTACTATTATTTTTGCTTTTTGTAGTTACATTTTAGTATACTACAGTTGAGTAGTTGTCACAAAGACTGTATGAACCACAATGCATAAAATATTTACAATCTGACTCTTCCTAGAAAAAAGTTTATTCATCTCTGTTCTAATTATAAGTAAAGCAAATAAAATTTATATTTTCTTCATTTATTCTACATCCAGTGCGCATCATTTCTTTGTGTAGATCCAAATTTCTGTCTGGTGTTATACGTTTTCTACTAAAAAATTTCCTTTAACATTTGTTTTAGTGAAGATCTAATGGCAATAATTCGGCTCAGCTTTTGTTTGTATGAAAATACCTTTATTTCCTCTTTTTTCTTCTTCCTCTGAGTTTAGAATTCTTAATTGACAGTGGGTTTTTTATCTGTTTTTGTTTGTTTTGTTTTCCAGCCCTTTAAAGACATCAGTGCATTATCTTTTGGCTTCCATGGTTTCTGGTGAGAAGTCTGCTCTAATTCTTGTCTTTGTTTCTCTATACTTTATGTGCTGCTTTCAAAATTTTTTTTCTTTGTCATGGTTTTTCAGCAGTTTGGTGTCCTACTTGGTATTTTCCAAGCTTTTTGGATATGTGATTTAGAGTCTATCATTCATTTTAATTAGACTATTTGATAATATTCTATAGCTCCTGTTTTCTCTATTTTTTTCTTTGTGTTTTTGTTTGAGTTATTTATATGGACTTATCTTGGTTCCCTTTTTTCTTTGTCTCAGTTGTGTCAAGTCTACTGATGAGCATGTGGGAGGCATTCTTCATCTACGATTGTGTTTCTATTTCTAGCATTTCTACTTGATTCTTTTTTACAGTTTTCATCTCTCCACTAACATTACGCATCTGACCTTGTGTATTATCCTCTCTTCCATTATCGTCATTGACATTTTAATCAGTGTGTTGTATTTTCTTGATATTTGTTTCCTGTTTGTTTCACTTGTTCTTTGTTCCCTCTTGCTTTTTGTTGCTTTCTTTTGAATTTTACTTATGATTCTACATTTTCATTTTTAATTTCCTTAATTGTGTATTAACTATAATTCTTTGTTTTTTTAGCAGTTGCTTTAGGATTTGTAATATACTTAAATAGTTAACTTAGCACAGTTTACCTTCAAGTAACATTGTTCTGCTTTACATATGCTATAAGAACAATAGCATATGTCCAGCTTTCACCTTCTGGCCTTTATGCTATATTTGTCATACCTTTTTCTTCTACCTATATTATAATTCTCACGCTATATTTATTATTGTTTTTTCTTTAACTTTGAGATTGGCAATTTAAGGCCCAATGACCAAACCTGCCTGCAAACTGTTTTGGTAAATAAAATTTTACTGTAACACAGCTATATCAATTTATTCACATATTTTAATGAATGCTTTTATGATATAACAGTACAGTTGAGTAGTTGTCACAAAAACTGTGTGAACCACAGTGCATAAAATATTTACAATCTGGCTCTTCCTAGAAAAAAAGTTTATTTATCTTTGTTCTAAATAGCCAATTATTTTTAAAAGGCATCCCAATAATAATAAATAAATCCTAAGCCAGTCTCTGTTACTCAAGTCTACAATCCCAGTGCTTTGGGCGACAGAGGCAGAGGGATTGCTTGAGGCCAGGAGTTGGAGACCAGCCTGAGCAACATAGCGAGATCCTGTTTCTACAAAAAATTTAAAAATTAACCATTTAAAAAATGGTGGTACGTACCTGTAGTCACAGCTACTTGAGAGGCTGAGGAAGTAGGATTGCTTGAGCCCAGGAGTTTGAGGCTATGATCACCACTGCACTCTAACCTGGGTGACAGAGTGAGACCCTATCTCTAGAAATAAATTTTTAAAATAAAAATAATATAAAAAAAGAAATAAATCATATTTACCCATGTAGTTATTTCAAATGTTTTTCATTCCTTTGTGTAGATACATATTTCTATCTGGTATCATTTTCCTTGTGACTGAAAGATTTTCTTAACATTTCTTGTTGTGCAGATCTGATAACAATGGATCAGCCACTGTACATCTAAAAAAGTATTTCATCTTCACTTTTAAAAAATATTTTTTACTGTTGTGTAAAATTCTATGTTGACAATTATTTTTTCAGTACTTTAGAGATGTTGCTCCATTATCTTCTCATTTGCATTATTTCTGATGAAAAATATGGTTTCATCCTAATATTTGCTCCTGTGTATGTCATAATTTTTTTCTTTGGCTGATTTTAAGGTTTTTTAAAACTCAGATTTTGAGCAATTTCATAATAATATTCCATGGTGTAATTTTCTTTATGCTTCTTGTCCTTGGGGTTGGTTGAGCTTCCTGGGCCTGTGGGTCTATAGTTTTCAACAAATTTGTAAAATTTTCAGTGATTATTTCTTATATTACTTCTATCTACCTTTGAGGATTGGATTCCAATTATACATATAGCAGACATTTGAATTTGCCCACAACTCATGGGTGTTCTGTTTATTTATTTATTTTAATTCCCTACTCCTCTGTGTGTTTTATTTTAGATAGTTTCTATTGGTGTGTCTTTTAGTTCACTTACCTTTTCTTCTGCAATGTCTAATCTGACATCAATCCCACATAATGTATTTTCATCTCTAAAAGATTATTGTATGTCTTTTAAAAATATCTTCCATGCTTCCACTTAACATGATTAGTCTTTCCTCTATCTTTTTGACCGTTATATATATTATTATATTATAAATGTAATATTTATGGTAAGATCTTTGTCTACTAATTCTATCACTGCTGTCAGTTTTGAGTTGAGTTTTATTGTTTTATTTATCTCCTCATTGTGGGTCACCTATTCCTGCTGCTTTGCATGCCTGGTAATTTTTTATTAAATACCTGACATTGTGAATTTTACTTTTTTGGCTGCTCGTTATTTTTGCATTCCCATAGGTGTTGTAGAGTTTTGTCCTGGAATGGTTAAGTTATGATGGTTAAGTTATTTAGAAATAGTTTGATTTTTTTGGGTCTTGCTTTTAAACTTTGTTAATACAGTTCAGGACCATATTTCATGGAGAGCAATTTTAATCCAACTATTGAGGCAAGGCTCTTCTAAGTACTTTTAGTTGGTAGAGTTCTAAGATAATCCCTGTATTTTCCCCTGGGTATTAACATGACTTTTTTAAATGACTTTTTTTCCACATGGCTGGAAAAAGAGATTTTGCACATGTAACTAATATTATTAATCAGTTGATTTTTAAGATAAGGAGATTATCTTGTGGGCCTAGGCTGTATTTTAAAAAGCAGATTCTGTTCTCTGGACGATTGCAGAAGAGTAGGTCAAATATTCTAAACACCAGGGAGACTTGAGGTGTCATTGCCTTGAATGTGAAAGGGGTCACGGGGAAAGAATCTGAGAGCTGAGAGTGGCCTCTAGGAGTGAGAGCAATCCATGACCAATGGCCAAAAGAAAATAGGGACTTCATTCTTACAGCCACAAGAAATTGAGTTCTGTCAATAACAAGAATGAATGCAGAAAGAGTCTTCTCCAGAGCCTCCAGACAAGAGCCCAACTTAACTGACAGCTTGATTTAGACCTTGAACAGAGAATCTTGTCAAACTTGCCTAAACTATTGATCTGCAGAACTGTGAAATAATAAATGGGGTATTGTTTTTAAGCTGCTAAATTCATGGTTCATTGTTACACAGCAATAGAAAACTAATATGGTAGTTTATCCTATATCCTGTGTGTTACAGGATTTTCCATTCTATCTAATGGAAACAGGCACTTTTCCCTGTCCTGCATAAACTGTGAGTTTCTATTCTCTAATAGTTTTGGATGGTTCTTTCCCTGGCCTCTGGTAGTTTCCTCATATACCTGTATTGGTCAGTACTCAGTTGAACATGCAAAGGGGTCCTTCTGAAGATCTTCAGAGTCTTCTCTATGCGCAGCCCTCTTTTCTGGCACTCTGCCCTGGAGAGCAGCCTCCTCATACTTTTAGCCTTGTCACCTCAACTCAGGGAGACTACCAAGCTCTACCTGGGTTCTCTCTTCAGGTGCTGCAGCCTAAAATCTCCTTCCAGGAAGTAAGCTGGTGATGGTAGGGCTCACTTCACTTGTTTTGTATTTCTCAGGGATTTCTGTCCTTTGTTGCCTCACATCCTACATCTTGAGAACCATTATTTTATATATTTTGTCTAGTTTTTGGTTGTTTCTGGAGGGATGATACATTCTATCCCTGTTACTCTATCTTGGCCAGAAGCAAAAGCCCTCAGTTAAATGTGACCGGAATCAAGTACTGTTTAAAACCAAAGTTTGAGGTTTAAAATACTCAGAAATGCCCTCTACCAATGTGGTATCAGCATCCTCTGTTTATATTACAGATTGAGGATAGCATGTTAATTACAACAATTCCCCCACCAATTTTTTTTATATAGGTAGAAATTAAAATCTTAAAACAAAAAGTCTAGTACAGTCAAACCCTAATCTAGATTTGTTGCATTCTGAAGGTGCAGTAGATTAGATCACCTGAAAGTTGTTCGTTTCTTTAAAGTTCAATTTTCCTATACCATTTTTGGAATGGGACTGATATTCATTTTCCGAAGTGGGGATCCGCAGTGATCTCATCTTCTTTTATGCTAAGGGAGTACTTTCTTTTTATTATTCATATGGTAATATCAGCTCTTAAAAAGAGATGCCCTGATCTTGGGATCACAAACTGCTCTTTAGATTCTCTCAAAAGCATTGCCTTGGATGCACCATATCAATGCTTCCTTTATTTAAAAGTTTTCACAGCCAGGTGCCGCAGAGTCTAGAGATGAGAGTGGCAAGATGAGATGTGTTGTTATAAAACTCTCCTGATGGTCGAGACATATGAGCTACTTTAGAAGCTTTATTTTATGTCACCATGATGAGCAACTTTAGAAGCTTTATTTTATGTCACCATGATGAGCAGCTTCCTTCCCTGTGCCAGGGACAGGCTGCTAGTCTTTTCTCCACCTGGGCTGCGGCTTCCCAGCTCACCTGCAGTGCAGTCCACTGAAGTGCAGTCTGTGTGTGTGTCCAGGGACAGGGGAGCTTCTTGTGTACTTGCTGTTGAGAACTTTGAAGCAAAAGAAAAAAAAAAAAGTACTAGCTACCCACTACCCACTAATGCTTCCCTTGAATAATCTTGCTCTTGTCATATTGAAACAAGTGCTCATAAAAGGAACAGCTTTTGTGGAACTGGCCAATTCACAGAACCTTAGACCTAGAATAAACTTGAAGAGGCCAGAACCAAGGTGCTCAAGTATGTCGGTAGGTGAGAGAACCATGTGGAAATAGTGGATTAAGTTTGTTAAATTTAACCACGTGCTTTAAAGAATGCTTTTCAAACTTTAATGTGCATACAAATCATCTGAGAAATGTGTTAAAATGCAGATTGTCATTCAGCAGGTCTTGGGTGGGGTCTGAGGTTCTGAATTCCTCATAGGGTCCCAGGTGATGCCTGTGCTGCTGGTTTGGGGACTACACTCTGAATAGCAAGGTTCTAAAGGAATATATTTAAGAGTAAACATATGGGGAAAAGAGAAATTCAATCACAATCAATATTCACTCATTTATCCAGCACCTAAAAGCCTGTTACGGATAATACACATGCTCAATGATGCAGAAAAAAGGGAGAATTAGAATCAAGCCTCCTCTTGAGGCAGGAGAATGGCATGAACCCAGGAGGCAGAGCTTGCAGTGAGCCGAGATCACGCCACTGCACTCCAGCCAGCCTGCGTGACAGAGTAAGACCTCCGTCTCAAAAGAAAAAAAAAAAAATCAAGCCTCCTCTTATGGAACTTACAAACTAGAAGGAGGTTAAAATATATGTAAAGCATTATACTATACATGGTATAGTAAGATTCCTACTGGTTAAAGATCCCTGGGCTTGAATCCTGGTCTGTGAAAAGTTGACCACAATTACTGCAGTATGGTGTGATTACTCATCTGTGAAATGAAAACAAATGAGAAGCACCTATAGTGTATGGGTATTGTGAAGGTTAAATGAGTTGATACTTGTAAAAACACATAGAAATGACTGAAAAATTTTTCTTATTAGACAACTTAAAAGTGAGAAAAATATAAGAGGTTCATTTATTTATTTTTCAAATCTCCACATCTCAGATGAAAAAGGGTTTAGGTGAAATATTATGGAATTCAATTTCAATCAATTGTCAGTCACCATTTCTTTCTCATTCCAAGTTTAAAAATGGAGATTTTTTTTTTTTCTGCCAAGGTCAGGAAGATATAGAGGGTCATTATTGGGCTACCTGTGCTGTACAGGAGAACTAGAAGGGAATTTGAGAAAAAAGATTTGAAAAAGTTGTCATCAGTTTTTCCTTGTATCCCTGGTTTTCCCTCTTTTTTCTCCCATAAACCCAGAAAAACTGGGTTTGATCTTTGGCTCTGCCACTTATTTCCTAAAATAATACATTTTGTAATCTGTCTTTGCCTCGGTAACTTCATCTGTAAAATGGAGGTAACAATGTCTGCGTGATGATGGTGGTGGTGGTGTGAAAATTAAAAGCAAAAGTGTGGTAGGCAGAATAATGGCCCCCCAAAAGTTATCCAGGTTCTAATTCCTGGGAACTGTGGATGTTCCCTTAGATGGCCAAAGAGACTCTGCAGCTCTGATTAAGTGAAGGATATTTAAATATAATCACGTAGGTTCTTTTCTATTTTCCTTAAGCATTGGCCAGCTTGAGAAATAAAGGGACAGAGTGCAAAAGAGAGAAATTTTAAAGCTGGGTGTCTGGGGGAGACATCACATGTCGGTAGGTTCTGTGATGACCCACAAGCTGCAAAAACCAGCAAGTTTTTATTAGGGAGTTTCAAAAGGAGAGGGAGTGTGCGAATAGGTGTGGGTCACAGACATGAAGTACTTTACAAGGTAATAGAATATCACAAGGCAAATGGGGGCAGGGCGAGATCACAGGACCACAGGACTGGGGCAAAATTAAAATTGCTAATGAAGTTTCGGGCACCATTGTCATTGATAACATCTTATCAGGAGACAGGGTTTTGAGAGCAACTGGTCTGACCAAAATTTATTAGGCGGGAATTTCCTCTTCCTAATAAGCCTGGGAGTGCTATGGGAGACTGGGGTCTATTTCATCCCTACAGGCTCGACCATAAGAGATGGCCACGCCCAGGGGGGGCCAGTTCAGAGCCCCACCCCCAGGCATGCATTCTCTTTCTCAGGGATGTTCCTTGCTGAAAAAAAGAATTCAGGATATTTCTCCCATTTGCTTTTGAAAGAAGAGAAATATGACTTTGTTCCACCCGGCTCACTGGCGGTCAGAGTTTAAGGTTATCTCTCTTATTCCCTGAACAATTGCTGTTATCTTGTTCTTTTTTCAAGGTGCCCAGATTTCATATTGTTTAAACACACATGCTCTACAATTTGTGCAGTTAATGCAATTATCACATGGTCCTGAGGTGACATACATCCTCCTCAGCTGACAGGATTGAGAGATTACAGTAAAGACAGGCATAGGAAATCACAACGGTATTGATTGGGAAAGTGATAAGTGTCCATGGAATATTTACAATTTATGTTTAGAGATTGCAGCAAAGACAGGCATAAGAAATTATAAAAGTATTAATTTGGGGAACTAATAAATGTCCATGAAATCTTCACAATCCACGTTCTTCTGCCATGGCTTCAGCCGGTCCCTCCATTTGGGGTCCCTGACTTCCTGCAACACTTAGATGGCCAAATAGACTCTGCAGCTCTGATTAAGTGAAGGGTCTTTAAATAGTGAGACTATCTGGGATTATCTGGGTGGACCCAATACAGTCACAGTTGTCCCTATAGGAGGGAGGCAGAAAGCACTTTGACACAGAAGAAGGCAATGTGACCACTGACGCAAGAGGCCACATGGCTGGCTTTGAAGTTGGAAAAAGGGGCCATGAACCAAGGTGTGCAAGAAATACAGGTGTAAAAGGTAGAGATGTCAAGGAGATAGATTCTCCTATAGGGTTCCAGAGGGAGTACAGCCTTGCTGATAGTTTAATTTTTCCCCAGACTTCTGTGCTCCAGAACTGTAAGACAGTAAATGTATGTTGTTTTAAGCCACCAACTTTGTGGTAACTTGTTACAGCAACCACAGGGAAAAAAAATTATAAAAATTATCTGTGGAGCACTTCACAAATGTTATTTTGTATCTTTTTCCTAATTAGAGAGCCATCACTAGTGTGAAAGATTGCTAAGTTAAGGCCACTGTAACAGTCCCAGTTTTCCATGGAGAAGCCTGAAGCCATGAAATATTTTCTCCTTGTCTATAAGGGTATAATATAAATGAAGAAATCCTCATCGTTCTCCAAAAGAATGTGAAATTTGGGGACTACAATGTGCTTATGAAAAAGTCATAAGACTAGGTGACCAGATGTCCTAAATGCAGGCAACCTACAAAATGGGAGAAAATTTCGCAACCTACTCATCTGACAAAGGGCTAATATCCAGAATCTACAATGAACTCAAACAAATTTACAGGAGAAAAACAAACAACCCCATCAAAAAGTGGGCGAAGGACATGAACAGACACTTCTCAAAAGAAGACATTTATGCAGCCAAAAAACACATGAAAAAATGCTCACCATCACTGGCCATCAGAGAAATGCAAATCAAAACCACAATGAGATACCATCTCACACCAGTTAGAATGGCAATCATTAAAAAGTCAGGAAACAACAGGTGCTGGAGAGGATGTGGAGAAATAGGAACACTTTTACACAGTTGGTGGGACTGTAAACTAGTTCAACCACGTGGAAGTCAGTGTGGCGATTCCTCAGGGATCTAGAACTAGAAATACCATTTGACCCAGCCATCCCATTACTGGGTATATACCCAAAGGACTATAAATCATGCTGCTATAAAGACACGTGCACACGTATATTTATTGCGGCACTATTCACAATAGCAAAGACTTGGAACCAACCCAAATGTCCATCAGTGATAGACTGGATTAAGAAAATGTGGCACATATACACCATGGAATACTATGCAGCCATAAAAAAGATGAGTTCATGTCCTTTGTAGGGACATGGATGAAATTGGAAAACATCATTCTCAGTCATCATCATCAATATTGCAAGAACAAAAAACCAAACACCGCATATTCTCACTCATAGGTGGGAATGGATCAATGAGAACACATGGACACAGAAAGGGGAACATCACACTCTGGGGACTGTTGTGGGGTGGGGGGAAGGGGGAGGGATAGCTTTAGGAGATATACCTAATGCTAAATGATGAGTTAATGGGTGCAGCACACCAGCATGGCACATGTATACATATGTAACTAACCTGCACATTGTGCACAAGTACCCTAAAACTTAAAGTATAATAATAATAAAATAAAATAAAAAAAAAGAAAGTGCCTCTGGCTTTCAGTTTGCCCCAGCAGGGTATTAGTCCTGTAATCAGAATTGCATCAAGTCTTATGAGTCCTGCCAGAAACTTCAGAAGCTTAGGGATACATTGATCTAGTTATTACAGAAGAGAACTTCAGAAGGGTGGAAAAAGGAAGGAGCAATTATTTGTGAAGTAATTGAAAAGTGTTATTTATATTTACAATGTCTTATCCTTTCAAGTTTCAATTTGGGAGCTAAAACACATTTAGTCTGGGTCAGTTTCTCCAAGTAGGTGTGACAAGACTTTGGTGTTAGAGTCAGGAAGGAGAAAGGATTTGGGGAAAGGTTACTTTTTAATATCTTTGATATAAACCAATCACTAGTTCAGCACCACAAGATTAAACTGTAGACCTTTAACTCTCTAAGCAAAATATTCAGAAAAGGTTAATTAATCCATTAACTACAAAATAAAAGGAGATTTTCCTTCTGCACACCTCTTTCCTACCTTTTCCCTTAGACACATGAGTGCACTGAGACCAGTCTGATGGCTAAAAAGAACAAATAGAGGCAAGTTGGCAGTCAAGACCTGCCTTTGTGTCTTCTTACACTACCTCCTCTCTTGAATCTTCTATACTGCACTAGCTGATTTTTTTTTTTTTTGCAGAGATAATCTGAGTTCTTAGCACAAAGGATTGTGATTATTCATTCATTTAAATGTTTTTTAGACTTTACCGTGTTATCATGTTAATGTTAGGTAACACTCAAACACATTAGTTTTGCCAAGAGTTAATAGAGAGTTCAAAGACTCCATAAAAACATAGCATATGATAACCATTTTAGTTAGCTAAGCAAGTAGTCTGGACACCCTTTGGAAACTCTGCTTTAATTTGGAGAGCCTATAATTTGGTCTTTAAATGAGATATTTGTGGCAGCATTTGGGAAACCTTAAAGTGCTTTGTAAATGTTAGATAATCATTATCATAATTGCAGCAATGCATCCCACTAGAAAATATTTGAAGAATAGTATATATAGTGGAACTTCTTATGGTCAGTAAGACCTCCCCCTAAACTGATTCCTCCTCCGTAAAAAGGTTCAGAGAGTTCTTGGCTTCAGACCCTTCTATAGAGAAGAACCTCATCTGCTTGGCCACAGTTTTGAGTGCCCCTCCCCAGTGAATCCTTCCTTACCTGACAATCAGCTTGAGTCCTGACTCCCACATTCAGTATCATGTAAGGCGGATGTCACCAACTACATATTTTTACCTTTCTCCCTTTTCTTTAGTCATACTTTTTCCTCTTTTATTCTCTTCAGCCAGTTCCTTTGTTCCTCAGCCCACCAATCTCTTAATTCCATTCCTTCACTTTAAGGACCATGGCTATATTACTCTTAACACTGTCATGGACCAGGAAGGAGAAAAGAGAAAGCTGTCTTGAGTATTATAGATAGGTGTCGTGAAGTTTATGCACAAAGGCACATCCCATGTAAGTCAAGAGGGAAACTGAGACCAGACCATGGAGGGCCTTGTGTGCCACCTTTATCCTAAAAGTAAGGGTTAGTTTTTGAAGGTATTTTAAGCAGATTATTATGTGACTAGATTTTAATTTTGGATAGATTATTCTGAGAGCAGTGCAGAGGACCGATTAATTTTATATGGGATTGTGGATTGGGTAGGGTGGTGTGGAGAGTATGGTGAGGGCAGGCTGGGGGGCAGATAGATTAGTGAGGAAGGTATTACAGTGGTGATAAGACCCCAAGCTAAAACAATTACAATGGGAATGGAGAAAAAGGAATTAGATGGATGATTGATGGAACTAAGACAATGACATCTACTGAAGATTGTGAGTATAGTATGTGAGAGTGGGAGTTCAAGAATCAGATAGAAGAACAGGTAAGTAGAAGAGCGATCTGGGTCACAAAGCCTTCCTAATTTCTTCACATGCAAATAATAGTTCCTTCCTAGGCAAACTTGTCATCCTTTGTTTCTTCCTTACTGCCCTTCTAGCTTTCTGTTTTGTATTTTGGTTTTATATTTATGTATTTTGTTCTGCTACTAAGTGGTAGATTTCTAGGGCACAGAGACTGTTGTTTGTCTCTATATTATACCCTTGAAATGTCCAAATCTATGTATTAGACTAGGTACTAAATAAATGTGTTGAGTGAGTGAGAGAATGAATTATATTTCATAATACTCTACAATCTGTGAAGAGCTTTCATAGGTATAAGTCATTTGATACTTGCAACATCTTTGGGAAAGGTAGGAATGGCAGTTGTTATTACTTCCGTTTTACAGATGAGAAAATCTATAGTCAGAAATATTAATGTAATGTAGCTAGTAATTGGCAGAGCTGGGCTAATACGTCTGTTCCAGCACCTACCACTCTACTATACTGTTTTTTTTTATTTTTATTTTTTAAGGTCTCAAGGTCCTCACTTGGGACTATTTATTCTCAATAACTTAGGCATTAGATTTTTTGGCTGTTACCAATATCAAGTGCCACAAAAATAAAAGATGGAAAGGAATGAAGAGGAATGGGTAAGGAAAATCCACTGAATAAATGGTGGAGTACTCAGCAACACACAAAAAGCAGGAAAACCTCATGTGTCAATAATGTCTGCTGATGATACTTAACAGGGTCCCCAGTCCCTGGGCTGTGGACCTGTACTGGTCTGTGGCCTGTTAGGAATGGGGCCACACGGCAGGAGGTGAGTGGCAGACGAGTGAGCATTACCATCTGAGCTCCACCTCCTATCAGATCAGCAGCAGCATTAGATTCTCCCAGAAGTATGAACCCTAATGTGAACTGCGCATGCGAGGGACCTAGGTTGTGTGCTCCTTATGAGAATAATGCCTGATGATCTGAGGTGGAACAGTGTCATCCTGAATCCATCCCCTCACCCTGCAACCCATCTGTGGAAAAACTGTCTTCCATGAAACCAGTCCCTGGTGCCAAAAAGGTTGGGGACTGCTGCTCAACATCACTTCTCCCTTCCAAACTCTTTCCTGTGTGCAGGGACTGGACGTGTGGAAATTACATTTTCTTTTACTAGGAGGATTCAAGTTTTGATTTCATCAAGGAGAGATGCTCATACAGGTGTGGAATGTGGAAAAGAGGGAAAGATCATCTTCTAGCTGCAGCTGTGGGCAGGCATATGGACATCTTCAGGCACATGATTTTTCCGAGGACTTCCAGGTAACCCCCCTGAGAATCACTTCCTCTGGTACCACAGTCAGCTAAGGTCCTAGATAGAAGTCTCCTATGAAGCCTGCATTTCCTGAATTATGATGTGCTAGCAGGCAGCAGTATCCCTGATCTTTATACCACCCAGCCCTTCCGATGGTTGCATAAACTTCTAAATCCCTATTTTAAATCTCTTCTTGCTTTAAATACTTAGAGTAATTCTGTTTTCTTGACTTATATGCTGTACAGAGAAAATACAAGTGTTCAAACGGTATTGCAAGCTGAGATTATGTAGTTTGGAGGCAAATAGCTCTATCCATCTCAACCACCTTTGGAGTATTCTTACAATACTATGTGATCCTTTATTTAAGAATACAAAAAAAGTGGATCGAAGATTTCCAAATATTTTTACTCAAAGTGGCTTAAATATAACCCTCTCATGGTTTGATGCTGGTATCTTGATACTTGTTTAGTTACCCAGAAATTTTGGCTCTTCATGATCCCATTCCCCCAAAACACTGGCAGAAAGAAGCTTTACCGTGGGTAGAATGGAGTTTCATAATGGCCATGTGCAGGAACAAAAGATTACTAAACTTGAAATTTCATGTGTAGTCATGTTCAGATGGGCTGCTGATAGATGGATTAAAAGAAATTCCAGTAACCCATGGGTTGATGGAAAGATATTCAAATGGACTGGCAGTAGAGTGCTAACAATTTCCATGCATTTCTTTGGATTTTTTTTTTCAAATAAGTAAAATGAAGTTCTTAATACCTGGAAAATATTTCCAAACATTCTACTCACCTTTCATCAATACTCTTATTGTCTTTTGCTTTTTAAAATTCTCTGGACAATGCAGATAATAAAATTCCTTGTCAGCCATCCAACTATGCTGATCACCTTTCTCACAAATGAGTGTTTCCTATTCATTTGCTGCCTTGTGTTAATTTTCTGGGCTAGACAGTATTGTTGAAAATGCAGGATAGACTGGCTTTGGTTCAGTTCTTTTTTTTTTTTTGAGACACAGTCTCACTCCGTCGCCCAGGCTGGAGTGCAGTGGTGCCATCTCGGCTCACTGCAACCTCCGCCTCCTGGGTTCATTCCATTCTCCTGTCTCAGCCTCCCGAGTAGCTGGGACTACAGGCATCCGCCACCACTCTTGGCTAATTTTTTTTTTTCGTATTTTTAATAGAGACAGGATTTCACCATGTTAGCCAGGATGGTCTCAATCTCTTGACCTTGTGATCCGCCCGCCTCGGCCTCCCAAAGTGCTGGGATTACAGGCATGAGCCACCACGCCCGGCTGGTTCAGTTCTTAATACCTTGGTTGGGGAGGAGGGGAGCTGCTCACCTTTATCTCAGGTCAGTGGATTCTGCCTTTTATGGTGCTGGACAGACTGAGTTACTCAATAACAATTGGGCATTTCAACTACACTTCCAAGGCACGTAGGCAATTTTGGTGTTTCAGAAACTTATTTCCACACAAATATATTTGGCACTGAATCAAACTTTGATGAGCCAAATTTCATTTGTCCAAACTCTAGGGTTGGGTAAACCTGGTTTTGTGTTCAGTTCACTGAATATCTCAAAACCATTTTTCAAATGTTCTGGGATTGGCCAAAACCAAGTCTACTTTGCCAAACATTTTACTTAATTTAATAGCAAAATACCCCATTTATATTTTAATGAAAATTTAATCCATATGTTTGATTCACTTTTTGCACTTAATCCATCAAAATATTTTGTAAGAGTTATCTGAAGTCCAAGAGGCCTCCAATGCCATTTTTTTTCTTAAATAAGCCAGCATAGCCTTTTCTCCACCAATATTTTTCTTCTTTTTTTTTTTTTCAGGAACATTAGTGAATTGGCAAGTTCTGTTGTCCCAGTCCCTATCTGACTCAAACCTTATCTGTATTGTTTCTCTGACTCCCCATCCATACCAGTTCCACTCTGATGTGATCACTAATTGAAGTGGTTCATAAAGACATCATCCATTTTGTTTTTCTATGCTGTCTGAAGAAGAAAAGAAGTAAAATGGAGGACAAGAACAAAGAAAGACACTCCAGTTCAGTGGTCCCCAACCTTTTTGGCACCAGGGACTGGTTTCATGGAAGATAATTTTTCCACAGATGGGGGTGGGGGGGATGGTTTCCAGATGAAATTGTTCCACCTCAGATCATCAGGCATTAGATTCTCATAAAGAGTGGCAACCCAGTTCCCTCACAGGTGCAGTCACAATAGGGTTCCTGCTGCTATGAGAATCTAATGCCACTGCTCATCTGATGGGAGGTGGAGCTCAGGCAGTAATGCTCGCTCATCTGCCACTCTCCTCCTGCTCTGTGGCCTGGTTCCTAACAGGCACAGACAGGTACCTGTCTGTGGCATGGTGGTTAGGGACCCCTGCTCTAGCTTTTCCTTTGTTGGGAGCCTAGTGACCTAGACTTAAGCTGTAATAACTTAAGTTTCTATGGCCATGGAATGGTTGAATGACGAACCATCTTCCCACATTTATATGGTTTCATTCCATGCTGAAGGAGAATAAGAGAGATGGTTAAAACTTTCCCCTAAATATCATCTATAGAGATATTTTGGGAAAAAAGAGGAGGAACCATCTGAAAGCAGCTGTATAATTTCTATACATTTAAAATTTTAGGTGAATTTGAACAGGAAGACACTTAGTTGGCTAATGGGAAGAGAGACTGTTGGTACAATATATAGCTATATTTACTTTGCAGTCTAGCTATGCTTCACTGGGCAACTGGAAATTCAGTGGTGGCTGAGGCGAGGGAGGGCAGACTCAGAAAAGGAGGGTCAGAAAGGGAGGTGGCAGCCTTGGCTGCTCTCTTCAATGAGGTAATCCTTCCTCCGTGCTGCCCTGCTGTCCCTGTGCCTGCTGCCAGTGCCCATAGAGCTCCAGATGCAATTGATCTCATTATATATCAGAACAGAATTGGCTTGAACAGCCTGTTCTATCCTGGTGATTAGGACATAGCATATTTTTCTTCCCCCTCTCCCTCAGCCCTATCTTAGTCCCTTGGCCGAAGGTTCTTTTGTCTATGGATTAATCTAGGGTTGATCTAAGTTTACTTACTTGCTGCAAGCCTGGGCTGGCAAGGTAGACATAATCCTCAAATAGCTCTGAAAACCCTGCTCCCACTGTCAACGTGTATTCTAATTTGTTTAACCTCTGTCTACTTGGACTCAAACCAACCCGAAGAAACTGGGCACATGGCTTAGTAGGATTAAATCAAAGATTAGTTCTGCCTCTTATCTAAGATGTAATTCTCATTTTGATGTCAACTTTCAAGGAGGCTTCTCAATGCTTTATTTTTCTCAGATCAGGAGAGAAGAATCTCAGGACATAAAGGAGACTTTAAAAGACCGCTACTCTGTGCCTTCAGTAAAGACTGCACTTAAAATATTACCTTAATAGAAAGCTCCTTTTCTTTCTTCAAACTCTCTAGAGAGAGACAAACTCCTTGTTAAGTGTTCTGTATCTCTCTAATGTAGGGCAATTCTCTAATGAAGCTGATTATGAGATTTGGGGAGTGGGGGTGGGCAGGTCGTGAGATGCCTCTGCTTCATAGGGAAACTGAGAAGTCAAAAGCAGAGGGTGAAGACAATGTAGTGGTCTGCAAGTGAATCTTGTCCTTACTTGAACCAGAAATAAACTCTAGTTTGACTCTGAGTTAGTGGCATGCCCTGTGTGGGCCTTAGTTTCCTCAACTGTATGATAAAGGAAAATCCTCAAGTCTCTCACAGCTCTAAGATTCTTCTAGCTTGTGATTTAACTCACTTGGGAAATAAGTTGCAAGGCTCAGAAGGAAAATGCAATTAGTGCCCACTGGCTATTTCACTTCTTCTCAGAATCTTCCTTCTTCACAATATACCCAGGAAGCTAGGATACAGACGTTCCTCTTTTTGAAAGGGGACGAACCAAAGCGTTATTCTTAGTTACTAATAGAGTCTCCTAAACTTGCTACCATCAAAGACAAACACTGGCCCATGGAAAACCAAACACAGAGCCTGAGAATCTGCATATCCTCATGGGAGCAGTTGCTGTGGTAGGCAAGCACTAAGGGCAAGCCGCGGCCACACCCTTCCGGGTGTCTCATAATGGGCTTCATTACCAAGGGACTCTGTTCTTTCTTATTTCATCCTTCTCCCTTATTTTCTGTTTTGCTATAGATAATGAACTTCTAATACACTCTAGCTTCCAAGGGAAAAGATAAAATAACCAGAAAAGACATGGTTTTTAAGTTTAAAAAAATCCCTAATGTTTCAGGATTATCGATTTTAATATTCTAGTGATATTACTATTGCTTGGCAGTGATTACTCAGGGATAGACAGAGTTCCCACTCGGGCTTGGGAAATGCTGAGCAAGCAGCTTACAGAGCAATTTTGAAATTATGAACGGAAAGTATAGGTAAGGTGTAATTCGAAGCAGAGAAATAAGCCTTAGTAAGACAGCATTCTATAAGGCACAGAAGACAACATTCTATAAGGCATAGTTTTTAAAAACCTTGACATCTGGAAACCACTTAAGGAATAGATTACTGGTGTCAAACAAATTTTTTAAAAATCATGATGTTTTAAAAATATATATATTTTAAAGTTAATAAGAATAAGAGTAGCTTTATGTAAACATCAGATTGCTGGAGCTTTAGGCCAGATTTTACGTCTGGGTGGCTTATCTTTTCCTTTTCCTTTCTACTTAATTAAAAAACCCTAATGCAAAATTACAGCTCCTTGAAAATGGCAGCAAGGTAGCTCTTGGTATTTAGATTGAGATATTATGGAACAATTTCTTACTGAAGACTACTTTGAGTTTTCCATCATATGTTGAGTTAGTGAGTGTGTTAGACTCAGAAGTAGGACAGTTGAATGTTAAATGACTTGACTTAGAAGATGGTGGTGAATGGATTCTGAATACACTCTTTGGTAGTATTAGTCTCTGTAAAGAATTTTTTCAAGTTCTATGGTAGAATTTGGATGTGTTTTTTGAAAAATATGCTCAATGATGTGCTCATAGATTTTTTTTTTCTTTGCTGGGTGGAGAAAATGATCAAATGCTGAAAAGAGCCAAACTCAGAAATTGAGCCATTTGAGTCACAGAAATTCTACTATTTTATACACAGCATTAAAAACTGAAAATTTGACCCTAAAGTAATGGGTTATACCATTAAGATGCTGCATATATCACTGATACACACCATTCAAGGTCAGTGTCATATAGAAATGTTTTTATCTCATCTTTCACCTAAAAAAAAATCAGCGTAAGCATCCTTCCTTTCATAGAATAGAACATTTCAAACGGGAAAGCATAATCTTGAGCTTTCTTCCCATTTCTTGCCTAAAGTCGTGACTTGATTGTATTAATAATTTTCACTAGAACCCTCAACATGGAATCAAGAGCCAGAGGTATGTTGCTGACCATTAGCTGCTCTCTATAAATAAGCCAGGGTGTGGACCTATATTCGGGTGCAACATCTTTTATTCATGGGAAAAAACCATTCCTTGCTGCTCAGTCAGTTGGTATTTAATTATTGTTAGACCAAGTGCACGTTTGTCAGTCTACACCATATAACTCCCCCTGAAAAGTGGTAATAAATAAAACCAAGCAAACAAACACTTTCTCCTGTAGCCTGGGTTTTCAATAACAAAATCTAAAGATTTATTAAGTACTTGTTGCTTACGAATGTACTGTGTATAAGCCAAGTCTTGTTTTAGGTTCATTCATAGTTTTGTTTTACCAAATATCATACATATATATTAGGTTGGTGCAAATGTAATTGTGGTTTTGGATCATG
The DNA here is from genome assembly GCF_000001405.40 of Homo sapiens. NCBI lineage: Eukaryota > Metazoa > Chordata > Mammalia > Primates > Hominidae > Homo > Homo sapiens. The sequence goes on along the minus strand of NC_000005.10, from coordinate 68,590,627 downwards.
GATTTTAACTACTTATAACTAGACTTACACACATCTTTATTAATCAAAATAGAAACCATTACAATCCACATATTTTTGCCAATGAGAAATAAGTTTATTTATTCCTGAAGCATAAAAATCCATGCTTTGGGATTCCATGAACTCTTGGAAAGCATTTTCTGCACCCTGCTAGCTGTGGAAGCATTTTCCCTGCAAAAAGTTGTCGAGATGCTTGAAGAAGTGGTAGTTGGTTGGCGAGAGGTCAGGTGAATATGGTGGATGAGGCAAAACTTCATAGCACAATTTGTTCAACTTTTGAACCACTGGTTGTATGACATGCGGTTGGGCACTGTTGTCGAGAAGAATTGGGCCCTTTCTGTTGATCAGTGCCGGCTGCAGGCATTGCAGTTTTGGGTGCATCTCACTGATTTGCTGAGCATGCTTCTTAGATGTAATGGTTTCACCAGGATTCAGAAAGCTGTAGTAGATCAGACTGAGAGCAGACCACCAAACAGTGACCATGACCTTTTTTTTGGCACAAGTTTGGCCATGGGAAGTGCTTTGGAGTTTCTTCTCAGTCCAACCACTGAGCTGGTTGTTGCTGGTATATTTGTATAGGAATTTGCAAAAACTTGTCACTGAGTGTAAGAATTGGTATCAACTTTGTAGCTGGTTATATAAACTTGGAAATATGACTTTAAGCCTCTTTTTCTTATGATGAGCACAACTTATTGTCTGTAATTTTGATATTTTCTCTGTCTTTGACACTAAAAGTATCACTTTTGGTTTTGAAAATATAAGTTTGTACTCATCATAGAAAAACTCAATTGGGGCTGGGCGTGGTGGCTCCCTCCTGTAATCTCAGCATTTTGGGAGGCCAAGGTGAGCAGATCACCTGAGGTACGGAGTTTGAGAGCAACCTGACCAACATGGAGAAACACCGTCTCTACTAAAAAATATAAAAATTAGCCGGGCATGGTGGCACATGCCTGTAATCCCAGCTACTCGGGAGGCTGAGGCAGGAGAATCGCTTGAACCTGGGAGGTGGAGGTGAGCTGAGATTGCACCATTGCACTCCAGCCTGGGCAACAGGAGGAAAACTCCATCTCAAAAAAAAAAAAAAAAAAAAAAAAGGAAAAAAGAAAAACTCAATTGGTTACTGTGCTTGGTTATTTGGTTATAAAAGCTCCAGTTCTGATATTGATCTTCTGTTCTTCTTCAACAAGAAAATAAATATAACCCTTAACGAATGTGGCTTAAAAAATAAACCTGGAACTTCCTATTTGTAGTATAAAGGATGGTGGGAACTTACTAAATCTGTTGGGCTCAGATACTACAGTAATTTGATCCACATATTAAAGAGTTTGGAAATGATTCTACACATTATGGGGATTCATTGATATATTTAAGTGGGCAAATAACTGCCCAGCCAGGAATATTTATTTGGCGTTAATGTGCAAGACATCTTAGAAGGGTAAAATATTAGAGGCAGGGAGGCTAGTTAAGAACAATTGTAACTTATCAAGATATTCCTAGCCATTTATGGAGGAGCTCTACTCCATGTAAGGAAAGGTTTACAAATGAAAAATAGTTCATACACAAAGATGCTTAGTGTTCCCCACACATATCTTGCTATTTCACATCCTTGTCTTTAGTTGATTCCATTCTCTAAAGCTAGAGAATTTTGCCCTACATTTCCACTTGAAGCTCTTTAATGTAGTTATATGCACTGATTCTGGAGCTAGACAACCTGTGTTTAAACTTCAGCTCTGTCACTCAATGTGGGAACTCTTTTATATCTCAGATTTGTGATCTGTAGAAATAAGGATAAAATAACTTAAATGGTTTTGTTTTTAATGTTTACCTATTTATAAATCTTTTAGCATAAAGTCCAGTGTACAACATATATTCAGTAAGTGCTGGCCATTGTTACTATTCTAACCTCAGCCATCCTTCAGGATGAAACTCAAAAGCTATCTCCCTGTGCAACCTCCCAGAATTCCCAAAGTCAGAATTTTCTTTTTATCAAAGTACTTCCTATATTACCTTATGAAAATGATCTACATAATACATTAATATATGTCCATTGGAAAAATAGTTAAGTAATTCACAGCATTTAGATTAAAAGGTAAACATTTCTCAGTTAACAGTTTGGTGTCTATCTTTTTGAACCTTTAGCTGTGATACATGTATATAAAATTATTTTTATCTTCTAACAATTTCAACGCATAGCAAATTTTACATCTTACTCTGTAGCATAGTTATTTTTGTGTCAATTTTTCTATATGGTATAGCCAGGTTCTAAATTTCCTTCAGGTTAGGGAAGGTGCTTTTTCATTTTTGCATAAAGATCTTCTTGGCAAATAATGGCCACTCAAGAACAAGTGTTGAATGAATGGACAACTGTCTCTCTATTGCAATCAGAAAATTAAATTTAAACCTCATCTAATCCTACTTTTCCCATGATATTTTCCCAGACTCTTCCTCTGATATCCCAAAACAATTACCTGTTCCTGAGATTTTGCTGTTAACCACAAGTTGCCTGGTATCATGATTTGGTTCATGTGGATTTAAAATCTCGTCTGTCCCATTTGACAGGAAGCTTCTTGGTGATGTGAACCATGTTTACAAGGACAGGGCCCTACATGTAACAGACACTCCATAAGTGCTTCTAGAATTTAACTAGAATTGAAGAGTTGAAACTTGTACCACCAGTAGTAAGTTAAAGAGTGGGGAAAAAAAAACCCATCCATGTTCTATGTTACAGTAAATAATTTAGAGTCTTAGTTTTAAATGTGTAATAATACAAACATGAATAACACAGAGTATGAACATTCTAAAAATTCCCCTTTTCCCTTTCCACGAAGGCTCAGAGACAGACAAGCAGCACGTGGAGGAGATAAAATTAGAGAGAGTTACAAAGCATGAGTGCACAGGTGCTTGTTTGTATTATTTCAATTTGCACATGCCATCTTTGTGTTTGTCAACTCCTGTGAGATTTAACCAGGCATGATGCTGAAAACAATGGCTGATGGTGAAACCACTCATTTCCATGGAGCTTCCATTGAAAGAAGCCTCTGTTTTTTTCTTTCAAAGTAGTCACATTAGGGAGACAGTGCATATTTTAAGGATGCAGAGATTATTTCACACATATTTGAGACTATAAAAAATACCAGTTTATAGACTACACAAATACCATTCCTTGCCCTGTAGTTCCCTCTTGCTGCTGATTTAAAGTTTTTTTTACCCAGTATGTATCACCCATCTGATTTAAGGTTTATTTTCAAAAGCTTTGCAACACTCCAATAAAATTACACATCCTCCAAGAATTGTGACAATTCTAGTTGTATTACTAATAATACTAACATCATTTGCTGAACATTTCCTGGGTACAATCACTGTGCTAAGAACTATTGATAGGTTTTCTCATTTAATCCTCACAAAAACCCATTGAGGTAGATACTATTATTATCACCATTTTGCTATGAGGAAATTTAGGCACAAAGAAGTTAAGTAACTTGCCCAAAGTGATTTACTGCCTTTGAAGATGTTCAAAAGAAAATGTTGCAGATACTGAAGGCAATTCCAAAAGTCATCTTTGGACAATGGCATTATTAGGGAATGTTTATAGCTTTGTTGGTAAATATATTTTGATTGGCTATTACATGTTTTGATTCATAAAAATGAGCTAATTAGTCAATGATTACCTAATAATTTATTTTTGTTGTTTTTGTTGACCCAGTGTTTTAAAACACAGGCTACCTGGGGGCCATAATGTTAGTCCATGGGTGGCTGGGTCCAGTGGCTCACACCTGTAATCCCAGTACTTTGGGAGGCCAAGGCAGATGGATCACTTGAGGCCAGGAGTTCGAGACCAGCCTGGCCAACATGGCAAACTCCTGCTTCTAATAAAATTACAAAAATTAGCCAGGCATGGTGGTACATGCCTGTAATCCCAGCTACTTGGGAGGCCGAGGCATGAGAATCACTTGAACCTGGGAGGCAGAGGTTGCAGTGAGCTGAGATCATGCCACTGCACTCCAGCCTGGGCAACAGAGCAAGACTCTGTCTCAAAAAGAAAAAAAAAAAGGTAGTCCATGGGAGATGAAACATTGACTGATACATAGTAGTGGCTCAATAAAATTACATCAAGTGAAGAAATGAAACAAGTTCAGTTTTTAAATATTCTTAACCTTCAAAAATGCAATGGAAATTTTTCTTCAAACAAAAATCTTAGTTTAAACACAAATTGTACAACAGAGAAAAGTAGCCTGGCTCTCACTAAAGGCGGGATTTATCTGGAGGGGTTGGACACAAGAACCCTGCTCTCTGTGCCTTCTTTAACCTCATGGAATCTTTTCAGGTAACTATGTGGAATCTTAAGCCTTCATTAAATGTTTTAACATTACTGCCCTAAATTATTCTATCCCAGATCTCTACTTTTTACATGATCCCTACCTTCCACTTTAGTTTCATCTGATTGGTTGAACAAAATAATTTTCATTGTGTAGATAGACAATGATAACAGGAAGAGGAAAGATACTGTACTGGTTTCCTACGGCTCCTCCAACCACGAACTATAAGTCTAAGATCAAGGTGTCAGCAGGGTTTGTTCCTTCTGAGGACTGAGAGAGAGAATAGGCCTCTCACCTAGCTTCTGGTGGTTTCCTGGCACTCTTTGCTGTTCCTTGGCTTGTAGAAGCATCATCTTGATCTCTGCCTTCATCTTCACATGGTATTCTTCCTGCATGTATGTGTCTGTCTCCAAATTTTCCCTTTTTATAGGGGCAACAGTCATATTGGATTAGCATCCTAATAACCTCATTTTAGCTTAATTATGTCTGTAAAGATTTGACCTCCAAGTAAGGTCACATTCTAAGGAACTGAGAATTAAGGCTTCAACACAGGAATTTTTGGGGAACACAATTCAATCCATAAGAGATACCTTTCATAATGAGAGGATGCAAGTGGGATTCATGGTTTTCTTTACTGGTCAATAATTAGAACTCATAGAAGCCTAAGAAATGAGCATCAAAATGGATTAAATAGTAGAAACTAGGCTCTCAGAGGCATTTATTAAACAGTGGTTGAGAATACAGGCTATGGTGTTACAGTGCTGATCGCATTCCCGATCTCACCACCTGCTGGCCGAGTGCCCTTGGGAAAGGTATCTAACCTCTTCGTATCTCAGTTTTCTCATCTGCAAAATTAGAATGATAACAGCACATACTTTGTAGGACTGTTGTTCAATGAGTTAATACATATTGAGCACATAGGGCCAGGCCCAAGGTAAACACTTTAAGCTTAGCTAAATTATTTATTCTAGTTCATTTTCAAGATAATTACATAGCAGTAGAACTACACCATAGATATACTACCTATAGAGTGTGGTCTTAGGGAAGGCCGAGGACTGCCTACCTTACCGTAGCCTTTTCATGGTGTAATGTGTAGCTTACAACATAGGTGGTGACATGTCTCAGATACATTCTTAGTACTTAGGATAATTTGGGTGCAGGCATTCACCTTCCTTCCTCTGTGGTAGTGGTGTTGTGAGAAGGTCATCATAAAGGGGAGAGACCCTCCAGTTAGTTTCTTTCCTATCCTGAGACAATTGCTTCTCCACCACCTCACTGTGGCCAGGTAAGAATCTGAGTCTGACAGAAGGGCAGACTGACTCTGACCTTCCTTCACATGAATCTAACGCACAGCAGTGAGACAATGGCTTGTGCAGCAGTGGGGAGAAGAATTCCAGCATCAATGGACAGGGTGGATTGCGCTTTAAAACAGTCCATGAGTGATACAGTGTCATGTGAATGGAAGTTTTCTGCCATGTCTACACTAAGAAAGGAATTGATCACTTGGCCATTTAAGGTGGGTAACTGTAATAACCAATAATTTTTCTCACAGTGGTGGGGCGGGGGTGGGATTTTAAAACACCTGTATGTTACCATTTATGCAATGACTGTGGTTACTTGCTATCTTAGTATACATGATATTTTGAATATTTCTTATAGCATAAGCATTTTTCCATTTAGATTCTTTTCAACTATAATTTTAATGGCCACATAAAATCTCTCAAATGACACATTATAATTTACTTAACTATTCCCTTATTGGACATTTGGATAGTTTTTATTTTTGTAATTACAAATAATGCCATGATAAATGTCTTGGTAAATAAATTTTTCCCCATATTTTGGATTGTTTCCTTAGGACAGGTTCCCAGAAGTAAAATTACTGAATAAAACACTAACTACATTTTTATGCTTCTTAATACCTATTGTCAAATTTCTTTCCTAAAGAGCTGCACCAATTACAATCCTCACAGCTACAGAAATAAGTGCAACTATTACTATATCTTCTCCAGCACTGGATAGTTTATAATTTTTGTTTTGATAACTTTCCCAGTAGTCTCTTAATTTATTTTTAGTTTTCACTTTATTACTAGTGAGACTGGCCATCTTTCTAGATTTTCTGTAGTTTTTTTCTGTCATGGACAGACCTTTCCTTTGTCGATTGAGACAGCTTAGTATTTCTTGTAACAATTGGTTTAAATTCTTTTTTACTTTAAAAATATCAACTCTGTACATTATATATGTTACAAATTTATTTTAGTCCATGAGTTCTTTTAACATTTGCTTTTTATTCATTTATTGTCATTAGGAATTAGTAGTAAGTCTGTTGAATTTTCCCTTTTCAAGCATCTTCTAATGCTTCTAAGCTTACAAAGTCATCTTCTCATCAGATGTTTGATAGCTATCTGATTTCATTTTTTCTATGATTTGAATTTTTAAGCAGTTTACTCTTAATCTATCTGGAATTTATTTTGGTCTATGCTATAAGAAATGATTTTTAAAAATCAGCTTAAGTGATTCTTTCATGATTTATAATTTCCTTTCAGAAAAAGTAACTTTAAGGTGAATAAATATAAGACTACCTAGTAGAAAGTCAATGGGATGAGATCTTGTCAGTTTGTGATAATTGGAGCAGGGAATAAAGGAGCTTTGTTGGGGGGTACTGTGAAACTGATTTCACAGTCTTAGTACTTAGACTGAAACTTGATTAAAGGCAGGAAGATGGACAAAATACTTACTTTTGCCCTATTTATTTGCAGAATGCCAACATGCCTAGATTGTTTATTGAAAATGTTTCTTTGTAAGATCAGAGTCATCAGCATTATCAATCTTCACTGACATTTTTGTTGTGCTGTTATCAGCATATTCTAAAATAATAAGAGAAAATTTGGAAATTCATCTATTCTTTTATCTGCTTAATAAACATTTACTAGACTCATGCACATGCCAAGCACTGTGCTGAGTGCTCAGGATAAACCTATTTACACTGAAGAGTCTGCACCTTCACACTTGTAACCTCTGGGCAAAAGACTTCATATTCAACATATTCAAGATCCTCCCAATATGGCCCCATACTTGCAACCATGCTTCCTACTATTCTCCTAAATATACCATATATTTTAATCCAACTAGACTCTGTTATTGCCTGAGCACCTCTAGTATTCTGGCCTCTGTCTCTTTATTCACAGTACCCCCTTCTCTTTAGACACCCTCCACTTTAAATCTCTGTTTTGTAGGTCTTGAGTACCACTTCAGCTCAAGCCCTTGCTCATATTCTGAAACAGATATGATCACTCCCTTCCTGCTGTTGCCTCCTCATGGAACTTTGCTCTCTTCGATGAAACCCACTAGGACTTAGCTGATTATTTATCAGTCATTCCCCTCATTTCTTTGTTATTAGACTATAAACTCCCAAGAGTAAAGATAACAGCTTGTTTTATTTGTCTAGTCCTTACAGTTCCAAGTGTGATACTATATGATATGTTTAGGCCAATGGGACATGGATGGAAGTGATGTGTGTCCTAGAAGAGGGTGTGTTTCAGATGGTAGAGCTACAAGATGGTGAGAGTTCATCAGCCAAGTCCTGATGTGATTGTTGGAACACAAGCCCCTGTCCACATATGTTGGATAGGTAGTTTAAGCAAGACATAAACTTTTGTTGTGTTTAGCAACCAATATTTTGGAATTGTTACTGAAGCATAGTCTCTCACACTGGGGAGGACAATATTTTTTGGTAAATAACCAGATAGTAAATATTTTCAGTGAAAGCAGCCATGGACAGTACATAAACATACATGTGTGGCTGCATTTCAATAAAACTTTATTTATAAAAACAGACATAAGCTGGATTTGGCCTGTGAATTTAGTTCGTAAATGCTTGATCTATCATATTCTGACCATGTATCTTCAAAGTATTACAAAGTTCTTTGTTCTGAAAGCTCATTAAAATGACTTTTTTTTTGCTGAAACTTAAGTAACATTCCCCATCAAAGTTATTAAAAAAACAAGGAAATTCCCTATCACTTTAATAATTCAATGCTCACTGTTCCAGAAGTACAAATTGATGCAAATGAACAAGAGAAAAAAATCCAAAAAGTTCAACTGAAAAATTATTGTAAAACTTAACAGAATTTAGAAAGATGTCTGAGTATAAAATTAGTATAATAAAATCAGTAATGTCTCTATATGTGAACAATAATTATTTAGAAGGTATAATGGAAAAAAGTACAATTTATAACACAATCAAAAATAAAATATTTAGTAATAAATGTAGCAGGAAATGTTTAAGATCAATGCAAAGAAAAATTTGAAATCTTAAAGTTAGACATGAAAGAAAACTTGAATGAAAAAGAATACCTTGTTTGTACATAGAAAGGCTCATTGAAGATAATTTTCTCATAACCAATAAACCCTACTTATACCAACAAAAAGAAAGGTTACTTAAATTCAATCTTTTTATGTGATAATAAAATTTACTTAGTTCAAAAAATCTTTTTTAAATATGCAAAGTTAACAATATTCTTCTTACCCTGTTCTTAATTCATACAGTACCCTCTACCAACAAAACCCCATTATTCATTTTTAATGTGTCTTTCTAGTCTTTTATATAAGTAACTATTAATACATATTCAGTATTTATATTCTCCTACCCTTACCCCAAAGTTATCATTCTTATACACTGTTTTCTATCTCATTCTTCTTATTTAATATATCATGGAAATATGTTCATATCAATACAAAGCCGCCTCACTTTTTAAAGCTTCATAGTATTCCACTGAGTGGATATGCTGTTGCTTATTTAACCTGTCATAGCTATTCTTGGGTCATTTTGCTATTACAATGCTGCAAAAATAATATTGAATATAACATTTTCACTGTACTGATATATCTATAAAATAAATTCCCCAGTGTCAGATCGGTGGGTCAAGATGCCTGTACATTTATATACTTTTGTACTTTTTAATAGATGTTGCCAACAGAATGACTTCTTAAACATTTTTTTGCCACTCTGATATGTCAAAAAATGCAACTTAGTGTAGTGATAGTGTGCATTCCTTTAACTGATATTGAACAGCTTTTCATTTTCAAATGTTTTTGTATTTCATATTCTGTGAACTTCCATTCATATTATTTGCCAATTTTTCTTTTCAATGATTGGTTGTCATCAATTTCTAGGTGCTCTCTTTAAACACTCGAGAAATTGGCACTTTTTCTATGATACATGTTGTAATTGCTTTTTTCTAATTTTTTTTGTTTTTGTTTTTGTTTTTTTTGAGACAAAGTCTCACTCTGCTGCCCAGGCTGGAGTGCAGTGGCATGATCTCTGCTCACTGCAACCTCTGCCTCCCAGGTTCAAGTGATTCTCCAGCCTCAGCCTCCTGAGTAGCTGGGACTACAGGCGCGTGACACCATGCCCGGCTAATTTTTTTTTTTTTTTTTTGTAGTTGCAGTAGAGACTGGGTTTCACCGTGTTAGCCAGGATGGTCTTGATCTCCTGACCTTGTGATCTGCCCACCTCAGCTTCCCAAAGTGCTAGGATTACAGGCGTGAGCCACCATGTCCGGCAGCTTTTTTCTAATTTTTAATTTATCTTTTGACATTGCTCATGATAACTTTGCCATGCAGAGGGTTTTTAAAATGTACTTACATTTATCTGTCCCTTTTTATGGCTTTGGATTTTGTACAATAATTGGAAAGGACATTCCCACTTCAAAATTAAAAAAAAATTCACTCATTTTAAGCCATAAGGTTTAAAATTGTAAGTAGTTGACATCACATTTTTTTTTCTAGATTAAGACTCTGTTCTCCTTACACCATTAATTTGAAATGTTGTTTTTGTCAAATAATAAATTTCCATATGGATTTGGGCTATTTTTTTACTTTCTATTCTGTTCCACTTGTCTATCTGTTCACAGTCAGTATCACACAATTTGAGTTATCACTTTATAATGTGTTTTAATATTCACTTGGACTTGGGCTTGTTACCCCTTCATTGCTCCTCGTCCTCCTCAGAGTTTTTACTGAATATTTCTGCTTATTTTTTTTTTTGCATGAGATTTACAATCAGTCTACCTAGTTTGAAACAAGAAAGTGTTGGTATGTTATAATAAAAACTTGTTGATATGTTATAAATTAATGTTGTATCATTAATTTATAAAATAACTTGACATTGTTGTGATCTTCCTTTCTTAGAAAAGTGGTTTTTTTTTTTTTCACTTGTTCTGATGTTCTTTTGTGCCTTTTATGGGTGTTAAATTTCTTTTATTTTTCCTCCCATGGATTTTTGAAAATTCTTGTTCCATTTTCTCACAGGTATTTTGTTGGGGTAATAATTGCTATTGCAAACAGAGCCTTCTATTCCAATACATATTCTGATTATTTGTACATAGGAGATCAATTAACATATATTTTAATTTAATGAATTTTCTAATTGTTTGTAGTAGTTTTTCAATTGATTCATTTTATTCTCTTGGGGTTTCCAGGGATACAGTTTTATCTCCTTGTATATAATTTTTATGGCATTTATTATTTTTCCTTGGATAATTGCATTGTGCTAGTGGTGATAATGGGCATCCTTTTATTGTTCTTAACCAGGGTGGAAATGTAGGTAGGGTTTCCCCATAGAACATGACATGGCTCTGGGGCTAAAATACACACATATTTTGTAATGTTTAGGCTGTCTTCACTGATGATTATTTTAGAATTGTGTTTAAAATGATATATTTAGAAGTTCAGGAGAACTAACTAAATAAAAGACTAGTTCAGTAGTGTGATTTAAGATTAGCATATAGATATTAACAGGCCACATAATAAAATAAGTTTTAAATAACTGTAGAAAACAGAGAACAAAATGTAAAATAGCAATGACAGTATTAAATGTAAACATATCTGCCATATCAATAAATGTAAGCAAGCTTGACCTATTAATTGAAAAATATTTTTAACTAAATTATATAGCTAAACCCAATTTGATATTGTATAGAGGAGGAGGAGGAGCAATGAAGGGCATATAAAATAATGCTATAAGGGTGTTTGAAACTAAAAGAGTGAGCAAAGGTATACCATAATGGAGCAAATTAGGAGGGGAAAAAAAAGCTGTGGTTGTGATATTAATTTTAGACAATGTGAAATTTAGGGACCCAAGTCATTTCAAAGAAGAAGTCCACTTAATGCTACAAGATGCAATTCACAAGAAAGATATCAGCTAGAAAAATCTATCTCTAATTAACACATCAACAGCATTAATGATTCAGAAATAACAGGAAATACAGGGAAAAAGGACTAAAACAAGAAGGAAAAAATAAGAATAAAGGAGACCAATGTAACGCAAATAATATGGTAAATAAGACCTATATGTAGGAACCAATGATTGGGAATATAGCTTCTTTTTAAATGCCCATGGAACATTGATGAAAATTTCACAAATACTAATTTCATATTAATCAGATATTAGTCTTGATAAGTTCTTCAAATTAGAATATTACAATTAACATTTTCTGATTATAATTCAATAAAACTGGATCTTAATAGTATCTAAAAGCAAAGACACTTTTAGCTGCTCTATAGAAGCTATCTAACAAAGTTGGAGCCTCCAAGGATTGTTCAGTTTGGTGAAATTCTTGTTTCTCATAAAGTCTATATATTGACAATTTCTGTGTTCAAAAATTTTTATCAGCGTGGTTTCATGCATGTGTGCTCAGTTTTTGATATGCAATTTAACTGAAAAGAATAGTCTTTCTTGGCCAGGCACGGTGGCTCATGCCTATAATCTTAGCACTTTGGGAGACCAAGGCGGGTGGATCACCTGAGGCCAGAAGTTCAAGACCAGCCTGACCATCATGGTGAAACTCTGTCTCTACTAAAAATATGAAAATTAGTCAGGCGTGGTGGTGGGTGCCTGTAATCCCAGCTACTTTGGAGGCTGAGGCATAAGAATCACTTGAACCCAGGAAGCGGAGGTTGCAGTGAGCCAAGATCATGCCACTGCACTCCAGCCTGGGTGACAGAGTGAGACTCCATCTCAAAAAAAAAAAAAAAAAAAAAAAAATTCTTTCTCATGCAATTGAAATGAACATAGATTTATACTAATATTAAGAGTGGAAAGAAGTTGCTGCGGACTTATTTATCTATTTTTAGGGGCAGTGAGCCTATTTCCTCAATCTGGTACTTTTGCTATTATCATCAAGTGCTTGATCTTTAGTGGATAAGTAGGGAGTGTGTGCTTGATCTTTAGTGGATGATGAGAAGTAGGGAGTGTATGAGAATGACCAAAAGATTAACACACACATTGGTAATGTGTTTACCTATTCATGATCTTGCAGCCAGCTTAGATGGCTGCAGATATAATATAAACTTTGTTGATTTTTCAAGAGTCTGAAATAAATTAAACACTCCCCAGTGGAGGGTGTGATCAATACTTTTTAAACTTTTCAGCTATATATATACTTTTAAAGTATGGAGCAAAATCAGAACTTCTCTTTTATTTTTTGGGAATCATCTAAAAGCAACAAAGATCATGAACAACAAAAACAAATGCTCCATTGCCATGAAATAAAAAGCATCTGAAACCCAAAACCATAAAATAAGAGGAAGCCCTGCCAAAAACAGTGAAGGTCAAACAGGAGTTCAAGAAGACACAGAGAAAAGATGCTTTGAGCTGTGTATTTCAGAAAAAGCTAGCAAAGCACACATCTTTAAAATAAGTGGTAAAGCCTGAGGCGTAAACCAATAATTCTTTATCTGTAACAATGGCAATAGGGTGAGGAGCTGGCAGATAAAGATTTCCTGATTACATGTGGAATGAGATATTGAGAAGCTGAGAAGTCCAGATTGAAAAGGAATTAAACAAATAGCTCATATTGACTATAACTGGTCTATTGTTGAGACTGGAAAGAAGCCATTCTTGGTTTACTTGGTAAGTAATACAGTGTAATTTTTTTGTTAGCTGAGATGAAGAAATGATTCAACAATCACATTCATATACACAGCCCTGTTTTGTGAGAATTATTTACCTTGGAACAAGGTTATAAGCCATTCCTTAAAACAAACTGACTATGAACAGCTGACCCAATAATTACTCATCTTACCCAAAGGTGAATTGCAGTAATAATAATAATAAATAATTATAGAGGAATGACCACAGGATCTATATAGATATACAACAAGGAAAACAGTTGGAAAGAAACAAGAAAAAATAATGTTGGATAGGAAAAATACTTGTCATCAAAATATTATTACAGTACCAATTAAAACTGTGATTCAGCATATTGCTATAAAGTAAAGGAAGAATGATAGACACGGAATAAAGGCAAAGGAGATCCAAAATATGTATAATTGATGCCTTTTAAGTGGAGAACAAGATAAAAATGTAATTCAAGAAAACTTTCAAGACTGGATTCCAGAAATTATAAGGGCATGTTTCAGGAAAAAATTGGCATAGAACAGTCATATTAAAATCTCCTTATACAGTTTCTAGATTTAAAGCTAAAGAATTTTGGGGGCACATAGGTAAAAAGATAAAGTCACTATAAGAGGAGAAAACAGTGATGGCCTCAGACTTCTTCACAGCAATATTCAATGTTGGCAGAAAGTGGAGTAATACTTTTAAAACACTGAAGGAAAGAATGTGTGAGTCAGGAATATTATATCTGGACATATTGTCATTTACATATAAAAAACAGCAGCAACAACAAAATATTTCTTAACATGAAAAAATAAGAGATTTTTCTTCATATGATCCCTTTCTGAAGATATTGGCAGAAGAATTTTAGCTAACCAGTAGGTGAATGAAGAAATAAAAATAAATGGAGATGATCAATAGAATATAAATATAAAACCTGAAAATGTAGAAATAATGTGCATAATAATAACTGGTGGAGAAAGGTGATTAAAAAGCTGCAGATAGTAAAGTTGTGCCAAATTTTCTCATTAAAAAAATAGAGATCATTTAAAAAGCTAATAACTCAAGTAATATAAATAGAATTATAAAGGTATTAAGGCAAACATTAGGAAAAACAGAAAAATTATTCATACAGTTCAGTGGGGAGGAGGAAGTTTAGTTATTTATGAAAGAACAAATGGTCAAAGTAAATAAGGAAATAAAACCTATATTAAAATATTGAGGGAGATTATACTGATATAAGTATCTAACCTGTGTATAATGAAAACTGAGGATAAATTCACTCTTTTGTATCTATGAAACATTTATAAAAATTGACCAAATTTCAGGGTATAAGGTACACCTGAATACATTTCAAAAAGTAGAAACAGGTGGGGCATGGTGGCTAATGCTTGTAATCCCAGCACTTTGGGAGGCGGAGGTGAGTGGATCACTTGAGGTCGGGAGTTCAAGGCCAGCCTGGCCAACATGGTGAAACCCTGTCTCTACTAAAAATACAAAAATTAGCTGGGCATGGTGGTGTGTGCCTGTATTCTCAGCTACTCAGGAGGCCGAGGCACGAGAATCGCTTGAAGCTGGGAAGTGTGGAGGTTGCAGTGCGTGAGATCGTGCCACTGCACTCCAGCCTGAATGAAAGAGTAAGACTCTGTCTCAAAAAAAAAAAAAAAAAAAAAAAATAGAAACAGTTTTAACATATTCTATTCACTGTGCATAAATTAAAATCATGAAACCAAACAAAAATAACAGCTGAGAAAGAATAACCTTCTCTTAAACACTAACTTTTTGGCTGGGTGCAGTGGCTCATGCCTGTAAACCCAGCACTTTGGAAGGCCAAGGTAGAGGGTCACATGAGCCCATGAGTTCAAGACCAGCCTGGGCAACATGGAGAAATCCCATTTCTACAAAAAAAATACAAAAATTAGCCATGTGTGGCGGTGTGCACCTGTAATCCCAGCTACTTAGGAGGCTGAGGTGTGAGGATCACCTGAGTCTGGGAAGATTGAGGCTTTAGTGAGCCGTGATTGTGCCACTGCACTTCAGCCTGAGTGACAGAGTGAGAATGCCTCAGAAAACCAAAAAAGTTTAACTTTTTAAGCCAAAGAGATTATCAAAACTGAGAGTGCCAGTTATCTAGAAAATAATGATAATGAAAACAAAACATAAGAGGTTCATCAGGATACAGGTTTTTTTATATAGTACTTAGAGGAAATTTTATAGTAATAATAAAGGATGAAAACGGCTGAGTAAAGCACCCAATTTTAATAGATTATAAAAGTGAAACAAAGCTAAAGAAAGCAGAAAAATAAAAATAAGGATAAAACAAATTAATAAATTTTAAAGTGGATAACATATGTATAACAAGTCCAACAGCTGGTTCTGTGGGGAAAAAAATTTAAAGAGAATCTAGCTTACTTAAATAAGAAAAAAGCAAGAAAACATATATTGTAATTGTAAAATTACAATAGTAAAAGAGCCTCATATACAGAAAAAAAGGAATTCACAAGACTTTGTGTTCACATTTATAGAAATAAATGTGAGAATCCAGATGCAATGTATAACTTTATAGAAAAATATAAATGACCAGAATTGACCTGGAGAGATAAAAATGTCATCTTACCATTTATGATGGGAAAAATAAATGGATAAAACAATTTCCTCCTAAGAATCACTAGGCTTGATGGAGTCACAGGGGAATTCTATGAAATCTTTAAGGGTGAGAGAACTGTAATACAATTTAAACTGTTCTTACACACACACACACACACACGTGCGCACACAAACACAGGTAAGTTTGCAAAACATTTTAGAATGAAACTAGCACTGATTTCAAAATCCAGCAAAGATTGAACAAAAGTTTGGACTATCAGTTTCATTTATGAATACTGATGTAAAATCCCAAATTAAAAACTAGCAAATGGCATTCAGCAGCATATTAAAAAATTAATACATGCCAGGCGTGGTGGCTTATACCTGTAATCCCATTACTTTGGGGGGCCAAGGCAGGAGGATTGCTTGAGCCCAGGTGTTTGAGACCAACCTGGGCAACACAGTGAGACCCCATCTCTCTCTCTCACTCTCTCTCTCTCTATATGAAATGAATACAGCATGATGAAGTTTATTCCAGGAATGTAAGAATTATTCATTGTTACAAAAATATATGACTAAAATTTGCTGCAATAGGTAAAATTGAAAAATAATATAGTGTTCATGGAAGCTAAAAAACATTTAATAAAGTTCAATTTTCATTTCTGATTTTAAAAAAATCTCTCAATGGATAGATTTATGTTTCTTTCTATGCAGAGTTTACATAGATTTATGTAGAAAAACATAAATTCAAGTAAATGAGATACTGGTTTTTGCCTATAATATTGCCAAAGATTAAAAAACCTGATAGCTGCTGGTGGTAGTGTAAATATGTACATGTATACCACAAACACAGCATGGCTCTTAACAGGAAAATGTTATAAACATTCCCATTAAAATTAAGAACAAGACCAAGACGTCCTTGCTCTTATGTAGCAAGTTCTAAGAGATTCTAGTCAATGCAATTAGGTTAAAACACCTGGAAAGAGAATATGCATGATTTCTATAAAGAAAAAATGTAAATACTAGTAAAAGACTAGCACTGAAGACTAGTAAAAGAAGACTTACAAATGAAAAGGTATACTGTAATTGATTTTGGATAGAAAGGATCAAAATCAGAAATATGTCAATATTCTACAATCTATAAACTTTAAATAATCCCAATAAAAATATCAAAAGGATTTATTCTGTGGAACTATACAAACTGGTTCTGAAGCTCAAATAGAAAAACAAGCAAACAAGCAGAGCCAGAAAAAAATTTGATATAAAAAGACAAAAGGAGGGGAAATTAGCCCTACTAGCTATGGACTCTTGTTATAAAGCTATAACAATTAGAACATTCTGGTATAGTTACATGAATAGACAGGCAGATCAGTAGAACAGAACAGAAGTGTAGAAATAGATTCAAATACATATGGGAATATAGCCTATGATAAAGGTGTCATTTCAAATTAATGGAGAAAAGATGGATTATTCAATAAATGGTATTGGAACAATTGAGTAGCCATCTGGGAAAAATTTGAGTAATTAGAATGCTACAGCAAAACATATTCTCAATTGATTAAAGGTTTGAGCATAAAATGTAAAACCATAAAAATGCCTTAGAAAACTCTGGGGAATTATTTTTTATAGTCATGAGATGGGAAAGATCTAGGTCTAACACAAAACTCAGTAGTCAAGAAGAAATGTGTGATAAGTTAGAATTTTATAAAATAAAAATATTTGATAAAGTTCATTCTGATCAAGTCAAAATATAACAAACTGAAATAAATATTTGCAACTCACAACAGAGGTTAAAAATACTTTGCTTATATAGAAAGACCTTCTACCAGTAGATAAGTCCATATTTAAGAATATAATAGAAAAAAATCGTCAACGATTATAAACACTGGTTCACAGAAATGGAAATACTAATGATTCTGGAAACTGAGCAGATACTGAATCCTATTCACAATTAGAGAAACATAAATTCAAGTAATGAGATACTGTTTTTCACCTATAATATTGTCAAAGATTAAAAAACCTGATAACTGCTGGTGGTAGTATAAATTTATACAATACACATGAAGGGAAATTTGCTATATTTATCAAAATTACAAAGGTCTATATTTTTTGTTCTAGCCTTCTTTTGGATACATATTTACTCTCTGGATAGATAAACCCATGAAATTACATATATACAAGTCTTATTCACTTCGACACTTTATGTAATATCAAGAGTGAAAATAACATAGATATAAATTAATAAAATACTGATTAAGCATACTACATCCATACCACCTAATTCTAAGCAGATGCAAAAAAGGATAATGGAGTTTCTTATATTCTGATAGAGAATTATCTTCAAAATATATTTAGTGAAAAAAACACAAGATGTATAAAAGTGTGCATAGTATGGTACCATTTGTTTTAAGAAAGGGAAAACAATGTATATAAGAATGTATTTCCAAGGGCTGGGTGTGGTGGCTCACCCCTGTAATCCCACCACTTTGGGAGGCAGAAGCAGGTGGATCACCTGAGGTCGGGAGTTCGAGACCAGCCTGACCAACATGGAGAAACCCCGTCTCTACTAAAAATACAAAAAATTAGCCAGGCGTGGTGGCGCATGCCTGTAATCCCATCTACTTGGGAGGCTGAGGCAGGAGAATCGCTGAACCAGGGAGGCGGAGGTTGCAGTGAGCCAAGATTGCACCATTGCACTCCAGCCTGGGCAACAAGAGCGAACCTTGTCTCGAAAAAAAAAAAAAAAGTATTTATTTCCACATGCATAAAATGTCTACAGAATATACAAGTGTATAACAATGTTAATTGCATCTGGGGATGGGAAATAAATGCTGGAGACTTTTCAGTTTACACATCTTATAAAAGCAACCTGATTGCTTACATACGATAAGCTGAATTCAGTTAAAGTGTACAATTTGATTAATTTTTAGAGTTGCATACACCCATGAAACTACTGCTACAATCAAGATACTGAACATTTTCATCATTTCATCACCTCACATACCTTTTTAAAAATTGTATGATTTAATTAATTTTTTGCTATTGTATCTTACAGTGGCCCATCACCAAGCCCTAATATTTATTTATTTTATTATTATTATTTGTACATGAATAAGTTCTTCAGTGGTGATTTCTGAGATTTTGGTGTGCCTATCACCTGAGCAGTGTAAACTGTACCCAATGTGCAGTCTTTTATCCCTCACCTGCCTCCCACCCTTTCCCGAGTCCCCAAAGTCCATTGTATCATTCTTATGCCTTTGTGTCCTTGTAGCTTAGCTTGCACTTACAAGTCAGAACATATAATGTTTGGTTTTCCATTCCTGAGTTACTTCACCTAGAATAATGGTCTCCAATTCCATCCAGGCTGCTACAAATACCATTAATTTATTTCTTTTTGTGGCTAAGTAGTATTTCAAATATATATATTTCATACACACACACACACACACACACACACACACACACACACACACTGCATTATCTTTATCCAGTCATTAATTGATGGGCATTTGGGCTGGTTCCATATTTTTGCAATTGTGAAATGTGCTGCTACAAACACGCGTGTGCAAGTATCTTTTTCTTATGATGACTTCTCTTCCTCTGGGTAGATACCCAGGAGTGGTATTGCTGGATCAAATGGTAGATCTAGCCGAGCATGGTGATTCATGCCTGTAATCCCAGTACTTTGGGAAGCTGAGGCAGGCTGATCTCCTGAGGTCAGGAGTTTGGGACCAGCCTGGCCAACATGGTGAAACCCCATCTCTACTAAAAATACAAAAATTAGCCAGATGTAGTGGCACACACCTGTAATCCCAGCTACTTGGAAGGCTGAGGCATGAGAATCACTTGAATCTGGGAGATGGAGTTTGCAGTGAACTGAGATCGCGCCACAGCACTCCAGCCTGGGCGATAGAGTGAGACTCTGTCTCAAAACACAAACAAACTAACAAAAACAAATGGTAGATCTACTTTTAGTTCTTTAAGGAATCTCAACACTGTTTTCGATAGTGATTGTACTGGTTTACATTCCCACCAACGGTGTAAAAGTGTTCCCTTTTCACCACATTCATGCCAATGTCTATTGTTTTTTTGACTTTTTGATTATGGCCATTCTTGTGGGAGTAAGGTGATATCACATTGTGGTTTTGATTTGATTTCCCTGATCATTAGTGATGTTGAGCATTTTTTCATATGTTTGTTGGCCATTAGCATGTCTTCTTTTGAGAATTATCTATTCAGGTCCTTAAACCACTTTTTGATGGGATTGTTTGTTTTTTCCTTGCTGATTTGTTTGAATTCCTTGTAGATTCTGGATATTTGTCCTTTGTTGGAAGCATAGATTGCGAAGATTTTCTCCCACTCTGTGGGTTGCCTGTTTACTCTGCTGATTATTTCTTTTACTGTGCAGAAGCTTTTTAGTTTAATTAAGTTCCATCTATTTATCTTTGTTTTTGTTGCATTTGCTTTTGGGTTCTTGGTCATGAAGTCTGTGCCTAAGCCAATGTCTAGAAGGGATTTTCTGATGTTATCTTCTAGAATTTTTATGGTTTCAGGTCTTAGATTTAAGTCTTTGATCCATCTTGAGTTGGTTTTTGGATAAGGTGAGAGATGAGGATTCAGTTTCATTCTCCTACATGTGGCTTGTCAATTATCCCAGCACCATTTGTTAAATAGGGAGTCCTTTCTCTACTCCATGGTTTTGTTGGCTTTGTTGAAGATCAGTTAGCTGTAAGTATTTGGCTTTATTTCTATTTTCTCTGTTCAGTTCCATTGGTCTATGTGCTTATTTTTATACCAGTACCATGCTGTTTTGGTGACTATGGCCTATTTATACTATATAAAGTCAGGTAATGTGATGCCTCCAGATTTGTTCTTTTTGTTTAGTCTCGCTTTGGCTATGCAGGTTCCTTTTTGGTTTCCATATGAATTTTAGGATTTTTTTTTCTAGTTCTGTGAAGAATGATGGTGGTATTTTGATGGGAATTGCATTGAACTTGTAGATTGCTTTTCGCAGTATGGTCATTTTTACAATATTGATTCTGCTCATTCATGAGCATAGGGGGTGTTTCCATTTGTTTGTGTCACCTATAATTTCTTTCAGCAGTGTTTTGAAGTTTTGTTTTTAAGGTCTTTCACCTCCTTGGTTAGGTATATTCCTAAGTATTTTATTTTTTGCAGCTATTGTAAAAGGGGTGGAGTTCTTGATTTGATCCTCAGCTTGATTGCTCTTGGTGTATAGCAGAGCTGCTAATTTGTGTACATTAATTTTGTTTTCTGAAACTTTGCTGAATTCATTTACCAGTTCTCAGGGTTTTTCGGATGAGTCTTTAGGGTTTTCTAGGTATACGATCATGTCATCAGCAAACAGCGGTAGTTTGACAGTTTGACCTCCTCTTTAATGATTTGGATGCCCTTTATTTCTTTCTCTCGTTGGATTGCTCTGGCTAGGACTTCCAGTGCTATGTTGAATAGAGGTGGTGAAAGTGGGCATCCTTGTCTTGTTCCAGTTCTCAGGGGTAATGCTTTCAACTTTTCCCTGTTCAGTATAATGTTGGATGTGGGTTTGTCATAGATGGCTTTTATTACCTTAAGGTATGTCCCTTCTATGATGATTTTGCTGAGGGTTTTAGTCATAAAGCGTTGCTGGATTTTGTCAAATGCTTTTTTGGCATTGATTGAGACGATCATGTGATTTTTAATTCTGTTTATGTGGTATATTACATTTATTGATTTGGGTATGTTAAAACATCCCTGCATCCTGGTATGAAATCCACTTGATCATAGTGGATACTCTTTTTGATATGCTGTTGGATTCTGTTAGCTAGTATTTTGTTGAGGATTTTTGCATCTATGTTCATCAGGGATATTGGTCTGTAGTTTTCTCTTTTTGTTATGTCCTTTCTTAGTTTTGGTATTAGGGTGATACTAGCTTCGTAGAATGATTTAGGGAGGATTTCCTTTTTCTCTATCTTTTGGAATAGTATCAGTAGAATTAGTACCAATTATTCTTTGAATGTCTGATACAATTCAGCTGTGAATCTTTCTGGTCCTGGACCTTTTTTTTGGTATTTCACTGTTTATTGTTGGTCCGTTCAGAGTTTCTATTTCTACCTGCTTTAATCTAGGAGGGTTGTATAGTTTCAGCAATTTATCCATCTCCTCTATGTTTTCTAGTTTATGTGCATAAAGGTGTTCATAGTAGCCTTGAATGATCTTTTGTATTTCTGTGGTATTGGTTGTAATATCTCTCGTTTTATTTCTAATTGAGCTTATTTGGAACTTCTCTCTTCTTTTCTTAATTAATCTCACAAATAATCTACCAATTTTATTTACCTTTTCAAAGAACCAGCTTTTTGTTTCATTTGTCTCATATATATATATGTGCATGTATATATATGTATATATGTGTGTATATATATATATGTATATGTGTGTGTGTATGTATACGTATATATATACATATACTGTTTCAATTTCATTTAGTTCTGCTCTGATCTTTCTTTCTTTTCTTCTGCTGGGTTTGGGTTAGGTTTGTTCTTATTTCTCTAGTTCCTTGAGATGTGACCTAAGATTATTTGTACTCTTTCAGACTTTTTGATGTAGGCATTTAATGCTATGAACTTTCCTCTTAGCACTGCCTTTGCTGTATCCCAGAGGTTTCAGTAGGTTGTGTTACTATTATCACTCAGTTCAAAGAATTTTTAAATTTCCATCTTGATTTCATTGTTGACCCAACAATCACTCAAGACTAAGTTATTTAATTTCTATGTATTTGCTTGGTTTTGAGGCTCCCTTTTGGAGTTGATTTCCAATTTTATTCCACTGTGGTCTGAGAGAGTATGTGCTATAATTTCGATTTTCTTAAATTTGTTGAGACTTGTTTTGTGGCCTATCTTATGGTCTATCTTGGAGAATGTTCCATGTGCTGATGAATAGAATGTATATTCTGCAGTTGTTGGGTAGAATGTTCTGTAAATATCTGTTAAGTCCATTTGTTCTAGAGTATAGTTTAAGTCCATTGTTTCTTTGTTGACTTTCTATCTTGATGACCTGTCTAGTGCTGTCATTGGAGTATTGAAGTCTCCTACTATTATTGTGTTGCCATCTATCCCATTTCTTAAGTCTAGTAGTAATTGTTTTATAAATTTGGGAGCTCTAGTGTTAGGTGCATATATATTTAGGATTGTGGTATTTTCTTGTTGGACTAGTCCTTTTATCATTATATAATGTCCCTCTTCATCTTTTTTAACTGCTGTTGCTTTAAAGTTTGTTTTGTATAATTTAAGAGTAGCTACTCCTGTTTGCTTCTGGTGTCCATTTGCATGGAATATCTTTTTCCACCCCTTTATCTTAAGTTTATGTGAGTACTTATGTGTTAGATGAGTCTCTCGAAGGAAGGAGATAGTTGGTTGGTAAATTCTTATCCATTCTGCCATTCCGTATCTTTTAAGTGGAACACTTAGGCCATTTACATTCAATGTTAGTATTGAGATGTGAGGTACTATTCTATTAATCATACTATTTGTTGCCGGAATACCTTGTGTTTTTTCATTTTATTATTGCTTTATAGGTCCTATTAGATTTATGCTTTAAGGAGATTCTATTTTGGTGTATTTTGAGGATTCATTTCAAGATTTAGAGCTCCTTTTAGCAGTTCTTGTAGTGCTGGCTTGGTAGTGGTGAATTCTCTCAGCATTTGTTTGTCTGAAAAAGACTGTATCTTTCCTTCATTTATGAAGCTTAGTTTCACTGGATACAAGATTCTTGGCTGTTACTTGTTTTCTTTAAGGAGGTTAAAGATAGGATCCCAGTCCCTTCTAGCTTGTAGGATTTCTGCTGATAAATCTGCTATTAATCTGATAGGTTTTGCTTTGTAGGTTACCTGATGCTTTTGCCTCACAGCTCTTAAGATTCTTTCCTTTGTCTTGACTTTAGATAACCTGATGATCTTTTTGCAATTAATTTCCCAGTTGTTCTTTGAGCTTCTTGTATTTGGATGTCTAGATCTACAAGGCCAGGGAAGTTTTCCTTGGTTATTCCCTCAAATATGTTTTCCAAACTTGTAGAGTTCTCTTTTTCCTCGGGAATGCCAATTATTATTAGGTGTGGTTGTTTAACAAAATCTCAAACTTCTTGGAGGATTTGTTCATTAAAAAATTTTTTTTTCTTTGTTTTTGTTGGATTGGGTTAATTCTAAAGCCTTGTCTTTGAGCTCTGAAGTTTCTTCTTCTACTTGTTCAATTCTATTGCTGAGACTTTCCAGTGCATTTTGCATTTCTCTAAGTGTGTCCTTCATTTCCAGAATTTGTGATTGTCTTTTGTTTATGTTATCTATTTCACTGGAGATTTTTCCATTCATATCCTGTATCATTGTTTTTATTTCTTTAAGCTGAACTTCGTATTTCTCTGGTGCCTCCTTGATTAGCTTAATAATCGACCTTCTGAATTCTTCTCCTGGCAATTCAGAGATTTTATCTTTGCTGGTGAGCTAGTATAATCTTTTGGGGGTATTAAATAATCTTGTTTTGTCATATTACCAGAATTGTTTTTCTGGTTCCTTCTTTTTTGGGTAGACTATGTCAGAGGAAAGATCTGGGACTCAAGGGCTGCTGTTCAGATTCTTTTGTCCCACGAAGTGCTCCCTTGATTTGGTGCTTTCCCCCTTCTTCTAGGGATGGGGCATCCTGAGAGCCAAACTGCCATTATTGTTATTTCTGTTCTGGATTTAGCCACTCAGCGGAGCTACTGGGCTCCAGGCCGGTACTGGGGAATATCTGCAAAGAGTCCTGTGATGTTATCCGTCTTCAGGTCTTTCAGCCATGGATACAAGCACCTGCTCTGGTGGAGGTAGCAGGGAACTGAAGTAGACTCTGTGAGGGGTCCGTGGTTGTATTTTTAAGTGCACTGATTTTGTGTTGGCTGGCCTCCAGCCAAAAGGTAGCACTTTCAAAAGTGCATCAGCTGCAGTAGTATAGGGAGGATACAAGCTTGCCCAAGTATCAGGTGGTGGGCAGGGCTATAGAGCTCCCAAGAGATTATGTCCTTTGTCTCCAGCTACCAGGGTGGGTGGAGAAAGATCATCACGTTGAGGCGGGGTTAGGCTGTCTGAGTTCAGACTCTCCTTGGGTGGAGCTTGCTGCAGCTGCTGTGGGGGATGGAGTTGTGGTTTCCCAGGCCAGTGGAGTTATGGTCCCAGAGGGATTATGGCTGCCACTGCTGCATCACACAGGTTGCCAGGAAAGTGGGGGAAACCCGGCAACCACAGGCCTCACCCGTCTCCCATGCAGCCCAAAAGTCCAGTCTCACTCCCACCATGTCCCCGCAAACAGCACTGAATTTATTTCCAGGCAACCAGTGAGCAAGGCTGAGAACTTGTCCCAGGTTACGAGACTCCCAGGTGAGAAAGAAAGTGGACTCACAGTTCCTTGGCTGTCTCACAGAGCTGCAGTGGCATTCCACCTCTTTCACAGGCTTTGTAGATTCTCTCGGCTTTCCCTGTATGTTCCTGTAGGAGTTCTTGGAGCAAAAGTTCACAATGTGACTCTCCACACACTGCTGTGTCTGTCCAGGTGGGATCTGCAAGTTAGTCCTGCCTCCTATCTGCCACTTTTTCTGTATCACGTGTCTTTGCAATTTACTCCTTCCTCCACTCCTAGCTTCATTGTTTCATTTTTTACGTAAGTGTTATCAAGATATCATTCACATACCATCCAATTCACCCATTTAAGGTGTACAATTCATTACTCAAAGTTGAACACTTTTTCATGTGCTTACTGGCCATTCATACACCTTCTTTTAAGAAATTATTATTCAAATCCATTGCTCATTTTTAATTTGTTTGCCTTTTTATTATCGAGTTATTAGTTCTTTCTATTTTCCAGATTTAGACACCTTGCTATACATGTATGCAAATATTTTTTCTGTTTAGTGATTTGCCTTTTTGTTTCCTTAATAGTGATTTTTGAAGAATAATAATTTTAAATTTTGATGATGTCTAATTTATCATTTTTTCATTTATAATTTGTGATTTTGGTGTACTACGTAAGAAATCTTTGCCTATCTCAAGGTCACAAAGATTTTCTCCTGTTTCTTTGTGAACAAAAACTTTCTCTTTGTGAAATTCTGTCTAGAAATTTTACAGTTGTAGCTTTTACATTTAGTTCTAGGACTGTTTCATGCTGCGTGTGATAAAAGTTGATGTTCATTTTTCCCCTCATATATTTCCAGTAATTTCAACACCATATGTTGGAAATTTTTCCTTTTACCACTGAAATGTCTTTGTACCCTTGCTAAAGCCAATTGATCACATATGTGTGATCCATATCTGGACTTTGTATTCCATTCCATTTTTCTAGATGTTTACTTTTATGCTAACCCTACATTATCTTGAGCTCTGTAGTTTTGTAATAATTCTTGACGTAAGGCATATAAGGCCTCCAGCTTTGTTCTTACTTCAAGATTTATTTTGCTATTTTAGGTTCATTGCATTTCCATATACATTTTAGAATGAGCTTATCAGTGTCTACGAAAAGATTGCTAGAACCTATAGATTAATTTGGGAAAAAGTGGTATTTAATAGTCTTGTGTCCTCTACTCTGTGAACACGGTAGGTAGCTCCATTTATTTAGGTCTACTTTAATTTCTCTTAGTAATGTTCTGTAATTTTCAGTAGATGCTGTTTCATAGCTATTGTTAAGGGTTTTTTTTTTTTTTGATTTTGTTTTCCTCTTTTTTTATGAGCAAATAGAAACACAACTAATTATTTCTGTGTAAAGTATTATGCCCCAAAGTCAAGTGGCTTAAAACAACGAGCACTTATCTCTTGCCATTTCTGTGGGTTTGATATTCAGGTGTAGCTTACTTGGTTTTGCTGTGGGTCTCTAATGAAGGTTCAGTCAAGATGTTGACTGGGCCTGGAGTCATCTAAAAGCTTGACTGACGCTGCAGGGTCTGCTTCCAAGATGGCTCACTCATGTGTCTGGCAAGTTGATGGTGACTTGGATAGGAGGCCTCAATTTCTTTACATATGAGCTTCTTCACAGAGCTGCTTGAGTGTCTTCATGACATTGTAGCTGGCTTCTCTCAGAACAAGTGATTCAAAAGAAAGCAAGGCAGAAGCTGCAGTGCCTTTTGTGATCTAGACTCAGAAGTCACATGCCATTATCTCCACAATATCCAATTGGTCACACAGGTCAGCACTATTTTGTATGGAAGGAAACCATACAACGGCATGAATACCTGCAGATGAGGGTCACTGGAAGCCATCTTGAAGGTTGGCTATCACACTTGGTGTGGTGTTTTTTTGTGTTTGCCCTGCATTTCTCATGCTTTTTGAACATGTAGGCTTATTATTTTTATCAATTTTAGAATATTTTCAACTATTATTTCTTTAAATTTTTTTTTACTTCTTCCTCTCTTATCTCTCAATCTGAGACTCCAATTACATGTACGTTAGACTGCTTGTCTGACAGCTTACTAAAGTTTCATTCATTTTTTTCCAGCCTTTTTGCTCTCTGTGCTTGATTTAGGATAGTTTCTATTGCTATATCTTCAAGTTTGCTGGCCTTTTTTCTACAGTGTCTTATCTGCTGTTAAGACCATTAAGTGAATCTTTTTTCACTTCAGATATGTTATTTTTGAACTCTAGAACATTTGTGTGGCTCCTTTTCATATATTCAACTTCTTTATTTATGTCCTTGCTTTCTCTTAAATTGCTGGGTTTTGATAGTAGTTCTTTTAAAGTTCTTGTCTGCTAATTGTACTTCTTAGCCACTTTTGGGTTTATTTCCATTCGCTTATTTTTCTCATGATTAAGGGTCACATTTTGCTACTTCTTGGCATATCTAACAATTTTTTATTGGATGTTAGATGTTAGGAATGTTATATTATTGACTATTTGGATTTTGTTATCGTCTTTTAGAGTGTTGATATTTGCTTTGGCAGGCCGTTACTTGCATATCAGTTTTATCCTTTTGAGCCTTATTGTTAAGCTTTGTTAGGATAGGTCTAGAGTAGCCTTATTGTAGTGTTAGTTTATTCCTACTACTAAGGCTTGGCTTTTCTGTAGTCTTTATTGAATACCTAGATATTCAAATGGAGTCTTTCCACTCCAAGGAATAAAACGTTGAATGTCATTCAGCCCTGAATGAGCTCAGAGAATTGTTCCGATAGAAAACCCCGGCAGTTGTTCTTTGCCTGGATTTGTGGAGTTCACTTACACATGTGCAGTTTTGGATTCAGCCACTCAATGGGACTCTTATGCAGGTTTCTGGCATTCTTCCTTTGTGTAGCTCCTCCTTCTCTGGAATGCTGCCCTGTAATTTCCAGCTGCCTCAGCCTTTCTGAGCTCCTATCTCTCCTCAATTCAGAGAAACTGCCAAGCTCTGCATGGGCCCCCTTTCCTGCCCTGAGGTTAGGAAATTGTTTCCAGGCTGCAAGTCATGCTTTCAGGGATCATAGACCTACACTGCCTCTTGTCTAATGCTGGAAAACAGACATTTTATATATTTCATTTAGTTTTCTAGTTGTTTATGGGTTTTGGAGGAGGGTGTGCAAAGACCATGCAATTACTACTCCTTCATGGAAGGAAGCAAAAGTCCTTCCCCTTTTGATTTTAAAATACATGGCTACTTGGGGGGCTGAGGTGGGAGGATCGCTTGAGCCCAGGAAGTGGAGGTTGCAGTGAGCTGAGATCATACCACTGCACTCCAGCCTGCGTGACAGAGTGAGACCTTGTCTCAAAAAAACAAATAAAATAAAATAAAATAATAAAATACATGGGAAGAAGTATTAAAAGGAAAAGAAAACAATTCCAAATAATAAAACTAGTATTAGCTAGAGTGTATAAAAGCAGGCCACATTAAAAAACTACTGGTTAAAATTTAGATTAGAACAATCTTTGGAGTGTATTTTGGCAAAAAAGAATAAAAAGCTTATATTTTTTTTTACTTTTGAACTGGAAATTCTTCTTTTAGGTATTTATCCAGAAGAAATAATCAGACATATATGAAAGTTTTAATTAAATAATTAATTATAGTAATGGAGTGGCTACGTTGTCTGGGTAATTGTTGCATGCCAAGAAAATTTAGGACACAGACACAAGCGAGAAGTTTAGGATCAGAGGTTTAATAAACAGAAGAGAAGAAAAAGAGACGGCTCTCTCCGTAGAGAGAGGGGTCTCCAAGGGAAAGGACCGGCTAGTGGTGAATGCACCGAATTTTATAGTCCATTTTGAGGAGGCAGTGTCTGATTTGCAGAGGGCTCATAGATTGGTCACATCAGGTAAGGTATGAAATTTATGTAGCGTGCTGGGAAAGCTGGTTGTCCCAACTTAGTCTTACTATGCAAATAGACTTTCTAGTTGATCTGCGCCATCTTGTCTGCTCCTTACAGTACATGTGGCTGGCAGAGACAGGAAGATGGAGCTGCCCTCTTGAAAATGTCTAGTTCTTAGTTCCTGCTGGCATTCACTCACGCAAGCTCCAGCTTGCTTGTCTATGTCTGCAGCTCAACTTTACAGGCTGGTCTTTGTTAGAAAATGATCTGGGGCTGCTTTTCATCAAAAAGAAAAGCTTTACCAGGGACTCTCATACCCTTGCTAACTGCCTACGTGATTTCTTCTTAACTGCTATATCAGTAAGGAAATTTGTGACCTAAAATAAAAAAAAAATTAACCAAAATATTCAACAGTATAAAACTGATGAAATAAATTTGTTTATGCATCCACATAATAGCATGCTATATGACTACAATGATCTTGGGAAATATAACAATGATATGAGAAAATGCTTTAATAATTTTAATAAGTTTTAGAAAATCAGATTACAAAAAATTTGTTCAGTTTAATCACAATATTAATCTATTATAAGTATGATGTAGAGAATACAAAAATATTAACAATCCCTGTATGATGTAATTATATAAATATTTTATTCTTTGTGCTTTTCTAAGTTTTCTGAACTTTCTACAACAAACATAAAATTACTTTTTAAATTTTAAAATATTTATTTTTAAATGCTTCATTAGATTAATTCACAGTTACACGATAGTTGGAATCTACATAAATGGCTGTAAGAGAGCCAACATGGAGTAGTAGGTAAGAGTACAGGCCATGAAATCTGGATTTAAATTCTGTTGTACAATTGGCTAGATGAATGATCTTGAATACATTTCATAACTTCTTGGAGCCTCTATTGTCTTATCTGTAAAATTGGTATGAAGATGCTGCTCACCTTTTTATGGTTCCTGTAAGAATTAAATGAAGTAATTCATGTAAACTCTTAGCATGACAAGATTCTGTGAGTCTGAGTTAATGCACTGTAGTATTATAATTATTTCTACTCCTAGTGACAACAACAACTACTACTATTACCAA
Organism: Homo sapiens; assembly: GCF_000001405.40. Lineage (NCBI taxonomy): Eukaryota > Metazoa > Chordata > Mammalia > Primates > Hominidae > Homo > Homo sapiens. The sequence goes on along the minus strand of NC_000005.10, from coordinate 68,560,434 downwards.
TAAAACAATTAGGATAAAGGACCTTATGAGGCATGGGTATATGGTAAGATTAAGAGAAGAGGGTTGAAAGGGGAGCAAAAGCAACATTGAAACATTACTAATGTCACGGCTTTTCTTACTAGCATTGCTGAAAATAAAACAACACAATAAAAACAACCTCAAACTGGGGAATGGGGAATTCTTTTCAAGATAACTGAGATATGCACTTAACTTTTAAGATTCTCAAGAGAGACAGAAATCACACCCCTGCTCAGTTTACAAAGAAGTTTTGAGTGGAAAATAACTATTTAATTGAGGAAATGAATTCTGGGACTCTCAGGTACAATACTCATACATAATACAATACTGATGAGATGCTATATGACTGCTATAGACTGAATGCTTGTACCCCTCCTCCCACATTCATATGTTGAAATCCTAATACTAATCAATATTAGGAGATGGGGCCTTAGGAGGTAACTAGATCATGAGGATGAAGCCCTCATGAATGAGATTAGTGTTCTTAAAAAAGAAGTCCCAAGAGATCCCTTGTCCTTTCTGCCATTAATGTTAAAGTGAAAAGATGGTTGTCTGGGAAGTAAGCCCTCACCAGACACTGAATCTGCGAGTACATTGATCTTGAACTTCCCAGCCTCCAGAACTGTGAGAAATGCATTTCTGTTGTTTATAAGCCACCCAGTTATGGAATTTTGTTTCAGCAGCCTGAATGGACTAAGGCAATGACTTCATGGCTCAGTTTTGCTGCCTGTCAACTAGGAAAAACATTTTGGTAGGCTTTTAAATGAAATATATAAAATGAATACTTTACAAACATCTAAGAATTGATCATTATTCTCCCCTTTCAGTGCTATCACCATGGGTCAAACCACCAGCAGCTTTTGTTTTGCTGCTTCTTCCCCATGCCCTCGAAGTCTGTTCTCTATACGAGCAGTCCCTCAACCGTTTTGGCACCAAGGACCAGTTTCATGGAAGACAATTTTTCTATGGACCAGGGTCAGGGAGATGGTTTGGGGATGAAACTGTTCCACCTCAGATTATCAGGCATTAGATTCTCATAAGGAGGGCACAACCTAGGTTCCTTGCATGAGCAGTTTATTATAGGGTTCATGCTCTTATGAAAATCTAATGCCACTGATCATCTTACTGGAGGCAGAGCTCAGGCAATAATGCTTGCTCCCCTACCACTCACCTCCCGCTGTGCAGCCTGGTTCGTAACAGGCCACAGACTGGTACTGGTCCATGGCCTGGGGGCTGGGGACCCCTACTCTACACAATACTGGGATTGATACTTTTAAAATACAACTCAAGTCAATGGCAGATAACTCTAGGCCAAGAGAGGCACATGTGCAAAAGCAGAAGGGCACTGAGCAGCAAGGTGTCCTTGGGACACTATAAGAGTTTGGTATTGGTAGAACTTTGTGTAAAGTTTGGGGACTGAGTTGAGAGAGAGAGAGGGACCATATCTTGAGATTTCACATATGGTTGCCTGAGGTGTGTGTTTTAGGTGATAAACAACTATTGAATAAATTTAAGCAGAGGAGTGACAATGTCAAGTTAATGTTTTAGAAAGATAATTCTGAAAATGCAGGGGACTATGGACTTGGTAAGGAGAAAACTGGTGGGAGAAAAATGAGATTATTTTGCACATTGAGGAGCTTATTGTCTAGGACAGTGGTGCAGACTCTTTTGACCCTGACCCATGTAGTGGGACAAACAATACCTTAACATACTTACTCCAGGAATTTCAGTCTCTAGTAAAAATGAATTTAGAGAACGAAGACTTTATAGAACCAATTTTTACTCGATAAGAGAAGAATATGAGTTTAGAGGTTTATATATACATATGATCATTTTGTAGCTTATTGGGAGGTCTTTCATGGCCAACCAGCAGGCTTAAGATCCCATACTGAGAATCAGTGGGTTGGAAAAGGGACAGTTATTATGTGGAAATAGAGGGGAAATGATAGATGTGAAAGTTATTCATGAGGTACAGTTGAAAAGACCTGGAGATTAATTGATCTGGGATTTGAGAAGAGGGAGGAATCAAAGTTGACATCTAGGTTTCTGGCTCTGGTGATTATGCATGACCAACAGAGATAGGAATTCAAGAGGAAAATCAGATTTGGGGAGATCGGCTTTGCTGCAGACAGAAGTGTGAAGGGTTTTTTTGCATCATCTAACTGAAGATATCTAGTTGACAATGGACTAAAGCATAGGGGAGATATTTGGGCTGGGTATGGTAAAATGGCACAGAATTTCTAACACACTGTGAGTAGTGCTGCCCCTAGAAGGGGCATTTTGAAATATATGAGTTGTTTTTTGTTGTCACAATGATGGGGTGTAGCATTGCTGACATGTGTGAGAGGGGACCAGGATGCTAAATGTTCTGAAATAAAAGGGCAGTCCTAAACAATGATGTGTGCCACTCAAAATGCCAACCAATTATGTTGCCATTGGGAAACACTGGAGCCTTGGAAGGGAGAGGGTGCAGAGTGAGCAGAGAAGAGGCCACCGTTAGGACAGGAGAGGACCTAGGAACAGAAAGTGAGAAGACTGAGGAAGAATAGGCAACGAGTAGTGGCATAGAAGCCAATGAAAGGGGAGAGTTTCAGGAAGACTCAGCAGTATTAAAGACAGAGAGGTTAAGAGGCCTAGCAGAGCAAGCCCTGAAATGTAAAGTAGATTGCGCCAGTGTCAGTGCTTTTCTATGGGAACTGAGCAGGGCAAAGGTGAGGAAAGCTGCTGGCATGCTTTGGGCTATTTGCAATCACTCCCATAATTATCAAGTGTTTTTTGATCAGAAATAAAAAGGATACATTTTAAACTGCGATAAGAATTTGTGAATCTGCCTAGATAAATAGTAGTGACAAATGATTCTTTCATTTCTATAATTAGCATACTGCTTGGAAGAGAGTTCTTAATGTATCTCAGTAATGCTGCTTTTTATTTGTAACATCAATATTTTATAAGAGAATGTCCTGTTTTAGTTATTGTGGTCCAGTTCCTTAATTCCCACTTCATTTTACAGATTGAGAAAGAAAGAATCAGAAAGTTTAACTCACCTATGAAGTTATGCATAGAATGCAAGAAATTTGAGCTATTAAATTCTTTATCTATGAATATTAGGTGCTTCCTCCCTCTGGTTGCTGCTTGCTTTGCTTAAAAGAAAAGCTAAATTTGCTAAGGTATTCTGAACTTATCTGCTATGGACAGAGTTCTGTCTGAAATTTCTTAATTTTGTTTGCATTTTTGTCTTTCTTCCCTCCCTCCCTCCCTTCTTCCTTTCTTCCTTTTGCCCTCCTTTCCTCCCTCCTCTCCTTTCCTTCCCTCTCCTCTCTTTCTTTTCTTTACTTTTCCTCCTTTGTTCCTTCCTTCCCTCCTTCCTTCCATTTTTCCTTTGTTCTTCACTTTCTCCCTTTATTCTTTCCACAATTTGTAATCAGAAAGAATTGCAACCAATTTCTGAAGATACATGAAACATACAAAACAGCAGCTATAAAAGGCAGAATGAAAGAAGGAAATAAGCAAAGGTAGGGGGCATTAAATAAAAAGGAGACATCTGTTGTTTCGAGGCAATGAAATAAGGCACTGAGGTAAAGTTGATATTGAGGGGTGTTCCCTGTAATGAAGGTAGAGCCAGGGATTTTATGTTACACATGGGTTGTTGGTAACTTGGGGATTTTGAACACTGCTGGTACCTGGGAATGTCAAGATTGGAAGCCACAACTTTTGGATTCTTAAATCCTAACTTTCGGCCCTAGACCACATAGAACAGATGACATTGTCAAGCCCAAATCCCTTGCCTAAGGGAAAAGAGCAGTTTGCAAGCTTCAGTGGCACCACCCAATGAAGGAATAAAAAAGGAGTGGGTGGGATGAGTAGGGATGGAATGTGCCCAGGAAAGGTGGGGCTCCCTGAGTGTCAGAGAAGGCCAGGACGAGCATGGAGTGTGTTGACTGCAAGAACTGCAAGTTGTTCTTGGCAGCCTTAAGCGTCAGGAGGTCCCATGACAAGACTGTGTTAAGGAGACAAGAAATCATCTAGAAGGCAATCCTCTTTGGGACAAGACAGAATATTTAGCAGGCTACTCAAGATGGGGTGTGTGGAGAATACAGATGTGTGGCTTAATAGTAAGGGGGGAAAAGAATTTAACACACAGGTCAAATAACATTCAGCTTGGGAGTGAAGGTCCTCTATCAAGAAGTGTTTATTGTCAGCAAGCTGTCTCATCAGAAGGCAAAACAGCACAAGTTGCAGAATTCTGGGGCATGTGGAATGCATGTTGCCAGAGTGAATGGTATGTAACAAATATGCATTTGGAGCCCTGGTATTCCATGAAGCTGCACTGTGTCCTTGCTAGTTTGTGGTATGTCGCAGGGTCATGAGCAGGTGGACGAGAGACACGCTTGCCTGCATTTCTCGCCTGAAGCTTGCTGCATACCACATCCCTTCAAACATTTTTAGATGGGCAGCAACTTTTTAGTTGTCTTCTTTTATCCTAGAATTTGTGAATTGCTAGAATACATTTGTTTATATGAACTGGACACTGTCACTCGATTCCTAAGACAAGAACCAAAGGTTTATTGACAGGCTGCACAAGCTGTTGCTTGTGACATACTTCTCCACCTCCACATGGGCCCTCCTTCCTGGCATGCAAATATTTGGGTATGAATTAGTAGGAAGAGAACCCAGGACCTGTGGACTCTTTCTTAAGGTTTGTAGAACATTGTGCTTTAGAGATTCACGCATTTGGGAGAGAATAGAACAATGGGGTTAAATCCGTGGGCTCTGAAGTTGTCTGGATTTAAATTCTTGTGTGATCTCAGGCCTGAGATTCCTCACTTGTAAAATGGAGGAGAGAAAAGATGTGTTCTTATAGAGTGTCAATGAGGGTTTAGTAAAAGAGTACATGGAAAGTGTATTTTAAAAGTTCCTGACCCACATGAAATACCCAATAAATGATAACTAGCATTGTTATGATTATGATGTTCAGAACTGAGGAAAGACCTGGCTCAAATGGCAAAGTCCCCTGTGCTGAAGTTCTGCCCATTTCCTGCTTGGACATCCCTGTCAATATGTTCCTGCCCCAGTCTTGTTCAATTTCTGCCTGGACTCTTCACCCTTCCCACAATTCTGCTTTGCTCCTGACCAAATAGGAATGGAGGCAGAGATGTACCTTGGGCTCGGAAAGAGTGAGTGGCTAGTGCTGGCCTGGGCGCCTGGGGCCAGAGCCTCAGCTCTTCTGTCCAAGGTGCTGAGTCATGAGCAGTGGTTGCAGGCCCGACTGCACCGCTGGGACTTGGCGTGGCATCTGGGGAGGATTAGCAGATTATGATCGGAACAAGACACAAAGAAATTGCAGCCAATGTTGATAAGCAATTTGGAAGGCACCCAAAGGAGGGAAAAACATGAAGGCAGACTGCAAAATCAAAGTGAGCGTGGGCAGACAGAGCCTTTTAGGGGGCAGAGGCATAAATCATGCAACTCAGAGAGGGCAAATGTTTCCTTTTCTGTTATTGTTTCTTTGGGTGCTTAAAGGAAACTATGGATGGTAATTGGATTTTGACATTTAGCCTGATAAAAAACATTTAAAATGTAGAGCAAAGGATCACTCATACATTGTGGACAGAAATGTAAAATGGTATGGCCACTCTGGAAATGATTATGGCAATTTCTTACAAAACTAAACAAGCAACTACCATATGACTCAGCAAATTGTACTTTTGGGCATTTACCCCAGAATTATGAAAACTTATGTTCACACAAAAACCTTTGTAGGAGTATTCATAGCAGCTTTATTTGTAATGGCCAAAAACTAGAAACAACCCAAATGTCCTTCAATAGGTGATCAGTTAAACAAACGGTGGTATATTCATACAATGGAATACTACTTAGAAATATAAAAGAATGAACTACTGATACACGCAACAGCTAGATGACTCTCTAGAGAATTATGCTGCATAAAAAAATCTAATATGAAAAGATTACATACCTTATGATTATATATAATATACACACATATGTATATACACATATAGTATATATTTATATGTTATATACATTGTATATAATATACTATGTATATATTATATACAGTATATTATATACAAATGAACATATATAATGTTCATTTATAATTCTGAAAGTCTTAGAACCCTTAAGAATTATGCTAAATCTACTCAGCCTGGGCCCTGTAAATGGAACAGCAGAGCCTGGATGATAGCACATCTGTTTACAGCACGGCTTACTGAATATTTTAAGTCTGCCATTGAGACCTAATGCTCAGAAAAAAGATTCAAAATATTACTGCTCATTGACAATACACCTGATCACCCAAGAGCTCTGATGGAGATGTACAGGAGATTAATATTGCTTTCATGCCCGCTAACACAACATCCATTCTGCAGCCCATGGATCAAGGAGTAATTTCGACTTTCAAGTCTTATTATTTAAGAAATGTATTTTGTAAGGCTATAGCGGCCCTAGATAGTGATTCCTCTGATGGAGCTTGGAAAAGTAAACTGACAACCTTTTGGAAAGGATTCACCATTCTAGATTCCATTAAGAACATTCATGATTTATGGGAGGAGGTCAAAATATCAACATTAACAGGAGTTTGAAAGAAATTGATTCCCACCCTCATGGTTGACTTGGAGGGGTTCAAGACTTCAGTGGAAGAAGCAACCGCAGATTTGGTGGAAATATTTAAAAAAACAGAATTAGAAGTGGAGCCCGAAGATGTGACAATTACTACAATCTCATGATCAAATTTAATGGAAGAGGAGTTGCTTCTTATGGGTCAGCAAAGAAAGTTGTTTCTTGAGATGGAATCTACTCCTGGTGAAGGTGATATAAATGTTGTTGAAATGACAACAAAGAATTTTGAATATTCCATAAACTTAGTTGATAAAACAGTGGCAGGGTTTGAAAGGATTGACTCCAGTTATGAAAGAAGGTCTACTGTGGAAAAAATGTTATCAAACAGCACCACATGCTACAGAAAAATCTTTGTGAAATGAAGAGTCCATCAATGTGGCAAACTACTTCATTGTCTTATTTTAAGAAATTACCACAGCCACCTTGATCTTTAGCAACCACGACCCTGATCAGTCAGCAGCCATTAACACTGAAGCAAGACCCTTCACCAGCAAAACAATTACAACTTGCTGAAGGCTAAGATGATTGTTAGCATATTTTAGCAATAAAGTATTTTAAAATCATGATATTACATTGTTTTTTAGACATGATTGGACACTTAATAGATGATAGTATAGTATAAACATAACTTTTATTGCATTGGGAAATCAAAATATTTGTGTGATTCACTTTATTTATTGTGATAAATTTGTTTTATTGCAGTGGTCTGGAACGAAACCCACAATACCTGTGTATATATATTTTGTGTATGTGTGTGTGTACACACACACAGTTGACCCTTGAATAACACTGGTTTGAACTGTGTGGTTTCACTTATACACAGATTTACTTCTGTCTCCACTACCCCTGAGACAGAAAGATCAACCCCTCCTCCTCAGCCTATTCAATGTGAAGAGGACGAGGATAAAGACCTTTATTCTGATCCACTTCCACCTAATTAATAGTAAATATATTTTCTCTTCCTTATGATTTTCTTAATAACACTTTCTCTTCTCTAGCTTACTTTGTTGTAAGAATACAGTATATAATACAGATAACATACAAAATATGTGTTTTAATTGACTGTTTATGTTATGTTATGGGTAAGGTTCTGGTCAACAGTAGGCCATTAGTGCTTAAAGTTTTGGGGAGTCAAAAGTTACAGGTAGAATTTTTTTTTACTGTGTAGGGGGTCAATATTCCTAACCCCCATGGTGTACAAGGGTCAAGGGTTACGTGTGTGTGTGTGTGTGTTTGTGTGTGTGTGTTTGTATTTACTGAAATAACAAATTATAGAGATGGAGAACAGGTGAGTGGTTGCCTGGGGTGGGGAGAGAAGTGGTTGTGGCTATAAATGAGTGTCATCAGGGAACCTTATGATGAAACTCTTCTATATTGTAATGGTGGTGGTGGTCACATGGGTCCACCCACATGATAAAAAGTGCATCAAAAAAATATATAAATGAGTGCAGGTAAAACTGGTGAAATCTGAATACGGTTGAAGTATTGTATCAATGTCAATAGCCTAGTTGTGATATTAAACTCCAGTTATACAGGATGTTGCCATCGGGGGAAACTGAGTGAAGGGCGTAGAGGATCTCTCTGTACTATTTCTTATAATTGCATGTGAATCTACAATTTTCTTTAAAAAGTTTCTACAAATGTAGAGTAAGCCCTTGAGATGACCCTTCTCCCTGGCATATTGACGTTGTAAATGGGATTTTGTAAAGAATATTCCATACTGGGTTTTTTAAAGCAAAGTCTCTTTAAAAGAATACTTGGTACAATTCCTTGTTTGAGGAGGGGAAGCCCAGACCGAGGGGAACTGCCAGCCCCCATAGCACCTTGGAGGACAAGATAAAGGGTGCCTCCCACAGGTGGAGGGGTGAGTCAAAGCAAATTACTGAGAAAAGCCATCTGGTACCTGAAGGCTGACAACACTGCCAGGCTGGTCAGATAGGCCTGGAACTCTCAGGGATGGAGGGAGGTTTCAGCTTGAAGGAACAGAGGATGAACATCCCTGAGTGGGGTGTCTGGGAAAAGAGGTCTAAAGCTGGACTATCAAAACATTTGTATGCATACTAATCACCTGCTAAAATGCACATTCTGATTCAACAGGTCTCCAGTGCGGCCCTAGAGTTCTACATTTCTAAAAAGCTTCTGGGCGAGGCCAGTCCTGCTAGGCCAGACACTGAGTCATGAGGGTCTAAACCAGCCACATCCTTAAGAGTTAGGTTTGTCAAAGAAGTAAATATGCAATAGAAAGGAGGATGGGAGAACAGAGGGGAGAGACAGCACTTTGGAGGTAGGTACCTTCCTCAGGGCAGTTCAGCCGGGAGAAGTTTATTTGGCAACGTCCCGTCGGGAGGCCCAAGCTAAATCAGCAGAGCAGGTGATTGCTGATGGAAGAGTTTTGACAGTGGCCAACAGCGGAAAGGACCTGGAATCAGGACAGGAAATAGAGATGCCTAATTCTCTAGGAAAAAGAGGCTGCAAGAGAGAGTTGGGCTCAAGCCTGGGAAAAGAAGGAAGAAGAATTTGTGAATTTCAGAGCTAAAGCCTGGAAGAGAGGCCTGAGATTTAGCCTGGGTGGTTAGACACTGGAGGTGGGGGCCCTCAGGACAGTGTGATCCTTCAGCCCTAGACTGCTTCAGGGGCCATGTGAAATGGAACTTGCAGTTTCCCTCAACAGCAAAGAGCTTGTTGCTCAAGAAATTTCCTCACACTGTAGTAGAAAGGGATGTGCTCAGAGGTGCTATGTGACCTGGGCAGGAGGAGGACCAAGTGAGGAAGAGGACCTGAGTGGCAGGCATTAGGGAAAAGCTGGAGCGTGAAGGAGCCTCTACGGAGTCAAGAACCACCCTGTGCTCTGTCTCACACACTTCTCTCAGGGCTTATACTAGGCACTGTGAACCTGCTTGTTAAATGGGTATATGAATAAAGGAATTCCTACATTGTAGAAGTGAAAAGTTACCTGCCACTGATGGGCGATTCATCTGGGAAAGCTTTCTGTTCATGGCTGCCTTGGGGAATGTTAATTCCACTCATCTTGAGTCTTGCTCGTCACCAGGCTAGAGTGCAGTGGTGCGATCTTGGCTCACTGCAACCTCTGCCTCCCAGGTTCAAGTGATTCTCCTGCCTCAGCCTCCCAAGTAGCTGGGATTACAGTTGTGTGCCACGATGCCTGGTTAATTTTTGTATTTTTGTAGAGACAGGGTTTCACCATGTTGGCCAGGCTGGTCTCAAACTCCCAACCTCAAGTGATCTGCCGGTCTTGTCCTCCCAAAGCGCTGGGATTACAGGTGTGAGCCACTGTGCCTGGCCTCAAGTCTCCTTTTATGTCCATTGCCACATTAAGTCATTCCTTTATGTAATTTTTTTCTCTACTTAGGATCACCCATTGATATTTGTCTGGCTAGAAGTTACCCTATTGGTCTGTGCACTCTTTTCTGAGATTTCTATTCCAAACTTGGTGTCAACCTTACTTCTTCTGTTTTCCTAGCCTGGAGGTACTTAAAAATACCTGGGCAGTGTGATAAACTATTTAGAACTAAAGTATGCATGGGGGATCAAGGTTAATGTTTACCCCTTTATGACTGCATTTACCCAGGTACCTTCATGTGTTAACACAAAGAAATGTCTTGTGATGGAGCTTTCAGAGACCATGAGGGGTGGGAGAGATATTTAGATGTAATTAACTGAGAAGACTTTTCCAGAGTTCTTCCAATCACATTTCCTCTGTCAAAATTTGTGCTTTTCCTAGCCAGGATTCAGGCTTTCTAGGAGTTGGGAGGTAAGAACAGGCCTAGTGTCCCTTAGGTCTGAGTGGAGGTAGAGCTCAGCTCACCACTGGTCATGCCCTCTTATCTGCAAGCAGCCCATGATGATTATTCTTGGCTCCCTTTGTTTGAGATCTCCAGGAGCTGTGTTATTGGCAGTGATTTTGCTAGAAATGGGTCAAGGGGCTAAATAAGCAAAATGGTCATTATCCAACTCATGGATTTGTCCTCTTAAACACACATTTGCCAGAAATCCATTCTTTCTTCAAAGCAACTATCATGTATCCATTCTCCCATCCAGCCTCTGCTGTGGGGGGACCACCTGAGATTGACCTTGCGCTCTGAAAGGGAGAACGACTCTCCAGAATTCCCCTTGCAAAGCACAGGCACTCAGACTGGTCAGATGTGAAGCTGCGGTCAAAAGGCAGGTGGAGGTCAGCGTGTCGAGTAGGTCCAGAGTCCCAGAATTCACAGAACATTGCCTTATTTTTACCATTGGTGCGAAGAGTTCTCATATTTCTTATTGACTCAAGATAGATTTGATATGGTTGCTTGGCCCTGAAGCCTATCCGCCCAACAACTGCAGAAGATCCAGAGACACACAGCCATCCATCAAATCTGACAGGCCTGCCTCCTACAGCGGCTGTATTGTTTATGAAATGAGTCACTTTCATAGCAAATCCAAACGCAGACTTGTGCAGGATTCGACAGACGCATCCCACTTCATTCTTCCCATTCTCTCCCTTCACGTGCTTGCTCAGTATTGAGTAGCAGCCCTAACTTTGCTAAGGTGGAACTGAAAAACACAAAGCAGGGTTTTTCCTCGAACAAAATCATGACATTTGGCTTCCTAACTTTAGAGTAGTTCAATAAGCATGTGTCTTCCCTTTTTTCAGCAGTGGCAAGTAGAGTGGAAAAAAGTAGCTAAGAGTAGGGGTTGCCACATGCATACTCTAAGAAATAGATTCCATTATTATTCTATTTATTGGCCACATGAAAAGAGGTCTAAAATCTTTTTTATAGCATCATTTCTCAAAAGAGGTCAAGCGTTGCCTTTTCATGAACAGTAACAGCAAAATGGAAGCCACTGATTGGCTTTTATTGATTGCAGGACTCTGAGAGGGAAGAAAAAACAAAGATTAACTTAAGAAATAGCAAAGATTTGGGGTGAAAAAGTCCTTTAATCTGGTTCACCATTATATGTAGACAGAATAGGCATAGAGATAGAATTTGAGTGGCTCCAAAGGATTCAGTCCCTCGTACTTTTTTAATGATAAAAAATGTTTTTGGAGCGAGGTCACACTTGACCATCATAATACCCTGTTACCAGTGGGCCAATGATGTTATCAGATGCTGAGCTCTGAACAACCTGATAGAACTTACCATTCAGGATATGGCACTTAAAGGGTAAGGGCCAACCAGGGAAGGGGAGGCCCTAGGGATGGCATTCAAGAGAACATTTATTGAACACTCATTGTTTGCCCGTCACTTTGCTAGGCTTCAGGGCTATAGCAGTGAATGAGACACAATCTGTGGCTTCATTGAAGGTCAGTTTGGTGGGAGACACAGATATCTACCCGGACAAAAATATAGAATATGATCAACACTATAATGGAAGTGTTATTTGATGTTATTAAATGTGTCTAATCCAGAATATTGCAAAGCCACTCCTGAGAAAATAAAACCTATCACTTAAAGAGCCTGTGAAGTTTCTCAAGACTTGTAAATAAGTCAGACATATACAACTCCTGGTGTAAGAGACAGGGACAGAAAATGCCACCAGGAATCAGTGAAATTTCTGAGGAAAACATTTAAGAAATGTAAAAGATAAAAAGCAAAAGACTTGTTATTTGATTACGTAAGGATTTAAAATTTTGGCAGGGAAAAATTCATAAGCAAAGCTGAAACTTGGAAACATGGAGAAAATAGGCCACATTAAGAGAAACATTCCTTCATATATAAAGAGCACTTACAAAAGAGAAAATTCAACAGCCTTATCAACTTACAGAAAGATGCTCAAACCACTGAAAATTAAGCAAGTGCAAATTGAAACAGAAGGAAGCAGGAGGCTGCCTTAGAGATCTGTCTGTTTCTGGCCTTGCTGGGAGGGGAAAGAGACACAGAGAAGAAACACTGAACAGCAAGCAGAGGCACAGTTTAGCTCTAGGTGACCTTAACTCATTGCTCACCAGGTTTATGGTCAAATTCTAATTTCACAGCTATTCTGGGAATGTAGTGCAAATTTGGAACAAGGAATGGAAACTCCCATCATGAGCTTAGGAATCTCAGTCTCCCTTTGCTTCTTGTCATCATCATAGGAATCACTGGTGGGGAAAGGGAGTATAGTTCTTCACTATGACAGGTAAAGAAGGGGGTTTCTGTATACAAGGCATTTCTAGAACACCTTGTGTTCAGATAGAACACTCTGCTGAAGGATCTTAAAAATCCTAAGCCTCCCAATCTGGAGACGATTACATCCCTAGAATATGTTACCCAGCCTGGCTGTCCAAGCCCTATGAGAAGATTGTTTCCAGAAAAAAAGATATTTTAATTTTGTTTTGATTTTAGCCTTTCAAGTGGCCACCTAGAGTTGTAATAACTTCCACTATTCCTGATATGTGTTGAATTGTGTCCCCAAAATTCATATGTTGAAGTCCTAAATCCTAGTACCTTGAACTCTGACTTTATTTGGAGATAGGGTCTTTGCAGAACTAATTAGGTTAAAATGAGATCATGAGAGGCGGCCTTAATTCAATGTGACTGGCTTATAAAAAGGGGGAAAATTTGATAACAAACAGGCATACAGGGAGAACCCCATGTGAACACGAAGCCAGACATTTACAAGCTAAGGAGACAGGCCTCGGAACAGATACTTTCCTCACAGCCTTCAGAAGGAACCAACCTGTGATGCCTTGATTTTGGCTTTTAACTTACAGAACTGTGGGACAATCAGTTTCTGTTGTTTAAGTCACCTAGTCTGCAGCAGTCCTAACAAATGAGTGAAGTCCCCATATTCAGTAATTTTCTTCCACATCCCTGTGTCTAGAGTAAAATTATATATAAACATATGTATATATAAATATATATACTTATATATAGCAAATATGTTTTTTATATATAATACATTCCTGGAATTTAGTTTGATATACCAAGAATAATAATGATAAAAATAATGATAAAATGTTTGCTTTGATTACTGTGGGGGGAAAATGAAATGTTCAATAGTATTAAAACAAACTTTTCAAAATATATATATTTAATATACAATATATGTTTAATATACAATATAAATGTTTAATATATATCTAAATATATATATATATATATATATATATATATATATACTTATATATAGAAAAATATATATATTTGCCATAGGGTCTCACTCTGTCACCCAGGCTGTAGTGCAGTTGTACGATTATAGCTCACTTCAGCTTCAAACTCCTGGGCTCAAGTGATCCTGCCACCTCAGCCTCCCAAGTAGCTGGGACTACTGGTGTACACTACCATGCCTGGTAAATTTTAAATTTTTTGTAGAGATAGGATCTTGCTATGTTGCCTAGGCTGGTCTCAAAGTCCTGGCCCCAAGCATTCCTCTGGCCTCGGCTTCCCAAAGTGTTGGGATTATAGGTGTGAGCCATCATGCCGGGCCAATTTTTAAGTTCTAACTCAAAAAATTGTATCCTATAAAAGTGTTTTCAGATATGGAAAATGATGGAGAGATGGTGAGGGTGTTTAACAAATATTTGCATTGTTCAATCACCCCTCTGGATGTCAGGCCCCATGGTGTGTGCTAGAGACACAATGGTGAATAAAGCAACGTTACTTCCTGGAGCCTATGGTCTGGCAGGAAAAATCAACCTCAACCCAATTGTAAGACAGTGTGATGAGAGCTTTATGTGACAGGGTGTATGTAGCCTTCTGTGCAAACAAAGGAGAGGGCCCTCAACTTGTTCTTGGGATCCGGAAACACTTCCCTGATTAGAAGTGACATCTAAGCTGAAACTTGAATAATGAATCAGAATTTGCTGGAGAAGGGGGTGGAAAATTAGTGAAAGAAAGTGAAGGCAATGTTTCCAAGCAGGTGCTTCACATATACAGAGGGAAGAAAATGTGTCTTCCATTTTGGAACTGAGGAAATAGCCCCAGGCTCATAAGGGAGCCAAGCAAAGCAAGTAGAACTGTTCCAATGGAAAAAATGCTCGGCTGTAAGCCCTGTACGGGCCACCTGGAGTGTTGAGGTGACCTTGACATTGTGGGTCACCTCAGGAGCTAAATGCAGGAGGAATAATATTGGCTGCCTTAAGCGGCGCCCCCAGGCTCGCTACCCAATCTTCCTGACCCAGCATTCTCATATCACACATTCACAGTCTGATTTGGGAGCTTCTAAAAATGTTTTGTGAGGGGACCAACCAACAAAGAAAATCCCACTGAGCTAATGGAAGAATTGTTGGGGCTTGTCCCCTGATGGGAAAGGCCACTCCCTCCTCTTCCAAACCCTTCCAAGAACCTGAAAACTGAAAGGGCCTTTTATGTTTCTGATAAATGGTTTGGCAAACATTTTTGGTTTTGGAATCATATCCTACCTGACTCGCCTTCCACTAATGCCTCTTCCTCCCCCTACACCCCCCCATCTAAATATGTTGTGTCTCCTGGCAACACAGCCTGAGCAATGAATGTGTCTCTGAAAGGTTAATGTTCTAGAGGTCGCTTCTGGGTCCTCGTCTGGGTTTTCCTTTTAACTAGTCCTGTGACTGGAAAAACATCACCTCTCATCCCTGAATCTCAGTTGCTGAGAGCGCAAACTAAGGGCAGGGGCGGGGGAGGCCTGGAGTAGGGTGGTGATCAGCTGCTAAGATCTCTCCCAGAATGAATGCTGGGATTCTCCTATTCTTTGTTTCCCAAGGCCGTTGAATTCATCCCCATGCAAGCTAACCATGGACTTGTCATTGTTAGAGGTCAGAGGAAGCAGCCTCTGGCGGTGTGGAGCCTTCATGTGACTGCTGTGTTGTCGTCAGTGTGTGTAGTGAAGATGGGAAAACATGAGCCAGCAGAAATGAACTGCCTCCCTCGGCTCTCTACCTGCCACCGTCATCCATGTCAGCCTTCCCCCTCCACCTTGCTCCCACCCGCTTCCACCCACAAATTCATCCAGAAACTTTTGCCTAGAGGAAAATTCAAGACTTATTTCTTTAATGGTCAGAATTGTGCTAGGTCAAGACTTTTAACTGTGTATTTAATTAGTCATCTGTATGCATGTAACTTAAAGGCGTTCAGCTGTGCCTTTTTATAGGATTAATAAAGCGGGTTGTAAATCACCTATGCAGCCTATAAAAGTATTTATAGCAGCTTTTCTCTCCCTTCGCCATTACAGAAGCTTTGTTTGAACTAGCTGAGGTTTGCATGGGGATAGTTCTACCCAGTTCTAGGAAGAAAGCGTTAAAAGTACCTTCCTGGCAAACCGCAACTCCATCATTAGGCAAGGCAAAATGTGCTGAAACGTTAAGCTGTAGCAAGGACATTCCAAGGCATGATTGCCAACAGCAAGCCTTCTGTGTTAATGAAAATCAAAATACAAAAAAGCTAGTCAACTGCAAGCACAAAACTTAAGCCGAACTCAAGAAATATGATCAGAGCTGGCGTTCCATGGCCGCTTGACTTCTATAAACCTTAACAGGTTTTGGCAAGCCCTTCTCCAAGCTCATGCATTTGCACTGGCAAAATACCTGTTGGAACCACCCCGGCCTCCATTCCATAGTATCACTGAGTCTGGAAAGGAACAAGCTGCCTTTTGTCTCACAGACATTCAGAGCTTTTGTGGGTAAAATGAACAGTTACCAGAACCCTTTCCTTTGTGTCAGCAGGAGGTTCATTTCTCACACCTTTTCTCCAGCCCTACCAGACAAAAGATCTCGGTTCTTAAGACAACTAGACCCATGTCATCTCCCCAATATCATTTTTCTGCAAGTCCTGCCTGACTTGAATTCTTCTAACTGAATGCAAAAGAAAGTAGCACTGATGGCTGGGCATGGTGGCTCACGCCTGTAATCCCAGCACTTTGGGAGGCTGAGGCGGAAAGATCACCTGAGGTCAGGAGTTCGAGACCAGCCTGACCAACATATGGAGAAACCCCGTCTCTACTAAAAATACCAAATTCACCTGGCATGGTGGCTCATGCCTGTAATTCCAGCTACTCTGGGGGCTGAGGCAGGAGAATCGCTTGAACCCAGGAGGCGGAGGTTGTGGTGAGCCGAGATTGTGCCATTGCACTCCAGCCTGGGCAACAAGAGTGAAACTCTGTCTCAAAAAAAAAAAAAAAAAGAAAAGAAAGTAGCATTGATGAGGATCCTGCCACAGGAGTTGACCGTAAGTTAAACACAGACATGCTTTATCATCCCATATTTCTGGGCTAACCCTGGACAGAAGCAGCCATAGGTTTGGTTTTGCAGACACAGGTTCTGAAAACTCACAGTTCACATTTCTTCTTTAGAAGAATTTTGACTGTCTAGTAATCAGCAACCACTCAGCCGAAAGAAAAAAATGAAAGAGGAAATGTTAAATCACACCACCCTCTGAAGCATAATCTGCACGAGGTTCAGACACTGAAGGCACAGGACAAGCTGTACTCTGCTCAGGATCAGGACTTCCATAAGTGGGTAGTGGTTTGCAGATTGCCCTGGCTATCAGAGGGTGAGGCACTTGGTTATTTTATTTCAGTGGCTCCTAAAGTTAATCAAACTTAGGGGCAGCTGGCTAGTGCTTTCCTATACAACTTGCATGTTGTATATTTATTCAAGCATAGAATGTAAAGCAACAGGTATGCTAATGAGGAGATAGCAGTGGGTCTTTCTCCCTGAAAATTGTCTCTACGAGTTGGGTGCTATGGGAATTTGGTTCATCAATTTTGTGAAATGTTTCCAACCTTGAAGATTGGCTTGAGGTTCTCCAAATCTCAGATGCTTTGTTTCTTCTTCTAGCTTTTTTGCTTTTCTTTCTTCCTCTCTCCCTTTCTCCCCCCACACCCACCTCTTTTTTTTTTTGTTTCTTTTCTTCTTTTTCTTCCATTTGGAAAAGATTTTCTTCTATTTGGGAAAATATGATGGCTAACTGTCCTAACATCTGACTTTAAAATATCTGATTCAGGACCAATTCTTTGTGAGATGGGATCAAGTTTTATTCGGATGGAATACCTTCTACAAAGAAAATGTGTAAAAGAAATCTAGCTTTCCTTTTGGGTATGGTTAGGTATAACTAATAGGCTATTTTATGCTTCCAGAAAAGACATTCTCTATTATATTGTTTACAGTTAGAGAACTATTCTCCTCTTTTTCTCTTAGGGGAATAGGTTGATGAAGAATTAAATACATTTTAAATTGAAATTGAGATCTATCATTGAGTTTCTTTTGATAGCTACTAACTTTTAACAAATTTATTGAGGTGTAATTTACATACAATGAAATTCACCTACTTTAAGTGTACAATTCAATGATTTTTTTTGTAGATTGACTGAGTGGTGCAACATCACAATAACCCAGTTTTAAAATATTTCATCACCCCAATAAGATCCCTTCTATTCATTTAGTTAATCCCTGTTCCTATCCCTAGCCCCAGGCAATGACTAATCCACTTTCTGTTTCTGTAGGTTTGCCTTTTCTGGACGTTTCATATAAATGGAATAATTCAGTGTGTAGTCTTTTGTGTCTTGCTTCTTTCACTTAAAATAATGTTTTTGAGGTTCATTAATGTTGTAGCATGTATCAAGAATTCATTCTTTTTTATTGCTGAGAGTATTCTACTGTATGTATATACCACATTTTATTTATTCACCAGTTTATGGACACTTGGATTATGTTCACTTTTAGGTTATTATGAATCATGCTGCTATGAACATTTGTGTGCAAATCTTTGTGTGGACATATGTTGTCATTTCTCTTGGTTAGATACATAGGACTGAAATTGCTTGGTCATATGGTAAATTTATGTTTAATATTTAAGAAACTATCAAACTTTTTTCCAAAGCATCTATACTATTTTACATTCCCACCAGCACTGAAAATGTTCCTAACTCTCCATGTCCTGGAATGTTGACTATTATGTCTTTTTTATTATGGCGATTCTAGTATGTATGATATAAATCTCCTTATGCTTTTGATTTGCATTTCCCTAATAACTAATAATGTGGACCATCTTTTTTCTGCAGTTATTAGCTAGTCATTGATTTTTTTTAATGTTTATTCCTATCTTTAATCCTTTTTTAATCGTGTTGTCATCTTATTGAATTGTAAGATATTTTTGTATATTCAGGATACAGGTCCTTTATCAGGTATAGAATTTGCAAATATTTTCTCCCAGCCTGTGGTGTGTCTTTTTATTTTCTTAATGATGTGTTTTGAAGCACAAAAGTGTTGAATTTGATGAAGTCCAAAATAAAAGTTCTTTTCTATTATGAGTCATACTTTTGGTATTGTATCTAGGAAATCTTTGCTTAACCTAAGGTTTTGAAGATTTTCTCCTAAAAGTTTTATATTTTAGCTTTTACATTTAGGTCTCTCATCCATTTTAAGGCAATTTTTGTGTATGATGTGAGGTCTGAGTTCACCTTTTTGCGTGTGGAGATGCAATTTTCTCAGTATTATTTGTTAAAAATACCGATGTTTCTGCTGTTAGATTTCCTTGACATCATTG
Source organism: Homo sapiens (assembly GCF_000001405.40). Taxonomy (NCBI): domain Eukaryota; kingdom Metazoa; phylum Chordata; class Mammalia; order Primates; family Hominidae; genus Homo; species Homo sapiens. The sequence goes on along the minus strand of NC_000005.10, from coordinate 68,541,334 downwards.
CCAAAAATCAGCTGACCATAAATATAACAGTTTATTTATCTTAATTCGATTCTATCTTTATGTCTATCCTTATGCCTATGGTTACTGCCGATTTTGATTATTGTGATATTCTGGTTATCTAAAGAGAATCAGTGCAAATGGGCTCAAGACATTGAACTGTATTTTTTTTAAAAACAATTCCTCCCCACAAAAGGAAATAGAAAAAATGCGGTAATCTAAGAAATTATTTGCATGAAAGGAGAACCCTGTTTGTGGGGCTACGATGGCTGTCATGCAGAGAAGCCCTGCTGTATCAAGTGAAAGCCCAAAGAAAATGGGAGACTTGTATTAAACAAGGGAGCGCTCGGGGGAGGGGAAGAGAGCGTGGGAGAACTGAGCCAGGTGGTCAGTTAGGGAAAACATCTATCTTCCTTACCTGCCCAAACTCATCAAAGAATGTCAACTTGGAACTCATTTAGTAAGAACCTCTAATTTTTTAAATGAAAAAGTCTCTAAAAGATTGTGATTTATAAAGAAAAAACCTCTCCTTGTTTTTCTAGGGGTAAAAAAGGCAAAAACAAAGCTACTTTGATACAGGAGACTGGCTTCTAGCTCTCCTGTCTTCTCACTCTTTCCATTCTTTCTCTAATTTATAATATGTCAGGGATCTGTCATTTTGCTCTAGATACAGACAGAACCAGCCTCTATGATTCTTTCTAAAATGGATATAGTATCAACAACACAATTGCTGTTTAAAATGACAACAATGTAGCAAGCCTAATTTCCGACATGATTTAGCACAACATGCAAAGGAGAAGGAAGACATCTGGACATTACTGAAGTCCCTTGAGATGTTTCCTGAAGGGTCCCCTTTACCAAATTATGTGTTGTAGAACATGAGTATTGAGATTGCTTCCTCAAAGGGAGTACTGTATTTTTAACTTCTCAGAGACAAATAAGAGGAGAAGCTCATGGAAGAAATATAAGCTGACTATATCGTATAAAAGCACTTTTTCTGGAGTCCTGCTGAGAAGATGTGGCCATAACTCCTAATGTACTTTGCCTGGAGTAGCCTGGGATCCCTGGGACTTCTTGAAGGATAAAAATGAGCTATAATTACTTTGGGAGCCTTCCTTATTTGTGGGTAAAATGAATTCCACATTGCCAAACACTATAATCCAAGTCCCTTTCTCATTCTACTAGGTTAAGTAAAATAATATGACCTCTAGATTCAGAAACATATTACAATGAGCATGTGACAACACATTGGTACCGGGTGATGTCCAAAAATTTTGGCTTCTCTATCATACCAGCCACTCCCTGAAGAAGGGCACTTTCAGTAGAACTAGGACATGGGACAGGTAAGTTCTGATGAATGGCAAAGGAGACACGAACAGGGTGGAATGCACAGCACTTATGCAAAAGCTTCAGATCTCAACATGTGAAAATGAATTGACCTTTCAGAATGGTAACCCATGTGGATTTTATATTAAATTTCCTTCCACATAACCAAGTTATACCAACTATCACCCTGAGTACAGAACAGGAATTTGGTGGATCTCAGCTGAGTACTACTGTCCTGAATCTGACTCACATGCCAATCAAACAAGAAGCCCCTTCCACCCCTTATACCATACCACCAAGACAGGTGCTGGAAGACAGGTAGAAACCCCAAGCCCAGGACTGGCACAGGACGAAAGATGGGGGAAACTGTGTCTCCGCACCCATTCACCTGCTTTAGACACCCCCTCTTTTTGTTTTCCTCTCTTCCTTGCTGCCCCTAGAGCCCTGCAGTGGCTGCTTTTTCACTCAGTGTCTCCTCCTAGATCTGTACACTCAGAAAACACCTTCCTCATTGCCTACCTCTTCCTCAAAACAAACCCATCCACCTGTTCTAATGGGCTCTCCAAGGAGAAGGCAGCAATCCACTCACACAGGCTGCTAAAGACTGACTGTGTTAAGGATTCTAATGGGCAAGTCTCTAAAACACTACAGAGGTGATATTAGTTGACAGAAGCTTGTTGGAAAAGGATTTAGAGGCTAACAAGGGCTTTCAAAATCACACAGCTTTGTGGCCCGAAACCCCCTCCACCTACACTCCATAGCCTCTCCCTCTCTCCTTGCAGAAGCCCAGAGAAGCCAGGCTGGCCCAGGCCACATGCATGAGGGAACAATCCTGATGCCTCTTTAGCCTTGTTCTGCATGATTAATTGAGGTTATTGCATTGAGACTCTTGTCTGATTGTGAAAAAAATTATCCCAAGGTGGCCTCAGATTCTTTGGTTAGTCATTGCCATGCCTTAGGGCTCTTGTGAGCCCTGGACACACAGCGACAACAACCAGCCACCGGCTGCCTTCTGCTCTGTGGCTCAGATACTTTGTTCGGACCATGCTGTGCTCCCAGCTTGGCTTCTGTTCCATGGAAACTGTGAAGTGCTTATTGTCCTGGGGCTGGTTGGGACTCAGGAAAGCTGTACGGGATGAGAGCTGTGCAGGACGAGAGCTGTGCTGGAGGGTAGGCTGCTTGCAGGATTTAGGGAGGAGGAGTGGAGCTGCTGTCAGACCCCAAGTTCTGGTGGGGCTTCCCAGACCTTTCCTTACTCCAGGGATCCAAGAAAGGGCTTAAGGGAAGAGTTGGTTGTGGAAAAAATATACAGAGGAGCCCTGTGGTGACACAAGGCATGGTGGGGTGGATGGGCAGGGATGGGGTAAGGCCAAGGAAGCCTGAGTAGACCTGGCTTTGGCTTGTGAGCCAAGCTCATTAGCAGCAATTTCTGGAAACTAACAAGAAAAAAGTATTTAGCAACTGTCATGAAAAGACTCAAATAACTTTTGAAAATAGAGTATTTTCCCCCTGATTATAAAACTTCCATGTTTACTGTAGCAAACATAGAAAACACAAAAATCACCAATGAAAAGACAAAAATTACCCAAACAGGGGTAACTGCTGTTAATCTGTTAACATTTGGTATGCATTTTCTGAGCTCTTTTTTTCCTTATACATATAGAAATCATATATGTGTATATACACACTTTTTTAACTAAAGGAGGAATCATATTTTATTACATCCTGCCTTTTCCACTCAGCATTATATATTTTTCTATAACATGATTTTAATTGCTGAACATTATTCCGTCTTTTTCCTGTACCACAATTTACTCAATCAAACCCCTATTGTTGGACATTTATGTTGTCTCTAATTTTTCCTAATTATACATTTTGCACATAAGTCTTTGCTCACCTTCATAATTATAATCCTTAAAATACATTTCTAGAGAGGAATATGCACATTAAATTTTTATACATACTGTCATATTTTCTTCCAAGAAGACTGTTCTAATTTATATTTCCACCAGCAGTATATGAAATGTATCTTTGTCCTTGAAGCCTAACACTGGGTAGACTATATCTTTGTGAATCTTTGTCAAGGTAAGAAACACAAAGTTCTATCTCTTTATTTTAATTTCAATCTTTTTCCTTATTAATGTGATTTGGTATATTGCCAATAAGTGGGGTCTTTCTAATTTTAATTGCTCTAGAAGATCTATTTATATATTGGAATCTCTTCTTTTTGTTTTATATAATGCAAATATATTTCTAATTTGTCTTTTCCTTTTAATTTTGTTTTATAATTATTTGAAGTCATATAGTCAAATGTATTGATCTTTTTACTTTAGAGTGTCGATGCTTGATGCTATTTAGGAAGATTGCTTCCATCATGGGATATAATGGTCATTTTTTGCCTAAAATTTAGAAGTAATATTTTAATTTTACTAGAAACTCTTTAATCCATTTATACTTTGGGGACACATGGTCTAAAGTAGGAAATTTAACTTCCTTCATCTTCCCGCAGAGGTTAATCTATTTTCCAGTATCATTTATTGAATAATAGAGTCATCCTTCATCAATATAAAATGCTACCTTGTTGATATATTAAGTACTTATGCATGAACACTATTTCTGGATGCTTTATATAATTTCATTGATCTATCTGTAGAATTCTGAAGCAATACTACACGACTTTAATGATCATAAATTTATTCTACCCTTATATTTATGTATCCTTTTTTCTTCTCAATGTCAGTTTGTTAGTGTTTGCTTCTTTTTTACTGAATCCTTTTTCTCTTTATTTTGGTATTTTGGCTTTGTTTATAATGTGTTCAGAGAATTCTTAGTATACGTTCCCTTCCCCCTTTATTTAAAAATACATTTAATATTATAAATTTGCTTCTGATTACAACATTGCTTCCATACTATAGATTTTAAAATATAATATCCTAATTATTATTGTTTCCTAAGTATTCTTTAATTATAGTTTTGACTTTTTCTTTGTCCCAAGAGGTATCTTTAAAAGCACCTTTGGATAATCAAGTAGTAGTTTGAAATTTTCATACTTTTATTTCAAATAAAATATAAGATATCTTGCTTGGAAAACTTACTGCTGTTTTCTCTGTGATGTAAAGCATGTCAATGATCTGTCAATGGGGTCCAGAAGTCAAATGATATAAAATGAGCCATATCAATTATATTTATCAAATTCTCTTTCTCCTTATTTGCTTTTTTGCCCCTGATCTGTCAAAAATTTATTAGAGTTTTTCCCAACTATTGTTCTGTACATCATTTCGTATGTTCTAGGCTTTTGCTTTATGTATTTTGATGCTGTGTTATTCTGTAACTCACATGTTACTGTATCTAAGAAAAATATCACCAGTAATGGGACAAATTATGTACCACCTGATAAGATGCAATCAGAGCATCAATTCTGTGTTGTTTCTGCCAAAATATATAATCTCATATAATCATGAGGAAATTCCAGATGAACCTTAAGTTGAAGGATATTCTGCAAAATAACTGGCTTGTAATCTTAAGATCCCAACCCTTAAAGTCACTAAGGTCAAGGAAAGACTGACAAATTGTGCCAGATTGATAGGGATTAAAAGACATGACAATTCATCTAACACACCATCCTGAATTGGATCCTTTTACAATTAAGAACACTACTGGGACAATTGGTGAAACTTGAATGGGGTCTGTGGATTAGATGGTAGTAATGTATCAACGTGCATGTCTCAGTGTTCATGTTGGTACTGTGGTTATGTAGGGAATATATCCTTTTTTTGAAGAAATTACAAACTAAAGTATCTGGGGATGGTGGTACATCACGTCAGCAACTTACTTCCAAAAGGCTTAGGGAAAAAAGAGTTCTTGGTACTTTTGAAGCTTTCCTATATGTTTGAAATTATTTTAAAAATATTAAATTAATATGAATATATTCTGAGTCATCTGGACCTCCTCTTTACCCCAAATCTTGCCATATAATTGGTCTTTACTGCCATTGGTGCCAATTAGCATCACTATAAGTGGTGGTGTTTGGCTTTTGAATGTGTTAGTTAACATATTTGAGTGCTCTGTGTCCAGAGGGGCTCAGCTAGCAACCTGAGCAGTGAAGTAGTGCAAAATTGGGAGAAGTGGGGAGAGGGAGCAGCAAGGGCTTGTAACAGAACTTCCTGGAGACACGCAGAGCAAGGAAGTATTGATAGTCCCCAGGTTGCAGTTGGAGGCTGAAATCTGGTTCACAATGGAATAGAATGAATTCTGCTGAAAGCAGTGACCACTTTGCCTCATTTTTTTTTTTCAGGGGTGAGACAAAATGTGCCATGAGTGATGGCCTTTGGTGATCTACAGACATCCCTGGCTCTAGCAATCATTTGTGTAGGGAGGTAAGCAGACAAGTCATTGCCAGGAGACTTAGATTCTTGTCTTGTCCCTTCCGCAAACTAGCTGTGTGACACTGAGAAAGTCTCTTAAGCTCATAATAACTGGATTTCCTGTTCCATAAATGAAGAGGCTGGCATCTCAGGTTCCTTCTAAGTTTCAAATTATAATTTTGACACCACTGAGTATGGATGTTTTAAGAACCTGAAGGAAAGAGAGATCCATTTGATCTGGAGCTGGTAGAAAAGCCATCAAGGAGTAGCTGGGAGAGGAAACAGGCGCCTCGGGGGAAGACTTCAAGAAAAGGCAGAGGGTTGGAGTGAGAGGTAGAGACAGTAGAGAAAAAAAGCCTGGGGCTGGGGAAGGCGTGGTGGGGTAGGGGGTGGTTCCACATCTTTCACCCACAGGAACTCCAGCCCATGAAGATCCTGGCACAAGTTTCTGCTTTTAAGGTTGTTCTGTGGATGAAACTCCCGAAAGCTGTCGGTACCATTAGGAAATGATTAGCTATTAAATGCCAAATCTGCTGCCTTACAGTATAGTTACTCGTTAGTGTTTTAAGGGGATGTTATGCTTGTTGTTTTCTTAAACTAGTAGGCAGACAAGAGGAGAGCAAAGGGAAAGGGAAAGAAAGAAGAACTCTAAAAATTAATTCGGCATTGCCATATGAAACGTCATGGGCCATGGTTGGGCCTTGGGAGTGCTTTATTATTTTCTCCCTGTCTCTAAGAAAAGGTCTGGGTATGGTCCGTGTGGAAGAACAGAAAGCAAAAGAAACAGGGACTCTAAATGGTGGAATGACCCAGGGGAGCTCAGTGGCCCACATACCTCTCATTCCAGTGACCCCAATACCACGGACCCACAGCCATGTGCACCCCCTCCCTGGGCTCTGCATGCTGTGGGGGTGCCCTGGCTTTATCTCTTGGTGACAAAGTGGTGCGATACCTCCTGGCTCAGCCTGGAGAAGCTGGGCAGAGAGGAATCTGTCCCATGGGGCATATATCAGGCTTGGCTGGCCCTGTGGTTAGGAAATTCTCTGCATTTATCTAAAGCAAATAAAAATGTGGGCAGCCTGTCTATTTGTGAAAGGCAGACAAACGCAGCCCAGAGGAGAGAAGAGCCTGTACCCGATGGCTAAATGGAGCGTGGAGCCCTGGCAAGGAGGAGAGAGAAACGCAGCCTGGGCTGGAGGCCATGGGTGGCCCGCCTGGTGGGAACAACATTATTCCGCCCCCTCTCCTGCTTTCTGTGGCTGGGAACACAAAGAGAAAGAGGGTGGGGTGGGGGGGCTTGGCCTCTCTCCCTGCAGAGGTCGGTCCACTGGCCTCTAATGATTATTGTGTTTAATGAATTGCAGCTTGTAAAAGGCTTTGAAGCTAGAAGGCAAAGCCTGAACACTGAGGATTCTTTTTCTTAAATCATTTTATTCTATGACTCGAAAAACAAAATCCCGCTTGAGCAGAGAGCAACAGTCAAGGCTGCCAAACTCCACTTGTGGTAACTTTTTTTTTTTTTTAAACAGCAGTTAAAAAAATATGTGGACTGCAAAATGTGTACAAGCCAAAGCACAAAAAGACAATGGACATGACATTTAGGCAGGAGGTGGGGGAAATGCAAAAGGGACTTCCTCTGGAGCAGTAACAATTAGCCCCATTAGCTTGTGCATAACCCATAAATGTAAGGTACAGGGAAATGGTGGGAGCGAATCATTGTGGTGCCCCTGGGAACATCTCTCTAGGCTGGAACCATCTCACTAACCGGATGTAAAAAGATCATATGGTGTGTGTCTTTCAGTGGCAATTAACCTCAATTATTATCCTATAGTCCATAAAAACAGCTGCATGGAACAGGGTCTGTGAGGGATCCGTATCTAGGTCTGGAATCTCCTCACAGTTCTCCAAGAGAGTGACTATGTTTGGGGCATTTTCAGACATGCTATAAATCCTAACTGGCATTGTTTGCTCCCAGCGATAAAAGAAAGGGTAGCAGGTGTGCCTCCCAACCAACCCTTTATTGCCTGGGCATGTGACAGCATTTTGCGGCACCTCAGTAATGAGCCAGAGAAGAAGGAAAGGCAGATGAATTTGCCAGCATTATTGCAGGTATCTTGAAGGAGAGTTGAGCCCAGCTTTTCAATTCATACAGATCCTTTCTCTGAAGAACCCCTTCCTGATATTGTCACTTTAACACATCTCTGTGGTTTTATTTTGAAATTTTTAAAGGTATGTTGTATTTGTATTTTCCTTTATTAGCATAAAATCAGCATTTCTGCAGATATCAGAATAGTTGCATGCTTGTTCCTTGGAAACATTTAAAACATTTTTGTTCCTCCCCCAGTGTTTTGCTGTTCTCTTCCCTCTTCTCTTCCCCCTCCCCTCCTCACTCTCTTTTCACCTCCTCCTCCTCTTCCCCCTTCCCTACTTCCTCTTTCCCCGACTCCTTCTCCCTCCCTCCCCGCTTTCTCTCTGCTTTTGGCAATTTATTTTTCTAATTCTTTTACACATTTCTAAGGTTTTTACCATTTATATAATCTCATGCTTATTTGCACTTCCTTTTCCCATTCATTTTTAACAAGACTAAAGAAATACTGCATTTGAGTTATATTTGTCCACATCCCTATACTCTATCATCTTGATCAGGTGTCCCTGAGTATCTCTGTTATAGTGTGTTCATGGACAGGTGTTTGTTGCCCATTCTCCTTTCCTACCCTGCTTTAGGTTGTGCTCTGATCTACCCTAAAACCTTTTATGCGTTTCTCATTCTTTCTCAAATCTGTCTTCATTTAAACATTTTTCCTTGTGGCTAATGGGTTTTTTATGTTTTATTTTTTATGTTTTTTATTTTTTTATGTTTTATGTTTTATTTTTTAATGGGTTTAAAGGCCCTGGTTCTATAATCCATGTAAATGCCTTTGTTATTTTTCCATCATACACCCTTTCTTGATTTTCCTTTCTAAGTTGCTTATCTTTCTCCTCCACTTTGCCATCTTTATTTACCATGTGCCTTTCCAAAAAGGCCATATACCATAAAAGAAACAAAATTCTGGGTTCCAGCCTTGACTCAATTAGATCTGAAGCAAATTACATAACCTCTTAGCCCCAGCCTCCTCAACTATGAAATGGAAATTGAAATTGCAAAGCCAAGTTCACGGAGATATGATGATGATTAGATTGAATAGCATAGCTGAAGCCCCTAACTCAGTGCCTGGTATATTATAGGAATATTCAACCACAAAGGTTAGGCTCCCTTTACTGTTTTAGGCCAATCCTGTTCGTTTTATAATTTCTTAATAAGAAATAACTTTCTATGAGTCTTTCAATATAGACAGGTAGAACCTGAAGCCTCATTTCCCATTTTTGTTATGTTCTGACTTTTCAGTATTGAAACAAAAAAATTCTTGGTCTACCAGTAAAGTAGGCTTTGGTCACTTCAAACTTCCTCTTTGAGGAGCACAGCTCCTCACAATAGCTCCATGAGGGCGTTGGAGGCATGAGAACCCTTGTGTTATAGAGGCTCAGGCAAACCACAGAAGTCTGCTCCAGCACTGGGTGTAGTTGTACCCCATTCTGAAAGTCCTCGCAGTCCCAAGTGAATGCGAAAGAAGAGAGGAGTGGCTGTTTAAGGTCCAAGACATGGCTATTATTAAGGGAAGAAGAGTGGGGAAGAGGAGTCATGTTAGCTCCTTGCCCAGTGTAATCAAAGTGCCGGTTGTGTCTATTTCAGGTACAGTCATGTGCCGCATAATGACATTCAGTCAATGACAGACTGCATATATGAGGTGGTCCTGTAAGGTGATAATGGAGCTGAAAAATTCCTACTACTGAACGACATCATAGCCATTGTAACATCATAGCACAACCAATCACCTTTTCTATATTTAGGTATGTTTATTTAGAACTGTATTAGTCCATTTTCGTGATGCTGATAAAGATAAAACCAAGACTGGGAAGAAAAAGAGGTTTTAATTGGATTTATCATTCCACATCTCTGGGGAGGCCTCAGAATCATGGCGGGAGGCAAAAGCCATTTCTTACATGGCAGCAGCAAGAGAAAAATGAGAAGGGTGCAAAGGCGGAAACCCCTGATAAACCCATCAAATCTCTTGAGACTTATTCACTATCACGAGAACAGTATGGGGAAAACTGCCCCTATGATTCAAATTACCTCCCATGTGTCCCTCCCACAACATGTGGGAATTATGGAAGTCCAATTCAAGATGAGATTAGGGTGGGGACACAGAGCCAAACCATGTCAGACCCACAAATACTTACCATTGTGTTACAATTGCCTATAGTATTCTGTACAGTAACATGTTATACAGGTATGTAGCCCAGTAGCAACAGGCTATACCATATAGCCTGGGTGTGTAGTAGGTTAGGTTTATGTAGATTCACTCTGTGATGTTCACATGATGACAAAATCACCCAATGAGGCATTTCTCCGAATGTATCCCTATCATTAAGTGACACATGACTATATTTCATTTCATTGCACTGCATCAGCTTTACTATTGAATCAACCAATGGTTAGCTAATCCATAAGAAAATTGTGAGCAATAACATAAGACAGGGAGAGACAGAGAAAGACAGAGAGAGACACACCCTCACAGAGAAAGAAAAACTCAAACTCAGGTAGTGAGGTCGTAGCTGTTTTGGTGGCTAAGTTCACTGTAGGGTTGAAACGGTGGGGCCAGCGTTTCTCAAGAGACACAGAAATGCAAAGTATTCTAAATTCTGAGAACCTGCCCTAGGACTGTGATGGTGGAGAGAACCACCACAGTAAGATCAAGTCCTGCCCACATGAAGGAGGCATTCACTTTAAAGTAGAGAGCCTCAATTAAGGATGTGTGTCCTGGATGTCCTGAGCCACCGTAAAGAAGTTTTATCTAAACTGGGACATTGTTACACGAGAAATACAGACCTCTAACTCTCCATTTTTTCTGTTTTCCTACCTGGCCTTGGGCACATCAGTCAGTGTTCTCAGATTCTCTTTTAGGAAGTAGGGAAGGGAGGAGTCAGAATAGTGTTCTGTATTTGAAGTTCTTCCCTGAATAAGTAGCCTTTTAAGAGTGTGATTGTGGGTGATCATACTGAGGCATGAGAGCAATGGTTCTCAGAGTTTGAGCCCCTGATCTACAGAATCAGAAATTCTGGGGTGGGACCCAGCAATCCTTGTTTTGACAAGCCCCCTAGGTGATTCTGATGCAGGCTTCAGTTTGAGAGCCACTGAATTTGAGCACAAGGTTTAAGAAAACAGACTATGTTACCTGATTTCTAATGTCAGCTCTGCAATTTACTAATTGTGTGACATCACAGGGCTGTTACAAGTATTAAATGAGAAAATGCCTGTAAACAGGATTTTAACAACATCAGAATTACAGCTGGCACTCAATAGATGGTACTTATAAACTTGGGGGAGGGAATGAGCTGTGAGTCTGCTTGGTGAGAGACTTGCTAAGGGAATTTCTTATTTTTGCATTTCAAACTTCTGTCCACCTTGTTGAACGTCCTGGGTTCTGAATGACATTGTCTTCCTTGTATCTCACTACTATCGACAAAGTGTGGAAAATGTCGTTTTGTGGGGACACTGCTGGTGTATAGAATGACCCCACTAAGAGCAGTGAAAACAGGCTGGCTGACACCAGAGCTGCACCTTATTTTGTCTTTTGAAACTGGGTGGAGGGATCAGGAGTTACCCAGTTTTTTTTCCCTTTGGCGACAATGTTCTTCCTGAACCATGAGGAGTAATGAAGAGAGAAATATCAACATTTTTGTGGTTCAGCTGACATTAAAATGGGAAAAAGCACATCACCAGAATTAGAATGTCCTGTTCATTAGTCACTCTTCCTTCTAAAATTAAAATGTCTCTGCAAGCAGGAAAAGAACAAGCCCTCAATGACCTCATAACTCATTATTTCCAAGGAATATACTTAATTCCCAGCAGAGATGAATCTGGAATCGATTTTCCATTTCTGTCAGCCATTGAATGGCGGCCTCATGGATCCTTCTGAAGGAGAATATGTACTTTTTGTGGGGTTGGCAGGGGCTGATGAAGAGAGCTGGTTGCTGTTGTCGGTGACCTTGTTTGTGGGCAGCTGCTGAAGATCCATTTTCTGTTGCAAGCCATTCTGAGCCTTTCAGAAACCAAGAAGGAGGTACTCAGTCAGGCTTTTTCATTGTAAGGCTTTTCTGTCTTTGCACATGACCACTCTTACAGCTGAAATCCCTTGTCTGGGCCATTAGAAAAAAGTGTGCCAAGCACTAACTGCTGCTAAGGGGTGAGAGGGAAGGGAACTGGAACCTTCATTAACACTAACATAGTCAGAAAGAGGGTCTGTCTGATGATTTCTGTAATATCCTTTGCCTCCACATTCCCTAGACCTCTGAGCTTGAGGTTAACCAGAGCTGTAGCTGAACTATAAACTTTCAGAGGGCCCCCTCCGCAGTGCCAGGTTATACCCATTCCTTAAGCAAGTGGTATAGTTCAGTGTTCCTCTCTGTGGTTAGAACAGAAAAAAATTTCTAGACATGGTTCAAGTATCTCATACTATGACAAGCTGGGTCAATACTAGACACCTATGTGAGTAATATAGCCATTATCACCCCCTCAAAGTCAACAAACTAAGAATGTAGATCATCACAGAATTCAGCAGTGACAAATTCACCCCCAACCTCAGTGAAATGTCTGCTGATTTTCAAATACAGTTTTCATGTTGAATTTACAGTTACCAGCTGTGCAAACATAAGACGATAGGAATGGAAGTCACAAATGAACCACGCCTCAGAAAATGTATACTAAATTTAGCATTTTGTAACTTAATTCCCCATAAATATGCTCACATTCATTTTTATGGCATTAATTAAATTGAAATTATGCTTGGGGCAAATTATTTGCTCAAGGCAAAAAACAAATCATGATTATATGATGCAAAGTCGCTGAATGATGAGTAAATCTATATTTCCTTAGATATATTAACAACCTTAATAAATTGCATTTAAATAGCAGTTTTACATATAACACTCTAATTTGAGCCATTATTTAGCAGCATTGTCTCCCTAGGATGATAGTATAAGTTTCTAGGGACCTGGTCAGGAGACTGTTTCCCCATGGGCCCCTTGCTGACTTGTGTCTTTGTAATAGGATGAATAATAGCCCCCAAAGACATTAGGTCCTAATCCTTGGAACCTGTGAATAGGAAACCAGGCTCTGGGGGCAGAATATGTGAGTTCAAATTTTACCTCTACCACTGCAAGCCATGTAACCTTGGGCATGACTTCTCGGGTTTCAGTATCCTCACATGAAAAATGAGAATTATAATAGTTCTTATCTCACAGGGTTTTTGTAAGGATGCTCTGAGATATACAAGTATATAGCATAATATCTCCCACTAAGATTAGGCACAGATAAGGATGTCCTCTCTCAGTAGTTCATGTTGGAAGTTCCAGCTAATGCAATAAGACAAGAAAAGGAAATAAAAGATACGCAGATTAGGAAGGAAGATATAAAACTCTCAGTTCGCAGAGGACATGATGTAGAAAATCAGAAAGAATTGACAAAAACAAAACAAACAAACAAAACAAACAAAAAACCCTCCTAGAACTAATAAGCAATTAGAGCAAGGTTGCAGGGTGGTCAATCACTTCTATATACCAGCAATGAACAAGTTAAATTTGAAATTAAAAACATTATACCATGTATATTAGCACTCCCCAAAATGAAATAGGTATAAATATAATATATACAATATCTATATGAGGGAAAATACAAAATTCTGATGAAAGAAACCAAAGAACAACTAAATAAATGGAGAGATATTTTGTGTTCATGGGTAGGAAGACACAGTATTGTCAAATATTAGTTCTTCCCAACTTGATTTATAGACACAGCAAAATCCCAGCAAATTTTTTTGTGAACATCGACAAACTGATACCAAAGTGTATATGGAGAAGCAAAACACCAAGAATAGCCAACACAATATTGAAGTTTAGAAGAACAAAATCAGAGGACTGACTTTACCTAATTTCCTAATTACCTTATTTCAAGCCTTACTATAAAGCTACAGTAATCAAGACAGAGTAGTAGCAGGAAAAAAAAAACAAACCCAGATAAATAGATTAATGGCACAGAATAAAGAGCACAGAAATAGACCCATATAAATATTGTCAACTGGCTGGGTGCGGTGGCTTACGTCTATAATCCCAACACGTTAGGAGGCTGAGGCAGGTGGATCACCTTAGATCAGGAGTTCAAGACCAGCCTGACCAATATGGTGAAATCTTGTCTTTACTAAAAAAAAATACAAAAGTTAGCCAGGTTGTGATGATAGGCACCTGTAGTCCCAGCTACTTAGGAGGCTAAAGCAGGAGAATTGCTTGAGCCTGGGAGGCGGAGGTTGCAGTGAGTTGAGATCGCGCCATTGCACTCCAGCCTGGGCAACAACAGTGAAACTCCGTCTCAAAAAAAAAAAAAAAAATTATCAATTGATTTTTTACAAAGGAGCAAAGGCAATACAATGGAGAAGACAGTCTTTTAACAAAGGTGCTGGAATAACTGGACAGCCATGCACACACACAGAAAAGAATCGAGACACAGACTTTACATCTTCACAAAGGTAATGCAAAATGGATCATACACCTAAATGTAAAATACACAATTATGAAACTCCTAGAAGATAACATAGGAGAAAATCTGACAACCTTGGGTTTGGCAATGACTTTTTAGGTACAACACTGAAGGCACCGCCCATGAAAGAAACAACTGATAGGCTGAACTCCATTAAAATTAAAAGCTTTTGCTCTGCAAATACAAGAGAATGAGAACACAAACCGTGAGTAGGAAAAAATATTGCAAAAGATATATTAGATAAAGGACTGTTATCTAAAATATACAAAGCATATAGCACAATGTTTGACCCAGTTAGTGCTCACTAAATATTAGCTATTACTATTATTTGACTATCACTAGTTCGTGTTGCTTCAGAGTCCCTTCATTTCCATCACTTTTCATCAGTTAATTTTTTGTTAGTAGCAGTTGGTTTACGCTAGTTAAGTATGTCTCAGTCAAATCTTGATAGTAGGCTGGCGGATTTCATCAAGAATTTATTGAGCTCATCTTCCAGACAAACCTTGATGACACAGAGGAAATGTGTTTGCTGGACCTGGGGTCATGCAACAGGCCCGTGAAGGCCATCTGCTGTTGGGCATATTGGAGGTAGCAGCAAGAAGAGCCAGCAGCTTACAGGCTCACTTCACTCTACTACCTCCTCAGTGAGAAAATTGGGTGGGGTTAATGACAGTAGGTGCAACCCTCAGGGAGCAGACATGGCTCTGCATCCCCTGGCTATGTAGAGTGGGCTGTGGAGAACCGACTAAACCAAACTAGGAAATAGTACAATTCTAGGGAAACACCTCCTTTCCCTGTCCACTCCCATATCTCGAAGAGTTGGCTTTACAAAGTCTAAATTTCTCTCTCTCTGAAGTTCTGGGGCCCATCTTTTAGAAGCGGTTCCCTCTTGGGGAAGACCTCTGGAGAATCCCCTCTCTCCTTGCCTACCAAGTGCTGTGGGTGCCACCATCCACACTGCCATGGAACTCACAGAGGCAGGGAAGCTGCTCAGGAGCTTCTAGGTGAAGTTTGTGTGGAGTTTGGTTCACAGTAGAGAGTGGGTTGTGTGTGAGTCCAGGGTGGTAGTAATGGTGGCCCTGAGAGTGTGTAATGCATCCTCCACCATCATCCCCACCCCAACATCTCTCTAGTTCTTCCCTCTGGGCCACCTCCTGCTTAAGTAACAAGCTTCCTTCAGCCCCTGTCAAATGAATTAAAGAATAGCTTTAGAGGAATTATACAACGTCATAAATGAAGATTAGTGGGTTTTTTTTTTTTTTGGTGGGGGGGAGTTGAATAGAGTCTTTATTAATGTTAATTTCACCTGCTTCTTTATTTTAAAATTCCAGGGTACATGTGTAGGATATACAGGTTTGTTACATAGGTAAACGTGTGCCATGGTGGTTTGTGAAGATTCGAGTTTTAGAATTTGGGTTTCTCTCTTATTGTTGGGACTATTTAATTGCTTATTAGACACCCATGAGGTGTTGGCAGCATATGGAAGATGTAGGGAGGTTTCCTGATCAGTGGACTTATATTCTTATCAAAAATGACAGAACAGCTGGGCGCAGTGCCTCATGCATGTAACCCCAGCACTTTGGGAGGCTGAGGCAGGCAGATAACCTGAGGTCAGGAGTTCAAGACCAGCCTGGCCAGCATGGTAAAACCCCATCTCTACTAAAAATACAAAAATTAGCTGGGTGTGGTGATGTGCGCCTGTAATCCAGCTTCTAGGGAGGCTGAGGCAGGAGAATTGCTTCTAGGGAGGCTGAGGCAGAAGAATTGCTTGAACCCAGGAGGTGGAGGTTGCAGTGAGCCAAGATCACACCACTGCACTCCAGCCTGGGTGACAGAGCAAGACTCTGTCTCAAAAAAAAAAAAAAAAAAAAAAAAAAAAAAAAAAAAAAAAAGATAATGAAGAGCTGTAACAAAGAGACACATCAGGTAGGGTTAGACAGACCTTCCCAGTAAGTTTTTAAGAGCATTTCATTTCATTTCCCCTTTGCCCTTGGGTCTGTTCCTCTGATCTATCAGCCTTACATCAGTAAGAATGAGGAGCAGGTAAAAGTAAGCGGCAGAGTATTGCATTATATCGTCTCTGAACATGTGGAGCATAATGAAGGCTTTGAAAGAGCAGAGAGAGAGAAGAGTTTGACAAACCAAATTTTAGAGCATGTGCAAGTAAAAGTAATAGTGACTGAGAAAAATAAAGTGAAAGAATGGAGAAAAACATAAAACTTAAGTATTATTGACTTCACTGGCGAAAGATGGGAATTGGGTGCCCGATACTTCACTTGAGGGTTTTAGGCTTTTTGAAGAGGAGGATGAGTCTATGAAAACACAACTAAAAACACAGAGAAGTCTGTGTGTGTGTGTGTGTGTTTTAAGGGACAGAAGCCACCATAATATGGGAAGCTGCTCAAACATGGCAATCCCTGTTCTACCTTCTGCTATTAGCTGACTGCCTCTGTGATAAACCTGTATCAGTTAGAATTAGCATTGGCTGCAAGTAACAAAGTCCCCAGTTCTAGTAGCTTAAACAAGTTAGTTTATTTTTCTCTTGTGTGCAAGTAGAAGGTGGGCAGTCCAGGACTGAAATAACCCCAGTCCTCACAAAGTCCTCAGAGACTTGGGCTCTTCAACTTGCTGCTCTGCTATCTTTAGAGCAAGACCTTTGTCATCGAATAAGGGGGTTAGAGCTCAAGTCATCACATCCAAGTTACCAGCAACATAGTGAAGGGAGGGTTGGCGAGGAAAGGGGCAAAGAGTATGCTTCAGCTTTCTTTTAGGAAGGTTACTGAACCTGCGTGACACTCCCCTCTATTTCCCAGTGGTCAGAAATTAGTGATATGGACACATCTTGTTGCAAAGAAAACCAAGAAACATGGCCGTGAGCCCAGCTAGAAATTTAGGTTCTATTATTATGAAAGAAGGTGATCAAATTGCCATTGTAATTTCCTAAATCTTAGTTTTCAATAGAAAAATGTGTCAACAATGCATCCTGGTGTAGCCTTCTTAAGTATCAAAGTAAGACTGCCATTATATGCAATGTAAAAAGATGTGACTACTTACAACTTCAGGTTGGTAATCAAAGAATCCAGCTTCCTTCCATGATTCTGATAAGTCTGAACAGCTCTTCTCAAGGGTGTCCTAATAGTTACTGAGTTTCCACTACAAATTGGAATAAGAGCCAGGCATAACTGGACTGAAATCCTGGCTCTCCCATTTACTAGCTGTGTGACTGAGCAGACCAATTAAGCTCTCCAAGCCTCAATTTCATCCCCACAATGGGCATGATACCTGTGCCTAAGGATATTGTTAGGACTAGACAGCAATACATATATGAAATACGTGAATACAATTAATAAGACCTTTCTTCTGTTCCCTTCTCTTTTAATATACATTATCCTTTCTCATTTGGAAGCTGCTTTTCTGCTCTCTGACTATGTCTTTCCAAGAAGTCTTTTTCTTTCTGGTATGGATCTTTATCACCCAATTCACATAAAGGGGTAGTACCAGCAGACCCAAGCTATACCACCAACTACAGCAATTGCCATGCTGACATCAAAAACAGGAAATTCACTATAACCAGGAAAACATTCTATGGACTAGTGTTCAACAAGAAACATGCAAAACATACACAGCTATATCTAAGACTTAAATAAATATACACACAAATGAGCAGAGGCATAAGCATTTATATTTTTATAAGCAACAGATCGTCATAGCTGAACCTTACATTTCCTGAAAGAGCTGAAGCAAATATGGTCCCTAAACTAGTTGCACGCTGCAGACTTCAGGGGGCCTAGAGGGACAGAGGACAAGCCGTCAGGCGCCCAGCCTGGCCCCCATGATTTCTCTCCACTCTTGCCCTTGCTAACATTCCATTTTTATTTCTCATCAGTCATGAGGCTCACTAGGAGGAGTATATTTATACTTACTCCAGTTGTTTTCTAGGGCTGCCATAAAAAAGTACCATAAACTAGGTGGCTTAAAACAGTAGAAATTTATTCTCTCACAGTTCTGGAATCTGTAAGTCTGAAATCAAGATGTCATCAGGGCTATGTTCCTTCTGAGAAACACTGAGTGGGATCCTTCCTTGCTGGTGCCTGCCTTCTGGCGGTGGCTGGCAATCCTTTGTGTGGCTTGTAGTTGCATCCCTTTAGTCTCTGTCTCCATTGTAACGTGACGTTTTCCCTGCCTGTGTGTCTTCTCCCCTTCTTATAAGGAGACCAGTCATACTGGTTTAGGGCCTACCCAAATAACTTCATCTTAACTTGATTACATCTACAAAGGCTCTAATTCCAAGTAAGATCACATTCCCCGGTATGGGGGGTTAGGACTTCAACATATCTTTCTAAGGAACACAATTCGATTCAAAACACTTATAGAATTTTGTGAAATTAAAGAGAAACTAAAACAAATTCAAGGTTAACCTTATGCAGATTTCACTCTTAATTGCTTCCTGATAATCTTGATTAGCGAAAAGAATGGAGTGGAGTCATATGCTGCTGACACTGGAAAAGCCAGGACTCTGAGTGAGTTTTGGGAGTGTCTTGAATGTGAATGTCACTATTATCGTATAGGTCCCCCAAAATGAAAGGTTTTCCTCCTGCTTATGGGTGAAGCTGGGGTGTTCAAGGGAGGGAAGAGATGGCCAAGTAGTTGCACAGGTGATCAGAGTCAGGAAGTGGATTGTGCTAGGCTAACATGAGAATATGTGTATGTGCTTAGGAGTGATTGTGTGTGTGCATGTGAATGACTGTGTATAAGCTGTGTGTGTGTGTGTGTGACTGTGTACATATGCAGTGAACTAGCATGTGTGAAGTTTCTGGGAGAAGGAAGTATTGAGAACATTGAGATGTTAACAGCAATTAGGAGGTGGGTAGGGAGAAAAGACTATCATGGGGCAAAGCATCTAACCACACAAAACTAGAATGTGACTTTCTGGTGAAAGGGAACACAGAAGATTCTACAAAATTAGAAACCTACAAGTCTGTGCCAAGTCTATATCCGGTTGCCTTATGCTTCCCTTCCTTCATTATTTAGCATGAGTGGCTATAGGCCAGATCCAATTGTAGTTTTTGCCTCTGACTTTTTTTTAATGAGAAACAAACACTAGTATTTTTTATTCTGTCATATGTAGAAAACTATATCTCTTCTTCTCCCTTTCTTGATTCTGCTCTAATATAAGAACCACCAAACAGATTGAGATCAATCTTGCCAAGAAAGTTTTACTATAAAGATGAAAATGCACAGAGGAATGTTTTAGTCTGAAAATGTAAGGTAGTTAGATATCTACCAAAAGTAGAAATCAGAAATTGTAATGCATGGACACATTTTGTTGTAATTATTTTATTTGCCATTAGCAATGAATCTCAAGCTGTTGAGCAACCAAAAACCCATCTGGGGACTTAGTACCAGTGAATGAGCCATTATCTTTACCTATTCACTTATTCTCAAAGTCCTTTGATGTCACAGTCAAAGAGTTTGACTGTAATGAAATAATGCAAAAGAACAAGATAGAATGAAAAGTGAAACTAGCTTTGAAGCTATTTTTCCTGGAAAAAAATTGTAAGAATTCCCAAGAACGTGGTACACCAAAGGAAGATGAATTCCCTGCAGTCTTGCTGTAATATAAATATGAATCAGAATATGATGCCCTGCATGTGGAAGACACTAAATAAGAAGTTGTTAATAGTGATGGTGGTGGGAGTAGCAACTTCGGATCTGGAATAACTCGAACTCAAAAGAATATTTGTATGGTAGATTTGAAAGGTGGCCACAATTATATGGCCATCACAAAAATATCTCTTTCCACATAATGTTCTTACAATGTGACGTTGACCTACCTTTATTGAGAGGTTGGGTCTATGTTTCCTTCTTCTCAACCTAAGCAAAACTTTGTAACTATCTTGGCCAATGGAAGATGGAAGAAATGATTCTGCATGACTGCCAAAGCTAGGTCATGGAATGCAATATGGCTCTCTCTCTCTAATCCTCCCTCCTTTTATCTCTCCCTTTCTTATCTCTCTCCATTCTCCCTCTCTCCCCTTTTCTCTCTCTCTTTCTTTCTCCCTCTCTCAACGCTTGTCCTTGGAGCCCAATCACCATGATCTGAGGAAGGCTAGGCCACAAGGGGAGGCCATGGGTGGGTGTTCCAGCTGGCAGTCTTAAGTAGGCCCCCAAATGACAGCAAGCATCAATGGCCACACATGCGATTAAATGAGTCTTCAGATAATTCCAGCCCTCAACCTGCAAGTCCTCCAGCTGAGGACTCAGGTCCAGTGCCCTGTCTGGATTTCTTACTAAAGGAACTTATTATTGTTTAAGTCATTAACTTTTGGGGGTAATTTGCTATGCAGCAATGGCTTACCTCCTGGGAGGATTTGGGGATGCACCAGATTCCCCCATCCAGGGAGGCGAGAGCTTCTGCTTCTTGTGGAGTTATCTTGCTGGAATGACGGAAGAGGTCTCCGTCCTGGTGCTCCTTCTTGACCCAGGTCCCATCATTGCCAGGCTCAGCCACTGTCTTCAAACTGAGGCATCTCAGATATGGTTAGAATTCCATAGTCCACTATCAAAATCATTTTTGGTAGGTCACATAGTTTACTTATTTTGAATTTTTGATCATCATGTTGAATAAATAAGTGCTCCTCAACCTGTAATGTGCATACAAATCACCTGGGGTCTTGTTAAAATGTAAATTCTGCTTTAATAGCTTTGGGGTGGAGTCTGAGATCCTGCTTTTCTAATTCCCAGGTGATGCTGAAGTTACAAGTCTGAACCACACGTAGACTATCATAGGTATGGAAGATTGTATGGACAAAGCAAAATTTTGCATAACTCATCCCCAAGGCAGGAAACCAGGGATAGCACTTAATGCCATTGAGCATCTACAATGTGATAAGAATCTTCCTTAAGTATTTCATATATATCACTGTAGTCCTCAGAATACTCCTCCAAAATAAATACAATTTATTTTCCTCACTTTATAAAGAAACTAAGGTTCGTAGAATTTACATAAGTGGAAAAGCCAGGACTCAAACCCAGGACTCACTATGAAATTGTGTCCTTGCCACTATACATTCATCTCTTATGATTCCTAAGCCTGGGATTGGTTCTCTAGTTATCATTTCTCTTTGAATAAAGAGGTGCCTCTGTAACAGTGCTGCCCAATAAACTTCATGCAGCAATAGAAATGTTCTTTATCTATCCTGTCCAATATGGTAGCTACCTGTGGCTCCTGAGAATTGAAGTATGGCTAGTGTGACTGCAGAACTAAATTTTAAGTTTTATTTAATTTTAATTTCAAATGTAAATAGCCATCTATGGCTAGTGGCTGGGACAAGTGGCTAATTGCTGGTGGCTACCGTATAGGACAGCATAGCTTCATAGGAAGAATCCCAAAAAACACTGGGACATTAGGTTTGAAAGGTGCCTTGGATTTTGAGACATTAGGTTTGAAAGGTGCCTTGGATTTTCACTGTGGAATGTGTGCCATGGCTCTCCCTCACATTCAGCATCTTGAGTTGTGCACAATTCTCATCTTTGATTGTGTAGAGTTGTCATCCACAATCTTTCCTTCCCTCTGCTTCCCTTTCCTGTATTACGCAGCATCAAACAACTTCTTCCTTTCGGATTTACATCAACTAAACAGAAGGCCTAACCATGGTGCACGTACTGGAGATACAAAGAGGAACAAACTCCAATTCAGGAGGGAGGAGGGTATGATAGGAGGAACCCCTAAGAGACTGAAATAGCAAGTGGAAACCACTCTTCTATTCTTTGAGGGTTTGGGGAAATGAATGAAAAAGATCTGTTCAGATGCTTTGCCTTCCTGTTGGGAATTTTAACAATTAGAACACTTTTAGCTACAAGTAGAAGAAACTCTGGCTTGATTTAAACAACAAAGAAGTGTATTATTTCAGGTAAATTGAAAATCCAGGGGTGGAGTGGACTTCAGAGTTAGTTGATTCAATTGCTCAGCAATATCTTAGAAGACTCATCCTCTTACTATCTTTCCTTTCTCCCACTTTTAATGTTGGCTTCATCCTCATGCCGGTAGCAAGATGGCTACAGAAGTTCTGGAAATATACCAGACGTGGCAATGCTGCAGAGGAAGGAGGGAGAATATGCCTTTCTGCAGATCTTTCTTGGAGGAGAGGCAAGTTTCTCCAAAATTACTCAGATGATTTCCCCTCATGTGTCTCTGGCTGGAATTAGGTCACATGGCCATTCCTGAACAAAAAGACAAGGAAAATAAGACTTTTCTTATACCCAGCCACTCCTGGGGCTGGGAGTAAGGTCAGATTTTTCCAGGTACATGGGCTGTGTTAAACAGTGGGGAAATACCTCAATAAAATCGGGGTTCTGTTAGAAGGAAAGAAAGGAGGAGGTAACCAGTGTTACCTCAGGACCAAACCCCAAAGGGTGTTTGGGATGGGGGAGCTGTGAAGCATTCAGTTTGGTAAAAGCAACCTGGAGGTTATCAGGGTTAGTGGCCTCCTTCTAGCAGCATGGCTGTGGGTGGCTCTAAGTCTCTAGGGAAGTCCCCATTCGGTTCAGTGCCACACCCAGTGCATTTTGGGACTGAGGCTATTGGTGGGCTCATGCTGAAGGGCCTGCTGTGGCATCCCCAATTCCTCATGGCCTGGGCAGGGCACACAGACACCCAGAGGTTCCCACATGCCCTGCCAAGAGGTCAAAGAGGGGCTGCGCGGTCCAGTGGACCAGCACAGAGTTTGGAGTAGAATGTCATGAGTCTTCTTCCTCTCTCTAGAAATATTCCCAGCTCCTTTGTGTCTTCTCTACAGCCTGCGGCTGAGCTTTGCCCATCCCCATGAAGACTCCATTGTGTCAGGGGACTGCTTTTGCCCACACCTGAGTCCTTGCTTTTTGCCCCATTTGGGGAACACCCATCTGGCATGGCCAATACCTTCAGGGCTTCACCCCTAGGCCTCTGTGCAGAATCAAAGGCCTAGGTACAATTTGGCTTTGGTATTTTTTCCTCCACTTCTGTAAAAACATCTAACGAAACCATGGCAAACATCCATCAGCATCAAATTTCTTTCCTGTTAATAGATCATTCTGAGTCGCATTCTCTTATTTTGCTTTTCTTTAAATTAACTCAAACTATTCCTGCGCTCTCAGAGTGAAGTGTCCAAGGTGGCCAATACTGCACCTGTGCCACCTCACTTATTCTGTCTCCCGGTGACAGTCACAACTTTCCTATTGAAACAAGAAAGCACCCAGCCAGGACCCCATCTCCGTGTATTCAGGCAGGAACCACTTACCCTGGCTCGGAAGTCCCTCCTGCCATGCACACTGGAAATCCCCAGGGCTGACCCTCCGCAGCAGCCTTTCCTGAATTGCCGTGTAGCTTCCTCAGACTTCCTGCCTGCCCCCACCCCATCCTTTCTCCTCAAAGCCTTGTTTCTGCAGTCACCTTTTCCGTCATTATTCACGTCATACCTCACATTGCTCCCGAGTTTCCTGAATTCAGTGGTAAGGGGTATGCTCTCACCTTCATCTTCTGTGTCCCTCAACCCTACTCATCTCTGCCTATCATATCCCCCTTCCACCAACAGATCCCATTCCTAAGAATGCTGCCCCACCACTCCCTTGGGTGTCCTTCCCCCTTCCTTGGTTCCATATCCCCTGTAACACAATAGACCAATCCCTTTAGAAAAGTCTTAACTGAGCCCTGATGGATGACCCAGGTCAAAGTTTCCAAAGGCCAGTCTACCCACTAGATTCTGATCTGTATCAGAACTACCTGGGGAGTTTTTGAAAAGGCACACTCAGCTGGGTACAGTGGCTCACGCCTGTAATCCCGGCAATTTGGGAAGCTGAGGCGGGCGGGTCACTTGAGGTCAGGAGTTTCAAACCAGCCTGGCCAACATGGCAAAACCCCGTCTCTACTAAAAATTCAAAAATTAGCCAGGCATGGTGGCACACACCTGTAATCCCCGTACTCAGGAGGCTGAGGCAGGAGAATCGCTTGAACCTGGGAGGCAGAGTTTGCAGTGAGCCGAGATCGTACTACTGCACTCCAGCCTGAGCAACAGAGCAAGACTCCATCTCAAAAAAAAAAAAAAAAAAAAAAAGCAGACTCCTGGGCCCATGTTCTGACTACTGAATTAAAGCCTAGGGGGAAGAGGTGGGGGAGAGAGTCTAAGTTTGTTTTAGTACACTTCCCAGGCGATCCTGCTGATCCAGGTGTGGGACGCACTGGCTGGGTGCCTCTCAAGTTCTCATGTAGCCACTGGTTGCATATGGCTGTCTGGATTCCCATGTTGAAAGCACTCATGTCATCGGGGGTTAAGTTGGGAACCGAAGCCTCCTTCAGGCGCTGGGCTAACACAGTTCCCTGGGGAACCAGTGGGAGAGGAGATTCACCTGCAAGCCAGACAACAGGTCCACATATTCTGCACTGCCATTTGGTGGGGTCAGCAATAAGGTGCTGCAGACATTTGTGTTTGTTTATTTGAGAGCTAGGTGTTTAGGGATTTAGGTTAATGATAATGCCTAGAATGGTGTCATGGGTTAGACAGTTGAGGAAGC
This sequence comes from Homo sapiens, assembly GCF_000001405.40. Lineage (NCBI taxonomy): Eukaryota > Metazoa > Chordata > Mammalia > Primates > Hominidae > Homo > Homo sapiens. The sequence goes on along the minus strand of NC_000005.10, from coordinate 68,516,470 downwards.
ATTAATTTAATTATCATCAACAACAAACAGCCATTGAGTGTACCTTGTATAGGACGCTGGGGCTTAGTAATAGAGACTCAAAAATAATTAAACACCTTCACCTGGAATCACTTACAAGGTAGCTGGGAAAGAACGCACAGGCTTCTAAAGATGTGCTGACATTGTTATTTTCTAAGAAAAATTGGAATTTAGTTGTTTTTGACCTTTTCTCTTAACTCATTCACTCCAGAGTTTCTAAGGGGCTGTGATATACCAGGCACTGTGCTCAGCCAATGGTAGGGAGAGTGGTAAGAATACAGAAATGAGAGGACATGGGCCTCCGTAACACAGAGAGAGATACGTTACACACAATATGATCAGGGCCAGAGAGAGAAACCTACTAATTCCTGTGAAAACACAGAGAAGGGAGATCTTTCACTGTGAAGTTCAGGAAACTGGTTGTTTGGATCTGCCCAAGAATAAACTATAATATGTACTAGCGAATGCACTATAATATGTACTATATAATACATAAGCTATAATTCGTACCAGCGACTGCACGAGGCACTTTGAATATGTTACCTCACTTAATATAATCTAATTTTTCATTCCCAGACCCTCATTAGGTACGCATTATTACCATAGTTTTACATGTTACATAGATTCTCACTTGATGGTAGGTGATGCTTGATGTTGAGAGGAAACAAAATACCGTCCCTGCAACCCCCAAGCAACTATTCGCATATGCTGATTTGCAGAGGAGGCCCTGAAGTGCTCAGATGTAAGAAGAACTTAAACTCAGGTGGGAACAATGAACTCTCAGGTGGGAACAGTTGGAGAGCCCTTAGGAGGAAACCTGCCAAAAGGGGAACAGGTGTCTGGCCCACTGAGTTGACTCAGTTAAAATTTGACCAAGGTGTAAGGCTTAGAGAGTACGTGGGGTTTTTGCATACAGGTGTACTCTGTATTTATAATCAACCACAATCTGGAGAACAAGAAAAGCTGCAAAACTTTGAAGCTCAATAAGCATTGTTTGGAGGCAATCCTTCACAGACCAAAAGATGAGAGCTTTCTATTTTGTTTCAAAAATAACTGTTAAGAAACAGTGATGATATTGCCCAAAGGCCTGAGCATGGAGGAACCAGATGGCAGCAAGGATGGTGGTGGAATTTTCTCCTGACTGGCAGACAGTTGCTCTAACTGGCAATGAAAAGTCAGTTGCTTTCAGGTGACTGAAATAATGGTAGCAGTAACAATAAGGGCAAGATCTCAGCCTCCAAGTGAACTTTGTGGACCAGCTGGGTCCGGACCTAGAGTCTGTTCAACAATCTCCCTTAGAAGTTCCCAACAATAGTTGCAGAGGGAGAATCTGTTGGAAACAACAACAACAACAACAACAACAACAACAGCAACAAACTAAATAGCCCCTAAACTGATTTGGAGAGGGACAGGGTGAAGGCAATCAAGTCAGAGATTTATGTTAAGTGCTTAGATTTTTACTCCCAGCAACGTGGAGCTTGAGCTCTTAGGACTCCATACAGATGAGAAAACTGAATGTTATTGCTCAAGGTCAAAGAACCAGGAAAAAGCAGAGCCAGGATTCAAACCCAGATTCTTCTCTCTACAAATTTATTCCTCTTGTGAGATGATATTTGAATTGAGGCTTTATAATTGGATAGGGGGCTAAAGGCAGATCATTCCAGAGATAGTTGCAACTAAGCTTGTAAAGACAGAAAGGATGAAAAGAGCAGGGCTAGGCCACGCAATTTATAATTCAGCGAGGCTGATGATGGGCTATGTAGAGGGAGTTTCAACAGGTGAGCCTGACAAGGCAGTTTAGTAGTAGCCCTGTGTGCCCTGCTAAGGCAGAGCTTCTAGTCCTTTCTTAACCTACTCTCCCATCTTTTGACAAACACACAAATCTCTTTCCTCCTTTACAGTTATTTGAAATAACAGATGCAGTAAATATTTTGACCAAAAAAAAAAAAAATCTTAGCAATGAAAAATTTTAAATGTGGATTTTCAAATTACTATATCTTGAGTCCATTGAGTATTTTCTATCTCAGCTGCCTGGACGTAGAGCTGTCTGTCAGTCAAGGAGATGAGGAAGAGGTCATCACATTTCTATGAAGGCAGTGAGGAAGGTGAAGGAATGGAGTCAAGAGCCCTTTCAGAGGAAGAACTGATGAGGGTCTCACGGGAGAGAATTATTAGATTTCTGAGCTACCTTGATTTTGAGGACTTTTGCTTTGAATCAGAAAGCTGCAATATTCCAACCCAACGTGCACTGAGTGTTTGTTTCTCAGATCAGGAATCAATCAAAGAAGCGAACTTTAGTCCTGACAAATACTTTGCCATTCACAACATCCCTAGGTGTTTTGTGTCAAAATGAGGGAATCTATGACTTTAATGATTTCTCCTGCAAAGCAAATGGACTCTTTCCCAGATGCATATTGATTACTATAATAACTGCTGATGGTTGTTGGGCTTTTATTGTATGCTAGATGCTGTACAAAGTACTTTGCATGTATCATCTCAATAATCCTCGCAATAACTCCAAGAGTTAAGTGCCATTATTATCATCCTCATTTACAGATGAGGGAACAGAGGCTCAGAAAGAAGTGACCTGCATAAGGTCACACAGCTGGTAAGTGGTAGAGTTGCAATTAGAACTCATGTCTGTCTAATATCAGTCACTGAGTATATGAGGAACCACTCAAAAGAGAATTCAGGGACCTATAGAGTGAGCTGGGATGTGGTTGTATCCTCATCTATACCTCGGGCAGGAGATCCAGGCAGCATTGAAGTGTAAATACCCCCTGGGGTTAGGGTGCATCATTCCTGCAGGGAGACTGTTAGCCTTTGCTGAAGGTGGCCTCTTCAGGTTTTTTTTTTGTTTGTTTGTTTTTTTTGAGATGGCGTCTTGCTCTGTCACAGAGGCTGGAGTGCAGTGGAGTGATCTCGGCTCACTGTGACCTCCGCCTCTCGGGTTCAAGCGATTCTCCTGCCTAGGCCTCCCGACTAGCTGGGACTACAGATGCGTGCCACCACAACCAGCTAATTTTTTGTATTTTTAGTAGGAAATGGGATTTCACTATGTTAGCCAGGATAGTCTTGATCTCCTGACCTCGTGATCTCCCCGCCCCGGCCTCCCAAAGTGCTGGGGTTACAGGCATGAGACATTGCACCTGGTCTCTTCAGTTCTTTGACTTAGAACAGACAAAGCAACATTCGTTTCCCATTTTCAAAAGCTCCCCCCAAATGCTGTTCAACTGAGGTCCAGATGGTGTATGGAATAGATCTAGGTGTTTGCTGGCCAAAAAGCTAATTCCTGAATTGTAGGGCTTGTCCCCAGGCTTGATAGTAGAGATGCTGGGAAGGCCAGGACAATGCCAGAAACAGAGTCTCAAAGGAAAGCAGAGAGAATTGTCCACTGAGACCTCTGACTCAGTGTCCCCAGCCATTAAATGACTTTTACCTTACCTGGGGTATATGAAGAACTCCTTTTACAAGTCCTTTTTTTTTTAAAGTGATATCTTAAACATAACTGTGAAAAAAGTGCATACTCTCCTAAAATTCAGATGTTATAAAATACTTGAGCAGCTTTTAAACATTTAACCTTCAAAGTTCTGCAACTTAGGCTGCAAGTATGAAAGAAACAAGTTATAAATGGCACTTAAATGCAAATTACATTCTTTTCTCACAACTGATATGGACTTCAGTCTTGCTAATGATAGGACAGAGGTTTACCTTGTCATCTATGGCATCCTTTGTTATTTGTCATAGATTCTGGGGAAAAAAAGCACATCATGTATGCTTGTCTTAAACTTAACAAATGTAGTTGTTTAAAATTTAATAAATATTTTTCTGAAAACCACTTGCAGATTATTTCTAACAGGGTTACAACCTAAATTACTGAGGTTTAGAAGTGTACAAAGATGTCATGAATGCCCTTGGCTGTTGCTGCTCTTTTTTCTCCATGTATTTGACACCTAAGTCTAGACCAGACAAATCCCAGCTGTAATCCAATGATGACCAACCTCAGAATTGTGGTATATGGCTCTAGAAGTTAAAAAGAAAAGAGCCATCACTGAAACAGTTGAAAATTGTTACCACTTAACTGGCAGAAACTGAATAGTGTAATGGTGGAACAATGAATCCATGCTTCTTTGGAAGAGGAAACTAAGTATGAATGGAACAATCTATAAATGTGGGAGGGGAGTAAAGAGCGAGCCTCCCAGGGTTAACTGCAATGCCAGTACTATAATTTTCCCAAATTGGAAAAAAATGGACAAAGTTTTGCACCACCCAAAATGAAGTCAGACCAAGCCCATCATATTTTAAATATGTGGTGATGATTTCTTTAGAAAGGGCCTCTGAACAAGATGTAAGAAAGAACAGTTCTGCTTGCAAGCTCAGTCTAATGCTGGCCTTGACAGCTCCTGTGGGCTTCTATGTGACTACTGTGAGTAAATAATGGAACAACATTCTCACGCAAGGCCTGCTAATTCTACAGCCTTCTGAGATCCATAAGTTACTGCAAAAACCAGTTTGTGCTTATACGCACTAGGAGATCTCGAAGTCCAGCAAGAAGCTTGAAAACCCCTCACACTGGAATCCTTCATCTAACTAACACCAAGAGTCTTTGTTCCATTTGCACTTAGGGTGTTGTATTGTTTTTTGGTTGGTTGGTTGGTTGGTTGTGTCTTCCAGTTACATTTTAAAGAAGGGATGGGGCAATAGAGTATTTGCATAGATTTGCAGGAAAAAGGTTGACACCTACCTCTGTCTTTCACCTGAATCTAGCTGTATCATGTTGAGTTTCCAAAGAGATCTCTTGTCAATTATTGGGGGTGAAGGGAGTAGACAGAATTAGTAACTGACTTATCTTTCTCTCGATGATGGTATAGGAATAAGTGCTAATAGCCAAGGTAAAGGGCCAGCTTCTCTCCTCCACAAGTGGTATTCTCCAAGGTGTTCAGACTTTTCACTGTAATGAGGGAAGGGAGTGGAATTAATTGTACATCCCTCTTTTGCTGACCTCTAAGACTGCTGTTATCTCTCCTTGCCATGCTTACCGCTCCCTAGTCCTATGGGGAGCCCACTTTCATTAATACGCCCTTTCGGAAGTGAACTCTGGGTCAATGAGAGTAAATCAAATGGAGGAAAAAGACTAGAAAGAACAAAAAAGAAGTGGGCCTTCACTTTAGCAGTGGTCACACTTCAACTTGAAAACAGATGGAAAGGAATATAGACTGTGGTTACCACAAATAGAGAATGCATAAAATTGCATTCGTTAAATTAGGTACACATTTTTACCATGACATACTTGTAGCCTTCCAAATGATTCTCTTTACTTAGACGCTATGGAAGGAAGGGATTTTTTTTTTTTTTTTTGTAAATTTCTTCATTTCCCAGATGATGTCTGCAGAACCACAAATGTGGAAAAGGTGGATATTAACTTTCTCAGTAACTGCCTGCTGACTTGTTTGCTTCTCCTAATTGTAAGCTCCTTGAGGGAGGCAATGGGTTTAACCACTGCTGAATACCCAGTGTGCATGGGAGATGCTCGGATAGTTAATGAGTGAGTGAATGAATGAATTAGCAGCAAGGAGAATTGAAGAGATAGGAATTGAGTGCTATAGCAACAAATGCACTAAGTGAGCAGTAAGTTTTATTACTACATGTATCCATAATGGTGACATGCAGGTAAAAAATATTCTTTTTATAGTTTACAGTTGAAGTTCAGTTTTAGGAGTGAGGGATGACAAGAAGAAGTAAGTGTCAAAGTATTCAGTGAAGTTGCCAACATCAAGGACTGATGAGCAAAAGTAATTAGTAGTGGCAGTAGTTAGTAGTTTTTAGAGACTCAAAACAGTCATTTGCAAGGAGGGCTAAAAAAATCAGCTGGGAATCATGAGATTATCTTCTGCCCCATCTCTTTATGACACCACCACTTTCCTTAAGGAAGTTAGACATCCATAGGTATTACACTAACCCTTAAAGCTGTCGAGTTGGCAAGTCACTCCTCTGGGATCAATCATGTATTCATTCAATAACTTTTTTTCTATCCAGTATAGGTCATTATACTAGGTGGAACAGAAAAATTGTAGCACGGTTGGGTGCGGTGGCTCATGCCTGTAATTCTAGTGGTTTGGGAGGTCGAGGTGGGCAGATCACGAGGTTAAGAGATTGAGACCATCCTGGCCAACATGGTAAAACCCTGTCTCTACTAAAAATACAAAACTTAGCTGAGTGTGGTGGCGGGCACCTGCAGTCCCAGCTACTCGGGAGGCTGAGGAAAAAGAATTGCTTGAACCTGGGAGGTGGAGGTTGCAGTGAGCTGAGATCGCACCACTGCAGAGCAAGATTCCATCTCAAAAAAAAAAAAAAAAAAAAGAAAAAGAAAAAGAAAAATTGTAGCACATAGTTCTTTTCTTTAAGTTATTTATAACCTAATTGCAGAGAAAAGATATAAAAGCACTCAAAAAACTAAGGTAAAAAATCATGGAATACATAAAAGATGTCAGAAGACAACATGTGATCACAAACCTGAAGAAAGGGTCTACCCAGTCTGTCTTTTGAGTAATATCACATCCCGTCCTGATATGCAGGATTACTGTATAAGTCATGTTCCTAGGACATAAACCTGCCTGCCTGGCCAAAGTTGAATGGACCCAGGGTGGCACCTGACCAAGCTGGGCCAATTAGATTCTCCCACAGGAACTTGGAATTTGTGTAAGTTCCAGTTTGTTTTGGTTTTCCTCCTTTATAAAATAGATGTAAATATTGGTAGTGACCATTTTCTACCATGACAAAGCAAAGAAGGTCAGTTGCAGAAAGGAAAAAAAAATATGAATCAAATGTGAAGAGAGAAGCAAAGATAGGAGAAGGAAAGAAGAGACTCTCTGGTTCCCTAATGGGCTCTAGTCTCTAGGTTCAGTAGTTCTGAGATTCAATTTTCTCCCTGTCCTTGAGGGGCATGAGACTTTACTGCATCCATACAAGAGTGCACTTCTGCTTGCTTCTGAAGAAAGCAATTTCATATTTTACAAGTTGAGTTGACATTGTTGACTTGGCAGTGCTGTGTTATTGGAAATCCAGGGAATTCCTGGTCCAAGTTGAGGATGCTTTCCTAATACCCCCTTCCCCTGCCATGTGTGTACTAGCACCTCCTATTTCATGTCATCCCAGAGGCTGGGTCCTTCCAAAACCCCTTTAGTGCCCTCTCTTTCTACCTCCAGAGTACCAGTGCTTCAAAGATTTTATTTTATGGAATCCTTATAATAAGTTCCTATGAGGTAGATTCTATTATCTCCATTTCACAGATAAATCTGACACAAAAATAAATGGGACAATTTACCCAACATCACATGTCTAATAAGTAGTAGAGCCATGATATGAACTGAGTCAGGGTGATTCCTGAATGCATACTCCTAACCACTAAACTACCCTTCCTCTTGTTTATTTTTTATTCTTTTGCTAGTATACTACAGGAAACATTACATAATATGATCTTTTCTTTAACATGTTACAATCTTTCTGTTTCTGCTATTCCATATACTCGTTTGTTTATTTGTTTGTTTGAGGCAGAATCTTGCTCTCTCCCAGGCTGGATTGCAGTGGGGCAATCTTGGCTCACTGCAACCTCTGCCTCCCAGGTTCAAGTGATTCTCCTGCCTCAGCCTCCCGAGTAGCCGGGATTACAGGCATGCACCACCCCGCCCGGCTAATTTTAAAATTTTTAGTAGAGAGGGGATTTCACCATGTTGGCCAGGCTGGTCTTGAACTGCTGGCCTCAAGTGATCCGCCCACCTTGGCCTCACAAAGTGCTGGGATTACAGGTGTGAGCCACCATGCCTGGCCTCCATGTACTGTTATTTAAGGCATAAACCTGATTGCAGAGACTAGGGAAATGCCCACCAATTCCTTTCATCTTGCTAGGCACACTGGAAATCTAAATTTCCTACCCTTCCTTGCAGTTAGGTTGGAGATATTTGCTGGGTACTGGCCAATGGGGACAAAAAGTGATATATGCTACTTCCAAGCCTCACATAAATTTCTCTAGGTAATTTTCTTTGGTCTTTCTTCTCCTTCCATGTAGATAAGGAGTTCATATGCTGGAATGATAGTGACACAGGAGTTTAACACTCCTACAGTATCCAGAGCCTGGATCCCTGAGTCATCAGATGGAGAAGAACTACTCAGGAGAGTCATCCAACCTTCATAGACAGTGGCATGAGTGGGAATTAAACATTGATTATGTTAAGCCATTGCAGTTTGGGGTTGTTTGTTACAGAAGTGTTCATTTTCCCTTATTGACCCACCTACTGAATTCCAAAAATTGGGTAAGCACTGGTAGCAGCCAATAAAGTAGGCACTTGCGTAGACATACAAAGATTACTTTTTATAGAAGCTTGATCCTTTATGAAATCTGGTTTGTGTGATCAATGAAAGTACTGATAATATTCTCAACAGACACTTGGCCTAGTGCTTCTTAGTTATTAAGAAGACAGTTCCATGAGAGTCTTTGCTATAGCTGTTGGAGTAGATCTTTCTTTTGCTCCTCAGAGTGTTCCTTGGGTTGTAGGATCAGCTTCTTGCTTATGTAGGGACAGGAACTTTAGTCAGAGGGTCAGGGAGTTATATTTCCGGACAGGATGCTCAGGGGCCCAGCTCCAACTTACATACAGCCTGCATTTAGTTGCTTTTTGACAGCAACTGAACAGGATAGAATTTTGTTTGTGTGTGTGTGTGTGTGTGTGTGTGTGTGTGTGTGTGTGTTTTAACTTACATACACTGTGGCCATTCAGCCCATCATTGCAAGGGCTTTTTCCATTCCTACAAGTTAGAAAGGGGAATCACAGTTACCCAAATGGAAAACTTCTAGCTTGAGTGAATAAAGGAAGATGTAACCAAGTGGATTTGATTAAGGATGAACCCCTATTTTTGCAGCTCCACTGGCGGGGATATGGAATAAAACCTGTTTCTTCATGCTGGGAAATTCAAATTGGAAGCTGATAAGTTAGGGAAATAGCATAAAATATGCAGTGAAAGTTGCTCAATTTAATGTCAATCTCATCATTAAATCAAAGATCAAGGTTTATTTCAAATGAAATTTATCATGAACTTAGGAAAACCTCTACATGGTTTTGGTAAATTGTCATCTTTCAAATGAACCTCCTGACTTTCCCAGTGCAAAAAGTTCTCTGCATGACCACCTTAAGAGAAAGAAAGACGTAGGGCTAAAATTCTTGCTTTTGTTACATTTCTACAGTTGAAAGTAAATGACCCAAGAATACCTACCATTCCTTCAAAATGCCTTGGGCTTCCAAGGGACTGCTGCATTAAAACTAAAGGTCATGAGTTTTGGGGGTGTCATGCTCTGAATAATCTGTAGCTGTTGTTGTTTTAGTATTGTTATCCATTCAACCAGTATTTCTGGAGTACCTCAATGTTCTAAGCACTATCTAAGTGAGACAAAACTGCTATCTCCTGTCTAATGGAGTAATTATTTATTTACAATTTGCTGCCACTGCCATTAGAACAATGGAATCCAGAGTCTAGCACATAGTAGGAGCTTAGTAAACACTTGTTGAATAAATGTACAAGCTCCTTTGAAATCTGAGTACTCTTATGGGAGCAGTAGCAAAAATATTGCCTCTGCTTTATCTTAGTTTTTGTCCCTATGAACAGGATTCACTTTCCCACTTTGAAAGAGGAAACAAATTGCTTCTACAGGCAGCCAATATTTCTTGAGTACCTATTTTGTGGTGGAGACAGTGCTAGACACACTGCCTGGGAGATACTCATGCTTTGACCTCTGGCTTCCAACAGTGGCATAGTGGCTGGCCTTTGCTTTACTGACTTGGGTAGATAGATAATTCTCAGATAAGTACTAATGCCTCTGAAAATATCTTCTTTCTTTCACACTCAGTTATTCCAAGAAGGCAAAGAGGGAGGCAGTTAGTTGTTATGAATTCAGGGCAATTATAACCCTGATTTACTTAAGAGTACATGGAATGAAACAAATAAAGCATTAACCAACATTTTCTTTGAAATGAGGTTGGGTAAGATTAGCTTAGAGGAGGGCATCATTACGGGGAGAAGAGCCATTCATCACTGTCTGCAATAATCCATGTTGAATATCTTAATGTTTAATTATTTTTAATCTTTTGGAAATAAAGAACTGCCCTAGGGTGTTTTCCTTACTCTTTCCCTCCTACAGAGCAGCCTGCTTTGGGAGCTGAAGATTTTCTATGTATTCTTTGAAATGGATCCAAATTCATTACAGATACACTGTGAAGTGGACATAGACGATGAAACTGGTGGGTGGGGGAGGGTGTGTGGAGGGAAAAAAGAAAAGCTACCATAAGTAGCCAGGGCTAGTTTGAAAAGTTGAAAGGTGATCTTTGACCTTCTCATGACTCATAAAGCACTTTATGACTCCTACCCCTTAGTCAAGAATTCTCAAGCTCAACAAAAGAGCTTTTAGCTGAATTGCCATTTGTTAACCTAGCTTCACAAGGACTACTTATTTCAGTTTCTGTGTTGACCAATTAAAGTTCTTTACTTTGACTACCTTATAGTTTACCATCTTGGTTGACTTCATGTCAATTTTCTAGGCCATGTACTTTGTCCGGCCATAGAATTGGATGGGTGAGGGAAAGACCAGGTGTCTTATTTAGCCATGTGGATAGAATAGAAAAAAAAAAAAAAAAAAAAGGGAGGGGAGAAGGGGGTGTGTAGGGTGGGGGGGAGAGAGAGAGAGAGAGAGAAAAGAATTTGCAATTAAGAGACATCCAGAGTTGCAAACCCCAAGAAGGCAAACTAAGAGTATTCCTATAGTAGAAGATTCCTGGGCTAAATACCCTGGGCCTATTCCTAGAACTTTCTAAAACTTTCGCAGCTCCAATTTCTGACCTTGTCTTAAAACTGATAAAGGGTATCAATTATTTCATTCACCACCATTGACATGTCCATTTACCTTCTGGGGAAGGAACTACTGGAGGCCACAATGGGACTCAAATGTAGTTCAAAAGGCCTGTGACCAATTTAATTGGACTAAACTATAAAGGGCCATAGGCACTAGAAATATCTTTGGATTTTTCTTTCTTTCTTTTTAAATACCTTGTCTCATGTCTTCTGAACTCTATTTCCTAGGCCACAAAACATGATTGGTTTATTTGCCTCTTTGAAATGCTCATAAAGTCAGATTAAAGAATTATACCCAGTCTGTTTTTAATAGACTTTGGCAGGGACTGTGTGGTAGATTAAAGATGGCCAAAAATTCAATGTTCCTTCAATGAGAGGTGGGGTCTTTGTCCCCCAAGCCTTGAATCTGGACATGCTCTATGACTGTTTGACCAATGGAATTAATTGGAAGTGACACTGTGCCAGTTTCTGTGGTAAGTAGTTATACGGCAATAGAGAAATAGAATATGTTGTTTGGGTTCAACCAACATATTCATCTGGATATGGTCATATATAGGGAACTCTTACAGTTGTGAGAACTCTTAGCAAAAATCTACTATGTTCCAGGAATTGTACCCAGTTTGGAGAATATGGCTATTCATATATGGCTCCTGTTTGCAAGATATTCAGTCTAATGGAAATAATAAGACATGTACATGAAACTTCAAGATTTAAGCTAATGATGGTACAAAGGGCCATAGCAGTAATTCTCAAACGTCAGTGTGTGTAAGAATCAACTAAGGAGTGGGTTAGAAATGGAATACCCCAGGGCCATATGTCCAAAGACTCTGACTTAGCAGATCTGTGATGGAGTGCAGGCTTAACAAGATCACCCAGATTATTCTAAAGAATAGGAATGAGAACAGCATTTTAAGAAACACTTGCTGTAGGAATAACTAGCTTGGAATGACTCCCTGGGACTCTGTGGAGAGGCCTCCAGAGAGCTCCACAGTTCTGCAAGGCTTTGAAAGAAGAGTAGGAGCTTGTGCTCCCAAATCCAGGCTTCTGACATGCTGTCATTGGTATAAGATGACAAATGCTAAAGGACTTCCCTAACCAAAAATACTTCCCTTGTGAGTCCTGCTATAGTGTTTAACACTCCTACAGTATTTAATCTTTGAATAGGCTTTGTAGGACTCTGCAAAATGGTAAATATGATCTGCAAAGGGTAACACAGTAGTCCATTTTTAGTGACTAATGCATTAGCTCAAAATTTCTTCTTTTACGTTCCAAATAATCATATTTATTTAACTATCTGCTAGCTCTTGTGTACTGTAAGTGCTCAATATACTTTTTTTCTGATTGAATAAATACTTGTTGTGGGCTCAGAAAGTATGAACCATGGATGCTTAAAGGCATAGGCTATTTTATAGAAAGACACTCCAGTGAGTTGTAAGGAAATTCTCCTTCCAAAGCACAAATTGGTTCCTGGGTAGAGAGTGACTACCTGCTATTGAAGAAACAAATACTGTCTGTGTTCAGAGCATGTTTAGCACTGGAGGTGGTGGTGAGGAGCACACCGCAGGATTAGGCATGGTGCATTCAAGGAGGTTGAAATCTAATTAATCAAAATTAACAACAAACTCAGAGAAAATTACAATGTGTACATAATTGCATGTGAAGTAATGTGGCAGCTATTTAAAGTGGTGTAGGAGTTCAGCAGAAGAGTCAGTCTTCTCATGCCAAGGAAGGCTCCTTAGAAGTTTAAGACAAAAATGAACTTGGCGCTCCTATGCAATATGTTCAGTATGTTCCAGATGCAGCCAAAGAATGTCCATAGATTCTGTGAAAGGATACAAAGAACATAGAGGAAGACGATCTTGTGAAGATAATTAAGCATAATCACTGTCTAGGTTATAAAGGGAGATGATTGTACTGACTCCTTCTCAGATGTGACCAAAACCAAAGGCTTTGGGACTATCATGGTCAAGAAGAATTATTTTATTTATGTTGATTACCTAGTTTCTTTGTCCTACCTGTTTCTGGAAAGGGGTTTGAAGCTCCATATCATCATTAATCCTGTCTCTAGGGAGCTGATAGACTTTCTGTAAAATGTGGATCTGAAGCTACGTCCATCAGACGCTTGCATGCCTTCACCTGGCATATGGGGATTTCACAGCCCAACCCCTCTGTCTCTACAGGCTGCTCTCTTGCCGCTGCTATTTACGCCCCTGGCTCTGGCCACATAGCTGTTTTCTAAAGCTCTTTTCCCTATAGCCTTTTTCAGCCCACAATGTCTTCCCCTTCCATCTATATCAGACTTTTACCTGTGCTAGAATCAGCTCAAGCATCAAATCTCTAATTATACATTTGTGTTTAGCTTCCAGAAAGAATACATTTATTGCACGCTTTGTTGTGTCCTCACTTCCCTTACAAAAACTCGATATGCCAGGTGTCTTTGTTTGTCTCTGCAGGTTCATTCTTCACCCTTCTACGTCCTCCTCTGTGCCCCAGGAGCTGGTCCATATGGACTTTTGGCTCTCTTGTTCTCCAGCTCCCAGTGGGGTTCGGCTAATGTGAAATACCAGCAGGAGTTCATAAAGGAGAAGGAGAGAGTTATGGTATTTATTTCCTGGCTGTCTCCCTTCCTTTCTAGTTGCTTTGGTTTGTCTAGATCTTTATACCAGGAGCTACAATTTCTTTTAGGCAGCCCTCTGTAGCTGCCTGCTTTTGTTCTGGTATACCCTCCCCTCCATGTTTTTTTGGGCCTCTGGTGGTAGCAGCAGTTCTCAGTTGCTGCTAGCCCTTACTTCACTGCCCTTGTTTCCTGAAACCCTGGCCATGCCTTTCTGAATAGTCACTAATTTGTTTCATGAATTGCTCAGTATGAGTGGACCATCCATGTCCTATAAGACTGACTGATACACCTAGTTTGGAGAGTAGATCAAGAACATTTTGTAATGTTTATAGTCTGATAGTTTTGTGTCTTTCTTCCAAGATGCTCTCTGCACTGCTTCTGTGAGCTGTCAAATGGGTAGACCAAGCCCAATGATAACACCAGAAAACATTATTTCAAGCCCCCATAACTGCACCTCAGATGGGGTGTTCGAATGCCATTCACAAAGTCCATAGAGACAAATCTAATCAATTCAGATCAGGAAAACTGTAACATTAGAACTTCAGTAGCTGGGTGTCCTTCACACTTATTAGCAGAGGATGAAACCTTTATAAGACAAATATAGCAGCAAATGTAGAGAACCAATCCTGGTAGTGCAATCCCACCACAGGATAAGAAGGCAGCAGTTCAATTAAATAGCAGGCATTTAGATTAATTATCTATGGCAAACCAAATCACAAATTAGATGCTCAATAAATGCTTGTAAAATGGAATATAATCAGATTATTGCTTGAGCCACAAGCTCTGTGGAGCACTGACTTGACACCAGAATTGAATTCCTGTTTGAACCAGCCAGAATTTCTGAAGGCACCATGTTCTTCTTTGGACATTGGCGGAATGCCCCAAGTTGGGGAATGCCATGTAACAGCCTCTTAATTGCAAATCAAGGAGAGCAACTCAATGTAAAGTACAGTCATCCCCCAGTATCCATGGGAGATTGGTTCCAGAACTCCAGCAGATACCAAAATCCACAGATGCTCAAAGTCCCTGGTGTACAATAGCATAGTATTTGCATGTAACCTAACCACATCCTCCTATGTACTTTAAATCATCCCTAGATTACATATAACACCTAATACAAGGTAAATGCTATGTAAATAGTTGTTCTACTGTATTATTTAGGGAATAATGACCAAAATATGTCTGTACATGTTAAGTACAGATGCAATTTTTTTCCCCATATATTTTCTTATTTTATTTTTGAAATGGAGCCTCACACTCTGTTGCCCAGGCTGGAGTGCAGTGGCATGACCACAGCTCACTTCAACTTCTGCCTCCTGGGTTCAAGCGATTCTTGTGCCTCAGCCTCCCAAGTAGATGAGACTACAGGTGTGTGCCACCAAGCCTGGCTAATTTTTGTATTTTTAGTAGAGACAGGGGTTCACCATGTTGGTCAGGCTGGTTTTGAACTCCTGACCTCAGTTGATCTGCCTGCCTCAGCCTCCCAAAGTGCTGGGATTACCTCCCCAAATATTTTCTATTTGCCGTTGGTTGAATCCATGAATACAGAACACACAGATATGGAGGGCCAACTGTATTTGCTAAATGATAATGGCGACCACACAGAAACTGCAGTGTGTGGAAAATTACATGTCTGATCTGGGGACAGTTGAATATTTATAGGTCAAGATCAATGAGGAATCTCTCTGGCTTTCCTCTCCTACAAATCCCCAGATTCACACAGGCACATGCATCTGAGCCTCTAGGCTGGGGGGTCTGGAGAGGCAGGCACCGTCGAGAAGGAGTTTTTCATGAGTGATGGTTGTGGATGAAAGCAAAACCCCTGACTTGTGTGCCCAGGGGCTAAGATCTGAACTCCTGGCCTGAAAGAAAGGCTCTGTTGAAAGAACAGTAGGCCTCCCTATGCTAAATTTGGCCAGTGGGATTTTTTCAATTTGCACCTGGTGTTGGGCTGGAGTTCATGAAAATCCACAAAAAGGAATGTTTCCAAGTTGAATGACGAAAGGGGAAAAAAAAGTCGAACGGGAGTCCTTTGGAATCATGAAAAGCACTGATTCAGTTTGTGAAACGGAGACTTAAGTCTTTGCTAGGGAGAATGTTTCTAGGCCAGCCTTGGAGGTCTGGACTCTGTTCTCCACAAACATGCGCAGTGTAGTATTTGCTATCACCTGGTTGGTTAGCCTTTGAAAGGTGAGTTGAGATGCTCAAAACCACCCAGTGGGAGCCAAAAAGTCTATCCTTTTCTAACCAGGAGCCTTGCTCATCATCTCTTTCCACTGCAGAAGGTTTTTTCCACCCCACTAAATATTTAAAATTCATATTCAGTGACAGCCCTTTTTTTACTAAGTTGAAGCGTTTTGGTACTTTCAAAAGGGCTAGTCTTTTTGTAAAACATGCATTTTATTTCATCTAAAAACTTATCTTTTAGTAGTAGGAAAATAATAAATGCTTATTATACAAATTTCAAATGGCAGTAAAGAGAACAATGCAGAAATACAAAGTCATCCTTAATTTTACTCCAGAGACAACCACTGTCGAAAGATTGGAGGATATTCTTCCAGACTTTATTTTCCACGCGTTTAGCAATATACAAGGCGTGCATCTTAAAAATCCTAATACAGCAAAGTTAAAATTGCACAGTGAATTCTCTGTACTTATGCAAAGGAATAAACTGCTTTTCTGATAAGCATAAATGACCTAATTGGTCTCATTCTTGGCACATTGCTAATTTTTGAGACATTTAGAAAACTTTTAAATGACTTGTCCTAAAAATATTTGGCAGGACGTATATTAGAAAACTATGGAGTAAAGTGATCAGGGTGAGGTAGAATGATTCAGTTGATGATTTTCAGTTTATTCTAGGGCTGGGTCCACATTAATGAGGGAGAAAGATGGTACTGTTAATCCAAATGATGTGAAAAAAGCTTCACTATGTTTTATTTAAATGCTCTGTAAAGTTTTACAGAAAGGGTTGTTCTGAAGTTGCAAGCTCCTCGCTTGTTGCCTTGTCAGGCAAGGCTGCTGAACTCATCAGTCATTATTTTAATTTCTTTGTATTGTTGTTGTTCTTTTAATGTTGTCAGTTTTTACAGATGAATTTTCTGCTTTTTTTTTTTTTTTTTTTGAGATGGAGTCTCACTCTGTTGCCCAGGCTGGAATGCAGTGGCACGATCTTGGCTCACTGCAACCTGCACCTCCACACCTCCTGGGTTCAAGCCATTCTCCTGCCTCAGGAGCAGTAGCTGGGATTACAGGTGTGCACCACCATGCCTGGCTAATTTTTGTATTTTTAGTGGAGATGGGGTTTTGCCGTGTTGGCCAGTCTCGTCTTGAACTCCTGTACTGAAGAAATTTGCCTGCCTCAGCCTTCCTAAGTGCTGGGATTACAGGCATGAGTCACTGCACCTGGCCCATTTTCTGCTTTTGTATATGATTTTAATTTCTATTAAAATGCTCATTTGCTCCCATATTGACTAATCTCAGCCTCAGCCTTGTTTCTTTGGGGCCCTTCTTAAAGGTGCTTGAATTCATCAATGTGCTTGGCTAAGGCTGTGCTTCAAAGTTATGATAATTTGTGAAGCTGATGGATGCAAAAACTTTAGAAATGTACATTGGAATTTCCAGTGCCTTTATAAAGATTAGAAATTTTTTAACGTAGAAAGATAATGATAATGAAAAAAAACTAGGGCTTTGACTATGTGCCACACATTGTAACAAGTGCTTTTTGTGCCTTATTTAATTCTCCATTGTTCTTAGGCAGTAACTACATTTATTATTGCTAGCCTAAAGATGTGTAAACAGAGGCTCAGTGTATTAGTCCGTTTTCACACTGCTGATAAAGACATACCTGAGACTGGGCAATTTACAAAAGAAAGAGGTTTATTGGACTTACAGTTCCACATGGCTGGATAGGCCTCACAATCATGGCAGAAGGCAAGGAGGAGCAAGTCACATCTTACGTGGATGGCAGCAGGCAAAAAGAGAGCTTGTGCAGGGAAACTCCTGTTTTTAAAACCATCAGATCTCATGAGACCCATTCACTATCTCAAGAACAGCATGGGAAAGACCCACCCCCATGATTCAATCATCTCCCACCATGTCCGTCCCACAACACATGGGAATTATGGGAGCTATAAGATCAGATTTAGGTGGGAACACAGAGCCAAACCATATCATTCCGCTCTGTCCCCTCCCAAATCTCATATCTTCACATTTCAAAACCAATCATGCCTTCCCAACAGTCCCCAAAAGTCTCAATTTATTCCAGCATTAACTCAAAAGTCCACAGTCCAAAGTCTCATCAGAGACAAGGCAAGTCCCTTCTTTCTATGAGCCTGTAAAGTTAAAAGCAAGTTAGTTACTTCCTAGATACAATGTGGGTACAGGCCTTGGGTAAATACAGCCATTCCAAATGGGAGAAATTGGCCAAAACAAAGGGCTACAGGCCTGATGCAAGTCCAAAATCCAGCAGGGCAGTAAAATCTTAATGGTCCAAAATGATCTCCTTTGACTCCATGTCTCAAATCCAGATCACACTGATGCAAGAGTTGGGTTCCCATGGTCTTGGGTAGCTCTGCCTCTGTGGCTTTGCAGGGTACAGTCTCCCTCCTGGCTGCCTTCACAGGCTGGCATTGAGTGTCTGTGGCTTTTCCAGGCACATGGTGCAAGCTGTCAGTGGATCTCCCATTCTGGGATCTGGAAGATGGTGGCCCTGTCCTCACGGATCCACTAGGTGGTGCCCCAGTAGGGATTCTATGTGGGGGTTCTGACCCCACATTTCCCTTCTGCACTGCCCTAGCAGAGGTTCTCCATGAGGGTCCCGCCCCTGCAGCAAACTTCTGCCTGGACATCCAGACATTTCCATACATCTTCTCAAATCTAGGCGGAGGTTCCCAAACCCCAATCCTTGACTTTTGTGTACTCTCAGGCTCAACACCATGTGGAAGCTGTCAAGGCTTGGGTCTTGCACCCTCTGAAGCCATGGCCCAAGCTCTACAGTGGCCCCTTTTAGCCACAGCTAGAGTGGCTGGGAAGCAGGGCACCAAGTCCCTAGGTTGCACATAGCACAGAGATCCTGGGCCTGGCCCATGAAACCACTTTTTCCTCCTAGGCCTCCAGGCCTGTATTGGGCAGGGGGGCTGCCATGAAGACCTCTGACATGACTTGGAGACATTTTCTCCATTGTCTTGGGGATTAACTTTTGGCTCTTCGTTACTTTTGCAAATTCCTGCAGGCTGCTTGAATTTCTCCTCAGAAAACGGGATTTTCTTTTCTATTGCATTATCAGGCTGGAAATTTTCTGAGATTTTATGCTCTGTTTCCCTTATAAAACTGAATACCTTTAACAGCACCCCAGTCACCTCTTGAATGCTTTGCTGCTTAGAAATTTCTTCTGCCTGATACCCTAAATCATCTCTCTCAAGTTGAAAGTTCCACAAGTCTCTAGGACAGGGGGAAAATGTCACCAGTCTCTTTGCTAAAACATAACAAGAGCCATCTTTGCTCCAGTTCCCAACAAGTTCCTCATCTCCAACTGAGACCACCTCAGCCTGGACCATATTGTCCATATCATTATCAACATTTTCGTCAAAGCCATTCAACAAGTCTCTAGGAAGTTCCAAACTTTCCCACATTTTCTTGTCTTCTTTTGAGCCCTCCAAACTGTTCCAACCTTTGCCTGTTACCCAGTTCCAAAGTTGCTTCCACATTTTTGGTTATCTTATCAGCAGCGCCCCACTCTACTGGTACCAATTTACTGAATTAGTCTGTTTTCATGCTGCTGATAAAGACATACCAGAGACTGGGCAATTTACAAAAGAAAGAGGTTTATTGGACTTACAGTTTTGCATGGCTGGGGAGTCCTCACAATCATGGCAGAAGGTAAGGAGGAGCAAGTCACATCTTACATGGATGGCAGCAGGCAAAGAGAACTTGTGCAGGAAAACGCCTGTTTTTAAAACCATCAGATCTCATAAGACCCATTCACTATTATGAGAACAGCACAGGAAAGACCTACCCCCATGATTCAATCATCTCCCACTGGGTCTGTCTCATAGCACATAGGAATTATGGGAGCTACAAGATCAGATCTGGGTGGAGACACAGAGCCAAACCATATCACTCAGAGAGATTGAATCACTTGCCCAAGGTCACCTAGCAGGTAACTTGCAGAGTCTAGATTTAAACCTAGGCTAGAGCCTTAACCACTGTGTTTCACCGTGTGTCACCTTATTGTTATGAGGCATTTCTCCTTTGTTTAACCCTGTGATGCCATTTCAGGCTATGTGCAGAGGATCTCAACCTGGATGCACATCAGACTCACTGGGGATCTTGGAAAATATGCCAGTTCCAAGCCCACCCCTTAGAGATTCTGATTTGAGACTGAACACAAAAGTAAAAGTTAACAAAAGTTAACAAAAGTTAAATAGAGGCCAGAGTTGGTCTTTCAATTAAGTGATTCTAAAGCACAAACTTTGGATTAGAAATACTTTGCTCTGGGAGATGGATACATAAACTCTAAGAGTTTCATAGCTTTTTCTTATCTTATTTTACCTTGCTTTGAATACTCATGACACATCTCCCATTGACGCACCTGTTTCAAGAATCAGCTCCTATACGAAATTTTCTAATCACTCCCTGCCTTCATTCCCTAAGCAATTTCATATTTAGTTTGGCCCAGATACTGGTGTAGTAAATGCCTTGTAGTTAGATTTTGATCAATTTATGCAGCGGCATCTTCCGACCCAGTTAATTTATGTAGTCTTTAAGGGAAGAACTATGTCTTCTACAACTTCTGTCTTCCTTAAACTACCCTCCATGGTGCTGGGAGTGCAGATATACAAAAAAATGCTGGCTGAGTTAGTGGCAAAACTGCTGTGGATTTTGAACCTGTGAGAGGGTGTGCAAGGGGCAAAGAAGAAAAATAAGTCAAGTCTTATGGCAGTCTTGTTGTTCTAATCACATTTTATTTACATCATACTTATTGAGCATCTCCTAAGTGGTAATCTTGTTTAGTTTGCCACAGATGCCAGACAGTCCTTGCTGTCATGTTGCTTATATTCTAGTGAGAGGGACATTGATTTCTCACATAAATAAATGTACAACCAAGTCATTTCAGATACTATAAGGGTCTGGAAGGAAACATAAGTTAATGTGGAAGAGAGTGACCGGGAGGAAAGGGGACTTCAGGGAAGTTGGAGAAGGCCTTGCTGAGGGAGGGAATGTGTGAGACTGAAATCAGAGGAGTCAGCCATGAGAATTCTGCAGAACATTCCAGGCAGAAGCCCTGGAAGTAGGCATAAGATCTCAGTCTGTGTGTCAGGTAGGGCAAACATACTTGACAAGGAGGCCAGTGAGGGGTCCAGAGACAAAAGGGTGTGTTGGATTCTGTAGGCCTTGTAAGTCACAGTAAGAAGTGTGTATTTCATTATGAGCATGAGATTTTGAAAACTGCATGTACCCAATTGCAAATCATAGTCAATTGTCGGTGCAAATGCAAAGGCATATAGGCTGCCCTAATTATTTCATACAGTTGGATGGGGGCCTTAAGACAATTCTGATAGTGACTTCTAGGGTAGGGAAAGGTGCAGTGTATTGGGTTCTATTTGTTCTAACAAAACATGTCCCTTGATGCAGCATCCAAATGCCTGAGGGACAGATGTTTTTTCTAACTATGCTGAAAGAGGGGAAAGGCAAGCCCCAATTTAATGTTTCTCATTTTATGCTGGTAGTAACTTGGCACTAGTAAAATTATGGCTTATTGTACTGTTTAATAATATCAGTTGACTATAACTCAGCTTTCTTTTCATACATCAATATGAAACTCATAAGTAGCAGAAACAATTTTGATAGCTACATGGTGTATTAGTTTTCTATTGCTGCATAACAAACTCCCACTAGTGTAGCAGCTTAAAATAATACACACTTATTACCTCACAGCTTCTGTGAGTCACAAATCCCTGTACCACTTAGCTGAGTCCCCAGCTCAGGGTCTCACAAGGTTGCAGTCAGTGTCTCAAGGCTTAACTAGGGAAGAATCTGCTTCTGAGATCACTCAATTTGTTGGCGAACTTCATCTCCTTGCAGTTGTAGGACTGAAGGCTCCAGTTACTTGCCAACTCTCAGCCAAAGGCCACCCTCAGACCTAGAAGCTGCCCTCAGCCCCATAAGCAGGTCTCAAACATTTTTCTTTTATACATTTACTTTGCTCTCCATGGGTATCTTCTGGAGGTAGAGAGGGAGGTGCATCTTTTAAAACACTAGTTGAAAACTGGCTTTTAAACTCACAAATAACTGCACCATTGTTAGTTTTGACAACAGTCCCAAGACTGCTTCCTATCTTTTTCAGGTAAGATCATGCCATTCTCTAGCAAATAGTCAAAATAAATCTACTGAATTTTCCAACCTACCTTTCTAGGAGACAAGCCTGCCCCTGGAATATTTGCAGAGTGGATGTCCTATATACACACACACAAAGTGCTCTGTCATCTTTCAGAAGAAATCCAATATTATAAAAATTACCAAAAAAGAAAAAATGAATCACAAAAAAAACCTGGGCATTTAACTAGTCCATGAGTATGGCATGAAGTCAATATCTCTCGTAAACCAAAAAGCATCTGAGACAAGTCTCAATCAATTTAGAAGTTTATTTTCCCAAGGTTAAGGACAAGCCCAAGGACAGCCTCAGGAGGTCCTGACAACATGTGCCCAAGGTGGTTGGACTACAGCTTGGTTTTACACACTTTAGGGAGACATAAGACATCAATCAATACATGTAAGAAATGCATTAGTTTGATCTGGAAAGGTGGGACAACTCAAAGGGTGGGGTGGGGGACTTCTGGGTCACAGGTGGATTCAAAGGTTTTCTGATTGGCAATTGGTTAAAATAATTTATCTAAAGACCTGGAATCAATATAATGGAGTGTCTGGGTTAAGATAAGGGGTTGTGGAGACCAAAGTTCTTATTATGCAGATGAAGCCTCCAGGTGGCTGTTTCAGAGAGAATAGATTACAAATGTTTTTTTTTTAATCAGTCTTACAGAGTCTATTCTGTTAGTTCTAAGGTCTCTGTTTTAATGTTAATGCTGGTCAGATGTGTCTGAATTCCAAGGGGAGAAAGCTGTAATGAGGCATGTCCTACCACCCATTCCCATCATGGCCCAAATTCGTGTTTCGGGTTTACTTTAGAATGCCCTTGGCTGACAGAAGGGGTCTATTCAGTTGGCTGGGGGGCTTAGAATTTTGTTTTTGATTTACACCTTTTAGCAAAGGTTTGTCTTTAATTGTCACTCTTTGCCTACCCAGTATTTGAGTGGTTCCTGTTGATTCTGGAGACTTCAGTCCTCAAGATATTAGATCCAAAGTGTGATATTGTTAGGTCAAAAGCAGTGAAGTAGTGGCAGCCAAGATTCTCCATGACTGCCATAGTCCACTCCTTCCCAGTTCCCCACTCCATTACCTCTACTCATTCCTCGATATGGACAGTAGATGTTTTCTCCATCTTATGTAAAGAGTTATGTAAACTGGGCTCCAGGACAAGACACATCGACACTCTTCAATTACATTGCTGCTCCCAAACCTCTTCCATTTAGAATACCTGGGGCTGCTTCCATTTTAGGTTGATATCAACTAACAGACATTTGGAAACATATCTTTTTCCTCACCTCTGAGAATTCCAAGGGACAAAATATCATTTAAAACCCTATCTAAAGGAAAGATGTGGGCTAGCTTCTTCCCAGGCTCAGACAACCAGTTTGGTTTGTTCTTTAGGGGGTGGCTGCTGCCAACCTCTCAGGGTTTCCTGGGTCAGAGAAACAGAATTTGGAACCTGTAAGTGTTGACTAAGACAAATACCACATATTTGATCAGCTAAGTATTAATAAATCAGCTAAGTAATAATAAATAATAAATCTAATTGTAATAAAATTAATAAATAAATTTGTGGCTTAAATTCCCTTTGAAATATACACACACACACAGGTTAAGGAGAGAAAGCATTTGGCAGAATACATCTGAGGAGTTGCCAGCCATATAATTCTTGAAAATAGCCAGATAAAGTTTGCCAAACCTAAAAGTAGTTAGATTTGCTCATCTATACATTAAAGAAACATTAAGGCCTTTACCTATCGACCTGCACCTACTAAAGAAAAGGGAATTTCAGAGTTGAAACTAACATTTCTTTCAAAAAAAATCACCTTCCCCTGACTAATTATCACTGAGATCTCAATGGGTAATATTGCATATCTAATGCATGATATCCAATAACACACCAGTGTGGAGTTTGCAAATACATAAAGGTTGTTTTAAAGAGGGCAAGGACAAGTTAGCCTCATTAGGTCAAGCAAATATAAGAACAAGTAATGGCCTCTGGTCAAAGTAGGCAAGAGGTAGATAAAATATTTAAAAAGATGGTATTATGTAATAAGCAAGGCCATAACAGTGTCAGAATATAAAATGGCATGCCAGAGGTAGAAAGTATGATATAGATACAGTCTTGAAGTTCTCAGAAGAAAAGAGGTATTCAAATGATGGTGATGATGATGGTGGTGGTGGTGGTTTATGTATTTATTATTATTGTTATAACTACTATTTATTACATTCCTAGCATGAGTTTAAAACTGGGCTAGGTTTGGTGCTAAGCCCTTTGCATATAGCATTTTTAAGCCTTCTCAGAGCCCTTCAGCATAAGTATTCAGTTTATGTGATGACTTCTGTAAAATTACTGAACAGAACCTAAAAGACCTATTGTCCATCTGAATCTTAGGCCCCTATGAAAAGGCACCTATGAATAGTAGAATGTCTGATACTTAGAAGTCCTCACAGATTTCCAACCATTCGAACATAGTGCCATGCTTAATCTGACCCAAAGTGATTAAATGAAGCTCATCATAGAACCCAGTAGTAACTATGAGGGATGGGTGGCCCAGTCTATATTCAAATTTGCTAAGAAGATGCAAATAGCATTTCTTCAAGTTAATGGACCAAGTGGGGTTCTTGGATTGACCCAACCAACCAATTCTACACTTATAATATGCAAGATAACATTTATCAAGAGCTTACTATATGCCAGATACCGTTCTATAATAGTACTCTTTATATACAGTAACTCATTTAATCTTCACTACAACCCCAATATATAGTTTTTAGTCAAGAGTGACTAATACTTTGAAATAGTATTAGAGTAGGCTGACTTCTATAACAAATGTCCCCCAAATCTTAATGCCTTCCCACAAGAAAAGATTTATTTCTTGCTTACATCACAGTAAATCTGATGATTGGAAGACAAATGTTCACGCCATGTTTCAGGGAGGCAGCAACAGCTTCAGAGTCCTAAATCTTCCTCTCCTGGATCTTCTACAACTGGCCAGCAGACAATGAGAAGAGAGAAAAGGCATGGAAAATCTTGTGGAAAGTTTTAGGGGTCAAATTAGTACTGATGTAGCTAGCCATGTCTGCCCACATCCCAGTGGGCAGAGCTAGTCACATGGTCCCACATAGATGCAGAGAAAGAATGGGAAACATGATTTTCCATTGTTCCAGGAAAGAAAAGAACCAGGAGAGTAGGCACAAACAATGTTTCTGCCACAGATAGGTACTACTATTATCCATGCCTTATAATGGAGGAAATTAAGGGACCACTACACAAGATCACACAGTTTGATATCCAGTATCACCCAATCAAGAAGCAGGATAGGGATTCAAACAGCAAGCAATCTTATCCTTAGCCTATGCTTATACCATGACTACTGCTCCTCAACTATAATTCAGGGTCAAAAACATTATTCGCCAGTCATCACTATTTGGTTTGATAGTTTCATCCCAAATCTAGCCCCAAACTGTCATTTTTGTGATTGCTTAAGTATGTCACTTACAGAGTCCCAATCACAGAGCATAGGAAAGCCTGTTATTCAAACAAAACAAGATTCTAAACTTTGCAGAAACATTGCACATTAGCCTTCCACTCCCACCTTCTGTATTCATTCCTAATTTCAGGCCCACCCTCCTACTTACTAACTACCACTACCGCCCCCCAAAAAGAAAAGAAGAAGAAAGAGAAAGTCCTGATAAAGCTTTTCCAGTATTTAAGAAGGTCAAGGGGAGTTTAGTGAGTTAATATCTGCCTGCACCTAGATTTAAACAGACATTTGGCTCCTTTCTTATAATGGATGGCTGAGAATATCAAATCATGAGCTGTGACTGAGTCTAACCCAGCTTTCAGCCTTGTGCTCAATAGCAGGATGCCCCATTACTTTCCTTACCCACAACTGCTATGTCTCATGTGTCCAAAGACATTTGAAACCACATCACTGAGACTCCCCTGTGTTGCTTTTCCCTGAAGTCTTACAGACAACTCAGACTGGCCTGGTCAGACCCTTGGAAAGCTTCAAAAGCCCGGCTGTCAGATGTGTACATGTCAACACACCACCTGTTCCGGCAGGAAACCCACTTTGTTTTCTATTTCTTCCTCCCTTGGGAAATATGCCTGTATCTGGCATCCATCCCCACTGATCCTGCATCACACACCTAGACAAAAAAGTAATTTCATTTCTCAAGCCATTTCTCCCACTTTTATGAAAATTTACTTGAGTTCTCTCTCAACAGGCATGTTGAACTCCTATGTCTTCCTCCTCTTTATGTATTCAAAACTATTCTTGCTCCATTTTTTTCATGCTTCCCCTAATTTGTTTCTGTTTGGAGTCTTAATTCCATCTCTTCTTACTACCTTTGATTATATAAAAGAACCCTTCTTAAGTAACCTAAGATGTTTTCATTTGTATCAGCTACTAATCTTAATTGTTTTTACTGCTATTCCGGAATCTATTGTCATTTCTCTTTAGACAAGTTTGACTATTTGCTTTTCTTCACTCCTAATAGCACATACTAAGGTATAAATAGTATGAGTGGGTAAACATGACAATATTAAAATATGGTCTTATGCTATTGATCTGTATTTTAAGAAACATTGCTTTCTGGATCTTTAAAAGATCAATGGATTTTCACTTTTTGCAAAGTTCTACCACCTCTGTTGTTTCAAACATAATTTCTCTGGAGTATGAAAAGAAATGGGTTTCAAGGAGGTTGCTTCACTAGAGTGTAGGCAGGTCAGATGGATTTTCTTCTTCCTACAGAATCATCCTGTGATATTGAAAAAGTGAAGCTGGAGGAAAAAGTGTATTTAAGGAAAGATATTATGGGACCGGAAGCTTAGAGAATTTAACTTTACTTCTGTGACTCAGATGCCTCCCATTTTAAGCAAGTCATCTGAACACTGTGTACTTTGGTCTTGCCTCTTTATAAAAAGGAAACCAATAAAAATATAGCACCCAAAATATAGGCCCCTTACAAATTTCCAATAATGGCTCATTAAAATTCTCTTCAAAGTGGTGTAGGTGAAAAATTAATGAACTCACTAAGCAGGTTTTTTTCCTAGAAATTGATATTTTGTAAACATTCCATGCCTTCCTCCTTCTATCTCCTCCTGCCAAACTTTCAGCTGGTTCTTCTTTGTGGAACACTCTTCCAGTGAGCAGTACTTTGATTTGTGTTTCATGGGGCATGAAAATTGTAGTGAAAAGCATGGGAAAACAGGGTATAATGAGATTTGTGGTACACAGTCTTGAACATGACATGGATTTTCTTGTCCATGCCCCTCTGTCTTTTCTACAACACTGTGACACATGTCAGTACTCTTACAAGTTGTCTTGACTCTTTCAAGGTCAAGTTGAACACGTGGGCTCAAATCCTGGCTCCATTTCTGATTAGTTATATGATTTTCAGCAAGATCTATAACCTCTCTAAGACTTGGTGTCCTCATAAGTGAAGAACTCATTGAGCACTGTGAGAATTAAATGAGAAAAAGCCTGAGAAGCACATAGTGCCTCGCGTATGGTTAGCACACAACAGTTTGCTGTCCATAAACTCAGTGGAGGATATTTTAAAAATATTAAATTAGTTTTTCTTATTCTTCCTTTCAAGAAATTCCCTGACAAATCCTATTTACCTGGGTTCCTTTTTAAAGTTGGTTGCCACAGGGAAAGAGATGGTGGGCACAATAATCTTGAAAGCCAAGCTTTTGAAAAATACAAGA
Source organism: Homo sapiens (assembly GCF_000001405.40). NCBI lineage: Eukaryota > Metazoa > Chordata > Mammalia > Primates > Hominidae > Homo > Homo sapiens. Next base: position 68,488,853 of record NC_000005.10, on the reverse strand, counting down.
ATCTTCTACATAGTTAAACTTCCCTTTACTTGTTAAGAGTCAAGTGTGATATACCACATTAATAGAATAAGGATAAAAATCACATGATCACCTCAGTAGAAGCAGAAAAAGCATTTGACAAACTTCAACACCCTTTCATGACAAAAACACTCAACAAACTGGATATAGAAGGAATATACCCTAACATAATAAAGACCATGTATCATAAGCCCACAGCTAACATCATACTCAGTAGTGAAAAACTGAAAACAATTTCCTTTAAGATCAGGAACAAGGGAAAGATGCCCACTCTTGCCACTTATACTCAACATAATTCTGGAAGTCCTATCCAGAACAATCAAGTAAGAAAAAGAAATAAAAGAAATCTAAATTGGAAAGGCATAAGTAAAATCATCACATGACATAATCTTTTATGTAGAAAACGGTAAAGACTCCACAAAAGACCTTTAGAGCTAAAAAATGAATTCAGTAAAGGTAGAGAACACAAAATCAAAGTACAAAAATCAATTGTGTTTCTGTACACTAACAGTGAACTATTTAAAAAAGAAATGTAAAAATTCCATTTATAGTAGCACAAAAAAGAGTAAAATACTTAGGAATAAACTTAATCAAGGAGGTGAAAGACTTCTCCACTGAAAACTTTAAAACATTGATGAAAGAAAGACGCAAATAAATAAAAGACATTCCATGTTCAAGGATAATAAGAGTTAATATTGTTAAAATATCCATACTACCTAAACTAATCTGCACATTCAGTGCTATTCCCATCAATATCCCAGTGAGATTTTTTTACAGATATAGAAAAAATGATTCTAAAATTCATATGGAATCACAAAAGACCCACAATAGCCAAAGTGATTTAGAAAAAGAAGAACAAAGCTGTGGGCATCACATTTCCTGATTCAAAATATATTACAAAGGTACGGTAACTAAAACAGTATGGTACTACCATAAAGATAGATATATAGACCAATGGAACAGAATAGAGAGCCCAGAAAAAAACTCACACACATATAGTCCAACTAATCTTTGACATGGGTGTCAAGATTACACAATGGAGAAAGTACAGTCTCTTTAATCTAGACTTAAAGACTAAAATATAAGACCTGAAACTGTAAATATCCTAGAAGAAATATAGGAGAAAATTTTGACATGGGTCTTGGCAATAATTTCTTGGAGATGGTTTCAAAAATACCGGCCAAAAAAAGCAAAAGTAGACAAGTTGAACTATATAAAACTAAAAAGCATCTGCACAGCAGAGGAAACAATCAACAGAGTGAAAAGGCAGCCTATGGAATAACAGAAAATATTTGCAAGCCATAAATCTGATAAAGGACTAATATCCAAAATTAGATAAGAAATTCCCACAACTCAATAGCAAAAACACAACCACCCTATTTAAAAATGGCAAAGGACCTGAATAGATATTTCTCAAAGGAAGGCATAAAAATGGCCAATAGGAATATGAAAAGGTGCTCAATGTCACTAATCATCAGAGAAATGCAAATCAAAACCACAGTTTGATATCACCTCACATCTTTTAGATGGCTGGTATCAAAAAGTCAAAAGACAACAAGTGTTGGTGAGAAAGTAGAGAAAAGGGAACTCTTGTACACTATTAGTAGGAATGTAAATTAGTACAGCTATTATGGAAAACAGTGTGGAGATTTCTCAAAAATTTAAAATAGAAATACCATATGCTCCAGCAATTCCACTTGTGGGTATATATCCAAAGGCAATGAAATCAGTATGTTGAAATATATATGCATTCCCATGTTGATTGCAGCATTATCACAATAGCCAAGATATGGAATCAACCTGAAGTGGCCATCAACAGATGAATGAATAAAGAAAATGTGGTATATATACACAATGTAATACTATTCAGCCTTTAAAAAAGAAGGAAATCCTGTTATTTGCTACAATTGGATGGATCTGGAGGACATTATGCTAAGTGAAATAAGCCAAGCACAGAAAGACAAATAATTCATGATCTCACTTAAATGTGGAATCTTGAAAAGGTCAAACTCAGAAGCAGAGAGTAGAATGGTGGTTGCCAGGGACTGCGGGGTGGGAAAGGGAGAATATGGAGAGATGTTGGTCAAAGGATACAAAGTTTCAGTCAGACAGGATGAATAAGTTCTGGAGATCTATTTTACAGCTTGTTAACTATAGTTAACAATCATATGTTGTATACTTGAAAATTGCTAAGAGAATGGATCTTAAATGTTCTCACCACAAACAATGATAAGTAGTGAAGTGGTAGATATGTTAACTAGCTTGATTTAATAATTTCACAATGTTTACATATATAAAAACATCATGTTGTATACCATAAATATATTTAATTTTTATTTGTACTTGTCCTTCAATAGAGCTTTTGGGGGGTGGGGGAGAAGAGTGAAGCTTGGTAGATTTGAACTCCAGAGATTTATTTGTAGACTGTAGTAAAAAGGGGAAGGAGGATATGATGTAAGAAAAAATTTTACTTGACGGAAAGGAAAAGTAAAAAAGCCCTTCAGATTCCAGAGAGAGGAGCCCAGGAAGGAGAAGAAAGAGAAGCAAGATGTCAGAATTGAGGAACATGACTTCATTATCTGGATCAAAATCCCTGGGGGAATAAAGTTTCGAGAAACTCTGAGGGGAGGTTGACATATTCCAAATGTTTTAACGTAAATATTATAATATTGATTCCCTATAGGGGAGTTTCCTGTTTTCTTCCTGGCACGGAGCAACATGGTGCCACCCAGGAAGGAGTTTAGAAAGGAGGTAGTCTGTGTGGCCTGGACAGGCATTCAGTGTCCCCATGCTCCTCAATAAAGGAATCAAGAAGTGCCATAGGGCGCTGGACCAGAGAGGGACAGAGAACAGTCTGAGAGGGGAGATGAGGAGATCATTTCATGATGTCAGGTCTTCGTGACAGGAGAATATGACAGAAACTATAAACTTCTAGCTCAAATGCCAGGGCAAATAAGATGAGCTGCATCACACTGGAGACAAGTGAAGGCAACAGAGGCAAGAGCCAAAGAGGTCTGGAACAGTTCAAGGAAGAGCAGAAACAGAGTAACCCTGAGTGGCAATGTGAAAATATCAACTTTTCTTTGCTGTCTTTAGAAATGAAGAGCTCCCAAACAAGATGAAATGTGAAAGAGAAAATCTGTGTTTACTTTTGTACATCTGAATATAATATCTAAGTTGTTGACCTTTCTCAGAAATAATTGAGAACCGGCCTCATATCAAAGCTTACTTTTAGTTTGTTCATTTGAAAGGGGTGGAGGTATTTTGCTTAAGACATCTAACTAGCTCACATAGCTGTGGTGAATGCAAAAAGCTATTTTTTAAGTAAATTTTGAAGCCCTATAGGATAAAAGTGGGAATCTATTTTTTTAAATATGAGAGTGGATCACCTAAAGGCATTCACCAAAACACACATACATGTAGACACACCATGTCACACCAGCCACTTAGCTATAGAAGTAGTTCTGAATAAAGTTTATGAGCCCTAATCAGATGTACCTCAGTACTTACTGCCTTAAGCACTTTCTGTTTGGGGCTGAAGTAATCTGACTAAAAATATATCTACCAATCAACACCTTTCTGTTGTTTCTAGCTGCATGGATGCTAAGGGTAGTCTCCAAATATACTTCAAAGAGCCCACAGTTCTCCAGGACACTAATTCACACCAGTATTGTGTAAAGCAGAATAGATGTGTACCACAGTTACCAACAATGTCAACAAACTCAAGGTGTTAGCATGTGAAATGAGGTTGTTATTTTGATGATAGTGATTATATCAACTGTTCCTCCTTACAATCACAGGGTACTTTCAGATCATGGACACTAAAATTACCAACCAGTAATTTGGAGATCAAATTAACAGCAACCATTCAAAGTAAATTGGGTCATTTCGACTCAGTGGTATTAGGCAACAGAAAGAATGTGAAGTTCTCAAACTGGTATGAGAACTGCAGCTCAAGCTTGTTGCAGTTCTAGACAGATGGCTCTTTCAGGCATTGTTCAACTAAGGGGTCATTTCTGCTGTTGTCAGAACGGAAATTCCCAAAACACATACTTTAGAATCTGTAGGCTGCCTTCATAGTATATTTCAGTAACTCCAAAGGCTTCACTGTTGTAAAATTCTTTACTTTGTAACCCAAGTTCTCCAACCTCCTGAGGAGCCACTGTGTCCTTGGAAGTCCATCAGTCTTAGTCCAAGTCTCCGTTTTGGATACAAGAAGTCCTGCATCCTGCTCAAGTATTTCTAAGCATCCCAGTAGAGTTTACATTCCTGGTGGTTGCTTATTGTGTCAGTTAGAAATTAGGTCCAGCTGCATGTAACAGAAACTCAACTGCTGTGGTTTAACCAAACAGGAGGAGGGGTGATTTTCTCATGTATTCAAAGTCTGGACATGAGCAGTACGAGGGCTCTGTAAAGTCTTAGGAGCTCCATGTCCTATCAACATTTTTTTCCTCTATCCTTAACATGTGACTTTTTGCCTCATGCTTGTTGCCTCATGGTCACAGAATGGCTGCCCTTTTTCCAGGCTCATGTCCTTACTCTCAGCAGAAAGAATAAGGGGCAAAGGACCAAGGGGGAACCCCTGAAGCAGAAAAGTGAAACTTTCCCAGAAATTCCTAGCCAAGTTTTAATTATATCTCAGTGACCTGAAATGAGTGTCAGTGCATTTTCTGAAGCCTGGGAAGGCAAGGATTATAGCAAAGTGCACTCCCATCTAAAACAAAATATGAATATGGCTGGTAAGGAAAAGGGGAGCTGGGCTGCTGAGTACCCAGCAGTGTCTGCCACTCTTCCCAGCTCTCGTCCTGAACCACTCCACGCTGGCCATGTCTGGTCATCTCCTAACTATGAGATAGGAAAAATTTAAAACTAGATCTGAGACGTGAATACCCTAGTAGTGGCCTTGCCTCTTCCTGGGAGGAGTAGCCTCCTGGGTGCCTTCTTCCTGATCCTCCACTCCAATACCATATTGCTGAGATCATGGTTTTTTTTTCTTTATTCATTCAATTAATAAACACTTTTTGATCAATTTCTATGCATTAAGTACTGTTTTAGACATTGGGGATATGAAAGAAACCAAGATCTCAAGACCCTTACCTTACATGGAACTCATATTCTAATGGAGGTTACTGTATTTCTCTCCCCAGTTGTCCTCTTAGCAGGCACATTTTGCAGGGCACTCCCTGCACCACTGTTTATGGTAACCGTGGTCACTCCCCAGAGACCAACGTTCTAGTCTTCTGTCTCTCTCTCCATTAGAGGAAGTTTAAAAAATCAGGCAACGAATATTATTTTTGCAGAAATAAACACAATGACCTATTATTGCAAGTCTTTTATTGTCAAACAGTATGTTTATCATCTCAGTCTGAAGCCCCCGCCTTTAGGTATTTCCATTTGTCCAGTGTTTCCTCAAGAAGAATGTTTTTACTTTCTTACTGCATGAGAGGCTTTGCTAAACACAAATTCCAGTTTTCACCTTTACAGCCACAAAGAGTTCAGAAAATTGGGCACCCAGTGTATTTGAGCATCTCCTTAAGCTTATGTATAATAGAGATTCCTCAAAGAGCAACTCATGCCCATTGATAGTTAGTGATTTAATTTTCCTGCACATTTCAATTGAAGGTCTATGTGCATTCTGAAGCCCCTTTATAAAATGTAAATTAAGTGTTTACTTGAATCTAGTTGATCTCTTGCATTAAGCCTCTACTTTTGTTAGGGAAAGGGGATAATACAAATCTCAGTTCTGGAAAGGCCTTTCTCTGTTTCTCTTTCTGACTCAGGACCCCCATGTACACAGGGGATATGACAACACCAAAGTAATAACCAAAGGTATTTGAAGTGGATGAGGTCTTTGAGGTTCTGTGTACAGGTGATCAAGGGTAATGTGGTTGAATCTATGAGTTTCTAAACTTCCCAACATATATTCCTTACCAAACTGCTTCATCTCCAGCTGCCATACTCTGTCTTGTGTTCTCTCCTCCAGCTAAGCATGGAATTTTCCTTCTTCACCTCAAAACCTTCCCTCAGGAGCTTCTCCCTGCTCTCTGCCAAGCCAGTTCTTCAAACCATTGCTCAGGCTATTCCTCCTTCTTAAACTCGCCACACACCACACCATGCTACCTGTCATTATTCTGTTCTCCCTGACTCTCCCTCAGCACTTGCATATGGCTACGTCCAACTGTCCGTCTCTCTGCCCTTCACTGATGCCGGTTCTAGTTCTTCATGAAATGATAAACTCACAAAAGGGGCATCAGGGTCCTCTACATCCTCAGGAACTCCCCACTATATATTGTGTTGCTCCTTGCTCAGAATAGACCATCTGTAAATAGGGGTGCTGCAGGTTTAAGACAAAACTTCTCATCAGCATGCTCAGTTTTCTAGGCAGTTTACATTTGAGACTGCAAAGCAGTGGGCGTGTAACTGCTTCCAACCTTCTCTGGGTGGTGATGTAATCATGGGGAGACCATCTGTGTTTCCTCCATCTGTTGAGGCTTCTCTGCACCTAATCAAGTGCAATGCACCAACTCAAGCCTCATCTTTCCAAGCAGCCTTCTCCGCCTGAACCACCCTTCCTCAGGAGTCCACTCAACCTGGGTCTCCAGAGCAGTGGATATGTAGACAGGCTACAGCAGAATCACTGAGCCTCCATTTCCTTATCAATAAAATGGGATGATAATGTATTCCTCATACGTTTGATGTGAGGATTAAATGAGAAAATGTATAATAAACCCTTTGCACATGGTAGGTGTTCAGCATATGTTAAATCTCTGCCCCCTCCCTATCACGCTTTCATGCTGGGATAACCATTGTTCATTTGCACAGTCTCATTTCCCCTGCATGATTGTGAACTCCTTGAGGACAAAGTCTCATCTAATTTGTCTTTACATAAGGAAGGGTAGGGTGTTAGAGAATTAGAAATCATCAAATCATGACCTTGGTCATGGATCTGCCACTTATGATCTGTGTGACTTTAGGCTGGTTCATTCATCGGTAAAACAAGGCGTTTGGTTTGGAGGACTGCTAAGATCTATGCGTCTAATCTAAATCTCCTAAAGAGCTTAGTGAGTGAATGGGCACCAAGGAAGCATGATTCCTAAGACTTGTTCCTCCTTTAATAGGTGAGTGAGTGAGTGTCCAATGTCTTAAAGGCTCTATGATCACACTAGCCATTCCTTTCCACTGGGCTCATTCAAGTCCAGCAGACTAGAGCTTAAATACACTGCAGCTCCTCAGGCCCACAGAAGGAAGGTGTTCCTTAAAATTAAAGCTCCACCCAGGGCAAATTCTATGAACCAGCCAAGCAGGTCTCCTGAATTCACACGCTCCCTTAAACCCCATCCACCCAACTGCCCAGGAAGGATGACGTAAGTCCTATTGGTGGGAATGCTAGAGTGAGGGATGGGAGTCTATATTCAGTTTCTGCAACTGCCCTTTTGGTTCACTCACACAGCTGATGCTGGAAGCTAAGGTGCATAACTGGTGAGCAAATGTTTTGTTATCTTCTTTACCCACTGGCAATGTTATAAAAAGTCAGTATTGATGCCAAGAATTTCTTTGAGATTGTCAAGTAAAAAATGCTAATATGGATCAGATTATAAAATGGCTGATTCTATTACAATAAGCACCTTTATATAAGGAGAAAGGTTTTTTCCTGCTTTGGGCCATATATTTCAAGTTATACCAAACCTGACATATTTGTAGTATAACCAGTCCATTTATATGGGAACTTTGAGCCTATATTAAGCAAAGTGAGGATGAAGGTCTCTATTCTTGGCCTCTTCCTGTACCATCACAAGAATATCTGCCACATTTATGTCTAGTGAGCTAGTTTGAATACATAGATGCTGAGTACTTTCATACTTATCCTTCTTATTAATGCTCAGGGAAAGAAAAGTGTGGGAGAGAAAGAGACTTGAGTCCCTAAATGTGCAGGTACTGTGCTAGGTCCCATCAGACTTCGTCTCATTAGACAGCTAAGGCTCAGAGAAGAAACTTGTCTCTGATCATACAGCCAGTACATGGCAGAGCTGAGATTTGAATCAAGACCTCACTCAAGTGTCCACGCTCTTAACCACTGCACCCCAGTGGCTCCCTGGGTTAGCAATTAGGTGAGTTGTTAGTCAATCAAGTAGGCAAAAATGTACGCAACACAAGGTATGGGGGTCCATAGAAAACTCTCTCCCTTTCTCTCCTGAGACCTGTGTTCCATGGCAGGTGTACCTTGGTGATTAATGCTTCTGAAGCTCTGGGTGTGCCCAGATGATATGCTATCTACAGCACACAAATGGGAAATTTCAAGATGCTGTTCTCTAACAGGCTTGCCACCAAATGCTGTCAGAAAACTAAAATTGTTCAGGCTATTTTGAGACCAAACTCAAAGTTTTATCCAGCTTCTCCCTGAAGTAAATTGATGTTCATGGATCTCAGAGCTGTTCTTTGCCTCACATTTTAGGTGGGGCCGTATAGCTAGAGTTTGTGCTCATTCAGATTCATGTCCTTGTGTTGACCCCAATCCTTCTGAAAAGCCCAGTGGAATTACAGGGTCTTAGATAAAATCAGAGGCCTGTATTTTCTAGCTTCAAAATAAAGAGAAGGCAAGAGTTGACTCAGAACACAAACAGTTCTGAGAATAAAATTAGAATTGCTCATTTAATGTTTATACACCTTGTAGGCTGGGGGTGGGTGCAGCTTGTTTACTTTCTGAGTATAAATTACTGAGTTTTCCCACCTTGAGATAGAAACCTGACCTGTGAGACAAAATTTTATTTTCTTCCCTCTTTTTATAACAAGTAGAAATGGCTTGGTGAAATGTGTGTTGGTTTTCATTCTGGGTGAGAAAGTAGAAGTGAGGCTGCAAATTCTAAGTAATGTGTTCTAAGATGCACCTGAGACTGACTGGGCACTAATATAAATTATAACAAAGACTGGAAAATTTATTGCCCCCTCCCCTGTGTTGGCTCTTGACATTTGGCCTGGAGTCTTCATGGTCACTGTGCAGCCCGGGAAGTGATGCAGGCTGACACACATGGGGAATCTTTTCCTGGAAATGGGTTTAGAGGACAGCTTATTATAAACAATAAGCCCTTGTGTAGGGGGTTGAAAATAAACTCAGACAGTGCATGAGGTTACAGTTATGTGCTGAAAGGCGAAAATCCACCATCTGTCACCTGTCCACAAGCCCTGATGGAAGCATTTGCCTCTGCCTGGAATCCCATTCCAGAAACTCCAGCTCAGTGATTAGACACTTCTTTATGCAGAGTCCAGGGACTTAGGGATAGACTCCCATGGTATTTAAGCTTATTTTTAAAAACATCATTTTTTGGTTGTTTTTAAGAAAGGAGGCAATGTTGTATTAGAAGGCCACATGATCTTTTTAATCTGTCAGCTCATTGCCCAAATGTCACAGTCTAAAGGACTATTCTGGGCCAGCTCTCATATATTTCCCTCCATTAATTGTATATGTTATTATTTAGGCACAGCATGCGTGTTGGCTCCAACCTGCATGAATGAAAAAAAAAATGACAAGCTCTGAAGCTTTGTCTCTCCAATACAGAAAAACCATCATAGTTTTCTACCATTGCTTTTGATTCTGTACTAAAAGTCTTGTTGAGCGAATGATATTTGTGGACCAGAAAACTGTATATACGAGTCAGACCATTGTCTCCCCTTCTCCCATGATGTCTATCACAGTTTAAATGTTCCCTTCATCTCTTTCTTTCTTATATAGCACAGCTTCAGCTCCAGAGTTAACTGTAAAATTTCAGAAGCATATTTTTCTAGCAACTCAAAGCACTTAAGAGGACTCAGGGAAAAGTATTTTGGCACTTACTTAGGGGGAATTATTATGTTGGTTGCAAAAACATTTTGGAAATAAAAAGTGTCTTTAGTCTTGTGATTACATAAATTTCTACTTGGCAAACAAGGACTGTTCTGGCGTTGTGGACCTAGAATTTAAGACATCATCTTTTTAACCTAAATTCCTTTTCTGTGAATCTACATTGTTGGTGAGGAAGCAACCCAGGGAGGTAGTGGCTATAATTCCAGTCTTCAAGTCTATGGACAATGCAAGGGTCTAGGGCAGTCCAGAGCTCCTAGATCATTCTGTGGGTAGAGAGAACTGAGGTGGAAGAGACAAGCTTCTTGTTCAGTTGGCCCATGTACAGCTACCAGAGGGAGCCCTAGGGCACCCATAATAGGCTCCCTGAAATAGAAACATTTCAGGTACTAACAGAGTCCCATGACAGCTTAATGCTATGAGAAGGGTTAGAACCTTTACCCTAAGTACATGTTCCCAGCCTGTGGACTGTGGGCTCCTGGCAGCTGCAGCTCTGTAAAGAGCGAGAAATTCACAGCTGGGTAGAAAACAGCCTGGGTAAGGTTTCACATAATTATGTCCTAGGTCATCTAACATAGCAAGGAAGGCTCTGGAGACTAACATTTTAGGTTCAAATGCTGGCTGTGTCTCTTACTAGTTGTGTGGCCCTGAACAAGTTATTTAACCTCTGAATACTTCAGTTTCTTCATCTGTAAAATGGAGATAATGGTGATAATATCACCTCACAGGGTTGTTGTCTTAAATGAGTTAATATCTGAGGAACAGTGCTGCTTACATAGTTAGGGCTCGGTGCATTTTAGCCATTCTTATTGTTTGACAGACATATTTGAAGCTGCTGTCATGATAAATTAAAATACTTTCATTTAAATGTGATTTCATTGTTACTCTTTGTCAATATGCACAGTTTCGGTTGATGGAAACCAAACACAGAATTGTCATAACAGAGGAGTCCTCATTCTCAGAAATGAATGAAAGAAATAAAACAGGGGGGCTGAGTTATCCTAAAATAGGGAAGAAAATATGTATGGCAAGCAGGGCTAACTTCTCTATTAGGCAAAGTAGGCAGAGAATCTAGGGCCCACAATGCTTTCAGAGGCCCATGAAAATGTTTTAATTTCCTTTAAAACCGGAAGAAAAAGTTAATTTTCAGATTGAAGAAAGTGTTTTAATATATAATATTAATACATTTGTCTTTAGGCACTTCGTATAAACATGAAATACAGTTTTTAATATTTTTATGGAAGAAGGGGTCAACAAAGGCAAAATATTAGGAAGTTATAATGTAGCCCAGACTGCAAGTGCCTCTGTTGTATTTGCTCATGTCTTTTCCTGTGTTCCTAACTGAATGGGGAGCCCTTTGAAAGCAGAAGATTGCATCCTATTTACCATTGTACACACCGAGCCTAGCATGGTACCTGGCATATCATAGGCAACAACTATATATTTGATGAATGAAAGAAATGATTAGTATTTTAAGTCACATGGAACAAGCCCTGGAAAGAGGGCTTTTGCTAAGGCTCCAAGCAAGTCAACCTCTGTGCAGCTTAGAAGTACTTTGAAAGTGGCATTCTATGTCACATGGATGAAAAATCAAAATGATGAAAACATCATTAAGCAAGGCAAAATAGAGACACACTCTGTTGTCTCTGGCTTTGACTCTAAAGCAGACTTTGCATGAAAGACTGCAAGTTTAGCTCCAGCTAAGGCCCATCCACTTGGAAGAAAGCCCTCAGAGATGGTCCCTGGAAGAGTGAGTCTGTCCTGCTGCAGAAGGGCCAAAGAAATAGAGTGCAACTTCAGAGACTCAAAAACGCAAAGGAGGCACCCCTCGCAGCCCTCCCTTAGAGCTCTGCTGGGCCCTCCATGGCCAGGCCAGAGGCCACATAGGGAGGAGAGGGAGAAAGGCCTCCTAGTGGTAGGGCTACACCTCAGGGAAGCCAAGGTCTAAGTGGTGACTGACAGCCAAATCCAATGGGAAAAAGTTGAAACACCAAAGTTCTCTGGCCAAAGTTCAACTGGAGTTACAGCTGCCTCATGGAATTCTGGGGTGGGGTGGTGGAGGGGATGGATATATTCAGGAGCAGGACAGAATTGGAGAGGAGCATGAAAAAAATCGAGGAAACTGCAGTCAGTGGGAAAAGGGAAAATATTGCTACATTGGATTTTTGGGTTAACCAAAAATCTCCTTTGCTTCAATCCTTAATAGTAAAAAATAAACAGTGATCTATTTGCAATAGGGACTGTATTATACGAGATCAAAACACACAATAGGCAGGAATCTTAGCAATATAATATTCAGTTAAAAAACCTCCTAAAGTATTACATACAGCATGATACCCTTTAAAAATTTTATATGGACAATTTAAAACACATACAAAAGAGAATACTGTCACCTCCCTCAGGCATCCTGCATCCAGCTTCCATCTTGGCCTATCTTGTTTCATCCATATATACCTCTTACCCGCTTTTCTCCTCCCTTATTATTTTGAAGAAAATCTCAGACATAGTGGAATAACATTTGTATAATATTGAAAACAGTTAAAAATTAAGAAATACTTTCATGAATACATAGATGCCATTAAAACATATAAAAAGCTTTTTATTTTATCTTATTTTATTTTTTGAGATAGAGTCTTGCTCTATTGCCAGGTTGGAGTGCAGTGGCACGATCTTGGCTCCCTGCAACCTCCACCTCCCGGGTCCCAGCAATTCTCCTGCCTCAGCCTCTCAAGTAACTGGGACTACAGGCGCCCGCCAACACACCCGGCTAATTTTTGTATTTTTAGTAGAGACGGGGTTTCACCATGTTGGCCAGGGTGGTCTCGATCTCTTGACCTTGTGATCTGCCCGCCTCAGCCTCCCAAAGTGCGGGATTACAGGCGTGAACCACCGCGCCCAGCCCATAAAAAGCTTTTTAAAAGGATGATGGTGACCACAGGTGTGGGGTGGGCTACATGTAGATTAGCATCAAGTTCTGAGATTTTGTTTTGAATGGCCAATTCTGGGTTCTTATTACCTTGTTACTAATAATTGATTAACGAACTGACTAGCAGAATAAAAGGAGACCATGCAAAGACCAATATGAGAGAGTGTGTGAACCCAAGATTTTAATTCCTCTCATTTTCTGTGCCAGAAGCTGCATCGGTCCCCTTTTCTGCCTGCGTAACTGCAGTCATCATCGTCTTTCCTTTCAAGGGTGACTAGAATGTGTGGGAGGGCAGTGGGGGTTGGAGAGGAAGACTTTAAATCCAGTTTGTTTGAAGTCCTGGTTAGCTGGGTTGCAGACTTAGACTCACTGTGTCCATGAGCACGTCCTGTCCACGGCCTACTTTGCTTTAACCCACTTTGCCTATTCCTGCCTGAATTCTGGAACTCAGAACCACAGCTTGGTAGCAGAGGCTGCAAAACGATTGCAACCTACACAAGAGAGGCACATTCATTACAACCAAATGGACTGTGGGGGCTCCAATGAGAAGCCTGTGCCACAAGTTTTATTTCTGGCAGGAGAGGCTCCAGAGGTAGGGGAAGAAAGGAGTGGGAGAGAGTGGAGAAAGGTGTAACAAAGACAGAAAAAGAAAGAGTGAGGAGACTGTTTGCTTATAACTATTTACAGTATAGTTTTTTTTTTCAATCTAAGATGTATTTAAATCAATTCATTTGAAAGACTGTTCTACTTTCAGCATATGTCCTGATTTGAGTTTTGGATTTTAATACAATCACTACAGGTTGAATTGCTTGATTTAATTAACTTTTTCCTATTAATTGAGGAGGTGGAGCAGAGGGTAGTGCATTGAGACACCCTCTCTTAACCTTGGCTCTGACCTGTAGAGCAGGCCATGTAAGCTTTCTGGGCTTAGTTTCTACATCTGTAAAAATAACGAGGTAGGACTAGAAGATCTCTAGGGTCCATTTCGGTTGTAAAATTTTATCATTTTAAGTGGCCTGAACAAACCATAAATGGGTTTGTCAGAAGCACAGAGATGGGTATGTCACAGAGATTGAAAAGAACAGGAAATTTGTTCTTTGACTTCCCAGACCAGTGTTTAACTTCTACACATCCAGTTGCTTAGGTCTTAAATGTTCATGTGTTTCCACATTTCCTTATGACCTACACACCTTAAAAGAAAATGAAGGTTGCAAAATTTTCTGCAAAAAATCCCACGTTAAGTGGAGCAAAACTTTTCTTGAATAAGAAAGAGTTTTCTGAATGGAAATAGTCACAAAGTCAGCCCCAGATTCTAGACGTTCTATTTGGTAATACAAGTTACAGGTAGAAAATGGCTTTCTGGTTTGGAGAGCCATGGGCCATGGGATACATAGCCCTGAGACACACACATGCATACACACACACACATTCATAACTGAAGGAAGTATTTTTTTTTTCAGCTCATTCATCCTGATTTGGGACCCAGAATCCATGTCTCTTCTTCTGCCTAGAGGGCACAAGTGACAAGGCATTAGATGCTGTTGCCAAGACCCTGGGTGCCCACAGCAGAGTGATGCTGAGATAGATGTGGATTCTACCTTTAGCACCTGGGGTGGTCATGGGGTAGAGAAGGGAGAAACCATAACTAGAATCAGTATTAACATATCAAAGGAAGTGAATAGAAAGCCTGGAGTCAAAACCAAATATCTATACTACTTAAAACGTAATGAAGAACAAATTGGTAGGGAGAAATGCGTTATTTAGTAATAGTGTTGGGATAACAGCTTACACATTGGAAAAACTGCATATTGAAACTTAGCTCGCATTATACACTTCAATACACTCTAGGTAGACTAAAGAAATATAGAACTGTAAACTAGGTTTAAAAATGTATGTAATTTTAGTTTGAAAAGGCTTTTCTAAGGCAGAAACCGTGAAGAAATAGATTGGTAGATTTGACAACATAAAAATTTTACTTTTCTGTACATCCTAAAACAATAAAAAATTAAAGACAGCCAGGCACGGTGGCTCACGCCTGTAATCCCAGCACTTTGGGAGGCCAAGGTGGGTGAATCATGAGGTCAGGAATTCGATACCAGCCTGGCCAATGTGGTGAAACCCTGTCTCTACTAAAAAATACAAAAAATTAGCTGGGTGTGGTGGAGGGCACCTGTAATCCCAGCTACTCAGGAGGCTGAGGCAGGAGAACAGAGGTTGCAGTGAGCCAAGATTGTACCACTGCACTCCAGCCCGGGAAACAGTGCCAGACTCTGTCTCAAAAACAAAAACAAAAACAAAAACAAAACAAACAGAAAAAAACCACAGGACTAAGTGGAAAATATATTTGTAAAATAAGATAATATCACTATTATGGCAAGAGTTCTTATTAGTCAACTCAGAAAAGATAACCATTCTTCCCACCAAAAAAAAAAAAAAAAAAAAAAAAAAAGAAATAGAGAAATAGGTATAGGCAACAGGTAAGAAAGAACTGGAAAAGAGCCTCATAGATACTCAAAGCAGCGTAAACTAAAACAAGGAAATACTGTTTTGCCTATAGAGTCAGTTAAAAGACTGATAATAGCCTTGGTAATTATGCGGTGAAATGAACACTCTAAGATTAGCTTTATTCCTCATTCTTACTTTAGTATAAAATCTTAGGAAAGCCGCTTAAGCTTTTTGAGCCTCGATTTTCTCATCTGTAAACTGGGGATTATAATAGTATCACTTGCAGGGTTAGTCTGAGAATTAGACGGGCTAATACATTTTAAATGAACTTTGTAAATTCAAAAGTAATATACACACAGGTATATATAATTATTGGGTCCTATAGCCCTTTGTTCTCAAAGAACAAAGGGGATGTAAGGGAATGGGTAGAGTTGTTTCCTTGATGCTATCTTTAAGATCCTGCACTAAAACATTGTAGCTTTGTTAAGCTACTCTCCAGAGATGGCACTGAGGACTGAGATACATGGATATTGTTATAGGAGCAGCAGAAACTAAGAGGGCACTAAAACTGATGTTGGCAGGAGTGGATGACCAGAGCCACCATTCACTGGCAACAGCCAAGAGGTGATGATGGAAGCCACTTCTAATGGCAGAAACTACCTCAATGAAGCAGCAGCTGAGAGTGGTTCCTGGAATAGAGCTATGTCCAAGGAGAGGATCCACTAGGAGTGACTTCAGTGAGCCTAGCAGGAATCACTCTCAGTCACAGATCAGAGGTGGAGCTGGGAAGACTCCAGAGGAAATGGGTACCACTGGCTTTTTGTGTAGTAAGTAATATTACACAAAGAGCTATATAACTGTACTTCCTGGGTTCAAATCCCAACTCCACCAATTGTGTGACCTTGGGGAAGACACTTTATTTCTCTGTGTCTCAGTTTTCTCATTTGCTAATAAAATAATAGTAACATCTAGATAATGATTATTGTGAGAATTATGTAAGTTAATATATGTAAAGCACTTAAAGATGTCTGGAACATGTAAATACCTAGTTAATGTTACATGTTATTATTGTTGCTATGGTCATTATTAGCACTACTACTACCGTGACCACAATCTTTCTTAAAGAGACAATAACATTTTCTCACTAGGAAACCTAGTATTGTTGGAAGCTAAAAATTCTGGTTAGGAGGTAATAAAAGGAAGTTTCAACCATAAGAGTAGGTTTTTCCCCTTGCTACCTAGAGAAATATTTATCCATCAGTTGGCTCCATCTTTTCTTTCCCATGGAAAGAAGGGGAATAAAAGTCTTCAGTTCACACCATGGTAGTAACTTACAGCATCCTTAAAGATGCAGCTCCCTCTCACCCCTAACAGAGACCTCTCTCAAGTTCATAGGCTCAAATCTACAATTCAAATAAGTGCCCCAAAGGGAAGGCTATTCCTGTGTTCTGGACAGTAGTATGAGAGAGGCCTAATATAGCTTCTTGCTTCATTTATTCAACAGTAAGTTCAAATATTTCAAGAATATTTCCTAGAGAATATCCCACGATGCCTTTGAAACCTCCAAAATGGAAGGATTTGATTTAAAAATGAATGATTAGGTCAAACTCCACTTATAAAATTACCTAGCCTTGCACTTCCAGGTCAAAGTGTACTTCATGTCCTGGTGTTAAAGGTGCTACAGCAAAACTTTCTTCCTATGTAATAAGATTCAAGAGACTAATTTTTAAATATAGTATTTGAGTGAATGTGGCCAGTGGCAAGTACATAGTGGGCCTGCCGTGATGTCTGATCTCCCTCACCTCCCAAAATTGGTGCTGTTTACCAACCACAAATGCCATTCAGAATTCCCACTATAAGATGGCTCTCTTGAAGGCATATATTTGTAATAGTGGATCACTATTCATGTCACAAGCAAGATATGTGACATATCTCCATTGGTGTGGAACAGGGGGTCTAGGTGGCCCCTGCTGTCAGCCACGTCCGGGACCTTCATCTCTACAGATAAAATCACCAGAGTTTCAAGGGGTTAAGTGACTTGCTCAAGATCACTCATCCATGCAGTCTTTTCCCCCAGAAAAAAACAAGAGGTCACAGCCACCAATGGCTATAGAATATATACCAAATATTCTTAAACTATAAACTCTAAAATAGGCAGCTAGAAAAAAAAGAAGAGTGGAAAAGAAGCAAAATGCTTGGACACTCAAAATAGACAAAACAAATCAAAGCCTGGAGCTTGAACAGGCAGGAGAGGACACCAGAACACGTTTCTCTACCTGTGTTGTCAGGGATGAGTTGAAAGAAGAGGGAGGGTCTCAAGAGTGATAACGCGATCCAGCATTGTTGGCTTCTTTCAGAAGCCACTCAATTTTCCTGTCCTGTTGAATCTCCAGCTACTCTGAACAAAAGGAATACTATTACTGTTACTTCTAGGGTTTCTTGGGTGATGCTGAAAACATGTCCCCCTTTAACCTGTGCAGTAGAAAGAGAAAGCTTTGGAATAATATAGGATGCTGACTTGGCTAACTAACAGTGTGAGAACATGTTTGCTCATCTGGAAAATGGGAATGATAATGCTAGTAACTATGTTGGAGGACAGTTGCAAGAATTACATGGGACAGTATTTGTGAAGCAGTCAACATCATGCCTAGCACGTGGTTCTTTCTTTGTTAGGAAAGAGGTTAATTCTCTACATTTTTTTTTTTTTTGGAAAATAAAAGTGGGGGAAAAAACTGACACCACACTCCGTCTTTTCCTCTTTCCTCCTTCTTTCCTTTGAACTTGAAATAGAGAACCTGAGCTTAATAATTTCCACTCCTATTGTAGTTATTTTTCTCTTTAAAAAATATCTTGAATTGTGAGATATCCCAGCAGCCAACAAAATAAAACTTCAATTCACCAGCGTTTTGAGCCTGTGCAACCCAATGATGACACAAGACATCCCCAGCTACCCCGTGGTTTCACATCCTCAGTGTCAAATATTTACAAGAAATTGAACACTATTAATCTGGACATTGTATCAAAATGTATCAGCAATGGGGAGTTCAAGTTAGGGTGTTAATGTGAACAAACCCAAAGTAAAGATAGCAGAGTAAATTACTCAGAAAACACATCCTGGCACAGGAATAAAATTGGTGTTCCATTTAATGTTGGAAAACCTGAGGGACTGGGGCCAGGGATAACCTGTTGATATTTGCAGAGTGTACCATGTTGCAGGAGGCACATTAGCCCTCTGTGGTACAACTTGAATGATAACTGATCCTGGATGATTTAAATGAAGACGGTCAACAATCAGTCAACCCTGAGGTGAGTCGTATAAGAAAACTGCATTTTTATTATCAAGTTTGAAGGGAGAAGCAGGACTAGATTAGTTAAAAGCCCACTAAGCACAGAAGAAGTGCAGATATCCCAATCCTACAAAACCTTGGCTGGACCAGGGAGCTCAGAAGCATGGGCTGTTTCAATGAAAGAGGAAGAAAAAAGAACCCAGAGGTCCCTATAGAGGAAGAATGCTTCAGAACATGGTATTTGTACTTGTTGGTTTTCTTAATTAGAAACAAAACAAACTTTGGTCAGATTTTACTAAAACATAATTTCTTGAAAAGATATTTAATAGCTTCACAAATGCCTGAAAATGGAGAATCATGAAGGATCAGAGCTAAAATCATACCACAAGAATTTTTTGGTAAGGATGGTGTCTTAGGTTGCCTGAACTGCTGTAACAAAGTGCCACAGACTGTGTGGCTTAGGTAAGAGGCACATTCTCACAGCTCTGGAGGCTGGAAGTCCATGATCAACGTGTCCACAGGGTTGGTTCCTTCTGAGGGCTGTGAGGGATCTGATCCAGGCTGCTCTCCTTGGCTTGGAGATGGTGTCTTCATGTTCACTTGGCATCCTCCCTGTACGTCTCTTCACAGTGTCTTCCCTCTGTGTATGTCTCTGTGTCTAAGTTTCCCTTTTTTATAATCAGTCCTGTAGGATTAGGGCTCACCCCAATAACCTCACTGTAACCTGATTACCTCTGCAAAGACCCCATCTCCAAATCTGCTCACATTCTTAGATACTTGGGGTTAGATATTCAGCATATGAGTTTAGGGGGTAGGGGACAAAATTCAACCCATAACAGATAGTCCCTCTGGGTGCTGGTTGTTAGATATTGCTTCCTGCTGGTGCTGTGACCCCTGCTCCCTTGGTCACTGGGAGAAGAATGCTCCACTGCCCCAGGTTGGAGCATCTGATTGGCTAGGCTGCTCACACACACTCTGCCAGTGAGGAGAAGGAAAGTTAGACTCTGGCTTTCTCAGTTTCTAGGGCAGGAGGCAGGTTCTGTCTTCTACCAAGACTCATGCTGTGGGATTGCCCTCAGTGGAGGAGGAGGCTCAGCAGCTAAACAGTCAGAAACCCGCCAAGTAGCCACATTTGTACTTTTTAAACTAGTCAATGTCTTCAAGTGGGCATACTAGTCTATGGAAAGAGGCCTTGAATAACAATTTTTAAATATATTTATTTATTTATTATTAAGACATGGTCTCACTCCCATTGCCCAGGCTGGAGTACAGTGGCGTGATTTTGGCTCACTGCAGCCTCAACCTCCCAGGCTCAAGCAATGCCCACCTCAGCCTCCCAAGTAGCTGGGACTACAGGTGCACACCACCATGCCCAGATAATTTTTGTACTTTTTATAGACACACGGTTTCACCATGTTGCCCAGGCTGGTCTCAAACTCCTGGGCTCAAGCAGTCCTCCTGCCTTGGCCTCCCAAAATGCTGGGATTACAGGCATGAGCCACCATGCCTGGCCTTGAATAACATGTAAATAGAGGGTCTAGAATCAAGCCAGGTGATGAAGGAACGCTAATGCTTAATGGCAAAACTCATAAATTTTAGTCTATCTCTCATTCACATTGAGAGAGGTGGGATACCATGGAGCCTTTCTACTTAAGATGATTAATTTCCACCATCACAATCCCAAATGGAAGTGAGGAAAACACCTAGGCCTACCTATCCCTTGTCCTCTCTGACTTTCCTACAATGACCTATGATGAGACATACAAGTGCCCGAGAAGAGGAGCGCAAGAGCTTCTTTTATTTATTTATTTATTTATTTATTTATTTATTTATTTATTTATTTATATTTTTGAGACAGAGTCTAGCTCTGTCACCAGGCTGGAGTCTGGTGGCGCCATCTTGGCTCACTGCAATTTCCACCTCCCAGGTTCAAGTGACTCCCCTGCCTCAGCTTCCCGAGTAGCTGGGACTACAGGTGCACACCACCATGTCTGGCTAATTTTTTGTATTTTTGTAGAGACAGGGTTTCACCATGTTGGTCTGGATGGTCTTGATCTCCTGACCTCTTGACCTGCCCGCCTTGGCCTCCCAAAGTGCTGGGATTACAGATGTGAGCCACTGCACCCGGGTTATAGGAGAGAAGCAGTTCTGGGTAAATGCTGACCAAGCCATTGGTCAGAATCACCATTGTGATAGACATTGGAGCCAGGGGGCATCCCTATAGAGACTTACTGAGAGAAGGGCACGTCAGGGAGAAAGGGAAGTCCTTCCCATAGGAAAACATAAGACTTGACAGGAATGAGCTCTTGAAAACAAATAGCTACTGCCAGGGCAGAGTCCATGGCTCCACACCCCTCACTGCCAAGCCTTCTGCAGAGCTCTCCTGCCCACTGGCAGGTTTATTATTTACTGAACACTTATGGAGCCAGGCACCATACTAGAGACTTGAGGTGCAAAGATGAAAACTTAGTCTCTGTCCTAAAGGAGATCGATGCTGGTATAGTGTGGAAAACACACTCATAAAGAAATATAAAGGAGTATTTTTAGAGCACACATCAGTATGTGGAATTGGGTATATTTTAATCTTTACTTATTCACTCTCTGTTCCCCACCATTAAAATGTAATAGACTTTGTACATTCACTGCTGTATCTGGAGCGCCCCAGCACATAGAGTCTAGGAAATGTTAGGAATTATCAATAACTTCTATCATGAAAGCGTATCAGAAAGAGTGCTCAAGGCTGCTGAGGAAGATTAAGGAAGAGAGGAAGCACCACATCACTATTATTCAATTCAATTTTGGTGGGTTGTGTTATTGGACAAGGATTTTGCACATATCCCTGTATTCATGCCCTTTGGCAGTGGGCTTAGCCATTAGACTTGTTTAGACAATGGGATAGTAGCAAACTTGATGCAAGCAGAAACTTGAAATGTGCTTAAAGGTGTCTGATTGCTCTCTCGGAACCTTGCCACCACCAGAAACACAAACCCAGACTAGCCTGCTGGGAGAGATGAAACTATATGGAACAGAGATGAGTGGCGTCAGCTGAAGGCCATCTTAAGCCAGCTAGACCCCAGGTGAGTGGGCAGCTGATTGCAGATACATGACTGAGCCTAGTCCAGATCAGCAAAACTTCCCAGCTGACCCACAGAGGTGTGAGAAACACCAAATGGCTGGCTTAAGCCACTAAGCTTTGGGGTGGTTATTACATATTGTGGCAGTAAATAACTGATACACCTACTGTCTCACTCAGCAAAAACCTGTAAAATAGTAGTTTTTACTACCACTTCAAATATACGAAAACTGGGGCTCAGAAACAAATAGGAGGGAAACAGAATTTCCCTTGAGTCTCCTGAGTCTTTGGACTTCAAATTTGGTCCTCCCGTCCTTAGGCCATAACTGCCTTGATGTTTAAAAACACGAGTCTAACAGCTCATTAGAGCCTACAAATTAATTATGTCAACAAGAGGGAGGAAAGGAGGGAAGGAATGAAGGAAAAGGGGAGAGAAGGAGGGCAAGAGGAAGGAAGAGAGGGACAGAGGTAGGAAGGGAGGAGTATGTGTGACCCCCAAGCCAATATGGTTGCTCCATGAATTTAGCCCCATGGGTGGTGCTTAGAGGATTCTAAGTGATGTCTAATATACATCACAGGCTAACTTAAGAAATGGGTTAAAGAGAACCTTTTAAAGAATGAAACAGGGAAAGAGGTAGACGAGACAGGACAGGATAAAAGATGTGTATGTTTCTGTGAGACAGATGAAATAATCCAACCTACTTTTGGCTGAGTGGCCAGGGAAAGACTCTCTCTGGGGAGGTAGCATTAAATCTAAGATTTGAATAACAAGAAAGAACTGGGATCAGGGAGAACAACATTCCAAAGCAAGAGGACAGCTGTGGCAAAGGGCCCAAGGCTAAAACAAGCTTGGCAAGAGCAAGGACCCAAAAAAGGACCCAGGTGGCTTGACTGAAGTAGTTGGCGGGGGGAGGGACAGATTTCATTTTCAGTGGCATCTGACATGTGTTTTTAAAAGATGACTTTAGAGAACGGATTGTGGGGAGAATGGATTGTAGGCAGGTAAACACAAAAATAGGAAGACCAGATAAGAGGTTATCACAGTTGTCCATGCAATGGGTGCTGGCTGGGTGCGGTGGCTCACGCCTGGAATCCCAACAGTTCGAGAGGACAAGGTGGGACAATTGCTTGAGGCCAGGAGTTCGAGACCAGCCTGAACAATATAGCAAAACCCAGTCTCTACAAAAAAAAAATTTTTTTTAATTAACCAAATGTGGTGGTGTGTGCTTGTAGTCCCAGCTACTTGGGAGACTGAGGTGGGAGGACTGTTTGAGCTCAGGAGTTCAAGAATCCAGTGAGCTGTGATCATTCCACTGTGTTCCAGCCTGGGCAAGAGACCCTGTCCCTGAAAAACAAACAAGCAAACAAAAACAGAGAGATGCTGGTTGCTGGACTGTGGTGATGGCCATAAAGGTGGTAAAAAGTGACTTTCTCTTGGAAGTTGTCAACCAGATGTAACAATGAATTGGATATGAGGGAAAGATTGGAATTATGAAAGACTCTCACGTTTTGACTTGAACAACTTGGCAGATAGTAGTGCCATTTACTGAAACATGGATGGCCACAGAAAGAAAAGGATGTTTTTTTTTCCAGAGTGGGGGATTAATAGGAAAAGGAGAATAAGGAGAAAAGGAAAGGAATAAAGGGTTAAAAACACAGGGCCAATGTTGGGGAGACATAGGGTAGCCTCCTGCAGAGTATCACTGCAAGCATCAGGGCTTTGGGCTGTGTGTCTCTCATCTGATGTTTTGATGTGTATGAATGATCCAGGAAGGTCTGATTGTTATGGAATAAAAACAAACAATTAAAAATTAAAATAGAACCACAGCACTGCTGAGGAACAGCCTGTTGGTAAACAGCAGCAGCTAAAGGCAGAAGATGCAGTGTCTGTTTTTCCTTCCCTAACCTAAGCACTGCACGCATGCGAGGCCAGCACTTTTTGGTGGTGGGTCTGTGGGTAACCACCTCCCTTTCCATACACCCCCTCTCTGCCACAAAGGAAACCAGAGACTGTTGGGTCTGTTTTCTAATAGAGCTCACACTTTTAAAGCACTTCAGATAATTGGTGACGACAGCTCAGTGAGGTGAACAGGAAAGATGCCATTATTCCCAGTTTTTAAATGAGGAATCTGGAGTCAGGGCCACATGGGTAATAAGTGGTGGAGCTGGGACTAGAACCTAGGTCTTTGAACACCTAGGTCAGTGTGCTTCCATGGCCCAGGGCTGCCCTTCTTTCCCAAGCCTGATTCTGTGTCACTGTTGGCCAGCCCTCTATGTTTTCCATGCCTGTTCCCCCACCTCTTTGGAACCTTCTCTTGTCAACTCCTCCTTCTTCCTGTCCTTAGCACCCACCTTTCCTCACTCCCTTCCTTCCTAACATGAACTCTATGGTTCATCCTTTCAATCTTTCCCTTGCAAATGTAGTAAAACCCCCATGATGGTACCTCCTGTTGCAGTGCGAAGTTAGCAGCCTGTAATTGGTGTTTGGCTCCCACCTTCCACCCAGTCCCTATCCTCATTTCACTAACCTAGTTATAACAAGGCTCTCCATTTTATGCAATTCAGTTTTTGGATCTCACATATAATGTTGTGGTGGGGTTTGACTCTACCATCAGCTCCTTTTTCCTGTGCTCTTTCATCATATCTGAATGACTCACTGTTCATCTTCTCAGGTTGAGCGCTCAGGCTGCTGGGCACTGCTGCGGGAAATCACCAACCGATCTGATGAGGCCAATTCCTCCCCTGCTGGGCCACAGGCACTGCTCTGAAATCCTACTCTACCTCTGGTTTGTTTTTCTACACTCTGTTTCAAATCTCTCTGTTCTCTTCAAACCTTGGATTTCTTGCTCGCTTTAAGGAGACAATGTAACTTCCTACTTCACAGAAATAATAGAAACCATTACATGGAAACAACTTCAATTTCTGGCCATGAGATCTATACAAACTTTCCTGCTTTTGTGTTCATCCTTTTGCTTCCAGGTACAGTGGAGGACATGGTCCCTCTCAATTCCAACATCTCTCCATCCACCCATGCCGTGGATCCCATCTTCTGTCTTTTAGCTTGTGTTTCCAACTTTCCTCTCAATAAGTTCAAGTGTCTCTTTTAAAACATAAAACAAAAACCCCTCCTAGACCCCCTTTGCCTACTCTTGCCATTCTTTTGTCAATCTCCATTTCTTCATAGTAAATTTCTAATCTTTACCATATTTTCAACTCTGATTCACCCTTCCACCACCTACCAAACCTGGCTTCCTTCCCCAATGCTCTAAGGACACCTGTTCCACTGACTAAGGTCACCAACAATCTCAGTGCTGCTACATTTGAGGAACACTTCTGCATCTGATTTTCTCTCTCAGAGGCATGGCATATAGTTAATCATTCCATACTCACTGTCATGACAGAGGCTTGACTTTGATGGCACCATTCCCGCTAGGTTTCTTTCTAACTAGCTGATAGGACCTTCTTTTATTCTGGGCTCCGCAGCCTCTTCCTCTACCCAGACATTAAATTTCCTTTTCTCATCTGACTCGCTCCTCAGATGATCCTGTCCATATCCTGTGCAGTGATAACTCCAGGAACTTGAACTACTGCCAAGAATTTTCTACTGATACTCATGGATCAGACTCATGGATCCATCTGCCCACTTGATATCCCCATGTGATAATAGGCCTCAAAAAGAACATGTGCAAACCTGAACTTGTGATCTTTCCCCTCAACACTCTACCCTTCCTTCAATGAATAAACCCTACCCCCATCCCTCCGCCATCCACTCAGTTTTGCCTGTAAAAATCCTCAGAGTTACCTGGACTCCTTATTAGTACTGTCATTCTTGCCTACTTAGCACTCATTCACCTTTGTACTGGGAATAGCTCTTCAAATTTCCTTTCCTGCTCACAATGTCTTTACTCCAGGTGAGATTAATCCTACCTGTTAGCTCCATGGGTAAACATGTTACCCAGGACTAGCCAATAAGGCTCAATTCTAGGAAGTTTCCTGAAACTATTGAGAAGTTGCCTTCTTCTGGAGTTGCTAACCTCTGAGGATGTGAACCTAGAGCTGCCAGCAGCTATTTTGCCACCACAAGGAGAGCTTTCCAGAGAGTGAAGCCATTACACCAGATAAAGAATTCAAAAGAGAGCTACTCTAGAAGACATCATCTGAACTCCTGGATCCAGCCATATATGAAGTATCTGATCTACCCCAAGGACTTCTCCTTCACTTGAATCAATAAATTTTCATTTAGGCTTAAGCCAGTTTGAATGGGATTGCAATCACCCCTACAGAAACAATGCTGACAGATATATCATCCTTAGCTCCTCTCCTTCCTTTACCTCTCCCTAACCTCTCCTCATCCAATCAGTCCTCAAGTCTTTTTGGTTCCACTTGCTGATTCACTAAATATCTCTGAAATCACTCCTCTTCAATCCATTCCAGCCATTACTTTAGGCCAAGCTATCATCTCTCAGTGGCGCAACCACAGTGGCCTTCTAACTGGTAATTCGTGCCCAGTCCTATCTCTTTCATGTACTCTGATATGGTTTGGCTGTGTCCCTGTCCAAATCTCATCTTGAATTCCCATGTGTTGTGGGAGGGACCTGGTGGGAGGTAACCGAATCATGAGGGCAGGTCTTTCTCGTGCTGTTCTCGTGATAGTGAATAAGTCTTATGAGATCTGATGGTTTTAAAAAGAGGGGTTCCACTGAACAAGCTCTCTCTCTTTGCCTGCTCCATCCATGTAAGCCATGACTTGCTCCTCCTTGCCTTCCACCATGATTGTGAGGCTTCTCCACCCACATGGAACTGTGAGTTGAATTAAACCTCTTTCTTTTGGAAATTACCCAGTCTCTGTTATGTCTTTATCAGCAGTGTGAAAACGAACTAATACATACTCTTTACACAATAGTCAGCCTGATCTTAGTAAAATATAAATCTCAGAGCTCTTCATTGCTCCCCCTTGCCCACATAATTAAGCCCAAAGTTGTTCACATGGCCTATAAGCTCTGAATGAGCTGCTGCATGCCTTCCTTTCCAGCTTTATCTCATTCCATTTTTCCCCTAATCCCCTTTATCCCAGCCATGCTAGAAACTACTCCTAAACCTCAGCACCTTGGCAAATGCTGGTTTCACTGCCTGAAACAGTCTTCTCCTTCCTCTCTTCTTAACCAGTTCTAATCTCAATGCCATTTCTCTGGAAAAGGCTGCTGTAATATACCAGACAAGGCCCCTTTATTTCCTGAGCCACCTCTCACACCTGGACACCTTATACTCTATCCTTTGCCTTTTCAGCATTTGTCTTTGTCATCACCTAATTAAGCATTTAATGTTAATGATTAACTGAAGGTCAGATTCCCTCCCTAGACTATAAGCTCCATGAGGACAGGGACCATGGCTGTTTGGTTCACCACTATAGCTTATCATAGGGCCTGACACAAGTTTTGACTGATTATCCTTTGTTCTGGGCTGGAGGGACAGGCAGAGGGGAAACTTAAAGAAAAATAGAGATGTTTTCCAGGCTTTTGAGCAGGTTTACAGATTTCATTTTAGACGAAAATCTTTACATTTCAGCAGTTGACCATCTGTCATACCATTAAGGCAGTATCTCTTGCAGGTGAAGATACAGCAAAAAGTTGGGCAATTTTAAAAAAAAAATCTGGTTTATGTAAAGAACAAAATCTGAAAGAGAAAAAAACAAAAGAAAGCTTCCCTGTTTTTTTCAACAAGGAGTTTCATGAAAAAAATAATAAAAGGAGGGAAGAAACCATGCTAGATTAAAGAGCTTTAAGGGACATAATACTAGATGCAATGCAGGGCCCTAGGTTTGAGTTCGGTTTGGACAAACCAACTGGAAAGGACATTTTTGGGGACGAGCAGGAGGAATTTGAATACAGACTGGGTTTTAGATAAGATGAAAATTTATTGGCAAGGAAAGATGGAGATCATTAACTAAAAAAAGCAGGTTACAAACAGCATGTACAACATGATCTCATTTTGGTAAAAATATGTATATGTATATTTATACACGCATAGAAAAAGCTTTAAGGATATACACACAGGTGTTAACAGTGGTAATCTATGGGTGGTAGGAATATGGTGCTATCGTTTTCTTATTTTTCTTTATCTGAATTTATAACTTTCGACAAGGCACAAATGCTGCTTTTGTAATAATAAAAATTAAAACATGAATTCATTTTAGAAAATTTTAAAGCAGGCTTAAGCAGACCCAGATTTTCACTGAAAGCTGTCCAGGACATTTTTTCTACGTCCTCCACCTTAGAAATGAATAATGTGTCCCAACTTCTGAGTAGGTCTCCGCATGAAGGATTAAAAATTTTTGCAGTCCTTGAACTAAAAGTGAATCAATCAGATATTGAGCATGCATACATTTTCCACTAGCAATGTCAGTAAAGGACCTTCACATCAGTAGCAGGAAAGGTTGCAAGAAAGTAACCCTCACAGGAGGTGCTCACATCATTACCAGGCAACTTCTACACAGCCATTTCCCACTCTAGTGGAAAAATCCACAGTTCATCAACTGTTAAGGATAGTAAGTACATAGAAAATTTAGAAAATGCGGAGTTCCAATGTTATCTGAGAAGTGAAGGAAAGAGAGTTTTGAAGAAAACCATAAAAGACTAGAAAGGTCACCACTGGACACTATTAAGCTGAATATCAGGGATTTGTAACCAAGCCCCAGCCTTATCCCAAAGGAACTGGAAAAGTTCCCAGCCATGGTGGTCCTTATATTCTTTATCTGTAAAATTAGGTCTAGATGAAGTCTAACATTTTTATTTGCTTCACAGCATGGTTCATTACATAACAAAATATTATGTTGCACACTAAGTCACAACATTAAATATAATAAGAGAATTTTGCAAATATCCTCTTCCTGGATTCTTACACGGTGGAGGAAGTTGCCTGTAGAGGGCACTAGTCAGTTAATAACATCTGAATCAGTTTGACTTAAAAGCAAGAAAGGACCTTAGGGGTCACATAGTGGATCCCTCTCTTACAGAGAAGAAACTGAGCCCTAGTGAGATTAGGCGACTTGCTCAGAATCACACAGTTGGCATTTTCACAGAGCTGAGATGGAAAAAAGAACTCTGGTTCATGTTAAAAAACAAAAACCAAACCCAAAAACCTTACAAAGGCCTAGAAATTGAATTGCATTTAGTTGTTCTTTTAATGAATCACCCACCGTGAAAAATAATAAAAAGATTACCACCACCATAAAAAAGGAGACCATCCTAGGAAGCCTACTCTTCAGGACACTAGGAGACAATTAATTCCAGTGTCACTCCCAGCCACAGGGTTATTCAGTGAAATTCCCTTGGCCCATAACCATTTTGTTGATAACCTTTGCTGTCTAAACATCCCTTTGCCAAATTTACACGGCACTCAGATTGCACTGGGGGACAGGATGGTATATAAGAGAGGGGACGGACTTGTTTTTCTTCCTCTCAGCCCCATCAACAGCAGTTAAGTGTCAACCAATGGATTGGATCTACTTCATTCACTGGTTAAAATTAGGCAAACAACTGGACTGGCAATGAGGCTCCCTGAGGCTGGTGTCTGGTTATTTCAGTCACCTTACAATCAGATTAGATCTATCCACCTTGCAAGATTGCCCCTTCCTTGCCAACATACTAGAAACCAGTTTATCTGTTCAAATACTGCATATGGACCCAGACTCTGTAAAACCATGACTAGGATGTTTGATGTGTTATCTTAGGGTTTTTCTGTTTGTTGCTGTTTTGAGAAATAGACATGTAGGTGGTAACATGCTGCAGTAGAACCATCGACTTTGGAGCCCACTAGACAAGGCTTAAATTCTGCCTCCACTTGTGTGTCAGCTGGGTCTCCTCACTGTATTGCTTGACTCTGAGTATCAGATTTCTCATCACGGTATTTACCTTACAGACTGAGGATTAAAGGAGAAAGTTCATATGAAGTGCCTAGATCAGCACCTGGCACTGTACAAATGAGTCTCCCACTTGAAGAATATGGCTGGCTTTCAGAATTAGGAGAGAGTAAGCAGTAGAATTCCACCATGTAATGAATTCAAGGTCATGGCTATTGAAGGAAGGTATTGTCTTTAAAACGTCCCATGAAAAATAGCTTAGATAAACATTCTAGTAGATAAGCTTCAGAAAAGTAATTTTTAACCTACTCCAAACTAATGCCATGGTGTTCTCATTGTTCCTCTACTTTTATAAACAGTGGCATTACTAAATTACAGCCTAAATTCCCCCATGCATTTTAGTGGTGATCCAAGAGCATGCTCAGTTAAAAACATGGGTGGAAGGATTTAGGAGAGTTAGCCACCTCTCCCTACACAATATTTCTAGGGTGCAGAGACAACACTTCTGCTTCCTTTTAAACCCAGTATTTGCTTAGTTTTCAGAAAGAATGAGGCAGTCCCCAAAGGCATGTTGGTCTAAGCATAGAAGCACCATAGTGATGGCATGTTTTCCTAGTTTTACACAGTTGATTTATACCCACTGAGTGCATAGTATGTCTAGGGCACTGGTCATGTATTATTTCATTCAAACTCTACCACAACTTGATGAAGGAGTCACTATTATCAACTTCCATATATTGATGGAGAGGCTGAGGTTTGGAGAAAGTATGTTGCTCACCCAGGTCATGCAGGTGTCAGTGTGGTGAAGCCAGGATGGAGCCCAGCAGCAACATCCGAGCCCCTCCTTCTTCCTGCTGCCTCTTTAGTCTCTTTTTTTTTTTTTTTGTATTTTATTGGCTTTTCTGAATGTGGTAATAACGGGCAAAAGGGCAGGGGCAAAAAATCAAGGAACTTAAGGAATTCACTGAGATCTAAAACGTATTTATATCCACACAGTCTACGTTAACATGATTTTACTATTCCAGGATCTTCATCAGCATAACTTTACTGTTCCAGAAAACTCTTCCTCAAGAAGATAACAGTTACAAATAACTGTATTGTTCATTCCAGGAATTTCCCCAAAGACACATCAACTCGTCAATAGAAAGCATTCAAGGAAAATTTTAAAATTTGAGCATTTCCGAGTCTTTGCCCTCAAAATCTTCATCTTGTGTTTGCCCATTCTAAGTGATTAGATTATGGTCCTCACTAGACCCCAGCCAGGGCTCCCTGGCTCTCACACTAAAAGATACACATTGGAAAAAATCCAGACTTCACAATCTCAAAAATACTCCCAACTTTGCTCCATCCCCTACCTGCACCCCGAGACTCTAGTGAGATTTTTTGTAAATAGTGTTCTCCATTAACTTTAAGCCATCAGTTCTCAACTGGGGATGATTTTGCCTCCCAGGGGATATTTGGCCATGTCTGGCAACATTTCTGGTTGTCATGACTGGGGCTGCTCCTGGCATCTAGAGGGTAGAAGTCAGGAATGCTGCTAAACATCCTATAATGCACAGGACAGCCTCCTCCCCTAATAAAGACTGTCCAGAATCAACAGATTATTTTAATAATATTTTGGAGAGCCACTAATTAGCAATATCTCAGTTAGTGCTACGAAGAAGCTTCCCAAACTCTGAACCCTTCTGGTTATGTTTTTACTCTCTTGATTGCCAGTGTTCTTGCAGGTTCATGAGCCCCAAATCCATGAAGCCCGTCCTTAAGAAATTTCATTCCCAGAGGCTAGACTGCAGACATTTACCTACTCTTCTTATGATGGGGGTTTCCATCTCCTAAGATAGGATCACTTGGTGGCTCGGTTATTTTTTTTAAGACAGGGTCTTGCTCTGTTGCCCAGGCTGGAATGCAGTGGCGCAATCACGGCTCACTGCAGCCTTGGCCTCCCGGGTGTCAGGCGATTCTCCTACCTCAGCCTCCCGAGTAGCTGGGATTGCAGATGTGAGCCACCGCACCTGGCCAAGTTATCTTTAATTTCTACATTGTGTATTGTGTATCAGCTGTTTGAAATGATGAACCTGAGTCCACAATTTTTTTAGAAGATGCTGTTAACTATCTTAATAATGGCAGCATTCCTGAGGTTGTGAAAATGACTTTACTGAACAGGAAGCATGTTTTCCTTATAGACAAATAGCACGAATTCATATTACTTATAAAAGATACTGCCTCTTGAAATTAGCACTTTGAATTTCACCTTTTCGTCTAGATATTTCCACTGGTAACAAAATTTCCCTGGAAGTCAGTGTTTGGAGTTATAAGATCAATTTGTGACCCAAAAATATAAACGGTCTACCTTTTATCCTGTTTGTGATGAGTGAAAGGCAAAAGTAAACAGAAAAAAGAAACCTGATATGACTTCACTCTTGAAATATTGTGCAATGATTTTCTGAAGGTAAGTAGCAGGCTTTGTATCTTGAGAACCTAACGAAGTTAAACAGCAGTCCTCACTCTGGGCACAGAAGTCACAGCTTACAGTACTGGAATGAGGCCCAGGATGATGTCATCCTGGGCAGAGACCTTATCCGTAACCCCACAGTGCATTTGTATTAGGCAGTGATGTCTCTGTCACCAGGAACTTCACTGAGCCTTCCTGAAGCTCTCAAGCATGTCATAGAAATATTGTCCATCTCAAAATTTGCCCTAGAAAGGAACCAGGAAGTTTTCCTTTTTGAAAGTTCTTGAGATGATATATGTCTTGAGTCTTGTGGGGATTCATTCAAATCCCTGGAGCTGGCATAAAGATTTTTGAAGTGAGAACATTTGAGCTAAAGAAGATACAGAAAAAAGTGTTATCTCGACTGCACTTACCTGACTAAAGCAGGGCCTCCCGAAAATACTGCTGCCATTAACCCCCATCTGAGGGGGTTTCCTGGAATTTCGCTGCCAGGGAGACAGAGTGTCCATTGCTATTAGCATCAAAAACCTCAACAGAACCTTCCATACCTTCTTATTGAAGCCCTAACCCCTCTACCCTTTGTTAAATTTTGTATATGAACCCTTTAATCTCAGGCTATTGAGTGAGTTATTATCTCTGAGAACTCCTGTGTATGTGTAAATCGCCTATCTTTTCTCCTGTTAATCTGTCTATTGTCAGTTAACTCATGGGCCTTCAACCACTGGAACTAAATTGGATGAGGAAAAGTTTTCTCCCAATAATTTTGGTGATGAGGATGGGATGGCTGGGACTCTCTGCTCCTCCAGAAAGTGCAGCTAAGATGTCAGGATCTCTGACTATGCTGACAAAGATAAATTTCTTAGCAGCCAGGTTCCCAGATTTCTGCTCAGAATCCCGTCAAGTGAGGATGGTAAGACCATCTTTCTGTCTTTTCTTCCCAAGATTTAGATTTCCGGGAGAAAACACTCAGAACTTATACTTACTGTATTGTGACTTGGTTTGAATACTTTTTAAAATAGATCTTTTCCTTCCCAGGGATAGCTCCTGTATCCTTTCTGTCTCATTTTGTGTCCTGATAGTTTGGTTTGGATTCAGTCAGAGTGCTCACTCTCTGGCTTTCTGCATGCTGTGGGGTGCAGATTGTCTGTTCTGTGCTCAGAAGCAGCCAATTGTCAGGTTGGGGCTCAAGCATTTGTAGTTGACTGAAGAGAAATTTGGGTATCCTGGGCATCCCATTTTCAGCTGGCACCGTGCCGACTGTTGCCAGTGCTAAGGGGGTTTGTCTAAGTTCTCTTTCCTATTGTCTTGCTAGTGGAGAGAAGTCCCATCTCAGTATTACCTGCCCAGAGTCATGGATTCGCAGGTACATGATCAAAGTCATATCATTTTTATGGGCAACTGGAGACAGGAGTTTTCACAAGTATCATTCTTACTGCCTATAGCAATGATGATCTTTGCTTTCCTTCTCTTTGGCTGTCTTTGGAGTTGATTTTGGATCATGGGAGCTGCATCTTCTGCACCCTCTATGGGGGTGTTTCCTGTGTCCACGATTAAGCCGTAAAATATGTTTATTCATTATGAGTCACATTTTGGAAAAAGTGTACCTTTGGAGATACTAAATCATCAATGGCCACACAGCAGATCCTTTGATTTGGAACAACTTTTAAATTTGAGAGGATTTTCAGAAAGCTCTCATCCTAAACAAATGTCCTGTTACCAATATGGGAGGATCAGAATGAAAGGACATTTAAAAAAAAAAAAAAAAGTATCACAGCTAGCCTAAAAGACTCCCTTAACAAAACTAAAGAACAGAAATCAGATCTAGAACAAAAATTGAAATTCACACTCACCATAAACTCTCCCCGTCCCCTGCACCACTATCTTCCTCCTGCAAATGGCCCAGTTGGAGGCTGATATTCAGGGCCTGAGAGGAGCTATTAAAGATGTTTTCCCTTCCGTCTTCCCTCCCACTCTGAAGGTTAATTGGGCTAAAGTGGAGCAATGTACTCAGAGGAAAGGAATACATCCTAAAGTCTTTGTTGAATGACTTATAAAAACATTCCAAAGACACATAGCTCTAAATCCAGAGTCCTGGATCATTGAAAATCTCTTGGTTTCCACCTTAGTTGGAAATCTTATCTCCAATATAAAGAAACAAATTTAAAAATATTGTAGTTGGATAGGTAGGCCAATTCCTTAATGCTATTATTGAGGCTATCTGCTATGGTATGAATGTTCGTTCCTTCCAAAACTCATGTTGAAATGTAATTGCCATTGTAACAGTATTAAGAGTTAGGACCTTTAAGAGATAATTAGGCCATCATGGGTGGTATTGGTCCCCTTATAAAAGCATGAGTATGACCCCCTCTTGTCCTCTCTCTTGCTTTTGCACCTTCCACCACGGGATAATGCAGCAAGAAGGTCCTTGTCAGATGCCAGCAGCATGATGTTGGACTTCCCAGCCTCCAGAACTGTGTGACGATACATTTCTGTTTATTATTAATTACTCACTTATAAAACCACCTTTGCAAAATTATAATGGTGAGAAAATTGTGACAGTGAAAGAGATCAGACCTAACTGACTCCATCTTGCCTTTAACCTCCAAACTGCCCTTGTTCATTCCTGGGCATAGGCCAAGTTAACTATAGGAGGAATTAGTTTATAGGTTAACTTTGAAACAAAGATGATAACAGCTCTTTCCTGAAGCAAATCTTCTTCTTGACTGGGGACCAGACCACCTTCTTAAAACTAACAAATTAGCCACAAGATTCGAAATTATAGTTCAGGATATGATGCAGCCAAGATTCCTAACCTCCCCAGTTGCTCTTATGGATAAGAGAACTATTGTAAAACCTAAGATTAGTGTTCCAGATATCTCTCAGACCCTGCATTCTGATGGACCAGCTGGTGCCACCCAGACTGGTAATCTGGCTCAACCAGTTCTGCGATCCCACCCAGAAACAGAAGACAGCAAGAAGAACCCACTTGGATCCCCCTATAATTTCATCTCTGACCCAACCAATCAGCACTCCCCACTCCCTAGCCCCTTACCCATCAAATTATCCTTAAAAAACCCTAGTCTCTGAATTTTCAGGGAGATTGATTTGGGTAATAAAACTCATGTTTCCCATTTGGTTAGCTGTGTGTGCATTAAACCCTTTTTCCTTTGCAATTATCCTGTCTTGATAAATCATCACTATTTGAGCAGGAGGTAAGAAGAACCCTTTGGGCAGTTACAGTCTCGGATATTGTTATAGCAACACAAAATAGACTAACACACTGTCCCCTAATTCTTTGAAGAATTAAAAATACTGCCCTCACCTTACTAATTAAGTCTTTACAAAGACAGTAATAGGGCTCTAAGGATAACCCAAAGCCCACCTATATTTCTTATCAATCCCAAAGCCTCTCCTATTTATCTCATGATGCTTGCTGATACTTTAAAGAAGTCAGGACATTAGAAAAGGGAAGAATTATCCAATGAGAAGATATACTTAACCTTCCCTATGTTATATTTGTATGGGTAAATGCTATGAATATAAGTACATCAGAAAGTATATGAGTTAAAACGCTTATTGTCCATATGTCCTAATATAATGTTAGTAGTCATAATTCCAGTTACTATCTTAAATGTTTTATGTCATCAGAACAACCACATATCCTTGTCAATTGCATTATTTTTATAACAAACTCTCATCAAATTTTTAGCCATTGCCATTTTGTCTTTTTTCGTTCACAGGGAGTTATTGTTTTATTCTGATGCTTTCCTGAAAGCTCTTCCAATCAGCTGTAAGGCAGAATGCATCATCTTCAGAACAGGGAACATTTTAGAGACCCATAGAAATGACTGGTTATCCAAGGTAAAGGATTCTGATGGCTCTGCATAAATGACTTTGAGATCATACCACTGGACTGAGTAAGAATTTCCAGAATTCTAGTGGAGAGGCTGATGGGTTCATAAAACTGCTAACCCAAGATAGAGCAGAACAAAAATAAGTTATCATCTGGGACTGAATGAACTGATGAAGATTGATTATAATTTTTATGGGTTTTATTTTTGTTTGGAACATTGCTGGTTCTTTAATATTCCATTTTCTGAATATAAAGAATTCCTTTCTCTTTTCTCTTAACCTATTTATAATTGACAATTTAGTAGATTATATCTTATAAACAAGAATGAAACATTTATATTTTTCTCCCTACCTAATCCCTACAGAATTCAGAAACTCATATTGAATATTCTTATTTTTATGGTGATACAGTTTTTTGCACAGGTTCCA
This sequence comes from Homo sapiens, assembly GCF_000001405.40. NCBI lineage: Eukaryota > Metazoa > Chordata > Mammalia > Primates > Hominidae > Homo > Homo sapiens. Next base: position 68,452,678 of record NC_000005.10, on the reverse strand, counting down.
TAAGTATCTATTCTCCTTGTAACCGGACATAATTGAGGAAATTAGTTATATCACCAAGGCTTTAACTGAAATGTCGTATTTGAGAATGATGTGCATAGAAACAGACATGACTAGGCAGTTTTAAGGAACTAAGGTTGACTTTGTGGAGCCAGTGTTCACAAAGCCCTCTTAGCAAAACTGACCTTGTACCTGGCTTACAGTGTCCCCCGCCTCACAGATGAGTAATGAAGATCACTTCCTGGCAGGCCCAGGAGCTTTAGAATGCTTTGGATACCTCAACAGGAGAGGATTTCACCCAAATCTATAGGTACTGCAGATAAAGTTCTGATGACAAGTTCTTGGCTTGGCCTCCTAGCCAAGAAAGGCTTTTAAAAGTCCAGTCTGAGATTCCTTATAAAACTTCCAGCAAAGCAAACTTTAAAAGGCCTGTGTGGTCAATTACAATTCTTGCTTCATTTATTACATGATCAGGACATATTTAACGAGGCTAGGCTTATTTTGTAAATAAGAGTAATCTTACTTTATCTTTTATAAAAATGGAGGTGATTGAAGAGAGAAATTTTATGTTTCAATGGAAAATTATAACACCCCTTGTGAGTTAGCAGATTGTCGTTCTGTTGATTGTCTTTGAGCTATTTTTCATCTCTTCTAAACTGGATTCTACCATCTTGCACATTTTGTCAATAATTAACACTTTCATTTTTCCCCCATTCTCCTGACTTGTTATCACTGAGAACTAGCACTGCCTATTTCTTGAAGCTCTGAGTGCTGAAGCTGGACAACTTGATATAGCTTCAAAAGATTGATAACCACCACAACAATGTGGGATACCCAGCAAGTTTACCAGAACATGTGCATCTTCCATGCCCTGCTCCAGCAAATAACCATTATTGTGACATTCTCACTACCATCTTCACTCAAGAGGCTTCAGACTCAACATCTAGAAAACTTCTCAACTGGACTGGCTGCCTTCTATACTCAGAAATTGGTTCTGCTCGGTTCCAACCTTTAATCTTCATTTTTCTGTCCCTTTGCAGATCTCTTACCTCACAATTTCCAACATCAATCACTCTCCACAGCAATCAAACTCACTTTTTTTTTTTTTTTTGGTGAAATGTCCAGAATAGTTTCAGATGAAGGACATGTGGGGACCCACTTGGACCCCTAGACGTGATATAAAGATAATTTTTAAATGAAAATGTTGGAGCTAAAGAAGATTCAAAAAGAAATCTTATCTGAAATTCTCTTATCTGATTAAGTTAGAGTCTCCAGAAAATACAGCTGCCACTAACCCTCCTCCTAGGAAGTGTCCTACAAATTCAGCTGACATGGAAATAGACTGCCCGTTTCCACTAGCATAAAAAAAAAGTCCAGTAGAACCTTCCATACTTTCCCTAACCACTCTCCCTCCTTCTTGGTTAAGTTTGGTATATAACCTTTTTTCCTCTGGCTAATGGGTGAGTTACTTATTACTGAGTATTCCTGCCTGTAAGTATAAATAAATCATGTCTTTTCTCCTCTTTTTTTGGAGGGGGGAGGGTGGGGGGTGGAGTTTCACTCTTGTCGCCCAGGCTGGAGTACAATGGTGCGATCTTGGCTCACTGCAACCTCTGCCTCCCGGGTTTAGGTTATTCTCCTGACTCAGCCTCCCAAGAAGCTGGGATTACAAGCATGCACCACCACTCCCGGCTAATTTTTTTTTTATTTTTTGTAGAGATGGGGTTTCACCATGTTGGCCAGGCTGGTCTTGAACTCCTGACCTCAGGTGATCCACCTGCCTAAGCCTCCCTGGGATTACAGGTGTGAGCCACCATGCCCAGCCATCTTTTCTCCTCTTAATCTGTCCATCATCACTTAATTTGTGAACCCCCTACCACTGGATTCAAGTTGCAAGAAGAAAAATTTACCCCCCAATAGTTTCCTCTCTGCTTACTGTCAGCAGCATTCTCTGTCGTGACTACAAAATTATCTATTCCTGTATGTGTGTGTGCACACACGCATGTGTGTATTTACAGAGACCTGGCAGCCCAGTGGGTTGTGACTGAATGCCTTTAGGAATTTCCTTGGGGAATCAAAGCTTATTAAAGTAGAAACACTTCCCAGAAGATCAGAAATCTATCTTCAAACCAAGCTTGTTCCCCTGCTTATTGCATCATCAGACCAGGCGGCTTAAAATAAATAATCTATTCAAAGCGAACCAATTACAAAACTCACCTTTCAACTCTTAGTTTTGGGAAATGGACTGGAAGGACTCCTTCAATGGTAACTTGACCATGCTGTCTCTCTGATGACATCGTCTTGGAATGCTGATAAACTTCTTTTAGTATACACTTTAGGGAGAAGACAGTTGTCTAAATTAATGACAATCCTTGACAGTTGTGAGCTTTTGTGTCTGGTGGACTGGAATCCTTTCCTAACTCAATCACTTTTTAGTTTTGTAATCTTGAGCAATCCTTTAGCCTTTTTGAGGCTGCCTCAGTTGGCAAGGTGGGAGAAATAACACTTAACTTGAAAGATTTGGGGGGAGCATAGGATGAGATCAATGTATGCACTGGTTCTTTTCTTTCCGTCTTCTCTTTAAAGTTCTTATGAAATTATTTTGGCCACAAAATTATTAATAATACTTTATAGGCAGCAAATGACACAGCTGTTCCCCCATTATAACACACACCATCCTCCAGTTACTTGATATTCTTCACCTATTTTCCTGCTTCCCTTATTCTGGAAAAAAGATCGTACACACTTTATGTGGACAGAAAACAGTTTCTCCTATGAAAACCAAATAAAAAAGAAAAGCAGAACGTAACGTTTATTTTTGGCCAATTACTAAATTTTAAAAACCTTCCCTCTTTGATTTCATGAAGGTTTTCTAGTGTTCCCTTTAGCTTGTGTCTGATATGGAGTCTGGATCCCTTTCTCTGTCTTTTTCTTGCATGTCTAAATCTCATTATAGCTGGCTCTATCACCATGACCTGAGCCACCCTGAGTCTGGACTGACTGCATCAGGCAGTAAACAGGCCAAGATCTTTCTGGTCAGAGCTTGGCAGCACGAATTTAGGAAGATGCCAACATTGTTGCCAAATGGATGGCTCATATTTTCCATCTTTGTCTTTGTGGATGCCAGTCATGTGTTCCCTGTGGTGCCCAAATTGTGCAACAGACACTGGAGGCTCTGCGCCAGCACAAGGGCCTCGGATGGGGTTAGGCCTTCCTGATGGGCATAGGCCTGGATTGAGCCAGTGGATATATGTTCAGCCTGAATAATCAGCTATGGTGGGCTAGACAAAGGCTTGGCTGGGTATATGAAATCAGAAGCGAAGGCTGAGAGCGGCCCTAGGAAAGGAAAGATGGGATGGGTCAGAAGGGGGAACTTGGGTTGGCACTGATTGTTGAGGTGGGTATGGCCACCAGGCTGGGCTCAGAAGGATAGAAGTTGAGGAGTCAGGTAAGGCCACAGCTTGGATATAGCTAAAGACAATAACTAAGATCATTCCAGATGCTTCTCAAGGGAGATGTGGTGCTGATGGAGGCTTCCATTCACTGAAGCATGGCTTAGAGTTTCTCCCAGCAGCTCCGCTATGGGGAAATCAATCTACCTGTTTTCTCTAAGACCTGGTGTGCAGTGGGCCAGGGCAAGGAAAGGGGGATACTGGTTCCATTGGAACAAAAGCTGAGTATTCTTTGGGTCAGGGCCACTGAGTCTGGGTAAGCAGTGCTGTCTCCTGAGCTGGACTCTGAGGGAATCTAGATTTCTATTCATTCTTAGGGCTTGGAGAAAGGTCCCTGCCATGCGATATCTAATCAGAATGTGGATATGAGAAAATTAGTGATTTAGGAAAAGTGTTCTTCAATTTACATCTGTATCCATGTGAGAAGGAAAGAGGAAGAGGAAGAGGAAGAAGAAAAAGTAGAAGAAGGAGAAGGAGGAGGAGGAGGAAGAATCACTGTCCTAGAGTATATCAACAATTGTGAAACCCCTAAATCAATTTATTAGCCCCAGATCTGGAGCTTCTCTTGACCTGTAGTTGGTCCCTCCACCTGGTTTGTGGCTTATAGAACCCTAGGGATGGCATATAGTGGTCAGGGGGAGGAGAGCAGGTGAATGATGGGGAGGCACTACCATGAGATCTTCAGCCCCCTGTTGAAGGGGTACATATCTCTCAGGACGCCCCAACATCTTCCAGAACTCTTTCCAGAACTTATTCTGAAACTCTTCTGAGTCCTCTAAGCATCCCTAGGAAGGACGTTTCTGGTCTAGATAGCAGGTGAGATCCTTCCTTTGCTTTAGAGAAATGAGGTCAGGAAGCTTCTATGACCTCTTTGGTAGTAATGTCCACACAGAGAGTAAAACGAGGTTGTTGGATTGCAGGAGGCAGGGCTTGGATGTCCTGGAAGAGTGCCACATCTTTCCTTAGAGCTGCTTTTTGTTCTGATACTGAGGTGGCCATCACTGGCCCCAGACCCTGTGGCTCAGCCACGTCCCAACAAAGTGTCATTCTAGAGGGAGAGACGGCCTTCCTGAATGACTACATTCTAGTTCCTGAAGCCTGCCCTTGACTTTTTCTTGATTAACTTCCCTGAGACTTTAGGAACATTATATGCACTAAGTACATAAATTAAAAGTCTGCATGTAATAGTCTCTTAATAGGCAAATAAGTCTTAGTCCCAAAATGGAAAAATATTGCCCTACAGTACGTCTGAAAAAAACACACAAGCAAACCTGAGCCTAAACCAAACAAATAAACACCCTTGGCGTCTTCAAACTTTGCTATAAACAAACAAGAGACCTTGCAATTCTCAGCAGAAATGTCTTGTGCACATCAAAGCAAGATATAGGTGCTTAAAGCTTGTCATGGGTACTGTAATACCTTCTGGATGTGAGGCTACGTGCAATGTAGGGTGAGGGGAAATGTGTAATATCTGTGGCCCAGGCGAAAATGACCTCATCTATCTGTATCATCTCCACCCACAAAGCGCTTCTTAGATTGAATTATCCAGGTGATTGCTTTATCTCTCCACCATGCATTCCACATATAAAATTATCTTAACATTAAACACTGTGCCATTCTTAAAAATGGAACCCAAGCTCTTATAGCATTTTACAAATCTATAGTTTGATTTGTACTTCCTAGAATTATTTTTTTATAACATCGCTTTTTAAAAAATTCTCAAGAGTGTTGATTTGCGAGGCTGAGCTCCCTCAGGAATAGACTGACCTCCAGCAACTGTTCATTCCACCCCTAGTAGGAGCTTGAATAATGACTGAGTGACAAAGTGTCCCATTCAGTTATTATTCAACTATATTAAATTGCTAAAGTTGGTAATTGGAGCATATCTTATTACAAAGGCAAAAGTTCAACATTTTTCCCCAGGCACAATAGGCTTGCACATTTGAAAACTTCTGGTCTGGTAAGGAATAAGATGTCAGGGCATGGAGCATGCAACAAATTAAACAGGGGAAAATATATTAGCCAAACCCAGGCACAATTACCAAGCATTACTTTGAAGATATTTACCAATCTCAAGCTCTTTTAATAGGGATGGGAGAGATAAAGTAGAAGGGGATCTTGAAAATAAATCAGTATTCCTAAGCTCTAGGAGGCTGACACAATTGAAAACTGTCATTTAAAATATACTGGGGGCTAATAATAGAAGGTAAGTACAGGTTATTTACAACCTACTGTTTATCCACATTGGTTGGCACTCATGCTGTATCAATTATTGAATATTTTGAAATCTGATTTTATTAAAACTCATTTGGATCTACAGTTATAGGCTATGTATTGGAAGTATCATTTGGGGTCTGACTGAGATGTCCAAGTTTTTCTAAAATGGTACTGCACAGAAGGAGCAGTTTTACTGAGACAATAGGAGCTTTGGGTACCTGTGTGAATGTGGTCACACCAAGTTACTGCTTCAAAGAACAAGAAACGAATGCTGTGAGAACTGCAGAGACCACAGCCTATAGTGGTATTCCCCAAATGGGCCTGATCAGAAGACTCATTTGGGGGCAGTTGTTTAATAATTTAGATTCCCAGGTACCTTCTCTGGAGATTATGATTACTAGGTCTGTCTAGGGGAGGCCTAGGAATCAGTATTTTTGACAGTAGTCCCAGTGATTCTTTTGATAAGACAAATTTGGGAAACAACTATTGACATTCATAATGCTACCATTCATTCATTATTTTAATTATTTCACAATTACTGTGGTATTTTTCAAATATGAACCTAGATTCCCCACATAAAATCACCTGGGCTGTTTGATTAAGATCCTGGGCTGCAGCCCCATTCCAAACCTACCAGATAGATCTCCAGGGATAAGATCCAGAAATCTGCATTGTAAATGAGCCTCCCAAGTGATTCTTAGGTAATAAAGTTAGGGAATACTTGCAGTGTGTGTCAAGCACATCGTATGTTTCTTCAAGGTGTCCATTCTCAGTCAATAGGCAACAACCACTTCATTTAAACACCTACTAAGGCAGGAATCAGTGAATGACTTGTGTAGAGGTGATGTAAAGTGTGAAGGGAGAGTGGCAGCTCTTCCTGCTTTAAACCAGCCATCCACAGGCTTGTGAAAGCAAGAAGGGAGGCTACCCTTCAGACAGAGTGGCCAGGTTTTGGGGCACACGGGAGAGGCAAGTGAGGCCCAGGCCCTTTAAGACTCTGGAGTCTGTGGATGTGGCCAACCAATGCCTGGCTGGACCCAAAAACCCCACGACCTCAGGGTCAAGGGCTAGGGCACTGGTGAGAGCTCTCACTCGGAATTTCCTGCTGGAGTGCTAGACCTGCAGCACATAAATATACTTTACTTTTCTTTCTTCTCCCATTTCCTTAGTTTTGTTTGTGGAACAGTATTGGAGCCTTCCCAGGCATTGTTTCATTCTGACACCATAACAAGGTCTGCTCCCTATTCACTTTCTCAGTCAGAAGCCTGTGGAGTGTTCATTGTTCCTGTGGATTTTTACTGATGCACAATTGTGTTTAAAATAACTTGTCCGAAGTACGTCTGGAAAATAATAAGTACATTTATTTTAAGTAAATGTTGGCAGGTGATTCCAATTCTGATTTTCTTTGATTGCTCATGCAAATGAAAATTTAGGTGAATGCCCCTCTGGTTTCAAATGGTAAGAGTAACAATAACAGTAATAAATAAGGTACTCAAGAACTTTGAGGGATTGTTAACTCTAGCATAGGATTTTGAGTAAAAAATCGGAATGGACCTCAATTTCCTCATCTGTAAAATGGGAATCATAAGACCTGCCATAGCTACCTTACTGGGTTGCTGAAAGTCCAGTAAGTCTATAGTATTGATGCTTGGTGAACTATATATAAACTTTTTACTTTACACACACATTGGTTGTTGGTTTTAATAATTTTTTTTCTTGATACTTTTTTGCCCTCTGGCTTTAGATGTCATTGAAACATTTTTACACAGCATCAGTCAACCTAAAATAAAGCATTGAAAACTCACAGGAATTTGGGTAAAATTTGCTTATCATTGCAATTCCCTCCATTACAGAGAAAATTGCTTGCACCAAGATATTTTATTTGTTAAGGTCTGAGAAGGCGGAAGTATGATCCAAATAGCAAAGGTCCCAGTGGCAAATGAAAGGCACTTGGAAACTATGGTGCATTGTTCTGTTCTTCTGGAAGGCAAAACACTGCCGGGACGAGGACGGAGCCATTCCAAGTGGGTGATGAAATTTACTTTATTGACATTATCAATAAGGATGTATTTATGGGAAACAAACATGAAGTATAGCTCACACTTACAGGATTTGGCAGGTAAGCAAAGCGAAGTGGGGTGTCTAATCATAAAGCCCAAACCTTTGAGCTTGCTTGGCATTGGTTTCAGCTCTGGATAGCTGTGTGGGCTTCACGTCATTCTCTTCCTCCAGGAAGCCTCAGCTTTCTCTTGCATAAAAAGGACATAAAGCTCTCCAGTACACTGTAAGATCATAGAAGATAATATTTTGTACTTGAAGTTAAATATCACACATAGTTTATCCAGTTACTAGGTAATAAATATTGCTTCTTTCATGTGGGTTGAAATCCAGAAAGATACAGAATAGAGTTAGAAAGTGCCAAGTGGAACACAGGTCTCTTGAATATTTTGGCTGTGTAATACAAATATCTTACTTTTGGTTTTCTTTTTCAAGGATATCCTATTATAAGATCATCAAAAGGAAAATAAAAGCACCCCTCTTTAGGTATGTAGATGAAAAGGAGCTTTATCCTTCCAAATCACCCTCTCTTTCCACTTCCCAGAATCTTATGAGAACAGTGAAGACTTTGGTACATTAAATGCAAGTTCATAAAATAATTATGGCCATGTCTTAAATTCATGCATGTTATTACAAGTTGATGAATCATTGCTGGTTCCTGCAGAATTTTTGTAACTGGAAAAAAAATGTTAATATATTGATGGTTAGAGTTGCCAGATTGACAAATCCAGAGAACAAAGAACTTTTCTTTTAGGATTAGGTAGGAGTCATAGCCTGTTTAAAGCCGAAGGAAACTTTAAAACAATCAGTTATAGATGAGAAAGCTGGTGCAAAGATGCAGGTAGTAACAGTAATAATAATAAACATTTATTGTGTTTTACATACTAGATTTGTACTCAGTGATTTGCATGCATTATTTCCTTTAATTCTCAAAACAACTTTGGAAATAGGTGCTATTACTAATGCTGTGTTAGAGATAGGGAAACTGAAATTTAGAGCGATTAAGCCACTTACTCAAGGCTAAACAGCTTGTTGATTCTCCTGAGCTGCCTTGATGAGAAGTACCATTCATTCATTCAAATAATTAATTAACATTTATTGAGCACATATTATATGTCACACATTGTGCTTCACACTGGGAACACAAAGGTAAACCAACAAGATATGATCCCATCTTTGCAGTGTGTGCAGAGCAGTGGGAGAGACAGACATATATCAATGGTCATATCAACACATAATTACAAAGCAGAACCAGTAGGTTTTGTTTGTTTGTTTGTTTGGTTTGAGACAGAGTCTCACTCTGTTGCTCAGGCTGGAACTGCAGTGGTGTGATCTCGGCTTACTTCAACCTCCGCCTCCCGGATGCAAGCGATTCTCCTGCCTCAGCCTCACAAGTAGCTGGGACTACAGGTGCCCGCCACCACACCTGGCTAATTTTTTGTATTTTTAGTAGAGACGGGGTTTCACCATGTTAGTCAGGGTGGTCTCAATCTCCTGACCTCGTGATCCGCCCACCTCAGCCTCCCAAATAAACCAGTAGTTTTTAAGGCAGAGTTCAGGATCTGTGAGAACAACGAAGTCTTTTTTGTGCAAGGAGACAGAGTGGCTTCTCGGAGGATGTAACTGTCATACTGAAACCTGAAGGATTAGCAGGAGTTAACTAGAGAAGTTTAGGGGAATGTAAGAGTGTCTCAAATTGGGTGATTCAAGTACAAAGGCCTTTGGCTGGAGTGCAAAGTGCTAGTGTGGGGATGGGAGGTGGTGGAGAGAGATGAGAGGAAGGCAGGGGCTGATTCTTCAGAACAGTGAGATATTTGGTCTCTAACATGAGAACAATAGCTTTGGGAATTATCTTCACAAAAGGTCACCATGTCCTGCCAGTTACCTAATATTACAGCCTTTCTCCAGGTTTCTTCCTCCCCAGATGTCTGGAGCACCCCAGAGCAATGGCCTTGGGTCTGATAGTCCTATAGTTCCCAGGTCCTTCAAGGTCCTCCAAGAACCTCAGATGCTTTCTCTGCCCCATTCCTCTCCTACCCACTTACTGTAAGACTACAGTACACTCTTTTAAAGTGTTCATGTGTGTGTGTATCTCCTCAATGTTCATTCTTGCTCATTTTCCCAAATGCCCAAACCTTACATGTCGGACTGACTCCATTTGGTGAAGCCACTGAAATTCCTAGAACACATTTTTAAAAAAACAATATACCTGTCAAACCATGTAGTTTTATCTCATGTTTATTGATATATTTCATTAATAGCTTCAAAACTTCTATTACAATCTCACTTAGGTTTGGAAGACAATGCCCCAGTACCACCATCCTTACTGACAAAAACTATCCTTTACCCATCGTCTGGCTGCTAAGACATCTGTTACAGCTTCTTTCTTTAGTCAAAAGTATTCTCCAGTCTGTTAAAATAAATGAATAATCTGAAAACATGGAACATGTAAGTTATCAATCATTTATGTCATAATGGAAAGAGTTTTGGATCTTTCCCATGGGCAAGTTTCGATAGAAACAGAGGGGAAGTGCAGAAGGTCACTGAGCTCCTGGCTGAGGTGGGAAGGAGAGACAAGGAGGGTGGAGGAGGAGAGTGGGGAGAAGACGTTCACCTCTGTGAAGCTGACAGCTTTTAACAAGGTCACTTTTCTTTCTTTCCTATTCCTAAATATGATTTATTTATTCTTTGGTAATTATCCATTACATTGAGTAAATTTCTGGTTAATATTTTTACTGTGGTTTCCTTTAGGCTGTAATTATCGGGAAACTTTTGATTAAAAATAGTAACTTAAAATATAAACACTTAACCCTGGCTATATAACCAACCACCCAAATAGACTTACATTTTTTTCCTATTTCAGTTATTTTCTATTCAAATACAGTAAAACATTTTAAAGGAAAAATGTGCCCAAAGGCATCATTTGGCTTAATGAGAGATGCTACTCTGGAAAAAAAAAAAATTAGCTAAATTCAACAGCGGCGTGATTCAAGATGATTGACACTTGAGAGTGGGCATCCAAGTTCCTTTCACGAATAGTAGGGGGAGCTTGGCTTCAGCTGAACATTTACTTACCAGTGTTTGTGCTACTGGTTTCCAGGCAGTGTATAAATTACTGCTTGCTTCTGTGTGGTGCAGAAAATAAAGGCAAATTCTTTCTTTTGGGAGGCAACCAGTCTATACCTGATTTATTGGATATGGTAACACTGGGCCGACTAATGAGAGGGATCAAAACGAGCCATGACAAAATGGCAGTGTGCTAAATCAGGAAGACTCTGCAATTCTGCTGTTACACTGGGGCTTACTGCTTGGCTGGAAGGAAATATGCTGTAGTGGTTAGAGGGAAATGGTCTTTCTGTTCCAAACCTGTATCTCCAGCAACTTTGAAGTGGTTTATAAAGTTATATTTCAAGCTATGCAGCCTCACACCAGGTGTTAACCAAGGGGTAACTGTTTGTTAAGTTTCCTTCAAAGGCTGTTCAGGGACTTTGAACAAGTGGAAAGTGTCTGCTGTTTGGGGATTGCCAGCATTGTTATGGGTACAAAGTGATTCATCCCCACTGAGGAACAGCCACTTCTGGCCAGAAAGAGGTAAAATGGGTCACTGTGTCAAAGATAGCCAAGGAACAGGAAGAAACTCAAGACAGAGCTACCCAGATGGGGGGCAGCTGCAACACGATGGCGGTCCAAAAGTGTTGCTTGAGTTCTGGTTAGCAGGTGCATGGGGTGCCTAATGAAAAGTGGATAGAAGCCATGGGAACATGGGACCCCAATTGTTTTTTTCTTTCTGTTCCTTAAAGGGAAATGTTAGCTAAAAGCAAAAAATTATCTTTCCTTTATATGGAAAGCTGACCAGTTGTCCTGTGTCATGCCAAATGGAGAAACACAACAGCTAGCATGTGTGGTGGTGGAGTGAAGTGGAGGTCAAACAGAGAAGAGTTTGACTAATTACTCTTGGAAGGGAAGGTTACTTGGTATATTTGATCAAGCTTGTAACAATGCCATTGTAAAAAAAATTTTGCTCTTTTCCCACATACCAACCTCCTTTTTTTCAATCAAAGCCATATGATTCAACCAGAAATTTTGCTTGACAAGCATTTGAAGAGGCCAGAAGAGGATGGCAAGGGAGTGGTCTGAGGGCCCCAGCCTTTCCCACTGTCCCATTCCCTCTGCATTTTACAAAGCAGATCATCCCTGGAGAGGAATCAAATTCCTGTGAATCTCCAGTAACTTTTCCAAATTTGTTAAACATAAAAAAGACCAGGAATGAGCATAGGCCAAGCTAACCATGGGAGGAATTTAGTTTATAAATTAGGTTTGAAGCAAGGATAATAATAGTCCCTCCCTGAAACTGATCTGTGCCATATTCAGGGGCTGAAACTGTCTTTGTAAGACTAATGAAAGGCCACAAGATTACAATTATGTAAGGGGCTGAATTCTGTTAAAATGTAGGTATAATTTCTATAATCTCTTACTGCTTAGGAGTCATGTGACTAGCGGTCACAAGATTTGTGACTTCCCCAATTGCCCTTGTAGATAACATCATTATTGTAGAACTTAAGATTGGTCTTTTGAGATGTTTTTCAGACTGACCTCACCCAGAATCATAATGCATCACTCAACCAGTCGAATGGCCCCCTACCCAGAGATGGATTTAGCACATAAGGACCATTTTCCACACCCCTATCATTGTATCCCCAATACCCACTGAGTGTACCCAATCAGCATACCCACTCCCTAGTCCCTTGACCACCAAACTATCCTCGAAAATCCGTAACCTCTGAGCCTTTGGGGAGACTGATTTGAGTGGTAACTCCAGTCTCCCATGTGACAGCCTCACATCAATTAAACACTTTCTCTACTGCAATACTGCAGTCTCAGTGAATTGATTTTGCCCATGCAGTGGGCAGGAAGAAACCACTGGGCAATTACATTGGGAGGGTCTTCACATCCCCACTCCCCACCATGACTCTTAATGCTCTTGCTCAATGTGCTCCAGGCTCACAAGCTCCTTCTTCCTTCCCCCTCAATTCCCCCAAGATAGCTCCCATTGGCTGTAGCAAAGGTAGAATTTACGCTGTCTTCATAATTTTAAGAACCTCACATTACTGCTTAGAATAGTACAATTGAAGTCCAACCTACCATTCCTACTATTAGGGAATTCAAAGTCTAGCCAAAAAACAGAGACCTCTCTACATCACTGTGGAAAAAAAACAACAGCAACACTGATTTATGAATTCACACAACACAGCACACACATATGGTAGCTGGCAAAAGGCTACAAGGTCAGAATGAAATTTTACACAATTTATGCAGCAAAACAGAAGAAATAACAATAATACATCTCCCACAACCTTAAGAAACAAACAATTACATCTTGAGACAGGCTCTCAGGTTAGCTCCAGAGGCACATGTTTGCATTTGGGTTATGGGACCCATGACCTTGAAGACATCTCTGTAAAACTGGAGACTGGTCTTATCTCGCCTCTGGAAAGACCCGTTTACATTCCGAAAGGCTAGAACAAGGACTTAAGCCTACTGGTTTTCAAGGAGAGTCTTACTACTACTAATAGTAATAACAGAAAGGTTCGTAAGCATAGAATCAACTTCTAATATACCCCTCTCCCATAGTTAGAAAACATACTGTCCCTTTTCATACCTCCAGCCTGGAGGCTCTCTGTGGCTTTCTGTGGCTTTCTCCTTCAATGCCACCCATTATCTGAATACTTCTGTGTAGAAGCATCTGTAGTTGAGAGTCAGGTCACACAGTGTGGTTTTCCCAAGTGACACCCTCCTTTGGCAGAAACAGCTCCTTTAGAGATCAAGATGGCCATTCCCTGAGGCCCAGGGTCTCAGCAAGCTAGAAAGAGGAAAGCAATCTGATTAAAGGAACCTACATTAAACTCTGTTGATGGCAGCCCTCCAACCTGCCCGTTAGTGCTGTTCATGTGAAGAAGCAGGGAAAAAATCCTTTTAGTCCATTGAATCACATGTTAAATTAGTTCTAGAAACTTGGAGAATGAGAGGGAGAAGTATGTGAGGTCTTCTTCCTACCACTTGCTTGAACTTAACTCCAAGCACCTACCCAGTGCATCTTAAAATTTAGCTCGATGCTTGTAATGCCTATTTAAAATGCACACTTCTGACCTTCTGGTCTAATTCAGCAACTTTGAGGTGGAGCCAAAAAATCTACATTTTTGTAAAGCTCCCCAGGTGATTGTGATACCAGTGAAACCCAGAAATACTGACCTTCTTCATGCAGATACCCGACAGCCACACTTGAGCCCATCTGCCTAGCCAGGGGTTTCTGGAAGCTAGAGTAACCTGTGCCCACAGTGACCTAGGTCACTTGAAAACACTTCCCAAAGTGTATTTTGGACTCTAGGGACCTGATCCTAGGGATCTTAATAAGTGTTAGAGGGCTGAGATAAACCAAGTTAATCAAGTGTTTTTGCTGTGGGACTTCTCAGACCCTTTAACGTTAATATATCATGAGTCTCGAGGAGAAGTATATAACAGGTAAAATGTTTCAAATTTATATGGCCACAGAATCATCTGCGAAATCTGGAGCACATCTTGGGAAAGTGTGATCTGCAGATCATCAGAGAAGTTTTCTGCTGTGCGTAAATGACTACTGAAGTGTTTGATTTTGCTGTATAAAATAGTGTTAGATATGTAAATGTATGTGGGCTGAATCATGTGTAATAAATGTCATATGCTGAGTGATACACTGTCCCAGGCATGTAATAAGTGTCACATACATGATCTCATTTAACCTTCACAATAATCCTGCGAGATGGGCATTATTCTTCCTATTTGATGATAAACTGGGCTTGGAAGAGCTTAAGTAACTTATCCAAGATCACACAATTAATACAGAACAAAGCCGAGATTCAAATCCAGGACTCAAATCCAGCTCAATCTGTCTCCTAAACCCACATCTTTCTCCTTATACTCCACTGCCTCCTTAGCAACACAGTAATAATTACAGTGGAATCTCACCTTCTGTGGGGTTAGGTTATAAAGTTAAGTGCAATCAAAGGTAAATTAGAAAAAACCTAAGTCACTGATAAAGTATAGTTAGTTATACAAGGTTTTGGGCATATAACCCTGCCCCGTATTATGTTTGTATAAGTATATAACGTTGTGTATGTGTACGTAAAATATAATTTTACAGCATTTTTATTTTTAAGTATGCAAAAGAGACAGAACTTGTTTAGTTGAATTCATGTAAGTTAAACACCTGTATAATGTCTCTCTACACATGCATACCTCTAAATGTGTGCCAGACTAACAGTGGTAACATCTTACAGAGTTTTACAGCTTTAAAACCAGAGGGAACTTCTATGGTCAAGTGGTCTGTGTTACATTTGACAGAATTGAGGCACAAAGAGGCTGTCCCTTGCCCAACTTCACTGTCTACCTTCATTTCCAACAAGCTTTGGGAGCCTGTGTGTCTGCTCACAGCTAGGAGGAAAGCAGAGGAAGGCCAGTTCTCCTTACTTTTTGCCTGTTGTGGCCCAGCTAACCCAATAAATGAAATTCAGGTTGCTGTGAGATGGTCAAGGTCTGGGCTTTACATCTGGCAGGGAGACAGCTCCTTTCTGAGGATGACAGCTGCAGCTTCAGCTCTACCTGGGAGCTGTCTCCCCATGGGGAAGATGTTCATAGCCAGCTGTCTCTTTTGTGTGCAGTTCCTGGGATTGTTCAAACTGGTAGAAGCTGAGAGAGCCCAAGGGAAGGGAATCTGCAGCTATAGAGCCCAACATGCCTTCTACACACACACACACACACACACACACACTTGCCCTCATTCCTTTAAAACAGAAAGAAGCCAGAACATGTGATGTGGTCAGCTGTTTGGATTCTTAGAGAGTGTTGAGTCTAAGTAATGGGGCAAGTTGTGGGGAGGGCACTTATGGTTTTGGTGGGGAGGGCAGGGACCATTCCAGCTCTAATCAGAAGGATAAAGGAAGTAAGCAGACCAGCAGACCTGGCCTCTGGCATGTGAAACAGCATCCACATGCCCCCCTCCCGATGTCCTATCAGATCTCATTAACCCTCTCCCATTCCATTATCCAGGCACTGCCTCCTTACCTGCCTTGATTATCTCGGCTAGCTGCCAGGGTTGATAAGAAATCTGTCCCAAAATGGCAGAGGGCTAACAGATTAAGGGGTTCCCTCTCAGGGACTTAGCCCTTCGGGTGGGCTGTCTCACAGTTCCCAATTCTTCCAGAGCCAAAGGAAAGCCACAGAAGCATGAAATGTCAGGAAGATTAGACAGACATTTCTGGGCCACAAGCCTGTGTGATGCTTTTCAGATCAAAACCCAGGTCGTGCCTGCTATGTTTGTAGGAAGGAGGGAGTCTGGGTGGGAAATTAGAGAAAGTACAGCACCCTCTGTCCTGAAGAACCTTTCATCCCTGAACTCAGAGGTGTAAGCTGCCCTTCTGAAACACAAATCCTTATCTACTCTCATTTTCCAAATGTTTTGTGTTTCTATATGAAAATCTTTAGATTTGCTGAACCATTGGGCCCCAAAAATATGGCCCAGGTCACTCAAACCTATATATTTTCTTCCTATGATTTTCCTCAGGGCAATTCATGTCGTCACAGGTGGCCCCACCCCCCAAAGCCTTCACCTGAAGGTATTGCAAGCCAACTTTCCAGTTATTTGTTAAAAATAAAATGATCCTTAAAGGATGTGATGGTCAGCCAAGATACTAGAGTTGTTAGCTTTCATCGGACAAAAGGACTTTCAGTGTCAGCTCTGCTTATTTCATTTAGCTTGGATGGCGACCTACATCTCTCAGCATGAAAGGCCCAAAGCGATGTTTCAGGAAGAATAATCCAAAGAACTACGGGTATCAAACTCCCTGGGAACTTGTTAGCATACCAATCCTGGGCTGAGAATATGATTTTAAGGGGATTGATGCTTTAGAATTTCTGGACTAAAGGTTGCTGTTTCTCTTGAAGTGGCAACTCCATTTGAGTGGCAGGTTATCCTGTCTGTCATTACCTGGAGAATTATACAGAAATCTTCTGCATAGCAAGAAGTCCCACCACACTCAGGGCATTGGGGAAATAGGGTGGTGGCAAGCCTATGTTCAGTTAGGGGGATCCCTGCCCTGTGCTGCCGGAGGAAGTGCCCTGTGCTGCAATGAGGAAGTTCACTGCTGTCTTTCTCAGGAACTCAGACCAACATGAAAATAGGACTCCTGAACTTAGAGCCTATGTTTTGTCCACAAGATTATCCAATCTGCAACAAGCACCAGAACTTGTCTGAGATCCTGAAATCCAGAGAGCCTAGCCAGCTGGGCATATACCAAGCTCTAGCATAGGAGAGAGGCCAGCTACTCAGCCAGGGCACATGGCCCTGGGGCAGCCTGGCCCTGGACAGGTGGAGCCAACCTCTCCAAGAACTTTCCAACACTCCACCATTCTCTGTTTACCCCAGAGGCATATTAGGCTGACTGAGACATCCTTGAGAACACAGGGAAGCTTCAACTACCTATGACTGAAATCATGATCATCATCATCATCTAGTTCTAAACAAAATCATCCTAGGAGGCAGCATGCCCTTGTACAAATTTCAAATCTGATACAAATAGCTGTGTGGCGTTAGGCAGATTCCCTCTCTGTACTTACGGTTCCTCATCTATAAAACAGAGTTAATAAAAGAACCCTAATCCCAGCACTTTGGGAGGCTGAGGCGGGCAAATCACGAGGTCAAGAGATTGAGACCATCCTGGCCAACGTGGTGAAACTCTATCTCTACTGAAAATACAAAAATTAGCTGGGCATGCTGGTGCGCACCTGAAGTTCCCAGCTACTCGGGAGGCTGAGGTAGGAGAATCGCTCAAACCCAGGAGGCGGAGGTTGCAGTGAGCCGAGATCGTGCCACTGCACTCCAGCCTGGTGACAGAGTGAGACTCTGTCTCAAAAAAAAAAGAATCCGTCTCTTAGGTTCGTTGTAAGAATTAAATGAGACAATGTGTACCAAATTCTTAACAGAGTCTGGAATATAATAAGTGTTCTGTAGACAGGGCCACAGCTAGCATGCAGGGTGTCTTTGTGGTAATTGGAAAAGGGTGTGCTCATTTGGGTAGACACATTAGAAAAAGATGTCCCTTCCTCTGGGCTGGCTCAGGCTGGTGCCTGACTTGGGAAGCAGAGTTCCTCCCTCGGCTGGCCACCCTTTGGCTGGTCACAACCCACAAAACTGAAGGTGGAGGCCCTGTCCGTACATGTTTGCTATGGTAAGTACCAACAGTTCTTGCAGACGGACAACTGTGTGCGCTCTCACTGTGGAGGCCCCCTTGGAGGAGGTAGCTGACTCTCACTTCTCAGAACCACAGTGCTAGGCTCAGCAGAGTCTCATCTTGATAAACTTCTGTGAGAACAAAGGCATGGGGACACACTGAATTTTCCTTTTCTGAGCTTGAAACCAGCTGATCATGCTTCCTGTTTCTCTAAGGGCTTCCCTGACATAGACGACTTGCTTCTTTCAAATTTGGTCATCGCCCTCTTGCCTTCCTGTGTGAGTCAGCGTGGCTGCCCTTGTGCACGCCAGGCTCCTGTCTGTGCTCCGGGGCCTGTTTCCTGGCCTCCCCAGGTAATTCCCCTCGGCCAAGGGTGAGCGTCCCCGCCCACGTCCCCTCTGCCTGGAGACGTGCGTGCGCTGGGGACATGAGTCACAGCAGCCCGCCCGTCCTCTGCATCTGAAACTATTATTGGAATGCCTCTGCGCACAGCACATGCCTGCTTCCCAGATTTCACAGGCCCCTGCTCAGGGATCTGCAAACCACATTGCTCAGCCCGAGATTCCACGCGGGTGATCACGAGGTGGTTTGCTCTAAGCTGGAACTTTTCTAAGAAAGTAGGTTTCTTTAAGCCAGGCATTCTGCATTCTTCAAAAAGCGTCAACCACATGTCTCCAGCGAGCGCCTAGCAATGTGCCTGCCTTAATGGGTAATGCAAAATAAATCGTTCTGGAGCTCTGAGAAGGACACAGTAAAAAGAAGAGCAAAAATGAGCATCTCAAATAAGAGATGTGGCAGGACAGATCCTTATGGGCCTGGAGAGTTAAACCCACAAAAAGAAAGGGAAGAAAGAGGCAGAAGATCGGGAGGAGGACCATGAGAAAGAACCAACAGAGGCAAACAACTTGAACAAAGATGCAGAGGGAGAATGTGTCGGACTTGTTTACAGGAACCTAAACACGGAACCAAATTTGAATTTTGAAGATCCTTCTCTTTTTCTCTTGCTAGGATGATTAATAGCCTCTAGTGTGAGAGAATTTGTTGTTGTGAGGTGATAAAACTGCTTTGAATGCTATAAGGTATACAACTCTTGTCTCCCTTTTACAGATGAGGAAACTGAGGCACAAAAAGGTGAAGTCCTGAGCTCACAGTCATGCAACCAGCAGGTGGTGAAACACACCTCCAAGCTGCCTGCCTCCTAAGCATCAAGCTTTGTGGCCCAGGGTGAGAACAGATTTTTGTTTTTCCAGGTGGATATTTGAAAGGGAGGAGCTAAGGTTAGTTCACTGATCCTTCTTCCTTCTCTGAACTCCTGATGCAGATTTCCCTTCTTCCATGCTAGATCTTGGTGTATGTCCAGGTGACTAGGATCTCAGGATCTCAGGCAAGTTCTGGTGCTTGCTGCAGGTTGGATAATCTTGTGGACAAAACAGGCTCTAAGTTCAGGAGTCTTATTTTTATGTTGGTCTGAGTTCCTGAGAGAGACAGCAATTAATTTCCTCATTTTCCCTATTTGACATGGACACGAGAACATGAGACTAACAAAGAAACAACCTTTTGCTAGACCATTTTCAGATCCTATGAAAGAAAATGATAAAGAGAAAAGTAGCTCCTGGGGCAAAGTGGAAGCAGATCCTGGAAGAAGTTGCAGGTGGGCTTATGTCAGAGGCGCCCTAGCAGTAGGTGTGCGAAAAGAGAGCAAGGGAAAGATGGGAAGTCCCTCCTCAAGCAGCAAACGCATGTGGCATCCCAGCATGGCTGGAAGCCACCTCTATCACTTCCTTCCGCCAGTGACAATGAAACGGAAAGGGAGCTTGTGACTCACTTCACCTGGCAAGGTGGTGCTGGAACAGGACACTTCCGTGAATCAAGGCTGATTGATCTTATTCTATTTCTAGACACATATCTTACCCAGAGTGCCTCTCCTTCTGAAAGAGTGGCCACCTCATAAAAGTGAAGAGAACACTGTCAGTGGGAATGTAAAACGGTGCAGCCACTGTGGAAAAACTTATGGCATTTCTCAAAAAATTGAAAAGAGAATTACCATATGACCCAGCATTTTCACTTATAGGTATAATATATACCCCAAAGAGTAGAAAGCAGGACTCCAACTGATGTTTGTACACCATGTTGATAGAGCATTATTCACAGTAGCCAAAAAAATGGAAGCAACTCCAGTGTCCATTGATAGATGAGTAAATAAACAAAATGTGAAATACACATGCAATGGAATATTATCCAGCCTTAAAAACGAAGGACAGTCTGACATATGCTTTGACATAGATGAACCTTGAGGACATCATACTAAGTGAAATAGGCCAGTCACAAAAAGACAAACACTGTATGATTCCACTTACGTAAGATATCAAGAACAGTCAGACTTTTATAAGGGAGGGGGAAATGAGGAGTCGTTTAATGGGTACAGAGTTTCAGTTTTGTAAGATGAGTTTTGGAGATTACATTGGTTGTACAATAATGTGAGTATACTTAACACATTGTTAATGGTACACTTCATAGTTAAGATGGTAACGTTTATGTTGTGTGTATTTTATCACGATGAAGCAATTTTAAAAGTTTAACAAATGAAGAGAAAGCTTGTTTCTGTCTGCTACTTGAGTGTAACTATTTGAATTGACTTGAAGGAGGAAGCTCTGGGCCAGTGTGGAGCTTGAGCATAGGCACAGGAGAAAGGGAGACTGCAGACATTGTTTCTTGATCTGAAAAGGAAAACACGGTTCTGCAGTTGTGACAAGCTAAAGGAGACTGGAAGCTTCCCTGAGAGTGAGCTACTGAGCTCTTGCCCCCCTCCTTCTCAGAGTTCTCCAAGGACACACATCTCAGTGTCCCTGCCTAACCCTACCGCCCCAGCAAAGCCCTGGTCCAAACAATGAAAGATGCCTGTTTGAACTTAGGACAATCCCATGGTTTGCTTATTGGACACTTACTAAGGATTTCACTGGCATCTGCTGGTTGTAATTCTCTTAGCCTCCTTTAAGGAAGGTCTTGTTACTATGCCCATCTTTTAGATGAGAAAACTGAAGCACAGAGAGCCTTTGAGATCCATCTGATTTAAAAGCTGCTACTTTAATAGATCTCTAATAAATAGACATCTTCTGTGATTGCATTAAATAATTTTTAACAAAAATGAAGCAATTCAGTTAAAGATAATATCCAAATGACCAGCTTTACTGGGGTGAAGGCTAAAAGGAATGAGCAGGTTGCCATTAGGGAATGAGCATGTGCGTGTGATGAAGAAAGGTAAAGAGGTATTCATAGTCTAAAGCATTTAGTTGAATTCTTGTGGTTTAGAAACATTAGGTTAGAAGTAGTTAACCAAGTGGAAAAAAAAAAGACACTCAAAACCACCACACTGTTTTTGGCACAGTAATATAACCTGGTAAGTGTACTAAAAATTACCCATTTGGTGAAGGGTAGGGATGCCCCTAAAATAGAATTTCCATTGGCACCTCTTCTTTATGTTCTGCCTTTCAGCTTTATATACCTTCAAGTTACAGGAAAAGCTCTGCTGAGCACTCTTGGATATTTCAGACTTTTCAATGTGACCTCTCTAAAAACCTCCCCCACCAATCAAAAATGCACAACCAGAAACTGTTTCTGCCACAATAGTTCCAAGTTCACATCAGTTACATTTTGTTTTGTTTTGTTTTTTGAGAAGGGGTTTTGCTCTTGGTGCCCATGCTGGGTGGCATGATCTTGGCTCACTACAACCTCCACCTCCTGGGTTCAAGCAATTCTCCTGCCTCAGCCTCCTGAGTAGCTAGGGTTACAGGTGCCTACCACCACAACTGGTTAATTTTGTATTTTTGGTAGAGACGGGGTTTCTCCATGTTGGTCAGGCTGGTCTTGAACTCCCAACCTCAGGTGTCAGTTACATTTTTAGAGGATGAAATGGTACACTTTGGGTTTAAAAATCCATTGTAAAGGAGATGCTTTTTCAAACTTTAAAAAAGAAGAACCTGACATTTTTCAATCCAAAATGGACTGACAAACATTCTTTCAGTTCATCTTGTTTAAATAATGAACATCAGAAGCCTATTGTTTAGTATTTTTCAAAAAATAGTAGCATTCTCAAGATTTGTTTTTGTTTTCAACAGATCTACTTCATGCTCCAAATATTCATGGACCTTCCCAGGACCTCAACAAAACAAAACCATGAAGAAAAACCTTGACATGAACCCCAAAAAAACCCAGTCAGCAATATTTTAAGTTAAATTTTGAAACAAATCCAAACGGGTTCCTCCCCATAAATCTACCAGTAAATTGTGCAGAATCAGAACTGAAGCCATGCCCTTTCTTAAAGTATTGAATTAGAATAAATGAGAACATCTAAATATTTTCCAAATTCATATTCCAGTTATAATATTCAAGTTTCTTAGTTTCTCTCTGTTCACATTCAACATGAAATAGTCCCATTAGTCAGTAGCAAGAGCTGCAACATTTCTACAGGTACTAAAGGATGTGATCAGAGCAGGGAAGATGGCCAACAAGATGATGCCACTCTAGCGGGTGCCCATCCAAATCATAACCCATGAATACTGCGGCTTTATTATCTTGGACAACAGAAAGCTGATCTTGTAATTGGATGATCACCCCTGCTTGCATGCTTTCGAGTAGTTACGTATGACAAAAGGAGCTACTGGTTTTGTGATGATGGGTTTCTGGGTAAACCCTAGATGCAGAAGCAGCTTTTAAGCATAGCAGAGCAAGAGTCAAATGGTTCTGAAAAAAGTTTTAACTCTGAGATGACTTCTCCCCGCTTCTTTCACTCTACCCTCTCAATCCTAGAGCAAGTGAGCAGAGTAGGTAAAGCTGTTTCCTCCAGAAAGATGATCCATATTTTAAACAGCTCTGTGAATGGGGCACTAAGACTCAGAAGATCTGGTTTTCAGTTCGCATTCTGCCTTTAACTGGTCTTGAAAGTTTGGGCAACTCAATTATCTCATGGAGTCAGTATTTGCATCTGTACAGTGGGGATATGAATACCTGTCTTACCTACACGGAGCTGTAAGAGCAACAGAATGTGAGCTGGCATGATGTTATTATATGTATCACCTTGGTTATTTTAAAACATGCTTGATGTATTAGCCTCTCTGTTTCCTCTTGAGTTTTCCTGCAGAGATGTCTTTTAAACCAAGCATCACTCTCCCAATCAGAGACAGGGCTAACTAGATAGACAAATGAGAAAGAGAAGTCGGGGATGGGATGGGAGCACAGCCAATGCAGAAACAGTCATGTGTATTCTTCTAGACAGGTGAGCAGAGACATTTTCAGGATTTCAGGGGGGCAGGATGGAGACATGGGGGAAGCTTCTGGGTCAGTTCTTGATGGTGTGGCTTCAGTATGTAGATGCACACATTCTCCTCTAAGTCGAAAAGAATATACTGGGGGTTTCCATTCTTTTGGATTTTCCAGGCTTCTAACGACCTCCACCATTCCCAGTCCAGAGGAGGTCATGGGATGATAGAAAGTGGGAGCAACCAGGGCATGTGCCTTTTCATTTCGCAGTGGAGGGGCTGAGGCTTGGAAAGAGGGCCTGGCTTAGGGAATACAGACTTCAGCTCAGAAAATCTAACAGGAATTCTCTTCTGTGACTGCTAGACAGGCTTGAAACTACTTAGCAATATTCTGATTTTTTTTCTCTGCAATATCAATAAGGGTAAGCACCCAGTGCCTTCTGGCAGCACCCCCAGAAGCTGCCACCTACAGGACTCCCTTCCCTGCTGGCCGGCCCATGGGCACCCTGTGAGGTGAGCCAGGGCTGCTTCCCAGCAGAGGAAGGCCGAGCCACCATGCAGCCCTGATTTGTCTGTATGAAGGGGCAGAAATTGATGGCCCACACAGCTCGAGCTTTTGCATTTGCGAGAGAAAAATGTCTTCGTAAAAACAACAAGAACAGCAGCCTGAAATAAAAGAAACAAATGGCATCCAGTCAGAGCCCAGGTTCCCTTCCAAACCCACACCCACACACACCCCTGCGCCTGTTTCATGCTTCTCAGCATGAGGCGCTGCCTCCAGTGCTTCTTTCAAAATACTGCTGAGAAAGTGCCACAGGACTGTCACGTCGACAAACTGTTCAGTCCCCCGTTTGAAGCTGAGAGGTGCCAGGCAGAAACTGGGTTCAATTAGACATGATGGAAAAAGGGAGAGGCCCTCCCTGGCCCTCGCTCAGGCCCCTGAGGTGTGCATTACATCTGGCACAAGAATTGCCCAGAAGGGAGGCCCTAGGCTGCCTAGCGGTTCCCAGGTCTTCTGCCCCACTATCAGCTTCTCCCTTGCTTCTGCCTAAGCTATCAGGAGCCTGCAGGCAGCCTGGACCTTGGGGCTTGCACACATGAGCTTCAGGTCTGATTAGAAAGGAAGCTGGGCTCCTTCTTCTTTTCTACTGAGGCCTGTTTGGAGAGCATCCTGGCCAACACATGCGTAGGGGATCACAATGCATTACTTAGAATCCCTCCATCCTGGCTTGTGCCTCAAGTCCTTCCCTTCTGTTTCCACACGCCCATGCACGATTTTTTAGACTTGAAGAAAATTAATTTGTATTTATAACTAAAAGGATACAGCACTTATAAGTGCAATGGTCAGTATTTTTTTCTGCCTCATTTTCTATCCGATATTTTCTGTGATGATTTGACTTTTATTTGTATATTATAAAAAGCATCTACTGGGCCAGGTGTGGTGGCTCATGCCTGTAATCCCAGCACTTTGGGAGGCTGAGGCGGGCAGATCACTTGAGGTCAGGAGTTTGAGACCAGCCTGGCCAATACGGTAAAACCTTGTCTCTACTAAAAATACAAAAATCAACTGGGTGTGGTGGCAGGCGCTTGTAATCCCAGCTGCTCGGGAGGCTGAGGCAGGAGAATCGCTTGAACCTGGGAGGTGGAGGTAGAAGTGAGCCGAGATCACACCATTGTACTCCAGCCTGGGCATCACAGTGAGACTTTGTCTCAAAAAAAAAAAAGCATCTACTGTGTGTCTCTGAATTTCTTAATAAGTATTTGCAAAACAAATCATACATTTCAGCTTGCAAACTAAAAAAAAAAAAAAAAAAGGGCAATATGTGCTGGATTAGTTAAATGGAAATGGCCAGCCTTCAGTAAAACAAATGCTTATTAAGCACCTACTATTTGCCAGTCCCTGTGGGAGAACACAAAGATGTGGAGACACAAAGATGAAAAGGCACATGCCTGCCTCCTAAAAGTTTAAGTTATCCTCAAACTTCCACTCGATGTGAGAACACAAATGATTCTTAACAGTGTTTAATTCCCAAATGAATTTTTTAGAGGAATGAGGATGTGTGAGTATCTGTATACATCTATACAAGTGTCAGGGATCTAAATGTGTAGCTGGCAGCATTTAGAAAAGAACAGGCTAGATGCAGTGGCTCTTGCCTGTACTCTCAGCACTCTGGGAGGCCAAGGTGGGCAGACTGCTTGAGCCCAGGAGTTTGAGACCAGTCTGGGCAACATAGCAAGACCCTCTCTAGACAAAAAATTAAAAAGTTAGCTGGCATGGTGGTGCACACCTGTGGTCCCAGCTATTTAGGAGGCTGAGGCAGTAGGAGGACCTGGGATGTCGAGTGTAACAAGGCTACAGTGAGCCTTGATTGCGCCCCTGTACTCCAGCCTGGGTGACAGAGTGAGACCCTGTCTCAAAACAAACAAACAAAAACAAAATAAAAGAAGAACAAATCCACTTTACCCAACTACAAGCTGTAAGCTCTCACAATGCTCAGGTCTAAGTACATGATGTATTTATTTCCTAGATACCTACTGTGAAGTGTGGAACAAAGCCAAGTTCTATTACATATTTGAAAAATCCAGGTGACAGGAAGAGGATACAAAGATGGAGTAAGCTCCCCGTGTCACCTCGTGGGAGGTAGAAGGGATCAGGGTAGGGAGTTAACAAGAAAACTAAGAAAGGGATGATGAGACTGAAATGGAAAAGTAGATCAGTGATTGCCACAGTAGAGTGTAATAAAAGCAATATAAGATCTTCTCTTTCTATTTATGTTCGTTAAAAAATAAAAGACATTAGGCTTGACTACCATTTAACAGATTGTCCGTAGTACATGTGTATAATGTGTGTGTGTATAAACACGGTGTAAGGAGCCTGACTGTCTGAGATTGTATTGTGCCGAGCCTAAGTTAGCCACATGGATGGACAGAAGCCATGTGGAGGAGCACCAAGGCACCACACAGGTGTGGGAATCCTCCTTAGATCTTGTAGCTCAGCTAGCCACCACCTGACTATAGCTGAGCGAGTGACCCAGCCATCCTCACTGGAACAGAAGAGCCAGCTGAACCCTGCCTGAATTCCTATGCCACTGATTATGAGAAGGAGTAAATTATTGTTTTAAGCCACTAAGTTTTGGAGTGTGGTTTGTTTCACAACAATAGATAACAAAACGATCATATTCTTACAGTTTGGTAATTAACCCTAGAGACAAACATATTTATCAAGATTTCTCTCTTTACATGATGGCACCTTAAATGTGAAAAACAAAATTCTGATGGTCAAGAGTATGTAGTCAATGAAATCTGACGGCTAGGCTAAGCCCAGAAAACAATGAGGCAGCCACAACAAATTAACAAAGTATTATTTTTAAAAATTTATTTTTGAGACAGGATCTCACTCTGTCATCCAGGCTGGAGTACAGTGGTGGAATCTCAGCTCACTGCAGCCTCAACTTCCTGGGCTCAAGCAATCCTCCCGCCTCAGCATTCCAAGTAGCTAGGACTACAGGCACTCACCACCATGCCCTGTTAAGTTTTGTATTTTTTTATAGAGACGGGGTTTCACCAGATTTCCCAGGCTCATCTTGAACTCCTGGACTCCAAGAGATCCTCCTGCCTCAGCCCTCCAAAGTGCTGGGAATTCAGGCATAAGCCACTATGTCAAGCCCAAAGTATCGCCTTAAAAGAGAAGTTGCATACAGTACAGAAGACTTAGAGTGGGAGGTATTTTACAATAATCAGGAATCTATGCACAGGTAATGTTTTTTACCTCTTCCTTTGGCAAAAGTTTTATCCCTTCCAGCCTTTGGAGTTCTTTCTTTAGCTGTATCTGACAGCTTCTCTGTTACCCTCTTCCCTTTTATTATTGGGGGCTGGATGCCTGGAAACCACATTTTCCAGCATCTTTGCCAACAGAGTTCCAGATCATATACTGACATGAGATTAAGAAGGTACAAGAGAGGTAGAAGCCACATAATGCTACTCTGCAGAAGAGAGCAAATGTGTGGGTTTCAGCAAATACCAGATTTTGTATTGGCTCCCCGACATCTCCCTGTGAATCATCAACGTCAGTGTTAGAAACAGATGATACCATCACCAGCAGTTTCCTGTAGTCCCTGAAACCTTCTGTCTCTGAAAGCTAGCAGCAAATTTGAAAGTTTGTGGCTTTCCCTGAACTTCCTTCCTTGAACTTTCACCCTTGACCTTTCATAGCCCTTACAGAAGTTTTGTATGCATCCACTTCCTTGTATTAAGTTCTTTTCCTGCCTGAAATACCTAGAGTGGTTTCTGTTTTCCCTTCCTACTTCTGATTATATAAGTCCAAATCTCATTTAGACTTAATGAAAGTCAAGATACAGAATTTCTCTTTACACACACATATGCATTTTACAAACAGCTACAGACCTCCATAAAATGTGCAATGTTAGGCCAGGTGTGGTGACTCATGCTTGTAATCCCAGTGCTTTGGGAGATTAAGGTGGGAGGATTGCTTGAGGCCGGGAATTTGAGACCAGCCTGGGCAACATAGCTAAACCTCGTCTCTACAAAAAATAGAAAAAATTAACGAGGCACAGAGGTGCATGCCTGTAGTGCCAGCTGCTTGAGAGGCTGACGTGGGGGGATCACATGAGCCTGGGTGTTCAAGGCGCAAATTTTATTTAAAAAAAAATAAAATTTGAAACAGAAATACACATAATACAGCATAAAGGGGGATGCATATGGAGGAATCATAGAATGGAAATAAGAATTAATAAAAGATATAGTTGAGGCTCTATGGAAAGGGAAAATTAGTATTTTTCCTTCCAGTTAATCAAAGTTTTATAGGTAGGGTTACCAGATTTAGCAAAGAGACAACAGGTTACCTAGCTAAATTTGAATTTCAGATAAACAATATTGTAGGCAGAATAATATTCCACAAAAGATATTTATGTTCGAATCCTTGGAACCTATGACTATATTATGTTACTTGGCAAAAGGGACTTTCAGATGTGATTAAAGATATGAACCTTGAAATGGGGAGAATAGCCTGGATTATCCAGGTGGGCCAAATCTAATCAAATAAGGTCTTAAAAGTGGACAACTTTTGCCAACTGCAATCAGAGAGAGATCTGACTAAGGAAGAAGGATCAGAGAGATGTAACATTGCTGGCTTTGATGATGAGGAACAGGCCATGAACCAAAGAGTGTGGGTGGCCCCAGAAGTGGGAAAAGGCAAGAATACACATTGTCTGCTAGCACCTCCAGAAAGGAATGGGGGCCTGCCCTGTTGACACCTTGATTTTAGCGCAGTGAAATGCGTATTAGACTTCTGAACTACAGAACTGTAAGGCAATAACTTTGTGTTGGTTTAAAGCCACTAAGTTTGTGATAATTTACTAGAGCAGCAATAGAAAATGAATACAAGCAACAGAGAATTTTTTAGTATGTTTGGTCCATGAAATATTTAGAACACGCTTATCCTAAAAATTATTTCTATTTTGAAGTTAAAATTTGACTGAATACTGTATTTTACCTGGCAATCCATTTTATAGGAACCTGAGATTCCAGAGCTCTTGTACATCTCTGCCTCTATCTATCTATTCATTTCTATATCAGTTTGGGGAACTTACTATGTTGCAGGCAGTAAAAATAGGCAATTTACCTATGGTATTTCATCTAACTCTCACAACTCTTTGGTGTAGGCACTAATTATTGTGCCTGTCTTATAAACAAGGTAACTGAGTCTATGCAAGGTTAAAGAGTTTGTTCGAGGTAGTACAGTGGAGGAGCTGGGGGTGGCTCGGGTCTGTCTGAGTGCAAAGCCCATGCCGCTAAGCTCTGTGTCTACCTGGCTAGGCTGTCACTTCATTCCTCAGTTTGCTTTCATTCCCAGGGCCCCAAAAGTTAGCCTCTATTGTTGCTTCCACATTCTCCCCACCCACTCTCTCCCATAGACCAGTCATCTGATATCTGTCCCCACCTCTTTACAACAGGGAAACTGCTTTCTCAAAGGTCACCGATGGCCTCTAATCTGCCATCATTTCTTAGTCATCCTTCTCTTGACCTTCTCTGTAGCATGTGGCTTTGTCGTCTCCCTCCCCACACATGCACCGAGCTTTTCTCTTGTACTTCTCTGAATCTCTGATTATTGCTTCTGTCTGCTTACTCATCTCATTCTCCACAGTGGTATGGGAAGCCTGGTTCTGTTCTTCCTCACTCTCATTTTCTCATTTTAAAACTCCCTTGGAAATCTCACTCATGGTCAGGCTTCAACTTCCATCTCTGCTGATGATGCCCCAATGTTACCTTCAGGCCTGCTTTCTCTCTCTCCAGCTGTCATCTCATATTTCTACAATTGCCTGCTGGACAACCCCAGACAGACAATTAAAATCAGGCCCACCTCCACCCCAGCTTACCTGCCCTTCCTCCCCGGTATGAAGGGTCTGGTGCTCTCCAGATATGGGGTCTGAGTCCATTTCATTTTTGACTCTTGCTTTTTTTCCCTAAATGAAGTAACCGAGTAGTTCCTGGTCCCAGTGTGTTGTTCATGATACCTTTTGCATTCCTTTCTTTCTCTCTCTGGCTGCTCCCACTGGTCGGGCTCCTGTGGCCTCACACTTGGACTGCAGCCTCCTAAGGTCCTTGAGCTTGCCACAAACCTGGGAGACATTACAGCCTGGGCTTCACTCTCAAAACAGATTCAGCCCCTCCAAGATGGGGTCGAGGCCACAGATGTTTGTAAGTCTCCCCAGGTGTGTTAGCTTTCTATGGCTGTTGTAGCAGATTACGACCAACTCACTGGTTTAAAAGAACACAAATTTATTTTCCTACAGTTGTAGTTCTGTAGGCCAGAAGTCCAAAATGGGTTTCACTGGGGTAAAATTAAGGTGTTGTCCTCCGGACGCTCTAGTGGAGAATGCATTTCCTTTCTTTCCCCATGCTTGTTCATAGCCCCATCTCGTTGCGTTTTCTCCCCCTACTTCCCTTGTCACTCAGCCTTCTTCCTCTGGTGTAAAGTCACATCTCCTTCTGCCTCCCTCTAGAGGGATATTTGTTATTACATTTAGGGCCCACCTGGATAACCTGGGGTACTCTCCTCCTCTCAAGATCCTAAACAACATCAGCAAAGTCTCTGGCCACAGAAACAAACATTCACAGGTTCCCAGGATTAAGTCCTGGATAACCCTGGGGGCTGGTGTCAGCCTGTTACCTCAGGTGACTCTAGTTGGCAACCAAGCTTGAGAACTACTTTTGTGACTGAGCATCCTTTCTCCGTGCTTGTCTCTCAATCCTCTTGCTAGCCATCGTCTTCACACACCCTGTGTCTTATGACATGCTTCTGAGTGCCACCACAGTTCCCCTCTGCCCTTAGAACACATCGCAAACTCCTCAGCCTAGAACACAGCCCAGCTCGCACAGACATGAGGACTCCTTACAGACACGTTATGCTCTACCGCTCTCCCACATAAACGCTCGGCTTCAGGTAAACTGGTTTTCTCAGAATATACTTGGCATTTGGAAGGGCTTATTTTGTTGGTCCTGTTTCTCCAACGTTAAGCCTTTTCCCATCCTGCTCTGCTTACTCAGAGCTAACCCTGGTGTCAAGACATGTTAGCTTCCTCAGGCTGCTGTGATATATCAGACTGGTTGACTTGAATGGCAGAAAGTATAATCTCACAGATCTGGAAGCTAGAAGTCTGAAATGAAGGTATCAGCAAGTTTGGTTTCTATGGAGGGCTGTGAGGGAAGGATCCATCCAAGGCCTTTCTCCTTGGCTTGCAGAAGGCCATCTTCTTTCTATATGTGTCTCTTTCCAAATTTCCCATTTTTATAACTAACCAGTCATATTGGATTAGGCCCATCCTAATGAACTCATTTTTAACTTGATTATCTCTGTAAAGACCCTATCTCCCAATAAGGTCACATTCTGAGGTACAGGGGGTTGGGCTGTCAACATGAATTTGGGGGGATACAATTTGACCTGTAACACTAGCCTATCATAGTCCTCTTTGTTTACTGCTGTCTTTCCTCCTCTGCACCACAGGCTGAAGTTCTCTCCCTCGTTTAAACAATACAGCTATCCCTGTCCATTCATTTGGAAAAAGGACACATGAAGCCTTGATTGCGTCTCTTTGGTTGTTGTCTTTGAACAATTTGTGCATGTGTGGACGTGCATGTATGTGTGTTCTCTCCAAATAGAATATGAGCTCCTTGAAGATAGCCATTGCATCTTCTTAATCTCATTGTGCTCATGATACCTATGATGCATGTGTTTGGTAAATGTATTTTTTTTTAATTTCAGAAAACTTGAGAGTTTAGTTTGGGGTGAGGAGTGGACAGATAAATGATCTGATATTGTATAGCATTGGATGAGCGATCTCTTCAATATCTTTGTTGGAGAGAATCTAAAAGAATGTGGTCAGGTGGCCTGGTACCTCAAAGCTACAAGCTGACCAAAGAGAGGAGGAGAGAGGAGAGAGAGAAAAGACAGTAAAGTCTCTAGATACTCAGATGAATTCATGTAAAAACCGGCTGAGTCCGGTTAACAGTATTTTCATCAGCATCATCCCTGACCTCAACAACCCTGGCCCTACCCTCCAGTGACAGCGTGGTGCTTTGGAGGGCTTATCAGGCTGACACAGGCACCCCGAGTCAGGCACTCTGCCAACACCTTGCTGGGTGGCCTTGCATCGCCCTCTGTTTTTTGAGTACTCCTCTGCCTACCAGGCAGAAACGCCCTGGTCACTTCCACAGAAGCAGTGTACAAATTAGTGAGTAGGGGACTATCAGGTGGGGAAATGTAAAGAGTTGTCAGGATTTATGTCCTTAGCGTGAGAGTCTAGAGAACCAAAACTTGAGGAGTCTCCCATATTAAAAAGATGTGCTGGAGCACACATGTGTGTCACTCCTGCAGAGAGGAATATAGCCAAGCCCCATTAAGAAAATCATGAGGCAGAGACTTGAATCAACTTCTATAAACTTCTTTTACCTTGAAATGGCTCAGAATTGTAAACACCTGTATTTCATCTGGATTATCTGGACAAATCGCTTAGCCGTTCCTGCATCCCACCCCAGTCTCCAGTGGGACCCTGTGGCTTCTCTACACTTATTTGACATTTCTAGGCTCCAGTTCCTGCTTCTTTAGTTTCAGCTTTGTTTCTCCTTATCATGCCCAGGTCACACCAGCTGTCCCTTCCTGGTGTTGACTCTGGGAGAGATAGAAGCCTGCTCCAGCTTCATCCCAAGCTCCCCATAGGTGGGGGCTTTCCAGGGACTTTTTTAGCTCGATGCCCATATCAATTTCACAACCTCCCGAGGGGAGCCTGGGCCCCCAGGAATGGCTACCTCCTCTGCTGCCATTCTTATGTGTTTACCAAGTCTCATGTTGGTCTCCTCCTTTCTTGCTGCAGCTGCCACACTCAGAGAAGGAAGAGGAATCTTCAGGCATCAGATGCTTGCTTGAGTGGGCTGCCTTTCCCTCTAAGGGCTCTGAGAGTGGGGTCGGGTTCTTCCCCACGGCCTCTAGCACTACTGGAGCAGCTGGAGGTTATTTTTGCAGTAGGGGCATTAAAGGAACAAGAAGTACAGTTGCCCAGGGCTTTCCTCCATGTGTGACTGCACAGGAGGTCAGAGGTTAGGGTGGAGCAGGGCAGGCTGAGTCAGCTCCGTGGAAAGTGAGCTGGGCTGCTGTCAGCCTGATCCACATACTTTCTCAAAGCCCCCTCCGTCTGCTCTTTCCTTTCAACCTCTAAGCTTATTCCCAAGAGACTATGGGTCTGGATTATCTCATTTTAGTCCACCAAGCTGTTCAAACAGCTCTTAACATTTGACCTTCCCTCACCCTATCTTATGCAGATTTGGAACATAGTTTCTTTCTCTGTTCTCTATCTAAATGATCTACCTAGCTTTAATATGCATGTGCTATAAATTCTTTATTGTTCGTGCATAGATGTAATCTCTCTTTTTATATGTTAGTATATCTTTGTGTAATCATCCATATCAGTGCTATGGCAACATAGTGAGATCCTGTCTCTATAAAAATTTTTTTAAAAAATAGTCAGATGTGGTGGTACATGCCTGTACTTAGGAGGCTGAGGTGGGAGGATCACTTGAGCCCAAGAGGATGAGGCTGCAGTGAGCTGTGATTGTGCTGCTGCACTCCAGCCTGGGTGACAGATTGAGGGCGGTGGGTGGGGGAAGAGGGGAGTTAAGCAATTTGCTTCATACCAAATTGCGTTCTGTAATTTTAGGTTTGTATGCAAGGAACAGAAAAATCCAAAATTAACAATCTTAAACAAAATAGCTCAAGAAAAATGAGTGGGTTTCTCTCGTGTAAAAGAGTGGAAAAAAGCAGCACTGGGTGGGTAAGGGGGATCTGCTCCTGGAAATCCTCAGAAAATAGTTCACCGTGCTGTTACCTGTATAGTGTGGCCTCATTATCATAGTCCAAGGTGGCATCTGTTTCCAGGCAGCAGGAGGGGTGAAATGTTGAAAAGGCAAAGAGCATATGTCAGCCAACTCTCATATGAGGGTCCCAGAAGTTGCTCTAACATTTTTGCTTACTTCTCATTGACCAGGACTTAGTCACATGACTACACTTAGCTACAAGGGAGGCAGGGTAACGTGGCAACATGGTCTTTATTTAGGACAATCTTGTGTCTGCTGAAAATTCTATTACCAGAAAAGGTGAAAATGAATAGTAGAGGACAACTGGCAGGCTCTGCCACAATTTTTTAAAAAAATAAATTTTGGGGGGCGTTTGGTGGAATGAAGACTATGTATTTCTAAGAAGCAAACCAAAGATTTGTCCCTAAAGTACACATCATTACCTGTCCAGATACAAACACACGAATTTATATATATGTAAATACTTGAGCAATAGAATTATATTTTAAGTCAAGTAGACAGAGTAAAGAGTTTATTGGGAACATTTTTAAGCTATTTCTATAAATAGGAATGACTTGTCCTGGAATGTTTCCTTCAGGATTGCAATAATCTTCTGAGCCATTAAGTTAGTCAATGACCTTGAGCAGCTCAGCTAGGCACCAGATGATGAAATCTCTGATATCTCTGGGGTCCCGGTTGGCAGAATCATTTCAACTTAGTGCTAGGGAACAATGGCCCATGGACTAGCAAGTCTGCATATTCCCTCATAGAAGAGTAATCTATTGCGGGAGACTTTGACACCTAAGTTTCGGCAAGCTGTGGGGAAAGTATGAATACATGTGTGTTGGTACTTGTGCAGACTGGAAATCTGTCTTCAGGAATTAAATGAAGCACTGCATGAAATAAGGCACTTAATAGAAATTTCTGGTGCCTTTGTCGGCAAACCTATCCCTTGGGTGATGGTCTCTATCCAACAGAAATCAAAATAAACTTTTGGGTTTTCAGGTTAACTTTTTTAAAGGGGCATAAAACATTTTTATTTAATTTTGTTCTTTTCTCTTTTCTGTATCAAACAAGAAATGATTTTTTTTTTTTTTTTTTCCACCAGAGGTATTAAAATGCTGCAAGGGAGCAGCCTCTGGCTTGACCAGAAACACATAAACTTGAAACTGTGAATGTTGGTTTGCACATATGTTAAGTTAAAAGTAATGATATATTTTCAAAAGTCATTACATTTTTTAAAAAAACTTTGTTAGCTAAAGCAGAAAAGTAAAATTCAATTAGGAGCACACCTTAGCAAAAAAAAAAAAAAAAAAAAAAAAATCTTTTTACCTATGATGATCACATGCTTTTATAAGGGTCATCTCTCCACAGTCCCATAATCCCATTATAAGAGCCCTCTACAGTACATTTCTGAATGCCAAAAAGTTATTTTATTAACTGTGCTTAGACGAATCTATTAACAAGGTCCAATAGTCCCAGGCAAAACAACAAACTAGGAAGATGTTGTGCAAACATGGATGTGTTCTCTAATGTGTAGAATTTCTGTGATAGTTTTGGCTTTGTAATTTTGTACATTACTACAAGCAGTTCTGGACATGAAACAATTACCTTGTAATTGAGCTCCGCTACTCAGTTTCTATGTCTGAATTTGCATTTATGTTCCTATCCCTTTAGCATTACTGAAGACCAAACGGCATCATAGCATGATGAGTAGAAGCAGCATTCACAATTTAAATGAGGAAACTGAATAGTGAAGAAATTGAATACCCTCAGCAATTGGCAGCCCAGTCATGCCTTGTTCAAAGACTCAGTCACAGTGGTCAGCATCAAGACCCTGTGGCTAGCAAACATGTTAGTGGGCACCCATCTTTGTACTCCAGCACATCGAGCAGTTCATAAGGGGGCAGTACAGGTAGTTACAAAAAGACAGTGGAAAACTCCTTATTCAGTGGAATTCAATGGGTTTTTTCCTGCTAGTATTGCATTTTGAAACACAGTTTTAAGTGGCCCATGAACCTAATTGGTTTAAAATGAGTTAATTTTTTAAAGAAAAATAACAATAATGTCTTAAATAATGCCTTATCAAAAGCAAAAGAATCAAGTCCAAAAAATGAGACATAAAGCATGCAAATGCATTTGTCTTATTAAATCAATCTAGATGACTCTGTTTCAGTAAAACAGAACCATCCTTATTAAATTACTTTTGCTAATTTGAATTTATAGTTTTTATAGCTTATTTCTTTGGGATTTAGAGTTGTACTACAGGTGTGTACATGTGTTCAGTACCTATAAGCATTTTCGTAATTAAGTAAAATGATAAAACACTGAAAATCCTGAAATGTCAAATTTTTCCTTTAAAAAGAGACCATACAAATAGTTTGCAAAACACAGACCAAAAGGGTAATTTTCAGTGTCTCCTTTGTCTACATTTCAGCATCATTTCCCACCAGGACTTTCAGACCCACCTGCTTCCCTCCCACAATTCCTCCCACAATTGTTAAGGAGCCCCACAGCTGAGCCCAACCAGCCTGAGCCTCACCTAACTCAAAGTCACCCTTTCTGAGTAGGAGACAGACTTTAACCCTAATGAGCACTGGTGAAATGTCAGAAGGTTAGTTTAATAAACAAGGTACAATAAATGAAGAACATTAATTTATATTCAACACCAGAAAGCAGAGATGAAGCAGGTGTCAGTCGGCCGAGGGCCAATCCTATAGAGTGATCATTTAATACATTGAATTGGAAATGTCATTGTAGCAACTGGGGCACATAAGAAGGGTTCTTTTGAAAGTTTCCAATAATCAAATTTAATGTGGCCTATTATAATTTTGAGTCTTTCTTAAGGCTCACAAATTAAATTTGTTATCCATTTGTGTATATATTTTACTATCAAACAGCTTTTCATTTTCCTTGACTTTAATGGGCCCATTCTCCTCTCATTCTTTGGCTATACCCATTCCTGCCTTTATTGTCCCCAAAGCCCATTACCTCTATATGTGTACACTTAAACTCATACACACACACAGGCACACACAGTCCTTGGGGAAAGAAGGTGTTGATAAAGTGTATAAAATACTTGGGAGCAACAAGAAGCAGAAAAAAACTGAAGTCAAGGTGAGAGAAAAATTAAATGCATTTTATTTTCTTTGGATACCAAGCAGAAATTTTTTAATTACATATTTTAATTCATGACTTTGCTTTTCTCCTTCTGGAACACAGATGTGGTTGTTGAGCAGCTTTCTCTTCTGTCTCACCTTATTAACATCCTGAAATAATACAACCTTCAGCCAACCGCTGGACTGCCTGAATTGTCTTTTTTGCTGGAGATCTTGAGTCTTACAGGTTATGAATTGCAGAGCCAACATGAGAGGACACTTCCTTTTTCCCGCCCTCGCAGGAAGTTGTTACACACTGACACTGGGAAGGCTGATTTATATCAGTCCCCTGGGGAAGGATGCTTAGTTGACAAAGACAAGTAGAACAAACAGAATTTGGCCCGTGACTTGGTACTGTCTGAGTTTTGTAGTGAGGAAAACAGAGCATTCATTTGTGTACCTTCAAAGACATTCTCAAGACACACTATCCCTTAAATTTGCAAGCAAGTAATTTGTATTATCAAAGGCTTTCTGAGGAGTGATCTACAGAGTAACCTTTGGGGATGTTAAGGCAACCAGGGCCAGGCTGGATTTTTCAGAGGGCACATGGTTTCCTCAGCACTTTATCAAAGTCTGTCAGGATATGGGCAAACCTCCCCTGATAAGTTGGCTCTTCAGTGTAACTTGAGCTTGTTTCTTCCTTTCAATGTTCTAAGGTTGCCTTTTAAGCAAAAAAATATGAAGAAGAATTTGTAACAAGGGTTTTCAAGCTTTACATTTTTTAGTCTGCTTAGTTGGACGCCAAATAGGAAGGGGTTTATATGTAAGTATAACAATAAAAATATAAAGTTCACAGCTAAGGAGCGCTAACTAACATTTCCTATAGTGACAGTACAATAGATAGGTTTACTTTATATAGGAGAAGAGAAAAGATAAGTCAATAAACCTCTGTAAGGGTCAGATATAAAATGAAGATAGTATTAAACTTGAAGGCTGAGATTATGTAAGTGAGTCACTTATTACAATATTGCATATATGAATAGCTTTCGTGAGTATAGTTGTATCAGGGAGCCCTTGCTTACTTAGTTATTTGAGAAAACAGCCATTTATTCAGCTTATTGGGGCCGCAATCAGCATAGTGGTTCTTCTTGTTTTAGCTGGGCTCCCTCAGGAATCACAAGTCAGTGACAGATCAACTAGGTATCTTGGCTTCTGGGATATGGCTGGCTGTTTCCTGGGACAGTGGGACCAACGGCCCACAGGTCTCTCAACCTCCAAGCCAATCTGAGCTTATTCACATGGGGATTTCAAGGGTCCAAAAGAAAGAAAGACATGTAAGACCTTGAGCCTAGACTCAGGACTGGCACATTATCATTTCTACTATATTTCATTGGCCAAAGTGAGTCATAAAGTTAGCCTAGATTCAAAAGGTGATCAAGATATTCACTTCTTACTGGAAGGAGCTGAGAAGTCACATGGCAAAGGACATGGATAATGGAGGCATGAAAATTCGTGGCCATTTTTGTCATGTACCAAAATAAGCATATATTGTGTCATGTAATTATATTTCTTTATACTTTATTTCACAATGACTTTGTTAGCTTATAGCAAACACAAATACAATGATATGGTAACATGAACCTAATTTTGAAATTAAACTAGGAGTAATATAAATTAGAGCAGGGGGCCAAAACCACAGTTCTTATAATGAAGAACATGCTACTGTCAACAGTGAAGTCTTCATTGAACCTTTCAAACCTTGAGATGCCAGGCTTAGCCCAAAAGCCTATCAAATAAGATGATGACATGAAGTGAGAGAAATGGAGTCTTTGAAACATGACCTGCATAGAACATACGTTGGGAGTGGGTCAAGAGTTAAGGGATCAGTGGTGTAATTGTTCGGGTCCCTCTCTTGAACCCTTTATCGCTGCTATTCAAGCAACTCATATGAGGCTTTTGTGATGCAGAAGAAAGGGCTCTGGAGCCAGAGAGTCTTGAAGAACATCCCAGTTGAGAAACTGGGATTTGAACCTTGTTCTGTGTGGCTTTTCTTCTCAATATTCTCAAGTTGAGGTTAATGATGCTTATTAGACAGAATGTAAGTCATGTGAAAAAAGCATTTTAAATGTCAGTAATGACACCTTCCTCCTTCCGATTGTTTACCTCAATTTATCTTGTTTCCCAAGAAATGTGAGTAACTCCCTTTTAGAGAAGGATTGCATCTCAGTTCTACTTCTTGGTCTCATCCACAGGTACAGCCCAAAACACAGCCTATTCATGAAATTGGTGAACATTCTGAATCTTGACCACAAACGAGATTCCCAAGAATAGTTTCCAAACCCAAAGCGATGACGCTATCCAGGACATGGAAGGAAGGTTTTCGCACCTTTGAGCCTTTTATCATCTCAGGTCTCCTTGTGTTTCTGGGACTTTGGGGCATTAGGAGCATTTTGTAACACAGTGGTTCCCTTGGAAGTGTATGGGTGGGGTTGCTGTTTACTAAGGCAAGTTTGTGGCTTGGTGAAGCTGCATCATTTGCATCTGTCTCTGTGAAAAGATAGCGGACCATGATGCAGTAAGGACTTTGGGCCTCAACTGAGTCAACCATTCATTTGTATTTCCCACGTGCCTACTATGTATGTTCTAGGCTCTGGGAATGTGAACAAGAGAGACAAAGTTCCTGCTCTTATGAAAACCATACATGATTTCTATCTTCTGGATTATAGTGTCTATCCATGGAAACCAAGGGGAAAGTAGATAAAAAATAAATGCATAAGATGCATTCAGATAACGATAAATGGGATTTTTCTTAAAGCAGCATGTTGTGATAGAGAGCAAGTGGTGCTGGGAGGAGAGGTGGGCACTATTTCAATTGGGTACCATGGAAGACCTCCCTGGTAAAGAGGAGATTGGAACTGAGATGTAAACATACAGAAGGATCTAACCGTGTAGCTCTTTCCAAGCACAGGGTTAGCAAGGATAAGCTTGATGTATTTAAGAAACTGCAAAGATGGCATGATAGAAGATGCAGAGGGCAGGGCTGAAAGGGAGGAAGTCAGAGCTGGGCAGGAGCCAGATCATGAGGGTCCATGTAGCCCTTATAGACTTAGTAAGAATCTGGGGTTTTCTTCTTGGTAATTTTTTTAATTGGAGGGTTTTAAGCAGGGGAATTAAATAATTTGATTTACACTGATAAGCATCGTTTTTGAAAAAGACACTTGCTTAGATTACATAGGATAATTTTCTACTTAATTCAGAGAATTATATGTTTTTCTATGTTCTGGTAAGAAGTGGATAATGAAGATGAACATGTCTCAATTCCAGTAAAAAATGTGATGACAGGCCAGGTGCGGTGGCTCACACCTGTAATCCCAGCACTTTGGGAGGCTGAGGCGGGCAGATCACGAGGTCCGGAGATCAAGACCATTCTGGCTAACACGGTGGAACCCTGTCTCTGCTAAAAATATAAAAAAATTAGCCGGGCGTGGTGGCGGGTGCCTGTAGTCCCAGCTACTTGGGAGGCTGAGGCAGGAGAATGGCGTGAACCTGGGAGGTGGAGCTTGCAGTGAGCCAAGATCACGCCACTGCACGCCAGCCTGGGAAACAGAGCAAGACTCCGTCTCAAAAAAAAAAAAAAAATGTGATGACAAGATCCTAAGGGTATAATGCGATTTTTAAAATGACATCAAACACCAGTGCTGCTTTGTTTTAGAGAAGATTCTAGGGAGGGAGGTTATTTTGAGAAGATGTTATTGAGGAAACCCTCCAAAATAAAAGCCCAATGACGAAGAGAAAATCTTAGTGCAAATATATACATTTAGCTCTGAGTTTCAAGTGTTTAGGTTTGATGATAGCTTTTTGAGTATAACTGCCATTAGTGACTGACTCCTTGGTTCAAAGCCAGAGTATATGAAAGCGTTGTCTACTTGAATTAAATTTCCGATATGCACAGCTAACTCATATCTGATAAAAGCATAAAATGTTCCTTGAAATATTCTGGAATAGAGGACCACATGGCCTAAGTGACAATAATGGCCACTCTGCCATGGAGTGAGTTTAGTATCACAGTGCTGTCTGAGGACCCGTCTGTATAAATACGTGTTCAGAGACTTCAGAAATGGGCCCTTTGCTCTCAGCCTGCCCTATTCCCCGTTATTTTCTAGGAAATGAATACTCTAGCTTAAGAATCCTGAGTGGGTGATTAATGTTAGTGACAGTGTATGCACCTATCTATGTCATTCATTAGACCTTGCCTTGCAGATTCCTGAACTATTCATGATACATTTGTGAATTTTCTACTTGCACTAGTATGCTGTTCTGTAGCAAAATAGGCCTTCTGTGAAAATATAAATATTTAAAATATAAATATTAGAAATTATGGGCAATAAAAATAATTTTTTATCTATACACGTATTAGAATGATCAAAACTCAAAACATTAACCATATCAAATGTTGGTGAGGATGTGAAGGAAGCAGCAGGCACTCTTATTCGTTGCTGGTGGGGATGCAAAATGGCACAGCCACTTTGGAAGGCAGTTTGGCAGTTTCTTACAGAACTAAACATACTCTTACCATATGGTCCAGCATCATGCTCCTTGGTAACTTATGTCTACACAAAAACCTGCACAGGAATATTTATAGCAGCTTTATTCATAATTACCAAAACTTGGAAGCAACTAAGACGTCCTTCAGTAGGTGAATGGGTAAAAAAAAAACTGTGGTGCATCCAGACGCTGGAATATTATTCAGCGCTAAAAAGTAATGAGCTATCAAGCCATGAAAAGACATGGAGGAAACTTAAATGCATATTACTGAGTGAAATAAGCCAATCTGAAAATCCTGCATGCTATATAATTCCAGCACCATGACATTCTGGAAAAGGCAAAATTATGGAGACAGTATAAAGATCAGTGGTTGCCAGGGGTTGGGGGAAGGATGAATAGGCAGAGCACAGAGAATTTTTTGGCAATGAAGCTATTCTGTATCTACTTTGATACTATAATGGTGGATACATATCATTATATGTTTGTCTAAACCCATAGAATATACAATACCAAGAGTGAATCTTGATGTAAACTGTGAACTTTGGGGGATAATGACATGCCAATGTGGGTTCATCAGTTTTAACAAATATAGGCACAGATGTTGGCAGTGGGAGAAGCCATATATGTGTGGAGATATGGAGTATATGGTAAATATCTGTTCCTTTCACTCAATTTTCAGTGAACCAAAACTGCTCTGAAAATCTATTTTAAAAAAATAAATAAAGCTATAACTTATCAGTTTTTATTGAACACCTACTGTGGGCCAAGAACTAAAAATTATGTTGAGATTCAATAATAA
Organism: Homo sapiens; assembly: GCF_000001405.40. Taxonomy (NCBI): domain Eukaryota; kingdom Metazoa; phylum Chordata; class Mammalia; order Primates; family Hominidae; genus Homo; species Homo sapiens. The sequence continues at coordinate 68,410,630 of NC_000005.10, read as the reverse complement.
ACAAAAAATACAGTGAGCTGGCTTTTCTGATAGAGAAGTAAGAAATATGTTGGTTACAATGGGAATATGTGCAAGGGGACTGCCTCCTGATTCTGGAGATTAGGAGAGTTCCCAAGTGATATATAAACAGAGATCTGTGCAATAAAAAGGAGTTTGGCAATGTGTAGGGCTAGGGAGAAAGGAGGCAAGTATATTGGAGGAAAGAGTGCTCAAGGTAGAAGAGACATGAGCAGATTGCAAAAGGGGGTTAGAATGAGGATGGAGAACAAGGAGCTGAATGTGGCTCAGGTAGGCAGGAAGTAGATGAAATCACTATTAACGACTTAGTGCTGGAATTTCCAACCACTTGGGAATTCAACATCTTTTCATTGTTTAATTTTAATTACCTTTTCATCTTCTCTGTCACGTCTCTCAGAATTATATACTTAATTCTCAAAAGTGAGAGTAAATACATGAGAATGCTTAGACAAGCCTGTGACACAAATTGAAGAAGGTATAATGTATTTATGTGAGGTAATTGAAACGGAGAAAAGGAGAATGAGTGACGGACTCCATGTCACACAGGGGCTGAATGGAAGAGCTGGGATTCAAACGCAAGCAATCTGGCTTGAGTCTTTGCTTTCAGTCAGTTTCCATGCTGCTTCTGAAGTGTTCATGTCAGAAATACCACTGTAGCATATTAATATCTCAGCCCACATTCCCTAAAAAGCCAAGCCTGAGCCAAAAGCATGTATTAGTGGAATAGAAGTTCTATTAATATAATTTTTAATATCAATAGAATATTTTGATGGCTTACAAGATGTTTTTGGCTTACTTTCTTGCAAATGTATTAAGTCATCAATTTTATTCATTTCACTTAGAAGTAAAACCCCTACTGAGCTGCCCATAGCTCCCAGAAAACTGCTTGGTCTCAGAATGTTTTCAGAAAAACTGTACAAAGATACTTCATCTCTGAATACCTCATTCGACAGAAGGTAGGGAGAATTTCTCTGCTAATTCCTGGCCCCACTGGTAAACGTTGTTCCAAAGGATATTTAACTTGCCTGTACTTTTTAGGTTGCGGTTACATGGATGCCAAGTGGGTCCAAGGCATCTCATGTCTCAGAAGCAACAGAAAATTCCTAGAACATGAGGCAAGAGGCTTGAAGCGTGGACTGAAGTATGGTGCTGTTGGGGTGTGTCCTTGAGTCATTTGCAGGCCTGGGGGAGCAGTCAATGAAGCAGCCTGCAGTCAAGGCTGAGGCAGCAATGACTGGGCTCCATGAGCACAAGCTTTTGCTCCACTCAAGGCCAAAATCAAGGAAAGTGAATAGACCTAGAGTGATGCATGAACTGGACCTGAGGACACTTCCAAACTTCTGATGACATTAAATGGAAGGGTATCAAATAGCATATCATACACCTATTATTGAAGCATAGAATAGGCCAGATCTGAACTTATTCTACAATTTGTCTTCATTCTATTGGTAATGGAGAAGGGCTCAATAAGGGCATTGTCCTTTCTGACACAACCAACCACACAATTGCAAATTGACTGGGAATGCAGGTGAATGGAAACTGGGACCCAGGCCTAAAACTCCTGATGAAGTCAGAATTTAGATGATAAATATTAGAGTTATCCCACAAAGGTACTTAATAATCCTAGGAGGTCATAAATAAAACAATTAATTTAAGCTATCTAAACACTCCCATAACCTTCATTTCTTATATGATCCTTAGATCCTGCCACATATTAAAATTACTTAGAATCCTAGAACATGAGGCCCTTGAAAGTTGTTTATCCTGTTTCTTCTTGATCAATTCGCATATTTCTGGGTAAAATTAGCAACTCAGTATAATTTGTTGACTTAAATGCAATTTTGTATTCAGGGCCAGCTATACAATTTGCAGGGCTTAATGCAAAATGCAAATGTAGGACTCATATTCAAAAAACAGGAAGTGTCATTATAGCCGAGCACAGTGGCTCATGACTATAATCCCAGCTACTCAGGAGGCTGCAGTCAGAGAATCACTTCAGCCCAGGAGTTCCAGGCTGCAGGGAGCCATTATTGTACCACTGCACTCCAGCCTGGGTGACAGAGTAAAACCCTATCTCAAAAAAAAAAAAAAAAAAAAAAAAGACCAGCTTATTGAAGGGGGCGGGGAGGAGAATCCTGCCAAAGTTCTAAAGTATAAAGCTTTTTCCTATAAAATATTTTACTTGCAAAACATAGGAGTAACTGATACATGAGTAACAACACAAACTTACAAATTGAAAAAAGTATTTTTGGTGCCTTAATTTTATATAATCAATAAATACAACAAATTAATCAGAATTAGAAGGTAATTTAATAAATTAATATTTTGACTGCTTACAAGATGTTTTTGGCTCACTTTCTTGCAAATTTATTAAGTCATCTAATATGGGCTGGCTCTGTGCCCCCACCCAAATCTCATCTTGAATTTTAATCTAAATTGTAAGCCCCACGTGTTGGGGGAGGGGCCTTGTGGGAGATAATTAGATCATGGGGGTGGACCCCCAGTGCTGTTCTTGTGAGAGTGAGTGAGTTCTCATGAGATCTGTTGGTTTTATAAGGGGCTTTTCCCCACTTTACTCGGCACTTCACTTTCCTGCCGTCATGTGAAGAAGGATGTATTTGCTTCCCCTTCCACCATTATTGTAAGTTTCCTGAGGCCTCCCCAGCCCTTCAGAACTGTGAGTCAATTAACCTCTTTCCTTTATAAATTATCCAGTCTTGGGAAGTTCTTCATATCCGTGTGAAAATGGACTAATACATTATCAAATTTATACTTTCAGTAACTTCATTTTAAAGTATATTGAAAATGATGTCATCTTGACAAATTCAAGATTAAAAAGAATTTTTGATAATTTTTAATTTTAAGAAGAATCTGGATACAACTAACTGGAGTTAAGAGTTCTTTATAGGCTATGATAACATAAGCATCACTTTCTGATAATTTCAAAATATAAATTGTTTAACACATCTGGAACTGATTTTCTAGAATATTTTTTCTAAAATGATTTAACTCTTCATATATATTAGTTCTGTGTAAGTTTAAATTTAATTATGTATGTAAATTTATACAATGGCCTTTAAACGTTTCCTCTGACATTTCCTGTAAACCTGTGGAGGTCGTATAAGAAACCACAAGTTACTTCATGATTTGTATATGAATGAAAACACATACTTATGCATTCTGTTGCCATATCTTCAATTACAAGGAAATTTTTAGTATTAAAATTGCTTTCTTCATTAATAATTGGTTCATCTAAAGTGTCATGTGAAAATAGTGGCTGGTTGGTTTGTTTGCTTGTTTGTTTTTCTCATTTAACACTATAATATTTCTGTTCTATTTCTTTGCTAAATCTCTATAGAGATTTGCTTTGTAATGTTGTGGTGGCAGTTTTTAAAACCAAAGATTCTAAATGCTTTGAAGAATTCCTGTAACTCCCTGATGTGCTTTATGTTCCTGTGTTCACTTTTGTTTTGTAAAAACTTACTCTCAGAGTTTACTGCTTTCACACTGGCAGTTCCTGTTTCAGCATTAAGAAGTGGAAGAGTTAATATTTGTGTAGGCAAGGCGTGGTCAGACAGACAAGCTAGCCTCCCGTCACGGGTCCCCATCCTGTCCCCAGGTGAAGCTTCTCCTTTCTCCCGGGGCTGTGACCCGTTGTGCAGATACTTTTGCTGCTGCTGTTGATGACATGAATCTGGGCCTAAGTCGAGCCCCAGCCAACCCCTTTGACCCCTCGGTGCCCTGGACTGCCTGGAGGCTACTCATGTGCTGGACAAACAGGCCAATTGCTGGAGCATGCAGCTTGCTGTGCTTGGCACAGCTGCTGCTGGATCGCAATTGTGAGTGCTCACTGCTGTCTGGTAGATCTTCTCTGCTCACATAAATACTCAGATAGAATTATTAAGAATCCTACAGTGGTGACAGAAGAGCATTAAACCAAGTGTGGGCCCTTGCAAGTGCAGAGCCTTGTGCAACTGCACTGATCGATGGAACAGGTATCACACCCATGAAGCTGGCCCTGGCTTTATCTTAATTTTAGAAAGACATCTGTCTGCTGTGAAAAATATGGGCCAGATCAATGGCATTCAAACGTTTTAGATTCCAACCACAGTAAAAAGTATATGAGTACATTTTACATTATGACTCAGAATACACACACACACACACACACACACACACCTGTATACCTCTGCAATGAAAGTTTCCTGAAACAATACTTGTAATTAACACATGAGCAGCCCTTTTATATTTTCTGTACATTTTTTAAGGCTACTAACAACCCACTCAACTGATTTCACAACCTATTAATCAGTTGCAACCCTGCAGTTTGGAAAACACTGGGCTAGATAGTGGTGCCAGTTGATAGCTTGATGATTATAATAGTCTGCATTTTGCATTTTAAAACTTTGAAATATTGTCCATTATCTAACTGAAAAATCTTGCTCAAAGGCAGTTGATTGTAAGAATAGTTGTAAAATAGGAGAGAAGTGTTTTGTGATGCAAGACAGGGCTCAATACTCAGTGCTGCCTGCTTGAATAGTTTCATCAATTATTTGGATAAAAACGTTTTATTCCCATTCGACATGTTAATTGAGCACAGCTTCTGTGCTGAGTCCCATTCTCTGGCTGGGGTTGTTCACAATCAGATGAGCCCAAACATGTGAATCAGTATGATGAGGTTAAATGCTGTGACAGAGGTCAGCACCAGGGCCATGGGAGTACACAAGAAGAAGGTGTGCACTCTTCACAATGCAGACCAGTCAGGCACTGTTTTGGGAACTTTTAGGGAAAGCTCCCAAAATACAAATTATGAATACAATCAAAATGAGGGGGATGGAAACAATGTACATATTCTTTTGCTCATCCCCAGTATATACAGACCGTATTGCATATACAATAAAATGATGTTCTAAAACAAAAATGAAAATAGCTTGACTTAACAAGTGATGTCAGAGGTTCAAAAAAGATTTGATCCAAAAAGAATCTCTTTTTTTTCTCTTGATTTCTCTTGATTTTTTCAATGGGGTTTACATAGCTTTTTGTTTTCTTGTTTGTGATGGCTAATTTTATGTGTCAACTTAACTGGGCCACAGAGTGCCCAGATATTTGATCAAACATTTTTCTGGGTATTTCAGGGTGGGTGTTTTTGAATGAGGTTAATGTTTAAGTCCATAGACTAACTAAAGCAGATTGCCTTCCTTAATATGAGTAGGCTATATCCAATCAGTTGGAGGTCTAAATAGAACAAAAAGTCTGACCTTCCCCTGAGTAAGAGAGAATTCTTCTTCCTGACTGCCTTCAAATTGGGACATCACCTTTTTCCTGCCTTCAGTCTTGAACTGAAGCATCAGCCCTTCCTGGGTCATAAGCCTTCTGGCCTTTGGATTGGAATGATATCATTCGCTCTCCTGAGACTTTAACTTGCTGACTCACCCAGCAGATCTTGACACTTGTCAGCTTCTATACCCACACAAGCCAATTCATTATACTCTCTCTCTTTTTCTCTAAGAATATATAAATACATATCATTTGGTTCTATTTTTTCTGGAAAGCCTTGACTAACACATTGCTATAAAAATGTTTTAAAGTTATTTTAATGTTCTTTTAATTATAAAAAGCAAAGTAACTTTATTAAAAATGAAGCCAGGTGCAGTGGCTCACACCTGTAATCCTAGCACTTTGGGAGGCCAAGGCAGGGAGATCACTTTAGCCCAGGAGTTTAAGACCAGCCTGGGCAACATAGTAAGATCATGCCTCTACAAAAAAGTAAAATAAAAAATAAATTAGCTGGGTGTGGTGGCACCTGCCTGTGGTCCTAGCTACTCAGGAAGCTGAGGTGGGAGGATCACTTGAGCCTGGTGGTCAAGACTGCAGTGAGCTGTGATTGTATCACTGCACTCCAGCCTGAGTGTCTAAAAAAAAAAAATTGAGTGGAAGGTAGTGAAAAGCCAAAAATAAAAAAATGAAGGTGGGGAGGTAGGGATAAAGAAGGAAGAAAATAACAAGCTCCATAATCCTCCCAACTTTAACCCCTTTTAAGAACCTTAATGTATATCCTTCTAGATCTTTGTGTATATTAATATGTTTATACATACTTAGTATTGTGAATATGGAATTATAATTTATATTTTTCTATAAGCAGTTTTAGTTTTTTCACTTAATAATACACAGTCAGCTTTTTGTGCACATGGGTTCCACATCCACAGATTTAAGCAACAAAAGGATTGAAAATGTAGCTAGGCCTACAATTGTTGTGTCTATATTGAACATGTATAGACTTTTTTTCTTGTCATTCCCTAAACAATACTGGGTAACAACTATTTACATAGAGTTTACATTATGTTAGGTATTATAAGCAATCTACAGATGGTTGAAAGAATAGGGGTGGATGTGTACAAATTATATGCAAATACTGCACTATTTTATATTAGAGACTTGAACATGCAAGGATTTTGGTATTCCTGGTGGGTCCTAGAACTAATCCCCTGTGGATATGGAGGGACCACTCTATTTTCACCCTGTTTCCACGTTAGTAAATCTTCATCTTCTACATCTTTTGTGGCTAACTAATATTCCATAATTTGTTGTCTAATTCTATGTTAATATTTAGATTATTTCCAATATTTAAAAAAATAATCCAAATATCCTTAGAGCTATTCTTTGCACATATCCATTGCATTTTCTCAAGATAAATTCCTGAAGCAGAATTTATTGGACATAAGACATATACATTTTTAATGTTTTTTGTACTTTTTGGGGGGAGCATGAATTGCCTTCCAGAAAGAGTGCCCCAATTTAGGCTTCTGCCCACATAGTATGAATGCCTAACATGCTTTCTAAATATGTAACATCTACAAAAAATACAAACTAGAGAAGTAATATATTAGATGACTATAAAAACTTCCCATAATCTCAACAGTTTTCATCCTAAAACTACTAAGATGAACATTATCAGAAATAACTAAAAGGTCTTTCATTTAAGTCTGTAAAAATAACTTTTGCATATGCAAGTTGCAAAAAACCTGTGGTGTCTGGTTATCTATGGCTGCATGACAAATCACCTCAAAATTTAGAGGCTTAAAACAACATTTATTTTGCTCACGAATATGCAATTTGGGCAGGGCTTGGTGGGGACAGCTCATTTCTGCTCCACTCGGTATCAACTGGGCGGCTTAAAAACTGGGGGCTGGAATCATCTGCAGGCTCATACATCACATGTCTGGAGGTTGATGCTGGTTGTTGGAGGGACTTTAGTGGGGCTTGTCAATCAGAACACCTACATGTGGACTCTCCGTGTGGTTGCCTGGTGTGCTCACGACATGATGGCTGGGTTCCAAGGGCAAGTGTCCCAGGCTGGAACTCATCTTTATAACTTAGCCTTAAAAATTATATAGTGCCATTTTCTTCATAGTCACAGGCCTGCTTAGATTCAAAGGAAGGGAATATAAGCCCCCCACTTCTCAATGGGGGAGTGTCAACATCACATCTTAAGAAGAGCAGGTGGAATGTAATATATTGGTGCAGTCATCTTTGGAAAATACAATCTGCCACATGTCCTGTGAAGAACGTGTTTTAGCTTCAGGAACAATGTGAATGTACATTTCCTGTACGCCAGCTAGAATCTTAAGTTGCTCTGGAATGTATGTTCCTAAATATATGAAGCACATATTTCCCCCTAAAATTAGCCCTCAAAAAGGAGAGTGGCCTTATAGTTGAGTCTGCATATGATAGATGACTTTACTATTGTTTGTGTAAGATATAAACCTGAAACAAATTCAATATTTGCTTGTTTGGGAATGCTTAGAGAGGTCATCTGATGTGATCAGTCAAAAAGAAGTAAAGAAAGTTTAAGAAGTTATTTATTTATTTATTTATTGAGACGGAGTCTCACTCGGTCACCCAGGCTGGAGTGCGGTGGCACAATCTCGGCTCACTGCAACCTCTGCCTCCTGGGTTCAAGTGATTCTCCTGCCTCAGCCTCCTGAGTAGCTGGGATTACAGATGTCTGCCACCATGCCCGGCTAATTTTTTTGTATTTTTAGTACAGACGGGGTTTCACCATGTTCATCAGGCTGGTCTCGAACTCCTGACCTCATGATCCACCTGCCTCAGCTTCCCAAAGTGCTGGCATTACAGGTGTGAGCCACCGTGCCTGGCCAAGTTGAAGAAGTTTTGGTCGTTATTCTTGGAATATGACTTCACAGCAATAACTGTTCTAGGCCACTGAAAATATTTTAAAGATCACTTTGAAAAGTCAAATAGTAAGTAGTAGACACACCCATAGAATAAATGTGTGAAGATACTCCCCTAATGTTAACAGAAACAGGTATCTATGGCTTGCAATAACATTTCTAGTTTCAGCGTCATACATTTATCTCAAACAAGTTGGACAGAATTGAACACGACACCCTCCAGAAACAGTGTGAGATGATTCAAATTGGTTTACATAATGACAAAGTCAGGGATATCAAAAGTGGATTTAAAAGGTTTGAATAAAATTACTTTATAAGATGTAAAGAAAAAAGCAAGTTTTCTAAAATGATTATTTTGTGAAATGTAATTAAGGTAGAGATGTCTTATGAATAAATTAATATTAGTAAACAGCTGACGATCACCTATGTATCTGATATGGTTTGTGACATGGTTTGGCGTTGTGTCCCCACCCAAATCTCATCTCAAATTGTAACCCCCATGTGTCCAGGCAGGGACCTGGTGGGAGGTGGTTGGATCATGGGGGCAGTTTCCCCCATGCTGTTCTTGTGATGGGGAGTGAGTTCTCACAAGATCTGATGTTTTAAAAGAGTTTGGCCATTTTCCCCTCAGGCTCTCTCTCTCCCCTGTCACCATGTGAAGAAGGTCCTTGCTTCCCCTTCACCTTCTGCCTTGATTGTAAGTTTCCTGAGGCCTTCCCGGCTATGTGGAACTGTGATTCAATTAAACCTCTTTCCTTTGTAAATTATCCAGTCTCAGACATATCTTTATAGTAGTGTGAGAATGGACTAATACAGTTTGGATGTTTTTTCCTCTCCAAATCTCAGGTAGAGACGTGATTTCAATGTTGGAGGTGGGCCTCATGGGAGGTGTTTGGGTCATGGGGGCAGATCCCTCATCAATGGCTCAATGCTGTCCTCACAATAATGAATGAGTTCTCACTGTGAGTTCATGTGAGATCTGGTTGTTTTAAACAGCCTGGCACCTCCCCCTCTCTCTCTCTTGCTCCTGCTCTCACCATGTGACATGCTGGCTCTCCGTCACCTTCTGCCATGATTATAGGCATCCTGAGGCCTTACCAGAAGCTGATGTTGGCACCATGCTTCCCATAAAGCCTGCAGAATTGTGAGCCAATTAAATATATTTTCTTTATAAATTACCCAGCCTCAGGTATTTCTTTGTAGCAATGCAGGAAAGCCTAATACATACCATCTAACAGATATGCTAACCAGAGCTGACACTGTCTAACAAATAATACTGACCAAACACTGAATGTGGAAGAGACGCTGAAGTCTGAAATGTTTTATAAACCATCTGAGATTTTTCCTTTTAAATCCATGTGTGGAAACTCTCAATTTATATTTAGTATTCAGTTCATGATAATTCCTTGGTCCATAATTAATTTTTCCTGCAAATTCAAGCTTTTAAAAAACTCTTTTTATTACCTGGATATTGGGTAGGATTGTGGGGGTGTGAACTTGGATAAACAAGAAATGTTTCTCTGAATGGCAGAATATATGGGTTTCTGTTACAGACTGATAGACTCTAAAGGCATAGCAATTTAGTGTGCATGTTAAGAAGTACTGTTTCATAGAACATATTTGAGATATTCCCTCTAATTAGCAAAAAAAAAGTACCTGGTCAAAGAAAGGTCAGTCCCATTTAAGGTTATTGTTGGGGAGAGGTGTTTGATGTGGTCACTGATGATTTGCCGATGGTGTAACCATTGGGGTGTCTCCTAAAGTATCGATACACATACATGTGTATATATATGTGTGTGTATATAATATACATAATATATATAATATACACATGTGTCAGTCTGTTTTGTGCTGCTATAAATGTAATTTATAAAGAAAAGAGCTTTCATTAGCTCACAGTTCTACAGGCTGTACAAGCGTGGCACTGGCGTCTACTTCTGGTGAGGCCTCAGGAAGCCTACAATCGTGGCAGAAAATGAAGTGGGGCAGTGTGTCCTATGGTGAGAGAAAGAGCAAGAGAGGAGGAGGTGCTAGGCTCTTTTAAACAATCAGCTCTCATGTGAACTCAGAGTGAGAACTCACTCATTTCCTAGGGCACCAAGCTGTTCATGAGGGATCCATGATCATGACCCAAACACCTCCCACTAGGCCCCACCTCTAACACTGGGGATCTCATTTCAACATAAGATTTGGAAGAGACAAATATTCAAACCATATCAATATCACATGTATATGTTGACTTTCTTTATAAGCTACAAAGAAATACACAACAAAATGTCTATAAGGAGAAAGTCAACAATAGTATTTATAACACCTCAACACTACTTCACAGAGTAACCAATATTAAGTTTGGTGTGAATAATTCTCTGTATATCTATATCTTAATTGGCTTTTTCCCAAAAAAATATACAAAAAACACTTCTCACCTAAGCTTTTCTCACATAGCGGCATACCCTGGACATGGTCAATATTCTATAGTCATTACATAAAGCTCCAGCTCATTTTCTGTGACACCTACATAACATCCATGGTGTGCCTGTAACATATTTGTGATTATCTAGGTTGTATCCAGTGTTTTGCCTTTTGAGCAATAAATATTTTTGTAGCTGCATCCTTGTATAATGATGTAGCATGAATCTCTAAGATGGATTTCTAAGTTAAAATGATATATATTTCAAATAGTACTAGAAAGTGCCTTTCCAAAAAAGTTTTAGCAGTTCCCATTCTCACTGAATTGTTTTTTTAAGTGCCCCTTTCCCTACCCCTCACTCCTGCTGGATGTTTAAATATTTGTTGTTTAATATAGTAGCCCTTAGCCATATGTGGCTACTGAGCACTTCCAATGTGGTGCTTCCCCTTCCGCCATGATTGTACTCTAGTGGAAATGTACTATAAATGTAAAATACATGCTAGATTTCAAAGATGTAGCATGAGAAAAAAATGTAAAATAATAATTTTTATATTGATTATATGTGGGAATATTTTAGATAGGTTAAACAAAATTTATTTCTAAAATTAATTTCACCTGTTTCTTTTTATTTTTTGAAATATTTGGCTGCTAGAAAATATAAAATTACAATATATCATGCACATTTGTGGCTTCGACTGTATTTCTGTTGAACAGCAATGTTACAGGTATTTAAAATTTTTGCCAGATGACATTGAATCATTGCCTGAATAGGTTGTTTTGTTTTCATTTAAATTTTGAGTAGGTAATGTATGTACAGAGCACACAATTCGAAAGGAAAAACGGTGCGAGAAATGTCATTTTCTATGATGCTACAAAAAAATTACTATAAACTTAGCGGCTCAAAACATTACGAATATATTCTCTACAGTTCTGGAGATCAGAAGTCCAAAATGAGTTTCGAGGAGTGTATTAGTCTGTTTTCACACTATATAAAGAAATGCCCAAGACTGGGTAAGTTATAAAGGAAAGAGATTTAATTGACTTACAGTTCTGCATGGCTGGGGAGGCCTCAGGAAACTTACAATCAAGGCAGAAGGGGAAGCAAGCACCTTTTTCACAAGACAGCAGGAGAGAAAGGAGTGAGCAAAGGGGGAAGAGCCCCTTATAAAACCATCAGATCTCATGAGAACTCACTCACTATCATGGGAACAGCATGGGGGAAACCGTACCCATGATCCAGTCACCTCCCTCCCTTGACACATGGGGATTACAATTTGAGATGAGATTTGGGTGGGGACATAGAGCCAAACTATATCAGGGAGCTAAACTTAAGACATCAGCAGGGCTGCATCTCTCTGGAGGCACTAGGACAGACTTCACTGCCTTGCTGTTTCTCAGGTTCTTGAGGTAGCTGGCCTTCCTTAGTCTGTGGCCCCCTTCTGTCTTTAAGGCCATCAATTGACATGTCAAATTGTCACTGCTTTTTCTTTTTCTGCCTCTCTTTTTTTCCACTTTTTAAAAAGTTTTATTGAAATACAATTGTCATACTGATAGTTCACCCATTTAAGAGTATAATAATCCTGTGGCTTTAGTATATTCACAAAATTGTTCATTCATCACCACAACCAATTTTAGGTAATTTTCATCACTTTTAAAAGAAACCCCTTATTCTGAGTCATCACCCACATGCCCAGCCCTCCATCATTTCCAGCCTTGGGCAACCAGTAATCTACTTTCTGCCTCTATAGATTTGTCTATTCTAGATATTTCATATAAATGGAACCAAACAATGTGTGGTCCTTTGTGACTAGTTTTTTTCACTCAGCATAATGTTGTCAAGATTCATCCATGTTGTAGCATCTATTAATTCCCTTTAATTGCCAAATAATGTTCTATTGTATCTCTCTTCTACTTCTAAAGATCCTTGTGATTACATCAGGCCCACCCAGACAGTCCAGGACAATCTCCCTGTCTTAAGCTCAACTAACTAATCTTAATTCCATCTGTAATCTTCATTCAACTTTGCCATGTAACCTACCATATTCATAGATTCTGGGGATTATGATGAGTACATATTTGGGGGGCAATTATTCTGTCCATAGCAGTGCCCAACTTTAGGGAGTGCCATTCAAAGGAGAACATAAGTACCCCTCTTCCCAGAGACAAGACTCTTACCAGTGTCTTGTATCTTTTTTAATACTTAAATACTTGGAGAGTCCATTCATTTCCTAGGGATGCTTTTACAATTTACCGCAAACTAGGTGACTTAAGACAGAACTTTATTCTGTCATGGTTCTGGAGGGCAGAAATCCAAAATCAAGGTATTAGCAGAGCTCCACAGGCTCTAGAAGAGAGTCTATTTCTTGCCTCTTCCAACTTCTGGTGGCTCCAGGCATTCCTTGGCTTGTGGCTGCATCACTCCAATTTCAGTCTCTGTCTTCACATGGCCTTGCCCTCTGTGTTCTCTCTTCTGTGCCTTCCCTTGTGTCTCCTATAAGGACAATTGTCATTGGATTTAGAGCCCATGCAGATTGTCTAGGATGATCTCATTTCAAGGTTCTTAACTTAATTACATCTGCCAAAACCTCTTTTCCAAATGAGGTTACATTCACGTGTTCAGAGGTTAGGATATGAACATATCTTTTTGGAAGCCTTCATTCAACCCACTGTGGAGATAATTCTGTATCAATACATGTAGCCTTATTCTTTTAAGCAACTGCGTAGTTGTTCTTGGTAAGAATATATTGTACAGGTATCATATTGATGGATGATAAGTTTGTTCTACTTATGGGTTTTCATTTGGTTGTCAAAATATTTGAAATGGCTTACATAATTTCATAAAGGTGTAAACTTTAAGAAAAATGAGGGCTCATTTAGACCAGCACATGGGTGGAATTACACAAAGGAACCTCAGGGAGGCTCTCGGGTATGCCCCGTGCTGTTATTAAACTGGAGATGATCTCTTAGTGAAGGAGGTGCTGTGTCTGGGAGTATTTCAGCAGGATTCTATTCAGGCTTATAAGGGAACCCAAGGTCACTCTCTGACCAGGAAATAGGGTAGATCCCTGGTTGGCTCTTTGCCATCATTCTTAAACACTGCAGGGGGCATGAGCTTGCCTAACCAGTGAGGTAATATTTACAGATTGCTTGGGGATCCTTAGTGTGCAGATAGCCAGGTACGCCCACATCCAGGAGCAGCCTCTTCTCTCTGGGAAGAACAGAGGGCCTGGAACCTGATTACTTTTTAACCGAGTGCTTGCCAGTATGACAAATGCCCTGCCCAAACACCACACAATCTGTACGTGTGTGCAGAACACTGCCTCATGAAGGCAGCGTTTGATGAAATCTCCCTCTATGTATGATTTCAATGCTACGTTTTATGCCCATTTCTTTATTCTTTGCGAGTTTTACAAGTGAGAGTTTAATATGCAAGTGAGTTGTTTGGTTCATTTACCTACTTCCCTTCCCCCTCAATGCACATGTGCACACTCACCTTTAAAAGAAATCACGCCAGGTCAACTTGGGCTATTGTGTTTCTTAGGTAAGGCTTTTTAGATAAAAACCTGAGGTGAGACACAGCCTGCTTACAGTGGCTTCTGGCCCAGAAGCAGTTTGCACAGATTATATTACACAAAGGCATAATTCAGACAGGGCTCCCAAACAAGGGCATATTGTATCATTGTCACCTGGCTGGGAGTCCTGTTAATGGTTTACATGCCCAAGTCCTCCCATTTAAACCTACACATTCCATTAGGTGGGAAAAACCTCAGGGCTGCTTCTGGCCATCTGTGCAGATGGTCTGAATTCAAGGAGACCTTAAAACTTGGGTGCAGAGGACCTCCTTTCCCCTCCCCCTTCCTCATTCTTCCACTGTCTGTCTCCTCCCCCTGGAGCTGGGCTGGCTTCTCCTGTGACTTTGAGCCTTCAGGGCCCTTCTCAGGGTTCAGGTCTAGCCAAGCATCACGAGGTTTGAGGGGTGGAGGGTAGGTGGTGAGTAAACAGCCCAGAGCAGCACCTCTCCCACCCCCAAGGAAGTAGCTGCTTCAGTGGCTGCTAGGGGTGACTTTCTAGCTCTTTGAGAGCTAGAACTGATTGTTGTATATTCTCTACAGATTGCCCAAGAAGACAATCAGATAACAAAATAACACATTGTCTGATTCTTCATGTATCCTTCAGGAGAATACAAGCAAGCTGCCTTCCTTAACACCGATGGGGGAAATCCCCTCACCTCTTTGCCACATGATGAAACTCTAGTGGGATAATATGAGGATCATGCAAGCTGACATTCAATGAGTGTTCTCAGACTTGTCCAGCCCAGGGCCAAGGCCAGGGCTGGGCTCTTTATGGGGATAATCCCAATCAATCCTCATAAGTACCTTATGAAGTAGTGCTAAAAGAAAAACTTCAGCCGAATTAAATTTAAAGGAGTATAATTGAGCAATGAACGTTTCGAGAATCAGGCAGCACCCAGAATCACAGCAGGTTCAGAGAGACTCCATCGCAGCCACGTGGTGGAAGAAGATTTATAGGTTAAAAAAAACGGGAAATGACATACGGAAGTTGAAGTGAAGTACAGGAGCAACTGGATTGGTTACAGCTTGGTGTCTGCCTCATTTGAACATGGTTTGAACAGTTGGCTACATTTGATTGGCCCAAACTCAGTGAATGGCATAGATGTGGGCTACGGTCAGATTACACCTCTACTTGTTATAGTTCACGATGTATGGAAAAACCTTTAGGCCTATCTTAAATATGTAAGGCGGCAGCTTTAGGCTAAACTTGATTAACAGTAGGTACTATGATTGACAGCATTTATGCAGAGGAAGAATCTTACAGTATGGAGAGATCAAGAAACATGGTCTAAGTCACATCCTAATAAGGCTCATGAAAGGACATAGAGACAGGAGAGGGGACTGGCCTCACTGCAAGTATCCCCGGTGTCACTGCTATGCCCACTTTCTCATTGGCTAAGCCTTACCCTATTTGGGACACACTGACAAGTGCCTGGAAAGGGCAAGAGGCCAAGGAGCAGGTATGAATTGGAAGTGAGGGGCTATTTCTCTGATTAAGTCCAGAATATACAGATGAAGTAGTGCCTCACCACAGCTTCCATCCCCATGAGGCTAGATGGCTAGGCAAGTTCTTCAAAAAGTAGGAGTGACCATGGACCTTTTCTTCTCTTTGCAAACAGGCCATTAATATTGAGGATGATCTTTTCTTCATCATAATCCTTACCTTGATTATACATAAAATGCTTTGTGTCAATTCTCAGGTGGACCTAAGACTCTTTTTGGAGCCATGCTGGCCCTTTTCTCTCAGCAGTCAGTATGGTCAAAAGCATCTTTCCTAGTGAACAGATATGGTCCAAATGAAGGCTGGCCACTTGTCATTCGTGCTGGGCCTCCTGGGGGACACCCAAGAATGCTTCCTATAATCATTTATCCCCTCGGAACTTTCTCTACTATTTGTGGCAATGACCGGCACTAGTAATATTCTAATATCTAACCTGCTTCTTGGGTCAGAACAAGGGCATTTACATAAGTACAGAAGTGTCTACATTGGGTGAGCTAAGGAGAGATGGGAAAATCCTCTGTTCTTGCATATTTCATCACTCCTTAGGATCTCCAATACTCCTAGGATTTCACCATTAGATTCAATGCTTGGGTTAAGCATATTCCTCTCCAGGTCTTTTATCAGTTAAGGCTGAGCTTGGTTGCATGTTACAGAAACTCAACTTCAGAGGATTAACCAAGTTACTTATTTTTTTTTCAATGTAATGAGAAATCTTGTTATAACTAGTGCAGAATGGTGCACCACCTTGAAAAAGTTGCCAAGCACCCAGGACCCTTCCAGCCTCTTACTCAAGTGCCTTTTGTGTGTGGCTTTTGGCTTCATGGTTGTGAATGGCAGCTGCTCCTCTTGTGCCCATCACTTCTGCATTCCAGGAGAGTGGGGAGAAAGAACAAAAGCAACAAAGCTCAGAGCCAGCAAAATCTGTCTGTATATTAGGCAGGAAATTTCCTTCCCAGAAACTCCAATTCCATCTCATATTCGCTTGTGAAAGAAAGTTTAAGAGGGTCAGTATTTTTAACTGGACACAATGCTTCCCCAGACAAAGTTGGGGGCTCTGTTAGCAAGGAAAAAGGAGAGATCAGCTCAGAAGTAGGGAGTTGGCAATGTCAGCCACACCATCTTTTGAACAGGAGATGGTTTAGAAAATTAACATATTTTGGGAGATTAGCATATTAAGTTGTTAATAAATAATTGGGGTATAGTAGGCAGATATTGTTTTCCCTCAACTAAAGGAACCAAGGACAACATAGAGACACTGGACTCTTTGAGGGTGGGGATTGTTGAAAGAAGGTTAGGGATAGAAAACTATAACTTTCTCTTCTTAACAAATTTGCTCAGGGTTAGCTTTGCTTCTAGGACATGGCTCAGTTTCCTCTGGTCCAGATTTCTAATCCTTGGCATTATTAACATTTTGGGCTACATAATTCTTTGATGCAGGGCCTGTCCTGTGCATTGTAGGATGTTTATCCTGTCTTCTACCAGCTAGAAGCCAGTAGCACTGTCCCCTCTCCCTCCAGCTGTAATAATCAAAACTGTCTCCAGACGTTGCCAGCTTGCTCCCAGTTGAGAATCACTGCTCTACTCTGTTCTGTACCACAAAAGACTGCTTGTAAAACTCACCTCTTCTTTTTTTTTTTTTTTTTTTGGTTTTGAAATAAGAGTGGAATTTGCCAGCTTACCAGCAGCAGAAACTAGCCAAATCTGATAGCGCCAGGAGTGCTTCTCAGCAAAGTTTGTCCTGCACATCTGCACAGCAGCTAGACTGGGTACTACCTTGACAGGTTGGCACCCACAGCACAGCCTTCTTAGCCCCTTGTATTCAAAGCTCACACTCATGGGCAGAACTCATGGTAGCCAGAGCAAACAGGCACAAAAGTAGAGTTGCCAGACTTAGCAGATAAACATACAGGATGGCCATTGAAGTTAGAAGTTCAGATAAACAACAAATAACTTTTTAGTGTAAGTATGCCCAGTGCAACCCTAAATAGGAACAATGGATTTACGTTTTCAGTGTGGATAAATCTTGAGTTCAGCTTTTGCAGCTAAATTTCATGTCACTTTGCACAGTCTAGCAAATACTTCCTGTTCCTACCACCAAGTATGCAAACGTTCTTATGGGAAGTCATCAGACTTGAGTGTGTACCCTTGCCCTGACCTTGAACTCCAGGTGGTACCAAGCAAAGTCACTAGGCACTCAGATTGCAGTGCTTATTTCTGCATCTTCAGATCTTGAATGCATCAAGGCCTTTTCATTTTCCCTAAGTAAGTGATCATCTGGCTGTGTGCTATTCCTTGTTCTGCATATCTGGGTGGCACAAAGAGGGTGTTTCCTAGGCCAGGGGCAGGACTGTGTTACCAGAGAAAACCCAGGTCAGCATCAGACTCTCCAGGGCCCAGTTGCTGGCAATGGAAAAGAAAGGCATTTTCCCCCTTCAGGTGGAAGCATTGAAGTTCCACCTGAAAATCCATTGAAAGTATTTCCAAAAAAATATATCTATATATATATCTCAAGATGGTTAGGCTCCCTGGAATGCTGCAGGACAGAAGTACTTGTGATATACTGATATGGTTTGGATTTGTGTCCCCTCCCAAATCTCAGTTTGAATTTTAATCCCCAATGTTGGTGGAGGGGTGTGGTAGGGGGGTGATTGAATCATGGGGGTGAGGATGGATCATGCTGTTCTTGTGCTAGTGAGAGTTCTCATGAGATCTGGTTGTTTAAAAGTGTGTAGCCCCTCCCCTTTCTCTCTCTTCATCCTACTCCAGCCATGTAAGATGTGCCTACTTCCCCTTCACCTTCCACCATGATTGTAAGTTTCCTGAGGCCTCCCCAGCCCTGCTTCCTGTAAAACCTGCAGAACCGTGAGCCAATTAAACCTCTTTTCTTTATAAATTACCCAGTATCAGGTAGTTTTTTTATAGCAATTTGAGAATGAACTAATACATATCCTATGCAAATCTGAGAGCTAACTTAGAGAGTCAATGCATATTAGTGTGTTAAGGTCTGGAGAATCCCTGCATTAAAGAAGCCTATTTGACTTGGTCTAAACCAGGTTTCTCAAAGTTATCAGACGGATAGTCTTTTGCTTGCCTAGTAACTATTAACAGAATATATTTGGGCATTTATTGCCCATGGGATAACCCAAAGAAATAGCAGATATTTGACAAATATTTGTTGTGTATTTATACTGTGCTTGGCCAGATGCTTGAGATATGGAAGTTTTTCTTTCACCTTTTAATTCTTAAATTAGTTGCAAATATTTAATTAACTATAATTATTTGTTTAACATCTGACTCCCCCAGTAAAAGCTCCATGAGGGTAGGGAAGGTGTCTCTCTTATTCACTATTTTATGGCCAAATCCTAATGGTTCTTGGCTTATTGTAGATGCTCAGTAAATATTAGTCAAATAAATAGAGATGAGCAACACAGTCTTTGCCCTGTCGGACGTCTCTTCTTATACAGTGGTGTTCATGGAGCTGCAGAGCAGAATGATGGGAGGAAATGTTTTAAAATACAGGTGTCTGTCCCCACCACTGGAAATGTGAAAAGATCAGGAGATAGTGCTCAATAAGGTTTAGGATTGAGACAATGTCTCTGACTCTTCAGGAAATGCACACATACCACACTTTGCTTAGACTCCTTTGCTGAATCCTCTATTTTGACTACATAGGCCAGCAAATCTGGGGCTAGGTTGTGCCCTAAAGAGGCCTCAGGAGAAAAGCCACTTGACCTGGAAGCCAGGTGCTCATCAAAGGGCAACAAACTTTTGTTTTCAAGGGACAAGAATAAAGCTTATTTAAAAAAACCAAAAACTTTTAGAACATGTTGGTGTGATAGAGATGGAGTAGGAGGAACATTCGTTTCCAGAAGGCATTTGATTTCCTTTTTGAACCATAACCTGTGCTCAAACGGTAAATTTCAGCTCTAACCTCCCTCTTCCTTTCCCAAGTTCCTTACCCCTCATACAGTTTCCCTTTAGGAGTGCTCAAAATGATTGTAAAATGAGCTTTTAGTTTTTGGCTTTTCTCAAGACAGAACAAATACCTGTTTCAGCCCGAGGTAGGTGTTTGGCTTCCCTGAGTCTCATCTCCTGTTACTGTCCCTCATTTTTATTGCGGGGGGCAAACCATCTACCTGGGGAAGGCTTTCCAGGACACGTATACACACACACACACACACACATACACACAAACAAACACACACACAGCCATAGAATTTTCACTTACATGGGGTTATTATAAAAGCTGACTATTCAACTTCTGTGCAATGCTTTGAACATAGGCATAAGTCTAAATATAACTGCATCTCACATCAATAATCTTGGATATAAAGAAATTTGAACTCATTTAGTGTATCAGGATCTGGTTTGCTGTATGTATAGTGCCTAACAAGATAATTTCAGAGTGTTTAGATGTCTTTTACACTGAATTTTCATGTGGATATATGACTTCTTTGTTTATTAATATGTGCATGCCATTATGCAGGTATCCATTCTTCAATCTACTGAAACATGAGGAATTGTTACCTTAACTTGGCTTCAGAGTCCTTATGTCCTCAATAGCCCCCTTCCTTGGAAAGGGATAATTCTTGTTATTCATTTATACCTGTCTCTTTCTCACACAATTACCAGAAAAAATAGAAAAATTAAATAGATTTAGCAGTTATTAAGAAGCTAGCATTCATAAAATTTCAAGGCATAGACCGGTAGCAGTGGCTTGAGTGAATAGCACAATATCCTACTTATAGAATTTAGAGCAGGTATTTGATCTAAACTAAAAAAAAGTTCAGTTCCACATATTTTGTTCCATTCAACTGCTCTTATTATGTTAAGCATGAAAGTAATTCTGGCTGATTTATATGAGCTCTTCTTCTACTTTCATATTAATGTTTTCTCCACCTTCAGAACATTATCCGGCACTGTATTCAGGCACTGTATCTGTCAAAGGAACCTCACCTTCTGGTCAACTGTGACGCTTCTTCCTTTGGTTTCCATGGACTCAGTGCTGATACCCATCATAGCACCTTGTAGTTTAATCACGACAGTAGGCAATGTTTGCCTGTCTCCCATGACAGATTGACAGCTTCCTGTGGGCAGAGTACATTGTGTTTGGGATTATTGAGGAGATCTTCTTGCAGCTGTCCTGGTTAAGACCTACACTGTTGGCTGTCTTCTCTCCTGGGCACCACCACAGAGGACAGTGCCAGCCCTGGACATCGACATCCAAACTCTTATTTCCTGGCTGACTTCCAAAGAAGATTAGTCTCATGGGAATCTTTTGGCCACTCTAAAAAAAATGTGATTCTTGATTTCCTCAGGGTATTTTAGAATGACAGAACTTATATATCGTAGTAAGCACTGCAATGGGGGAAACGATCTTCTCCAGTACTGTTTTTCTATTTTAAATTTCGCTGGTTTCTCCTCTTTATTATTTCCTACCATCTTCTAGCTTTGGGTTTAATTTACTTTTCCTTTTCTAATTTCTTGGGGGAGGGGGTGCAGAAACTTTGATTATCAATTTGAGAACTTTCTTTTTTTCTAGTATAAGCATATAATGCTATATACATTTTCCTCAAAGTACTTCAATAACTCTATCCCATGAATTTTGATATGTCTTGTTTGTATTTCATTCTGTTAAAAATATTTTTAATTTCCCTTGAAAATTTCTCTTTGAGCCCTGGATTGTTTAGAAATATGTTCCTTAATTTTCAAATGTTTGTGAGTTTTCCAAGCTATCTTTCGGTTATTGATTTCTGGTTTAATTCTGTCATGATCAGGGAATGTACTTAGCATAATTTTCTAGTCTTCCTAATTTGTTAAGATTTGTTTTATGATCCAGGATATTGCCTCTCTTGATGAATGGTCCATATACACTTGCAAAGAATGTCTATTCTGCTGCAGTTAAATGGAGTATAATAAATGTCAATTAGGTGAAGTTGGTTGACAGCATTTTTCTTTATTCTCACTGATTTTCTACCTACTTTTGTATTAATAACTGAGAGTGGAGTATTGAAGTCTTCAGATATAATGGTCAATTTCTCCTTTCATTTCTATCTGTTTCTGATTCAAGTATTTTGATGCTCTGGTGTCAGGTGAATTCAGATTTAGGACTATTGACTTTTTAGATAACTGACTCCTTTATTATTATGCAATGCTCCTTTTATCCCAGAGGTAGGAGGGTTTTTTTCTTACCACAGTTGCAATGGGCTCCAGAGTTTCTTGTCTCCTCCTCCCCTACAGCAGTTTAAAACTTGTTTCTCTGGGGAAAAAAGCTGGGCAAAGTGTGAAGCCTTTCTGGAGAAAGGCTTCCTCCCCTCTCCCAACCTGCACCCCCAGGGATGCTTTCCCAGGACTCTTTCAGTCTTTTATGTGAGCATCCACTGAGGTCAGTGGAGACAATCCTTCATGAATTCACCTTCTATCTGTGGCCCCCAGAATTCTATACTTTCTCATTAGTCTACATTGGCCACTCTCAATCAATTCATTAGTAATTTTAGCTGAATTCTTCTTGCTGGTGGGTGTTCATTGTATGAGCCCTAGGAAAAAGGAGAGTGTTCACAATCCACCTCTTCTTGCAGTCACCTGTCTTCCTTAAATTGTGAGTTAGTTGGTTGACTTATGACCTCAGCTTTTTGAGAAATCTATAAAAGGTTATAAATATACAATTGTCTGACTTTATATTGCTGTAAGAATGAGATTGGAGCTCTTCCTAGCTTTCTACATTCCACAGGTAAATTGAAAACATGAATTATTATTTTGTTGAATACTTCCCTCCCATCTAAAGAGGAGTTTGAAATGGTGATTCTGAGAATATCTTTCTGGAACCCAGTCTAATATAAAATCCTTTTCCTTGCCCTTAATAGAGGAACCAGAAGCTTTCTGAAAGGAGAGAAGAAAGGAAGGATAAAATAGCTATAATATAATTCCCTGCTTAGCTTTTTCTTCTCTCCTTGATAGAGGTTAAGTGGGATATTAATATTTTCTCAGAGTCCAAAAACAACAGGTTTGAGCTACGAAAGCTAGACACTATCTGGGGGCCAGAGAAAAATGGAGAAAATCTTTAGCCACTTCTAAATTTTCATTTCAGTTTTAAGTGAACTGAAAAGAAAATTCTATCAAAAGTTCCTTAAGGAATTCAAAAATGTAGGAGAATAATTGATAGTATACATTTATCTTCTTTGCATCCCCCTTCTCAACCCCTGCCCAGTGCAAATGGAGCTCAAATTCACTACCCCTTTTGGAGAAGGCCTGAGTCAGGTCATGAGTGGAGGATGAAACACTGTTCCTTCCTGCCATTCACTTCTATTAAATGGTGGCATCCACACCTTGGCCATGTTTGCATCACAACACACATCGTCAGTTTGCTTTGACCCTGACACCATTTTATAGGCTTAATAATAATAAATCTATGTCCTGAAATAGTTTCACAGATTATAGCAATCAATCAAGATTCAAGGAGCCCAAGACCATTAATGTCATCAGCAGTGATCCAGCACCCCAAGAATCCATCTAAATCAGCCATTACGACAGAAAGTACACCTTAAGAGCCTGACGATAGAGGGAGTAGATGGAAACATAAATTGCAATTCTATTTTTATCAGCCATCAAGGGATGATTTTCTTGTGGAGGCTTTGTCTATTCCTGGTAGGAAATGAAACTAGGACTTGCTGATTCCTACTCCAAATGATAAACTGTCAAGATTTTGCTGGCCCTGGGACTACGAGCACTGCAGTGCAGTCTATAGCAGCCTGCAAGCCTAAGCACTGGGGATTTTTCTTTTGAAACTCCCCAACATGTTAAATCAAGGCACTGTATTTTGTCCCCTTTGTAGATGGCCCAAATGCTCACTCATTGCCATTGTCAAGAAAAATCCTAAAGGTACAATCAGCTGAAAAGGACTTGAGATGCAGACACATGGCAGTCTCAGACATGTATTTGATGGCTGTGGTTAATCATTAAAACTCTGAGAAATGAGGAATAGAGGAGAATAAAACGATTTTCCCTTAGGTATTCTGTAGTTTGAACTTTTCTGTAACTTCAAAAACATTTCTTGTAAGGCAGTATGGTGTAGTGAAATCAACTGAGATTGAAAAGTCAGGAAAGCTGAGTTCTAGTCTCAGCTCTCTCACTAGCTAGTTGTATGACCTTAGGCAAGTCATCTCACATTTATAGATCTTGTTTCTCCATCTGTTAAATGTACAATTGCTGTAAATCAGGTATTCTAAATCAGTGATGCAAGGACCAGATCTAGACGTAAATTTTTTTGTTGTTATTTAGCTTGAGTATGTGTGTATAAGTGTGTGTATAAGAGCTAAATAATGACTTAAATATCATTGTCGTAGTCTATGTTGTGTTGCTGTAACAGAATACCTTAGACTGGAATACCACAGACTGGGTAGTTGATTTAAAAAAATGGTTTATTTGACTTATGATTCTTGAGGCTGGGAAGTCCAAGAGCATATGGAAAAAGCTTTTGTGCATCATTCTGTAACAGAAGGCAAAAGAGCAAGAGAGCACAAGAGCAGACAAGTAAGATAGAGCCAAGCTCTCATGATAACTAACCCACTCCTGAGATAATGGCATTAATCCATTCCTAATCACCTCTTAAAGGTCCTACCTCTCAACACTGTTGCATTGGGGATTAAGTTTCCAACACATGATCTTTGGAGGACACATTCAAACCACAGTAATCAGTAAATTTCACATAGAAACTACCATTTCATAATCAGAGACACTGGCAATACTGGGCCATATCTCTACATGGCAGCAGTGGTATTCCTGGGTAATGGGTGCCTCTTTGGGTGGATCCTGCCCTCCTCTCCATGACCCTAGAGGCTCCACCTATTGCCCTACTCGTCCCTACCATCATGACTCATTCGTATTAACTGCCTGGCTCTTGTAGGTACAGATGTTGGCAACTCTTAGATTAGATAATCTCTACAGAGAGTACTATTTAATTTTTTCTAATAAAGCAAAATGTATGTTAAAAGACTTAAAATAAAGTCTATTAAAAAATATGATGAAAGCTAGAAGCCCCAAATAATCATGTATTGTCTGGATCCCACATTTTCATTCTCTGCAAATAACTAATATGACTACAAACAGCAACAGGTCAATAACTAACTGCTGGCTTCTCAACTCACAGTAGAAAAATAAGAAGTATTTTATTTTTAGAACCTCTTGCTTTTTACACTGTTTGCACACATACTGAAATGCCTCACCATAGGCCTGGGGAAAAAGGCAAAAAAGATGGTATGTGGAACTTTTCACTAAACATTATGTTCTTGAGCCGACAGGACTGTGGGACTGCTCAGGTTCACACACATCTTCCTCTTCTTCCCCTGGCTGGTAGCATTTACTGTGTAAATACTACTCTTCAGTCCATATCCTCAGACTATCAAATGGGTTCCTCTGGCTGTTTCCTGTGTTGGTATTTCTTTTCTGAGTATAAATTTTTTGAGAGCAGGGATCAGATATAATGGTGTTGTAATTCCTTTTCCTTTCAACTCCAGTGTCACACAGAGTCTAGCGCCATCCTAAGTGGTCACTGAGCACTTACAGTGATGAAAGAATCTGCTTTTGCAGTACTGACTACAGTGAGAATGTTCCTTCCAAGGAATCAGCTCAGTCCAGGGCTGAGCCCATAAGCGTAAGCCCATCCAAACTCAAGATGAAGGTGCCCTGCCCTGATTGTGAACAAATTCTGAGTTTCCAGGCCCCACATTTAAACAATCAAAGGCAGAACTAACTGTAGGGTTGATGATTGATAATGTTCCTGGATTCACTGAATTATTTTACTGCCCTCTGTGGCTAAGCTGTGTTTACTAGGTTCCATTTACCTCATTCTCTTCCTGTCAAAGCCTCCCCTTCCTCTGTCTGCACTGTGGATTAATAACAGCAAGATACATGGAAATTTCCATCTAATAAATGCACATAAAGTTAAATCATCTGCCCCTTTCCTCCTTTGCCCCCTTAACCATTGTCTCAAATGGAACTTGTGACCCTTTATGCCTCTTCTGATTAAGAGAAAGATTGATTCTATGTCAGGAAGTGGTGACCTTGGCAATGTCAAATAATTTAATATACCATTAGGTGCCAGGCCTATCTACTGGGTTCATTTGCAGTCATTACTGGCACTTTTTACTCTGATCAATATGGCTGTTGAGTAGGACCAAGGTGGTGGTTGTCCATGCAGCAAGCTGCTAAAGGAGACTTTCAATTTCATTTTTAATAGGAAAATAAAATCAGTTACTGTATCAGCAAAAGCTTTTCCGAAAAATCAGGTCATTCTATGGTCCATGGCTCTTTTATTATGATTGGAATCATGTCACTAGATACACAGGTAATAAAATGCCACCTCACAGATCTGGGGAAACAGACAAGAAAGTTCAGTTTTCAAAAGTTTCACTAAGTATTACTCTCTGAGGCAACAGAACTGTGGGAGTTTTGGGAAGACAACAGCCTCAACTTGGCCAGAAAGAAATCTACGGGGTTTTTTTCTGTGGAAAAAAGAAAAATGAATATTATGAAAACATGCAGCCTGTATTCCCTCATTGAGATACCAGCTCATTGTACCTGGCCCATCTCTGCTCCTCTAAATTACACTGGCTACTAGCTCTTCACCTGGGCTTGAAATTAAGCACACTTGGTTTTGCACCTGAGCTCTCCCACTTACTGGGTAACCTTGGGCAAATTACTTAATCCTCGATGAGTCTCTGTAGGAATTAAATGAGATCATGCTTGTAAAATACTTCTCACAGTATCTGGCTCAGAGCCAGTGGTCAATAAATTGTAGCTGTGATTAGTGTCATTATTATTATTGGGCTTGGTCCTTAGTGCCTTAATTATCTATGGGCCCCACCCCATCAGTGTCTTTTTGCCTCTCTGAACAGATTTCTCTGTGCCCAGGTTTCACTGCTGGGCTGTTGCCAGCTTCTCCCCTGAAAAGCAGTGAGGGAATGGCATCCTCTTCCTTTCTCTGGGTTGTAAAGTGATAACCTCTAGGCACTTTCACATTCCTCGAAGCAGAGCTATAATCTAAGAACAGGTGCTCCCTGAACTGTGGGCACCAGGAGCCTTTGGGCACATGGTAGATCCCAATCAGTCTGAGATCTTTGGACCACCCAGGTAAGGAATTTTAAATCTCTTGAGCCCTCCCAGGAATCCCTAGCCTCTGCATGGGAAATTATGGTATAGTAATTATCTGTTCCTGCACAGAAACATACTTCCAAGGTGCACATAGACTTTCTCTGTAACACCTCTGAGCACCTGCCAACATTCCTTGGACACAGAGTTCCAGACTACTCTAGTCACATAAGGGTCTCCTGGTGGCCAGTCAGGACTGCTCACAGCCTGAGGACAGGGGATGTTTTGTGTCCCCACAAGTTCTGTTGTTGTTGTTGAAATTTGAATTGCCAACATTAAAAATCAACACTGTTCACGTTGAATTGGGGGATTTTTCTTGGGAAAAAAATATGAGAAGATCTGGCAACATTGGACTTCTATAATGAACACTAGTTCATTATAGAAGTTCATTATAGAAGTCCAGTGATGTAGTCCCAGAGAAATTAAGAGACATGTCTAAAGTCTACAGCAAATGTTTGGCAAAAGAGAAGTTGAGATTCCTGGGGTCACTACCCTTTCCCAGCACATCATGCCTTCTCTACATTTAGGAAGAAGTAACACGGAAACCTCTGGTTTAGGGGGCCTCTATCAATCCTCTGCAAGTCCAAAGGGTGTGAACCAAGGATTGAAAAGAGCCACTCAATCTGTAGACTCTCTTCCATCTGCCTCAGGACCCAGAATTCCTACCACTCATTAATCACACTATTCATCTGTGCAGTAGCACATTTTACTGGGTTAAAACATTGTCATTTCAGAGTGACAATATATTATTGAGGAAATGTACCAGTTAGAATTTTTCTCTGGGTAATTTTTCTCTGGGTACTTTACCTCTATCATGGCAATCAGAGAATAGAGCACAGAGAATGTACTCAGGGTAATTTCAAGTTGAGACTGGAGTTGTAAAAGACAGCCTGGTAAAGTAGAAAGGATGTAAGTTGTGAGTCATGGGCCCTGTGCAACTGAGTATTTCCTTGTACTTGATTTCTACCCAATGTGAAATGGGGTCATTTGGCATGATGATGTCTGAGGACCTCACCAGCCCAGGCATCCCATGACTTCAGGAACAGAAAGGTCCAGAGTGATGGTTGTTCCTGGCCTGGAAGGATGGCACAAGGAAAGTCCTGTGAAGGTGAAATGCCATGAGATTCTAGGATCTTAGGGCTTAGGGCAGAAGATGGCTTGCCAATGTAGACTTAAAAAAAAATCGATATATAGGGAGGAGAATGTTAAGCTTATACAGACATAACTAAGAAATGCACTATGATTTAGCAGAGAATTTAAGGAGAATGTTGCTAACTTTGAAAGCACTATGATATTGCAAAAAGAATACCAGCCATTGGGTTACAAGACTCGGGATCCAATTTCTGCCTCTGATATATGGAAGACATGATACATGAGATGCCCAGAAGAGAGGCCTCAAGAAGTAACTTCCACACTTGTAATCTAGGCGAGGGCACCAATCATAACTGCAATGTACTTCCCATACCCTGTTTTAGGAGGTTTTCAGTCTTCAAAAGTAGACACAGTAAAATTATAAGGCAATATTTAAAGTGGACAGTTTCAAAGACAAGATCATTGTGGACAGACTTGCTGTTTTGAAGTGTGGTACAAACAGATATCAGAGTGTCATAACTGGTCAGGAAATCTGCTTGAGTGTACTGAACAAGGAAGTGTCAGTTTCTCAAGAATTCCACTGCTCGGCTGACTGTGTGTGGTGTTTGGCAGGACAAGGAGTTCAGCAGGGATGGGGGGAGAGAGAAAAGGCACACATTTGACAGTTACGCCTTTGGACACTTGGCTCAGAGCTGAGCAGCATCACTTGAAGTCTTGCGTGTCTTCCACTATCACAGCCCATACAAATGCTAGGTGGAAAATCCTCTCTGTCTTTGGGGGCACTCATCTGTTTGCTTTAAGTTGCTAGACCATGTACTGTTGCCTACTTTTCTACGGCAATGGTGGATCATATCCACATTCTTTTGGATATTTTTTTCCAAAGTGAAGGCTGGATATTCTCAGGACTAACTTTAAGGATGGTTTCAGAACCCCATTACAGTTGCCATCCTATATTGGCCAGCAGGGCTTCAGGGTCACCATAGTTTATCAAAGCTTGCTTAATCCACTGCATAGTCTGGCTCAGTCATGCCAAAGCTCCGTCTTCCAGACAGACTTCATGCCTGCCTCACTGGAAGTCTCCTCTTTAGAGGGCTTAATTCCCAAACAATCTGCCATAAACTCAAATTCCTGGTGCTAACATCACCTTTTTAAAGTAGCTATCAAAAGTTTGAATTGGCATGAGAAATTATTACCGTGATCTGGTTTTATGAGCCTGAGCCTCCATCCCCAAACCTCCTTTGGCTCGTGAGAATTGTCTCCATTTTAAGCATCTGTAGAAAAAAAAAATCTACAGATGTCCTTATAGAACTTTGTTGGCACAGAGCAATCTTCACATCCATTTTGTCCATTTCTGGCCTCCATGAAGATGGAGAGCTGTTTACCATAGTCTTATCGTAATAATCTTTCATCTGCTTAGAGATGTTGTTGTGACTATTTCTGTGGTTTCCTCTAGTTTATGGAAACCGGTGACTGAGTCAATGACATTTGCAGGGTAGAGAATTGTTTCCCACAAGCCCAGAGATGTAGGAAACAAAAGAGGTGGCATGATTCTTGCCTTCAAGGACTCTTAAGTTCCAATGGGACAAAGGTGCATGAATACAATATGTAAAGGACTGAATACCACAGGTCCTTTCTATCTGTGGGTTCCGCATCCAAGGATTCAACCCACCACAGATCAAAAATATGCAAAATGAAAACATTACTGAACATGTACAGACTTTTTTTTTCTTGTTCTTATTTCCTAAACAATATATTATAGCAAGTATTTACATAGCATTTACAATGTATTAGGTATTATAAGAAATCTAACGATGATTTAAAGTATAGGAGAGAATGTATAGGTTATATGCAAATACTACACCATTTTATATCAGGGACTTGAGCATCACTGGACTTGGGTATTGTGGGAGGTCCTAGAACCAATTCCCCAAGGATACCAAGGGACAACTGTATTTTTAAGTATCCCTTAATTATAACCTGGAAATGAAGGAATTCAAGAAGACTTGCCATGTAGCCTCTGGTGGGGTAGGAGACATTTCTGACAAATAATTCTAGAGTTTGTCCAACTATTTGCATTTGATTCTTCTTAAGTGAACTGTGGCAACATTTCAGGGATACAGTTGCGTTTATGACATAGAGGTTCATGCCCCAAATTGAACAGCATTGGGTACACAGGTTATTGTATGCCCACTACAATGCAAACTCCAGGAGGACAGAGGTTTTTGTCTCTTTGGTTCACTGATTATCTCAGTGCCTATGACACTGAGATATGCCTGGCACAACAGAGACATCCCATAAATAGCTATTGAAAGAAGAATTAGGAAGGAGAAGGCTCACGGGTAGATTTTTTTTTTTCCAGCTGAAGATGCTACCTTTTATTTCCCCTTTTTTTGTTTCCTGTTTGGGGAGCATTTTATCTTCCCGTTAAGCTCAGTTGCCCCCTACCAGAATTTCTTACCTGGTGCAATTGACTTTAAGGTACAACCTTATCAAATAATGTTTTGTCATTTTAGGTAAATATAATCCTAGCCTTTTTTTCCTTTTATCTCCTGTAACAGTAATTCCTCTAAAAAAAAAAAAAAACTAAAACAAACCCAGTGAGTTCTTTCAAGCTAGGCCTGCCCTCACAAATCCATACTAGCTACGTCTTATCAGACTTTGTTACTGCAAATCCTTTTGCAGTTCCGCAGTCCAAGTGCTTACTAGTGTTTTCTTAGCCCATCTGATATACACCCTCTTCTAATTCTAACAGTTTGGTAATAAAATGTGTTGGGCTCAGTATTCACCCCTTTGTAATTCTCAACTTTTCCACCCTCCTTTGCAATTGGCTGGGGAGGCTTACTAGCTGGAGTGCAGCCTTAATGTGCTAAGCCAGGGAGGGGCAAGATGTCTCCTTTGAATAGAGCCATGAGCTTTGCTGGCATGACTGAGTTTTGCTTTATTCCAAAGGCAATAATTTATAACTGCTTTTTGGGCAGCAGTCTGGATGAGAGCCTGGGAACTGGGAGGAAGCAGGACCTAGTAAACACATAGCATTTGGGATTTATCAAGATCATTCCTACTTCCCCTCCATTTTCTACTCTCCAACCACATGGTAATCTCCACATTCTTGGGGACGACAACGATAACCTTCCTCCTGGTTGAAGTTAAATGGTGCTTTAGACTCAAGAAGATCTGGGTTTGAACTGTGACCTTGGGTAGTATGTTTCATCTCTGTAAGTCTCAGTTTTCTTACCTGCTAAATGGGTATAATAATACTCTCTTGAAAGGACTTTTATGAGGATTACATGAGATAATGAATATAAAGGGCTGGGCACCTAGGAGATACTAAATGAAGACCAGTATTGTCTAGTATCTCTCTATTCAAGCCCATATCTTCCATGAATACCAATAACAAAAACATGCCTTCTTTTTTTTTTTTTTTTGGAGATGGAGTTTTGTTCTGTCGCCTAGGCTGGAGTACAGTGGCACAATCTCAGCTCACTGCAACCTCTGCCTCCCAGGTTGAAGCAATTCTCCTTCCTCATTCTCCCAAGTAGCTGTGACTACAGGTGCATGCCACAAAGCCTGGCTAATTTTTTGTATTTTAGTAGAGATGGGGTTTCACAATGTTGCCCAGGTTGGTCTCGAACTCCTGAGCTCAGGCAATCTGCCCGCCTCAGCCTCCCAAAGTGCTAGGATTACAGGCATGAGCCACTGCACCCAGCCAACATGCCTACATTTATAAAGCCTTTATTATGTGTGAGCCACTGTTCTAACTTCTTTGCATGTATGAATTCATTGAATCCCAGCTACTGTTGTTTGCAGAGACCTTTCCCTGTCTGCTTCCCCAGCTCTTCTTGGGTTTGCTTTCTCTCCATTATTTTCTTTTGAAGAAGCCCTTTCTCTAAATTCCTATGGAGATTTCTGCATCAAAAACAGAACAAGAATATAAGCTGCCCTTACTCAGGTCAAGCTCATTTGCCCATTGCTTTCTCATATCCAGTGCTTGTGGCCATAACCTCAAGCTCCAGGGCAGTGGTTCTCAACCACCACTGCACTTTAGAATCCCCTGGGGAGCTTTTCGAAGTCTTTGTGCCCAGGCCACAAACCCAACCTATTAAATCAGACTCTCTGGGAGTGGGACCAGGCACTACTCCTCAAAGTTTAATGTGCATAAGAATCGCCTGAAGAGCTTGTTAAAATGCAAGTTCTGCCTTTCTACAGAGCTCCCAAAAGAGGCAGATGCTGTTTGTAGAAGATACAGTGAATAGCAAGGCCGGATCAGACCCCACTCTTTTGCTGCTCTGTGGCTTCCTGCTAGCTCAGCCACAGGATCTCTGTTGACTACCACTTCTTGTCCTTCTCTGTCAGCCTGGTATAGCCTCTTATTGTGCTTGAATCTCAGGTCCTGCAGTAACAGTAGATATGACTATTGGCCAAAAAAAAAAAAAAAAAAAAAAAAAAAGATATGGTGGCTCACACATGTAGGCAAGCCAATTTTTTGCTTGGGAAAAATCATTCAAAACCCAGGATGTGGGGATCAAGAGCACCACCAAATGCCTGGGAACCTCTTAAAATAAGAGTACTTCGCAATCTAGCCTTGTTTCTAAATCATGGGCTTTTTTTATGGGACCTTAAAAATAACCTATTGTAGAGTAGTGACTTTGCGGATATATCATTTTCCTTCAGCAATCTATGATAAGAATGCCCTTATTCTGACCTCTAAACTGAATTCAACGATGACCACCTCATTTGCCTTCTCTGTTGCTCTGTGGTCAGTGCTGGTAGCCATGCTAGTCATGGATTTGCTACCTGCGCACATCTGTTTGCAAGACTTCTTGAGTCATTTAAGTCACATAGTGGGAAGCAAAACTAAATCACTCTAAGGAAAATGCTGAAAGAATATGATGCTCCCTTTACCTCAGCTTTCTCAATTATAATAAATGAAGAGGCTAGTCAGCAGATCTCTGAGGTGTCTTCCACCAAACACGATGTCTCTGTGTATTTTGAGCTGAGATCGGGGCATCAGTCATCTTTCAGAGGTTCAGACAACCAGAACTTTGAGAGTAATAATAAGTTCCCAAATGCACATTGCCTGGTTCTCTTCTCTCTTAATCAATCTTATCCTTAAAGATGACAAAGAGGTCTTGCTAGATATAAAAACGGTTCTCTTATATGACAGTTACCAACAGTACAAGGAATCTTGGTGAATGGGGAATTCAAGTTGGAGAAAGAGACTCTGATTAAACTCTTAGAAGCAAAATTGAATCTTTAATAAATAAAATTATTTTTTCTTCATTTAGAACTTAAGGTCCCCAGAAGGCAAGTTCCAGTCAGGTAAAACTAAAACAAAACAAACAAAATCCTGTAGAAAAAGAAACTCATGCTGCATGTCACCCGTACTACGTGTTAGTCTCTCAGTTTGGGACAGTTTAAACAGGCAGATAATAACTTATTTCTTCTTCTCTCTTCTGTTTACCAGAAGAGCAGCAGCTGTGAGGAATATTTGCTGTGGAATGAATCTAGACCGTCCTGAGGAGCTAGGATTTAAGTCCACTCTTTCAACATTTCCATAGTACCCAGCTTGATTTCAGCTGTGTGCATGTTTAATCTTGTTCAAAACCGAGCTCCTGGAAAAGACGGGAAATGCTGGGAAACTAAACTCATATTTGTTTTGGAAGCAAAGGGCCACTGCATTCCGATTTTCATGGCAGGGAGGCAAATCTATATAATGTTGTAACACTGTAGTTATAAGTGCAGAGCAGGAAGAAGAGGCAATTCTTCCAACCTATCCCCTGAATCGAATCCTGGATTGGCCTTCAGTTGTTTCACAGACTGAGATTTCTAATAGCAGCAGCTATACTTTTTTTTTTTTCTGAAAATACACAATGGGGACTTAATAAGTAAGTGCTGACTTGATTTTGAAGCTCAGCCACTTTTAAAAACAAACCCTTTATATTATCTTACACTAGGTACATCATTTTTCTGAACACCTCGAGTTTTACCAGCCTTCCCACCATCTCAGAACCTATCCCTCTATCTTATATCCCTCCATAATCAGCAACATGATTGAAATGAACAATATTGATTTTACCATTCAGGTATTGTGATTTGTCTTGGAAAAGAGGAAATGGTTAGCTGTAAGATTGCCTTGAATATTACTCATTCTTAGCAAAAGAAAATAATTTGATATAGAGGTGATTATAACTAAGAAAGATTTAGGTATGGTAATTTTAAAATTTAAGTTATATTTTATATTTGCCTCCACTTACAGAGCTCAAATCTAGAGTCAATGATAGAAAATTCTATGCCTGCACAAATTTTTTTTTATTCTGCTTACATGTTGGAGTAGGGGACAGCAGGAAGAATATTTAAGTTTTTAAGGTTTTGGTTTCCCTTTTCTTAAAATGAAGATAATAAAATATTTCAGTGTGTTGTGTTGGTAAAATGTTCTACTTTCCTTTAGTTAAGAAATATATGTATATAATCTTTTTAAAAGTTAAACATGATAGAATGCATGCTCTGGCTGAAAAGTTTGGAAGGGTTATTGAGAGACCAATTCATTGCCTATATCTAGTTTGAAATGCGTTCTGACAGAATGGAAAGAAAACTGCTCATCTAAAATACACAGTATATTAATGGTCTGGAAAAAGAATTGAAGCAATCTTTCTCAATCCTTATGGTCAGGAAAGTCTTTATGTCTCAACTCCACCCATTCTCCTGCCATGGAAGTCCTTTTCTTCTGGCTAGGTCTCCTGGAGGACAGAGTGAGCATGAATGTGCTCTGCCCCTCAGACAATACACGCTAAACACCCTCTTCTCCCTCCAGTTTATAATTAGGCCCTCATCACAAAAGCTCTTCTCTTTCTATACAATTGCATCCCATTCCCATACACCTTCCAGGTATGGCTCATTTCCAAAGTCTTTCCTCACTTTTGCTATCTACTTCCCTGACTCGTCCTAGTTGGCTCCCTCCTGCCTTCTCTATGGGTCCCAGATATGGAACACGGTGTGCAAATGCAAATAAGGATTGCATGGACTGGGACTAGAGATGAGGAGTCCCTTGTGACTCTGACAGCCCTCTAAATAGGCTGCTGATGGGGGAAAGAAGCAAATGATCTTGAGAGACTTTTTTTATTGCTTCTCCTTATTGAAAAAAAAAAAAACCAGGAATAAAATGTAAAAATCATCACACCTGTCTCTGAAATGCTGCTCTTGCATGAACATGCACCTGCATGTATCAGTAGCATGAAAGGAATTGAAACATTTGACCCATCCAAAAAGAAAAAAGAAATCCCCCACGTAGATTAGCCTGCAGCTCTCCACTTCTATCCCCAACCCATCAAGAACCAGACTTTTTGATTTGCATCTGCCACCACACCCAAGTCCCTGTGAATGCTGTGTTAATTTGAATGTACAATCAACAATACTTCTCTTTCTCTTTTTATCATCTGTGCCAGAGACAACAAATGCAAATGGTGAGGTATAATTGGCATTAGAGGCACCCAAGTGAGTGCTAGCATAGCATTAAGGTTAACTGCCTATATGATAATCTCCAAATAACCAGAGAGAGACAAGTACCTTACAACAGCTGTGCAGGACATAAATAAAGCTTTTCTGACTTTTATGCACATAGTCTTAACCATAAATGTTACATCAATTTTTTTTGTATTACTCATGGGAGACAAGTTATTCTTCTAAGGATTTGTCCTTTTGTTTTTTTAAACCTAAGGCACATGGAACTAGACTGGGCATTAAAGTTTTGAAAGTCCTTAGAATTGGGCAATTTCTTGTAATATTGGGGTAACTGCAAAAAGAGGGGGAGTGGGTATTGAGCCTGGTGGTTAGGCTCAGAGCCAAGAGAGAAGTTTCCCAGAAACTGTTGGATCTATTTTCTACCCTCCTGGAAATTCCATCTCTTTTCATTAAACTTGTCCATGATATGAGCTGTTGTTCTCCCCATGTAGTTTTAAAGACAAGGCATTGCTTTAAAGCTGAGATACCCATGGCTTGTTCTGTAATATACAAATTAAAATAGAAATGAATACATAGAAAAAGCAAAGTTGGTTCTTTGGCCAGAAGCTTGCTTCCACAGTCATAAAGATACAGACAGGTAGATCTATCACTTTAATTTAAAAATGAAAATCCCTTTAGAAAACTGCCAGACATTCAGCCCTGGCCAAATGGATTTGAAAGGATTGTTATTTCTCCTGCTGTCAACTGGCTCTGGGAGAGTTACTGCTGGCAGGCTCATTCATAGAAGGATTTGCAGTGGGGCCACCAATGTACCATCATTCTTGACTTTGAAGGAAGAAGGTATGGAAAGTTGGGAGGAGGACTGAAAATAATAGCATCTATATACTGAGTATTTGATAAGTATTAAGTAATGTATGTTACTTGCATTGTCTTAGTGATCATTCTACGTTACTATTATTGACTGGATTTTATAGATACTGTATTAGTTTTATATTGCTGCTGTAACAAATTACTACAAACTTAATGGCTTAAAACAAACCAAATTTATTATCTTATGATTCTGTGGAAGTCTGACACTGGCTACAATGGACTAAAATCATAGCATCAGAAGGGCTGCATTCCTTTCTGGAGGGTACAGGGAAGAATTTTCTCACCTTTTCCAGCTTGTAAAGGCCACTCACATTCTTTTTTTTCTTTTTTCTTTCTTTTCTTTTTTTTTTTTTTTTTTTTTTTGAGACTGATTCTCATTCTGTCACCCAGGCTAGAATGCAGTGGCACAATCTTGGCTCACTGCAACCTCTGCCTCCCAGGTTCCAGTGATTCTCATGCCTCAGCCTCCTGAATAGCTGGGACTACAAGCATGTACCACCACACTGTATTTTTAGTATTTTTTTGTAATTTTTGTATTTTTAGTAGAGACAGGGTTTTGCCATGTTGGCCAAGCTGGTCTTGAACTCCTGACCTCAGATGATCCACCCACCTTGGCCTCCCAGAGTGCTGGGATTAAAGACATGAGCCACCGTGCCTGGCCAACGCCACTCACATTCTTTGGCTTGTGGCCCCTTTCTCAAATCTTCAAAGCAAGCAAAAGCTGGCCGAATTTTCCTCACATCACATCACTCTGACCTTTTCTGCTTCCCTCTTCCACTTGCAAGAACGGGGGTGATTACATTGTATAACTGGGCAGCTTAATTCAAAATGCATTTTAAACTTTTTGTTTCCTTTCACTTGGGTTTCAAGATATAATATTGAGGCAACTGGCAGAAGCCTTTTTCCTTAGCCTTAAAATAGATTCCATGCTTTTCTCACCTTATATATTCCCTTCACTTTTATCGCACTGTATGCTAGTATCTAATTGTGTGTCTTCTTGGAAGTTCCAGGGGCTTAATCTTGAAACAGGGAGACCAAGTCTGGAGACCCAGCTGCAAAGTTCCAGAGATTACTTCCAGGTGGCTCATTAACAACCTGGCCATTGTTGTGATGACGTCAGCCTGAGGTCTCAGGTCCCAGGTCCCAGGTGGACTGAGACCCAAGACAGCCACCAGAACAAGACACACAGACATTGTACTCAGCCCAATGCTTGAATGCCTTCCTTATCAAGTTTTCCCATTTTAAACCCTTGCCTTCCCCCCAAAATCAAAGCAGTTACTTTGGATAGGAATCCAGCTGCTTCTTCTTTACTAGTTTTGGTTAATAAATTCACTTTCTTCCTACCGGACTTCACTCTTGTTAATTGGACTCTGCAAGTGGCAAGCATCGGGACCTACATTGTTTGGTTACAGTCAGATCCACATTAATAATTTGGATAATTCTGCACCTCAAGGCCGGCGGCTTAGCAACCTTAATTTCATCTGCACTCTTAATTTCCCCTGGCCATGTCGCCTCACATATTTAGTCTCCAAATGTGACATATTTGGAGGTACCATTATTCTGCCTCTGTAGATAGAAAAGGAGGAGTCGTCTAGGCACAGTGGCTCACACCTGTAATCCCAGCATTCTGAGAGGCTGAGGTGGGCAGATCACTTGAGGCCAGGAGTTCAAGATCAGCCTGGGCAACATGGGGAAACCCTGTCTCTACTAAAAATACAAAAATTAGCCAGGTGTGGTGGCAGGTGCCTGTAATCCCAGCTACTTGGTAGACTGAGGCAGAAGAATTGCTTGAATCCGGGAGGTGGAGGTTGCAGTGAGCCGAGATGTCACCACTACACTCCAGCCTGGGTGACTCCAGCCTCTCTCAAACAAACAAACAAACAAAAGAAAAGGAGGAGTAGAAGGGTTAAGAAACTTGCCCAGGGTTACATGGCTACTAGGTAGTGGGGCTGAGACTAGCTTTGAGCCAAAGCCTGATCTGAAAATAGGAAGAGGAACAAGGAGAAAGAAAAAAGAGAAAGAGAAAGTTGAGAAGAAATTTTCCTACTATGGAGAAAATGAACATTCTTTTGCAATAAATGCATGGCTTATTATGAGTCAATCAAAAAAGGAAGAATGTGTGCACTGACAATTTGTCTTTGCTAACCATTTCCTTCATTCTCCCATTTAACCTGTAAATAGTTTGCATAAATCATAGTTCACCAAATTACATTGGCCTCACTCACAACACTGGTCTTTTTGGCGTTGTAGAACACACCAGGGTGTTGATATCGACTTCATAACAAAGCAGGGATGCAATATGAAGGTACTAATATGTGCACAAACACACATGCAGTGTACCAAAACACCACACCAAGATGCACACTAAGCAAGTAGGTTAGTTCCACAGAGTCTTTGTGGAGAGGATTTAGATGAAGAGGTGAAGGGGATGGGGGGCAAGTCGGGATGAATGTCAAGAAGACTTTTTCTAACAGAAGGAACAATGAATCATCTAACAACGAGACTCTGCAGATGCTGGAAGACCCCTTGACCCCATATTTAAAGCTATTTAGTGTGTATTCTCATTGAGGACTCTCCCTTTTGCTTATCTAGAAGGCATATGCAAGGAGGGGATAAAAGAAAGAAAGGGCAGAAGCTCTTCAGCAGTGCTCTTGCAATGATATTGCCTATAGCTCCTCCATCTCCTACTCAAGTGGATTCACAGAATTTTAAAGGAATATCTGAGATCACCTGGTGCAATTCTCCATACATAGATTAGAAAACTGAGCTTCAGGACAACCAAATAACAATGAGAGTCGCACAGCTGATTTCAGCAGTTGAAACTAACATGAAGCATCCGTTCTAAAGTCCAATCCAATCAGCAGGCAGAAGTCACATGAAATTTATGCTTACATCCCCTTAAGAGGGCTCCATGCTGGAGACTGACACATGCTTTCTGAAAAATCCTGCACAAACAGCTTTTCTTCCAGTACTGGAACCAATGGCTCTTTCCTCAGTGCATTTCAGGGACCAGGTTAAATAAAAAATACATGTCTTTAAATGTGAAAAGCACATTTGCTATAGGAAGATGCTCGCCCTGTCAGAGGCACTTGGGAACTGAAACTGAGGCAGGACTGGTGGATACACATCCCCACCTCATACTCATGTTAGGACCTACACCCTCCCTGAGCAGAAAGCCACATGCTAGGGATTTTTAGTCTTTGTGAGATACAGTGTATACAGAGCCCCCAGGATCAGGAAAAGCATAACAATTTGCCTATTTCAAACTTGCTGCTGTGGGTTCTAAAAGATTGTGTGAGTGGGTCAGTTTCTAACCTGGTTTTACGAGGCCTCAACTGAAGGATGAGCTGTCTTGGAAACTGTCAGGTCTGACTTGTCAGAAAGGTGGGCCAGACTGAGATGTCTTTGAGCGTCCCAGGTACAAAATTCTCTGGCAATTCAGCATAACCTCCAGGTCTGCTATTTCCTCTTGCATTGATCAGATTACATGGGCAAATGTGCCATTTTTGAAAGGCCCCAAACCCTGAATTGTCCTATAAAGTATCCCATTCTAAAAGATGTCTAACATTATGAGATTCTCAGCCTTTTGGCATTTGTTGGGGAAAGATATCTCATGTTTCTCTAGCTTTTAATTCGTTTGCCTCCCCTCCCCCCAGGTAAAGAAGGCCTAATTCATCCTGATGGCAGAGCTCCTTCCTCCTTCCCAGGGCATAACTCAAGGGTTTCTAAAATGGCATTTCTAAGGCGAAGAGGAATCTCCCTCCAGGGACATTAATGTCATCACAGATGCTGTGGCAGTAGTAGAGATAGGTAGGGGTCAGCCTTGGAGGGTCAGCAAAAAGGAAATTTAATGAGATCCTACTGGAAATCAAGGGTCATGATATCATCAGTGCTAAGGGCATGACATAGCTGAAGCAAGCTCTCAAATGGAGCAGGGTTCCCAGACACAGGGACAGACTTCTCTGGCAGAAACAGATATCAGCTGGCAATCAAGCAAGAGAAATGCTGCTGGGTAGGTGAGTTCATTCTATGCTTGGACCTCACATTATGGTGCAATTACTCTGCAAGATTATTACCTTGTCCATTAACGGTGTCCGTATGTGAGGACAGCTGCCTCTTTCTCCACTGAGGACCAATGGAAAGATGAGCCTTGACCAGCTCTGGAGGCAAAGGGGGTTCAGAAGCTCAGAGAGTCCGCTCAGCCCTGACTGATATCAGAAGTTATGAACTCCTCCTTTAAAAAGAAGGGAGCCCTAAATGAAAAATGGTGTAGCCACTTTGGAAACATTGTGGGGGCTCCTCAAAGAATTCAAAGAGAAGTATGTGATCCAGCGATCCCACATTTTATACACCCAGAAGAATTAAAAGCAGGATCTTGAGAAGACATCTGCACTCCCATGTTCCCATGTTCACAGCAGCATTATGTACAGTAGACAAGAGGCAAAAGGCACTCATTCATCAACAGATGAATGGATAAACCAAATGCAGAATGTGCATACAATGGAATATTATCAAGCTTTAAAAAGGAAGGAAATTCTGACAAATGTTACAACACGGATAAGCCTTGAAAACATTACGCTAAATGAAAGAAGCCAGTCGCCAAAAGACAAATACTGTATGAGTCTACTTATACGAGGTACCTAGAATAGTCCAATTCGTAGAAACAGAAAGTAGAATGGTGGTTGACAGGGACTGGGGGGAGGGGAAAGTGGGGAGTTGTTTAACGTATATGTAGTTTCAGTTTTGAAAAATAAAAAAGTTCTAAAAATGGGATGTTCTAAAAATGGGATGTTCAACAATGTGATTGTCTTTAACAGTACTGAACTGTACACTTAAAAATAGGGAAGACAGTACCTTTTGCTATGTGTGTGTCTTTTTTACCATAATCAGACATTTAAAAAATTACAAAAAATTGATTTTTTAAAGATAGGAGACCTTAACAGTGATAAAACAAACAAACAACAGCAATAAACCCTTGTCTTAACAACTTTATGAGGTCAGCTTTCCTTTCATTTTCCTGGTAGAGAAGACTTTTAGGAACATCAGCACAGGAGAAGGATTCCTTGGAGGGCCTGCTCTAAAGGCTGGTGAGTCTATTTAGTCAGGTTATTCTGGAAGCCAGCCAACATACAAAAAATACAACAGTTAAGATATAAATGCTCTGTTATGCTTCTCTCTCTCAAAAAAAAAAAAAAAAAAAAAAAGAATGAATGACTAAATAAATAAAAGGTGATTCAAAATTCTCTGGCCTGTTTCCAGGATCAAGCCTGGGGAGCCGCATTAGAGTGCCCACCCTGAGTGGTACTCCACACCTACACACTTCTCTGTTCTGCTGGTGCTGCCCAGGAGACCTGGGAAACTTGGCATGTGAATGGACAGTGATGGATAAATGAATCAATCTTTCTATTTTGCTTTGAAAGTACACCTCCAGCTTCCTCCTCTCTAGGGTGCCAGCCCTGCCCCCTCAGGCTGTGTTAGACCCTGCTATGTGCACCTATATTGTTCTCTGCATCTGCATACTCGTATCTCAGCATTTCTTGTGTTATAGTGTAATGACTTGGTACATCTCTCTCACCCACAGGTCTGTGAGATCCTTAAGAGCAAAGGGTTTCTGACCACTGCCATAATGCCTAGAATATGGCTGACAATAAGTAAACATCATATAATGACATCAGTGACTGGTTTTGCATTCTCAAGATGGGAATGCCCTTTTTGGACAACTAGATATGCACATGGAATAGTCCAGGTCATTTTCTGGCTCCGGTGGTGTGCTCGTGCTCAGAGCTTCTTCGAGTTCTACCTTCACCTTCCATGACTTGCCTCCTTTCTCCAATTATTCATCCCTTCCCTAAGTATGTGCCTGTGGTTTCTGTTTGATTTGTTTGGGTTTTACATGTCCTTATTAGTCATGTGTGGGTGTCCCTGTGCTGCTATTATCTTCTGAACTTCTCAAGGACAAAGTATCCAACACATTCTTTGTGTCTTCCCAGAGCACCCATCCACACACTGAGACAGCAAGTTTAAAAGCAGTTACTGTTTGAAGAATATCCAACACGAACTGCTGGGCTGACACCTCTACCTGCACGTGTTGCCAGGACCTCAGAAAGTGAACAAGTCATCTTTTCTCCGTCAACCAGCTCATTTTTCTGAATTCCTTGAGGGGTGGTGGTTTATGTTTTTGCTTTTCCAGAAAGGGTACTTTTCTTAATGGCACATATTCTCCTACATCCTAAGACTTGAATGAAGCCTTGCTATGATCTTTGAGCTTGACTTTCTTCAAACTTGCCCTATCTTGTCCCCACAGAAAATTTAGGCACTGACTTCTACTGATTATTTCCACAGAATTTTCTCCCTTTTCACCTCTCCCAATTGTCATC
Organism: Homo sapiens; assembly: GCF_000001405.40. Lineage (NCBI taxonomy): Eukaryota > Metazoa > Chordata > Mammalia > Primates > Hominidae > Homo > Homo sapiens. Next base: position 68,367,995 of record NC_000005.10, on the reverse strand, counting down.
ACCCCGTAGCAGCTGACACCTAGACCAGGGGCTTTGCATGCCAGTTTCTATCTGTCAGAGTGGCTGTCTAGGCAGAATAGAGTTTTGAAAAGACTCTGATGCCTTGTCTCGGATCAGCAGGAGAGAATATTTTAATCAATCAGAGGTGTCTGTCATGGGTATAGGAGAAAGTAGCTGTGGTCCAAATGCTGAGATTCTGTCATCTCTGGCCAAGATAAATGCAACAGTCTTGTTTTTTCCCTGACTCTTCTTTCGATGCGTTCTATACAATGACCCAAATTTGACACTTTTAATATAGCATTATGACATCTTGCCTCCTAAATAATAAGTGATACCTGGTTGCCTGCACCAGCATCTGTCAAGCTTCATCTTTCTTGCTACTCACGGCAAAATTCTCCAATGTCTTCCACATTTAGGCTCATTCATGCCTGGGAGCTGAGCTAGTCTAGACTAGGGTAGGAAGCATATCAGCTGCCTCAGCCCCTCCAGATGTGGGGCCTGGAGTTTATCTTGGCTGCCCACAGACTTGGTATCTGTTGTGCCTCGCATAAGCCCTGGGTGCCAACTTAGCCTCCAGGTCACACCACTTGTAATCTTTTTCTCATTTCCCCCTTCCTCATACCCTCAGACATACTGACCCATGGACAGGTCTGAGCTGCTGCCACAGATTACCTGTCTGCTCTTACATTCATGCTTTGAAAATCACCTATTTATTGGGGCTCCCAGGATTTTAAGAACTGGCAGACTCCTTATTCCTGGCCCAGGATGGGTTCTGGCCATATATGAGCGCATTGCCCATAATGATGTTGAAGATTATGTGAATCTTCTACTACTGGGCCACATCCATTAAACTAATCTCCTTCATACTTCTAGCATAGCCTGGTCTCTGCATGAAACTGCCATGCCACATGCTCTGGACACTGTGTGTAGGACCACTCAGCTCTGCCTAGAGAAACCAACTATTTCCCTACTCCCCTGGCTCAGATTCCTTCCTTTCCCCAGCAGACCCAGCATATCCTGTGCTTGAGCTGACAATTGTAAATGTATCATTTACTGAGCACTTGCTATGTGCCAGACCCTTGAATAAGTGCTTTGTATGCAGCACCCCACTCCACCTTCACCAGGACCCTATGAAGCAGGTACTTATTATGCTCATTTACACAGGAGGAAATCAAGGATTTGGAGAGGTTAAACAATTTGCTTTGAGGTCATATACATAGCAAGAAGAGATGGGATTTGAACTTATACTCACTGAATCTAGATCTTATGCCTTTAATCACTATATTATTAGAGATTGCAAATTAATAGCCCCTGGTAAAATGTTGGCCACAGTTACATTTGGCCACCAAAATATTTTTTTTTATTTTTTATTTTTTTGAGACGGAGTCTCGCTCTGTTGTCCAGGCTGGAGTGCAGTGGCACGATCTGGGCTCAACACAGCCTCCGCCTCCCAGGTTCAAGCGATTCTCCTGCCTCAGCCTCCCAAGTAACTGGTACTACAGGTGTGCGCCACCATGCCTGGCTAACTTTTGTATTTTTAGTAGAGACAGAGTTTCACTATGTTGGGTAGGCTGGTTTGGAACTCCTGACCTCATGATCCACCCACCTCGGGCTCCCAAAGTGCTGGGATTACAGGTGCGAGCCACCACGCCCAGCCCAGAATATTTTTAAAGATGGCCAATACTTAAAAATTAGAAGATGTAACATAAAAATTCAGATGTGTGACTTTTCCTTACAATATTGGAAGGTCCAACAACATAGTTTCCATATCCTGCGAGATAAAAATCAACTTAGCTAAGAAATGTCTGCCAGCCCTTTGCATGGGCCATGAGCACACCAGTTTGCCTCTTTCACTATTCCTTACTGCAGTAGTTCTCAGATGCTACTGTTGACTGGAACCATCTAGAGATTGCTGGACCCCAGCCAAGAGTTTCTGATTTAGTAAGTTTTGGTAGGGCATGAGAATTTGTCTTTTCACAGTCCAACTGTTAGTTGCCATTTCTCATCACATTAATGCTGTTTCTACTTTTACAGTTAGTCCACTCACCCACCCACTTCTTTTATCCTCATGCTCCATGTGAGTTTGCAACCCAGGCACTATATTATAGTAACACCAAGGAACTCAAGGCCCTCCCATCTCTTCCTAAATTCCCACTAATCTCTGACATGAATCTTAAGGCTAATCTGGATTTCTTATTGCTCTGACTTCTTCTTTCAACTCTTTTAAAAATACAATGCAACTTCTTAATTCAATTTCATGAAGTCTGTAGCAGACATAAAAAACACTAACGCAGGTTCTTCCCCTGAGCTGGAAGGGACCAACAGAAAAGAGACATCTCACATATGTGAAAGATAAGCGTTTGTGCTAACCTAATCCTCCAGCATTTAAAAGCCATAGTATTCACACAGAGGCAACCATTTTATCTATTCTGTTCTTTCAGTAGCAACTGCCTCATGGTCTCAAGCTCTCTTCCTGTTTATTCAAAGTCAATTTAACTATTTCAGGAGAAATCTATTTGCACAGTTATTCAGGAAATATAATGCCCCAATTCAAAAAATTTCATTTGGTTTTCGCTTTGCCTGGAATGCCCTATTATAATCTTCAGAACCCATCTCAGATGCCACTTATTCAAAAGGCCCTTCCAGACAGACCAGCCTAGGCAGATATAATCCCTTCTTCTCTTGGAATTTACATACTATGGCCATTTCCACGGCATTCACCCCATATTTCCTTGAAATATAAAATAACTATCTTGTTCATATACCTCCTCTAAGAGGCTATAAACTTTTTTATAGCGTAAAATGAGACCTACACAACCTTGCAGTCTGCATGATGTCAGCATAGTGCTTTGCTTTCAGGCATCATTTAGTTCGACTTATTAAATGTTTGGATGAATGCTGAGATTGGAGCACAATGTCATTGAAAGGGCAAAGAACAGAGCAGATATTCAGAGAGATTTGGGATCATCTGAAGTTATCCACTGCTAATTGAGGGTCTATCATTTGTCCAGCTCCAGCACTAACTCAGGCACTACTGAAAATAGAAGTAGAAAATAATGATCAGTCATGATAAAGCTTGCTAGAGCACCACACATGACAAAAATTGAGAGTAATCTACAATGTGAGTGCTAAACTGTGTGATGGTAACTTCAAGAGAAAATAGATAGAAGAGAGGAGCATAATCGGAATAGGCTGGAATAAATGGAGAAGACTGTAAAGTAGATCAGATATATACATCTGAGCCAGATATTTAAATAGGGTTGGTGGTCCGGTTTTCTGCTGTCAAGGTTGTGAAGATATTCTCCTTTGTTACCTTCTAGAAGCTTCAGGGTTTTGTTTTTTTTTTTTTTTTTACCTTTCACATTTAGATTTATAATCTCTCTGGAATTGGTTTTTGTGTATGATGTGTGGTACAGTTCAGGGGTCATCTCTTTCTGTGTGAATATGCAATTGATCAGCATCATTTATTGAAAAAAGTTCCCTTCGTCTCTCATTTCAGTGCTGTGGCATCTTTATTGTAAAAATGGTTTTCATATATGTATAAAACTGTTTTTCTTTCTCTATTTTTTTATGCTTGCACCAATACCATGCTGTTGCTTTTACTTTTTAAATAACCGTAGCTTTGTAATACCTTGATATTTGGTAACTGAAGTCCTCCAAATTCCTATTTTTCAAGTTTGTCTTTTGTTCTTTTTAGTCCTTTCATTTCCATTTAAATTTTAGAATCTACGTGTCAATTTCCACAAAAAAAAAAGTCTGCTGGGATTTTTATTGGGATTTATTGAACCTAAAAGTTAATTTAAGCCAGGCATGGTGACTCATGCCTGTAATCCCAACGTTTTGGGAGGCTAAGGTGGGAGATTACTTGAGCCCAGAAGTTTGAGACCAGCCTGAGCAACATAGGGAGACACTGTCTCTGCCATAAAAAAAAAAAAAAAAAGAAAAGAAAAAAATTCTGTCTTCTAGTTTTTTGAGACTATATAGTAAATTACAGTTAACCATATTCACCCTATGGTGCAGCAGAACCCCAGAACTCATTCTTTCTATGTAGCTGTAATTTTGTATTCATTATTATGTAGGTTTTTAAAAAGATACCCTTTATGAATTTAAGAAGTTCCTTCTATTCTTAGTTTACCAAAAGTATTTTTTAATCACGACTGAGGATTAAGTTTTATTAAATTCTTTTTCGTGTATAGCAAGATTATAGTCACATAATTTTTCTCCTTTCTTCCATTAACATGGTTAATTTTATTGATTGATTTTCTAGTGTTTTTAAACTTATCTTCCTGAAACAAGCCCAATTGGCTTATGGATTTAATCCCTTTGATATTTTATTTAGGATTTTTATTTTGGGTTCATAAGAGAGATTAGCCATAAATTCAGTGTCCTCCTGAATGTTTGGCATGAGCGTTTGGTGGCCTTGTAAAACTAGTTGGGAAATGTTACCTCTTTTTATACTCTTTGGGAGTGATTGTGTAAGGCTGGTATTATTCCTTACCTATTTGGAAGAATTCACTGGTGAAGCCATGTGAATTTGGAAGAATTCATCAGGTGTGGTGGTGCACACCTGTAATCCCAGCTACTTGGGTGGCTGAGGCAGGAGAATCACTTGAACTCAGGAGGCGGAGGTTGCAGTGAGCCAAGATCATGCCACTGCACTCCAGCCTGGACAACAGAGCAAGACTGGCTCAAAACAACAACAACAACAACAACAAATACCATTGCTTTAATAAATACAAAATTTTCTATTTCTTCTGTTGTCAGCTTTGATACATTGTATTTTTCAATGAATTTTTTCATTGTGTCAAAACTTTCAGATGTATTGGAAAATAAACATGTTCGTAAATACTCTCATGTTTGGTAGTAATGTTTCCTATTTCATCTGTTTTATTGAAAACTTGTGTTTTCTCTCTAATTTTTCTTAGTCCTGCTAAACAACAGTTGATCAATTTAACCAGTACTTTTAAAGAACAAACTTTTGACTTTTTGAATTTGTCTATTGTCTATTTATTTTCTATATCAATAATTTCTATTCTTTATTATTGCCTTTTTTCTATTTTCTTTGGATTTAATTTGCTATTTCGTTTCTAGCTTCTTGAAATAAACAATCAGATCTTTCTTCTTTTCTAATATATGTATTTAAGGTTATAAATTTCCCTCTGAGCACAATATTAACTGTGTAGTAGTTGGCAAATAGCTACAGATTTTTCCTATATTTGTCTGCATTCCTTATTGTAGTAGAACTTTGCAGTTTCCTTCATCTAGAGATGTCTACCCTTGAGTCTAGGTTTGGCCATGTGATATTAGCAAATACAAAGCAAACAGAGCCTTGGAAAGCTTTTAAACATTTGAGTGTGTTTTCTCAGTTTGTGCTTGAAAACTTGAAAACACCATGTGAAGGAGAGCAAGCTAGCTTGCTGGAGCCCAATGGAGAAGCACTGAGACACCCTGGCTGAAAGCTAGCCAACTCCAAGATACGTGAGTAAGACCATCCTAGGTTTTCTGGCTTCCAGTCCACTCTTCAACTGACCCCAGATGCAAGAGAGCCTGGCAGAGATCAGCCAAGCCCAAACAGAAGAACCACCCAGCTGACCCACAGAATCTTGATATAAGTAAAATGGTTGTCTTTAAGCCATTAAAGCTGGGGATGGTTTGTTATATAGCAAAAGTTAGCTGAAACTTGCTATAACCCTGAAGTTTTGATATGAAGTATAATCCCATTATCATTTCATTAAAAACACTTTCTAATTTCCATTGTGATTTCATATTTAGATCAATGCAATATGTAGAAGTTTATTGCTTAATTTCCAAACATTAGATTTTTTTACTTTTAGTGATTTGCGTGTTTGTATGACTGATTTCTAGCTTAATTTCTCCTAACATCAGAGAATATAATTTGTATTTTCTTCAGTTCTTTGAAATTTGTTGAGACCTTTACTATGGTCCAGGATGGAGTCAGTTTTAGTGAATATATTTACTTGAAGAGAGTGCTTATTCTGCAATTATTAGGTGCAAGATTCTTTATATGTCAATTATGTTAAATGTATCATCTCATTTTTAAAATCTTCATCTTCACTGATATTTTAAATTACTAGTTATATATTTTATTTTGAGAGTTTAGAATTTGTTTCTATTTTTATTTCTATCATTTTCGCATGTATTATATGTGAATATATAATAACATGTGACATGTGATTAGATGCGTAAATATATATCTTTATCTCATTTTTTTCCTTTAATATCTACTGTATCTGATATAATTATAGCTACCAGTTTATTTGGTATTAACTGGTTTAGCTTTACTCCTTCATTTCCTTTCAATCTTTCTCTTTCCATATAAATAAAGTGTGTCTTTTATCAGCAAAATGTAATTGTATTTTTATCTACAGTCTTTGTCAATTAATTAGAATATTTAGCCATTTAATGACATATAATTATTAATACAGTTTTGTCAAAATTGACCATCTTTTTGTTTTCTATTTGTTCTAGCGTGTTATTAATCTACATTATTGTCCCCTTTGAATTGATCATTTTTATTATTTCATTTTTGTCCTTTGTTATTTTGTTGTTACACATTTTTTTAACTTTTTTTTAGTTATTAGCCTAGAGATTACAACATGATTTCTTGAATTACTTTAAGGTAATATAACTTAGTACTTTTACTGCTCTCAGGACAATGTAAAGACCTTTCAACACACAAAACTCCTTTTTTATGCCTTTGTGCTATTTTTGGCCATGTATTTTAATTCTACAGAATTTAAATCACACAAGACACGATTATTATATTTGCTTTTAACAGTCAAAATTCATTCAGATTTAACCTACATTTTTACCTTTTAGAGTGCTCTTCATTGTAATGAAGAATTCTTCATTACAATTATTTCATTGGGAATCATTTTCTTCTGCCTGTAGAACTCCCTTTTGTATATCTCTTAATGTAGGTATGCTAGTGATTCATCCTCTAGTATAAGTTTTTATCTTAACTGTCTTTATATCATCTTAATTTTTGAAGAATACTTTTGCTGGGTATAGAGTTTGAGACCAGCAGTTGTTCCCTTTTACTCCTTTAAAAGTATCATATCATTATATCCTGGTTTACTTTGTGAGTCTTTTTGTCATTCCTCTGAAGATAATGCATCTATTTCCTTTTCTTCCTCCTGCTGCTTTGAAGAATCTCTCTCTCTCTCTCTCTCTCTCTCTCTCTCTCTCTGTGGGTGTGTGTATGTCTATTTTTCCCTGTCTCTATTTCTCCCCACCTCTTATAGTCATATTACAATATGCACAGCAGTGATTTTCTTTGTAAATTCTAGTTCTCTTTTCATCAATATTTTTGATTGTATTATAGTTATGTTAATGTCTGTGTCTGATAACTTCAAGAGCTGTATCAACAGAGAGTCTGTGTCTACTGTATATTTTTCTTTCAGTGTCTTCTTCCTTTTTTGCATATCTTATGATTTTTTCATTGGTATGTCTATTTTACTACATTCTGGAAATTATATATATATAAATTGCAGGGAGTCTGGATGATGCTATCTTCCTCCAGAAAGAATTTCTTTCTCTTCGGGCAGCCAGAGATATCCCAGAAAGATCACGCTGATCCAGTCAAGGCCCCCTCTCAGGCTTAGTGAAGCCTGGCTAACTTAGTTTGTGTTCCTCTTGGGCAAAGCTCTTTAACGACTATAATGGAAAATGTGTGGTTTTTACTGGGACCATTTCTCCTCAGCAAGCTCTGAACAAGTTTTCCTCTCTCCTCTACTGTGATACTTTCAAAACTTCTGCTTAGCTTTTTAGTCTCTTAGAGGCTGCTTTCTCTTTGGTTTCTCTGCTCTTGCCCTGAAGATGTACCTAGTACATCTTCATAATCAGTAAATGTTTCAAAAGGACACCAAGTGAAAATATTGGGCTCAGTTCTGTGTGCCTTTTCTCTGGGATCTTGGCACATATGCTGTTGGTAGCTCTGAATTCCAAATTTTTACCTCTCCAGCAAGTGAAGACTGTAGCAATCTTTGGGTTATAGTACTTGCTCTTCAGCAAGTATCTGGAGGGAAATAAAGCTTCAGTGAATGAAGCTCATTGATTCATGTCAGTGCATTTCCTTTTTATCCAGGACTTTGGTCTTCGAAGTTCTAGCTGCCTTGGTTGCTTCCTGATTCCTTCAAACAGCTTCCCTTTGTGGTTTTAAATTTTATCTAGGTTTATATATTTTCAAGGTAGAGTTAATCGATACTTGTTATTTTATCATAGCTGGAAGTGAAAGTCTCCTATCTGTAACATTTAATATCTTTAAAGGAAAGTATTAATACATTTTTTTGTGAAATTGAAAAAACTTAAAACATTTGGTAAACATGACCTGACCAGCCTGACTAGAATAAAACGTGGGTGCAGGGGAGTAGTGGGTATGCCTTTTAAACATATGTGTCATTACATGTTGTCAATGTTAACTCATAGTTCTTCAAAATAATCCTCTTGCGTTGGTGCAAATGAATGAGACCATCAGCTCAACTGGAGCTTTTTTGATATAAAAACCCTTTCAGTACCTTTGTTTCTTTGTTTTTGGACCCTTCTACCTGGACCTATAAAATGTGTCAAATCACAATGAGAACACGTGGACACAGGGAGGGGAACATCACACACCAGGGCCTGTCAGGGGGTGGGGGCCTAGGGGAGGGATAGCATTAGGAGAAATATCTAATGTAGATGATGGGTTGATGGGTACAGCAAACCACCATGGCACGTGTATACCTATGTAACAAACCTGCACGTTCTGCACATGTACCCCAGAACTTAAAGTATATTAAAAAAAAAATGTATCAAATCACAGTTACCCTGAGGCTGAATACTCAGTCACAGACATCAAGAGCAAGGTATGAATTTGGAATGATTCACTGATGAAAGCCTATGGAAATTTCTTTTGTTGAGTTTTAATGTTTCTTTCTTCACCTTTCAGCGGTTGATATTATGATATTATTTATGACCATTAAAGTATCAGATAATTTACTTATTTTTATGACAGTCTCTAATAATTCTAATACTATATATTTTTAACTTTATCACTGAAAAAATAAGAACTACGCTACCCAAAGTAGCTAAGGCATTTTGTACATTTGCAAAGCTTTCTGCTTGTCATTAAAAATACACACAAAAAGTTGCAGAATTTTGCCTTAAATTTGTAATTTTTATATAATAATTTGACTTCAGTGTATTTAGAAGAAAATAAATCACATATGTATTAAAATATATAAATATAAATATATCTTAGCCCTGTTTATAATAGCAAAATATTGGCAATAATAATTAATTTTAAACCTCCAACAATAGGGCACTGCATTGTAAAAGTGTCACATCCATGGGACTGAATTACATGCTACCATTTAAAATATGATTTTAGAAGAATATTCAGGGATACAACAATTCGTAAAGTAGAAAAATATCATTTTAAAGAGCCACCTGGTATTTGAACTGTTAGGCCAGGGCAACAGTTTTAGGGTGAGGCTTCACTGTTTGTTTAGCAAAACACCCTAAAGGGCTTGTTTCACTTTGAAAGTTGTGGTCTTGCTCCTGGGCATAAGCTAGATAGAAGACATTTGGACAAAGAGGAGTTCTATCCCACTGCTTTAAAAAGCAAATGGATTTTGGGGTGGGCCTTGGCAGCTCCCTAGTAGGAGTAGGAGGAGGTATGAGCACAAGAAGAGTGGAGTGCGTTTGGGCAGGTAGGGGAGCAGGTGAGGTCCAGGGACAAAGCCGGCCAGTGCGAATTTCCCTATGGTGAGAGGGGCCAAAGGAACTTTAGGACACGAATGTCTAATATTAAGCTTTATGTTATTTTCTATGCAGAAATGAGAACCACATGCAGTGTGTTCAACTGTTAACCTGAGTATCACCAACAAACTCCAATAAAATAATGTGGTTTTGACTTTAAACCTTAAAACTCTTCCTTCACCCACTGAATTGGTGAAAACTCCAAGCAAGCTTGGCTTCAACAGCTGTCTCGGCCCTCATCCGGCCTGCTTTCTTTTGTTTTACCCTTCTCATTGTCTGACTTTCTTCTTTCCTATCCTATTTTTATTCTTAATGGTCACACAGAGTTTCCTTGTTCTAAGACTGTAACACCAATTGCAGTCTTTCCATCTGCAATCATTCAAGCTCCACAAAATGTAGTATTTTGCTGTAGATAATAACTCTGTTATTTTTTTCTTTTAGTTGTGCACGTGCTCTAGCTGAGAGGAATTATATCCTGTGCTTTGGCTTTTGGCTGGAGGGAACAAGCCTCCAAGTTAAATCCATTCTGAAAAAGACTCCTTCAGGAGTTACTGACTTTATGTTTCCGGTGTAGCACAATCAAATATTCCCCTGCCTGCAGTCCTTCACACAAGTGTCATGAGCACAGGACACACTTTAATCCAAAATAATTCTTGAATTAGTTATTACAATCTAGACCCTCATTTCCTTTCCTATTTGGCTCCTCTCTTCCTTGTCGTATTTATGCTGCAGTCCCTACAGTTGCTGTTGCTGGTTAGCCTTTGTCTTCCTTTTCTCTGAAACCTTCCAGTTGCTGCCTGGATGTGAGAGAGAGAAGACTGGAAAATGTCAATGATAATGGTCCGTAGGTAGATGCAAGAAAACACACTTAGAAGGAATGTAACATCTTTTACTTTTATCCTTTGTTGTAGAATATTACAGTCACCTTCCACCATCACCATCTTGTTTTCAAACAAGAATATTTTATTTAACATACACTGGTCGTGTCCTTGCTAATTGAATCCTTTTGAATGGAAGATGAGGTTCAATTCATTACATCTTCTCCAATCTCATTTACTTCTCAGGTTTTTCTGTTGTTTTTTAGCTGGATTCTGCTTTATTTCTTTTAATGACTTTATCATCAACCTCTGATTACCATTCTGCCTGCTGCCCTGCTTTTTCAGCTCTCTCTCCTTAAGTGTAGTTCAAACGCGTCCCCAAGTCCCCAAATAACAAACCGGAGTAAATATCCTGCAACTGATAATTCAGTTTAGAAAAAATCAATTGTTATATAAAGGGATCTTTCCCCTGAGAACCTCATTTGAATGAGATCTAAATATCTGTTTCTCAGGATTTAATAGCATTGCCTCAGTACCTTAGCCAATTGCCTTCACAGCTTTCTGTACTCAACACTTCTGACCTGTTATTCCCCTGAGATGTTCGATAGCAGAAGCTGTCACTATCAGGCAAAAGGAAGATTTGTAAATTGCTCCTATTTGGGGGGAAATCTGATGATTGTAGTTATTTAATGGATCAATTTGGGTTTCTAAGTGTAAAGTAATTTTTAGGCTTAATGTTGCCTTTGGTGCAGGTTGTCTCACATAGGAGGATTAGAAATGCTTTATGGACCATGGCTTGAATGTACCACTAATGAAGAGTTAGAGAGTATATTATACATTAATAATTAATGTTCTTCCAATAACAAACATCTACTATACAATAGACACCAGGCCAGATACTGGGGCCAGGACCTGCTACATAATTTGCAGGGCCTAGTGAAAAATGAAAACACAGGGTTCCTTGTTCAAAAATTATTCAAGGCCGGGCGTGGTGGCTCACACTTGTAATCCTAGCACTCCGGGAGGCTGAGGCGGGTGGATCACTTGAGGTCAGGAGTTCCAGAACAGCCTGGCCAATATGGTGAAACCCTATATCTGCTAAAAATACAAAAATTAGTCTGGCATGGTGGCATGTGCCTGTAATCCCAGATATTCGGGAGGCTGAGGCAGGCGAATCACTTGAACCTGGGAGGTGGAGGCTGCAGTGAGCTGAGATGGCATCGCTGCACTCCAGCCTGGGCGACAGAGTGAGACTCAGTCTCAAAAAAAAAAAAAAATTATTCAGAATGTCAAGCAAGTGACAATAGAACATTAAACCAAGCAAGGGGACATACTAAGTACTGGATCCTATGTGACTGCATAGGTCACTTGACCTGAAGCAGGCCCTAACTGGGGTTATGGTTGTAAAGTCCTCAAGGAATCAAGAAAGTAAGGACCAAACTAGTTTTTGCATTCTGACCCTACGGGATCCACAATGTTCTAGAATCCAGTTATACAGATTCCTTAAGCAGCCACTTGACTGTGGAGCTTACACTTGACGATTACAGTAGCTCTCCCCAGCCCCTCATGCATGGTTTCACTCTCCTTGATTTCAGTTACCCATAGTAGAGTACAATAAGATATTTTGACCGGGAAAAGAAAACTACATTCACATAACTTTTATTACAGTATATTTTAAGAATTATTCTATTTTATTATTAATTATTGTTGTTAATCTCTTACTGTGCCTAATTTATAAATTAAACTTTATCACAGGTATAAATATGTAGGAAAAAACATGATATATATTTGGTTCAGTGCTATCTATGGTTTCAGGCGTCTGCTCACTGGGGGTCTTGGGATAAGCGGGGGACTACTGTAAGTAGAAATAAATGCTGAAGGATATTATCTGAGTTTTAAAACATCCTTTAAAAAAATAGTTAAGCAAAAGCCACAGACCCCAAACTGCCAGAGGTGCTATTTCTACTCTCCCAGACAGTCAAATTAGCCTTTCTCACTTTCAGGCAAGTCTTTATGTACAACGGATTCAGCTGGAAAATCTTGCTCGAAAGGCTTGAGGACATCATTATCTCTTTTCCGCAGTTATTTGGCCTTGGAAAGCCAAGTGGTCTGTAGGAGCTTGGGGCAGGGCAGGGCTATGTTTCCTCCTAAGCTACAGGCCAGGTATGTCTTCTGATTGAGCCCTGACTTGGTGAAAAATTGTAGAAAGGGTAGGTAAATTGAAGTGTGGGTCACCCTTTCTGAGGGTGCCTGTCAATCCCCAGTCCCACCTTTGTTTCTCTAGGAGGTTCATTGAGAGGGAAACAGGAATCTCTAGGGTACGTGCACTGGGTGAGTGGCCCCTGCCTCTGAAAGTCACAGGAACCCACCTTGCTATAAGTCAAGGCTGCCGCTTATAAATGCTTGCCCTGAGCCAGGTGTTGTGCCAACCTACATCACCGCAGTTTCTCTTTAAAGAGAATAACTGCATCATCCTGTCTATCATCATGCTCATTTTCATAGGAAGAAGCCAAGGCCCTGCAAGGTGAAGTCGCCGGGTATTTTGGCCTCTAATGCCTGTGTCATTCGCCACCACACAGCTCTTTCTGCTGTCACTATCGGAGAATCTGGGTGTGCAGGGATTACACCCCCCATGCTGGGGTGATGCCCCAGCACAGTTCCAAAAGAGGAAGAAACCCAATCTGTTGTTATTTTCCCCAGTGCAGAACACACTCTGGACAATATGTTGGCAAGTGAGGTGTTAGTTGTCACGATTCCCTGGGGTGAGAATTCAAGGAGCTGGGCTTCATTTGCAAAGTGAAGGACAGTCAGTAGCACAGAGAGCCAGAAGCTCTGGATGAGAGGAAGGAGGTAGGATGACCCTGGTGGCAGAGCCTGGCAAGAGCCCGAGGAGCCTTCTCAGAAAGCTGGGGGAGGTGACGTGGCTGGTGACCACAGCAGAGGGATGTGAAGGTGGCGGGGCTCAAATGCGCAACAGCAGCTGATGGCACTGGAAAGCTGTTCTGAATACAGAGACTGGATTCTGTATCTGACCTGCATTTCCTCCCACATACTAACCCCCTCCAAATAGGCCATTGCTGACATTAAACATTATCACTTTGTAGAGGACATAGAAAACCTCTTGTGTATGACAAAATTATGCTGAAATGATAACAATGTCTTTTATTTTATACTAACTTATAGTAAGAACTTAACACACAGTAACTCATTAATTTTCACAGAAATTGTATGAAATGGATGGGCACTCTTATATCCCCACTTACAGATAGGGTGGCTGACAAAGATAGCAGTTAAGTAATCTGCCTAGGGTCACACCGTAGATGGGGCTGCCAGATTCCCAGTCTGAGGTCTCTTGTGATTTCATTTTGTCTCTGAATCCTCTACAGTACGCTAGCTTTAAAACATGTTTTGATATTCATTATCTTATTAGTTTTTCACATAACCCCATTAGGGATGAATTATTAACCCCATTCTACAGATAAGGACACTGAGCCTCAGAGGTCGAAGGCTCGCTCTTCTTTGTATGGTACATTCTAATTAGACTTTCGCTACAGAACATTCTTGAGGAGAGACGGGATGGGGTGACTCATGAATATGAAGGAGGAAGACAGTGTAGGATGCTAAGAAATCAGTTCAGAAGAATAGTTCCTTATCTCCTCACCCCCACTCCAACAGCATGGGGGAATAAAACTTAATCATCTGTTGTGAAGAGCTGTTTTCAACTGAAGTGAGAAAGGCTGGCCCCCTGGGAGCAGCGAACTCTCTGGTGGATTTTGTAGAATTAATGAAAAGGTATTTAAACAGGAGGATAAGGGAGATAATGAGAAAGATGACTTTACCAGAGTGAACTTAAGCACGGTACCCTGTCTCACAGAAAACCCACATGCATACTTTTTGAATTGAGTTGAATCCAGTCCTTTGGTATGCATTATCCTCTTGAACAGTCTAAGGCCAATTCAAAAGTAAAAGAAACAGCCTGATTTCTAAAACATTTAGACTTTTTCAAGACTTCAGATCCTTCAGACTCCTATAATTACCCTCACATTATTGCTACATACCAATTTAGTGTCCAGATTGAAAAACAGAATAAATGTTTACCAGAAACCCATTTACTTGTCAACCTCGACAATGAATCTGGGATGAGAAACAATATTCTCTGAGCTAAAAGGTGTAATTTCACCACCCAATGCAGTTGTCAATGTTTCATCAATTGAAAATCAATAAACTTCAATCAATTCCTGGGATCCTATTACTTTAACCTTTGGATGGCAAAAGGGCCCTCTCTGTTCCTGAGAGCTGCAGGTCTAGTATGGTTTCACCTTTTTCATATAATCAGCAAAGCTCAAACTGCTTCCTGATTGAAGAAAATTGCTCAGCAAACCCTGGCAAATGATTAGAAAGTGTTTTCTTGTTTCCAACAATGACCACAGGAAGTGAATGCAATTGGAGAAGGCCAGGTTCTCTGCAGGCCCTTGTTCGTTTCTTCTTTTTCCTGTTTTATTTTTACGTTTTAATTTTTCCTGCATTTACTGTGGTGACTTGAAGTTACCTGGGCCTCAATCTCCTCTGAGGAACAGAGTGGCTTCCAAGGGAAGACTGCTTCAGGGAACATCCTGCATTGCAGCCCCAGATATCCCATTACCTCCAGCCTTTCCCCTTGTTCTAAGAGATCTCAAGATTCTGCTAGACACTCCTGCTCAAGTTCGGGTAGGATTTTCCTTGCACTATTCTAGCTAAATCTTGGGATAGTCGGTTCTTCCATCTGTCTGCTCCTATGTATGCTGTTTTGCCAAACTCCTTCCAGTTACTGGCCTATTGATAGCACTCTTCACTGTTTTTCAGAATAATTTTTTAACTATATTCTAAAATATGTTTTTGGCCTTTTCCATAGGAACTTGGGAAGAAAGGGAACAGTTAAATATGAAGGCTCAAATCAGCATCTTAGAACGGAAGTCTTGACATCCTTTTCAAAAACAATTACTAATACAATTTATAGTCTTGTTTATGGCATAAGACAAAAAGCCCACGAAACTACTCAATACTGTAGGAAATGAATGGTTTATTAAACTGTTGACTGTGCTCTAATCCTGGCTTCAGAATGATTAACTAACAAATCTATCATCTGGGGGAAAGCTGGCTTGCTAGAGATTAATCCTTAAACTATTCTTATTTGGGGGCATTGTTGTTTAGTTTTTATTCGAGAGAACTTCAAGAATTGTTAAAGAACATTGTATGTGTTTGTTTTTAAAGTTAAAATAGGAATAACCTGTGTTTTATACATGGCTATAGATACACTCCATACATTTTAACTGATTTTGGTTTTTTAAATGGTGAAAAGGAAAGAACTCCAACAAAGGGCCCTAAAGGCGTTTCATTAGTACCAAAAAGCAGAGAAGGTATACGTATTGGTTAGGATTAGATTGATGGCAGGTACCAGAAACCAACTTATGTTAACTTAAGATCAAAAAGAGAATTTATTATAAGGCTGTGATGGGGATTGGTGGGGGAAGGAGGTGAGTCTCCCAGAATGTGCAAACATAGGTGAGCCTAGAGAAGGATATCAGTTATAATGTATTTAGTGGCCAATCACTGAAAAATAGCTATAATGGACTTCTTCCTGGCTGGAAGACCAGAGGTAGGAAGGGCTCCTAGGTTGCTTTGATTGAGCAGGTCAGTGATGTGATCAAGTGTCCTTCGGCTGTCTATTTGGCTTTCACAATACCTGCTTCATCCTTACACTATGTTCCACATTCCCATGGTCACAAGAGAGTTACCAACAGTTTGTGAGGTTAAAGCCTCCTTGTCTGTGTTGGCCTGAGTTCTCAGAGACTGAGGCAAAAACTGATGTGTTCACACTTTATTAGGGACTGGAGTGTGATTCAAAGACACAGGATAAGGGGAAAGGAGAAGGAGGTAGAAAAGGAGAGAAAGCAAATAAAACAGGGGGCCTGCAGAAAGGGTGCACAAGCTATTGTATCCCAGGACCATCTGTTTGGGTGCAGAAATGGAAAAGAATTTATCCACCAGAAACTTCCTGGCCCTGGTTTTCCACTAATTACAGTCATCCCCATGGAACCTAATTCCTACCGACTTCCTGGTTATATCCCCAGGTTTCTCCAGGCAGCTTTTGGGAAAGCCAGAGCCCCCCTACAGGAGCAGAGAGGCCAGCACAGAAGTGCAGCAATCTCTCTGCCAACTTCTCCATCTCTGCCAATTGCAGCGGCAGCAACAGTGACTGGGATCCTATAATCTTGGGTATAGCAAGACTGTTGTTGGGGCCTTATTAGGCTATGAGCAAGGCAAGTGCATAGATCTGGGATGGCATATAAACTGAGCCCAGGCCGGGCGTGGTGGCTCACGCCTGTAATCCCAGCACTTTCTGAAGCCAAGGCGAGTAGATCACCTGAGGTCAGGAGTTCGAGACCATCCTGGCCAACATGGTGAAACCCCATCTCTACAGAAAACACAAAAATTAGCTGGGCATGGAGGCAGGCGCCTGTAATCCCAGCTACTCAGAAGGCTGAGGCAGGAGAATCACTTCAACCCGGGAGGTGGAGGTTGCAGTGAGCCGAGATCACGCCACTTCACTCCAGCCTGGGCAACAGAGTGAGACTCCGTCTCAAAAACAAACAAACAAACAAAAAAACAAAAAACAAAACTGAGCCCAATACATCATCCCCATCTGGAGTGGGGGATCCTTTCCAGAGGCTGCCCTAGAAGACAAAGGAATTCTCTTCCTTTGAATCCCCCAACAATAATCTTACCCTGTAATATAGTTTGGGTGTATGTCCCCACCCATATCTCATATTGAAATATAATCCCCACTGTCAGAGATGGGGCCTGGTGGGAGGTGACTGGATCATGGGGGTGGTCCCTCATGAATGGTATAGCACCATGCCTCTTGGTACTGTCTTCACTGTAGTGAGTTCTCATGAGATCTCGTCGTTTAAAAGTGTGTGGCACCTCCTCCCTTGCTCTCTCTTGCTCCTGCTTTTGCTGTGTGACATGCCTACTCCTGATTCACCCTCCGCCATGAGTAAAACCTCCCTAAGGCCTTCCCAGAAACCGAGCAATGTTGGCATCATGCTTGCACAGCTTGCAGAACAATGAGACAATTAAACTTTTTAAAAATAAACTACCCAGTCCCAGATATTTCTTTATAGCAATGTGAGAATAGAGTAATACACCCTGTTTCATTGGTTCTACCTAGTAGCCCCATTTGTCTCTGAACCAACACCTGCACCTGGGGAATAGGATTATGAAAAATTTAAGCTGTAGTCATTTGTTCATTTCCAAGGGCTGCTTGGCTAGCTGTAGATATCAGAGTGAAAACTAAGGCAGTTCCCCAAAAAAAAGGAAGAATAAATGTTGAGGAGACAACCATAATGTACACTTTTAAAAATGTTTAGAAACAGAACCCAGAAAAAAGAAGAAGACTCTCTGTTCCTCCCCTGTATTCATTCATTTTGCATTGCTATAAAAGAATATCAGAGACTGGGTAACTTTTAAAGAAAAAAGATTTACATGGCTCATGATTCTGCAGACTACACAAGAAGCATGGTGCTAGCATCTGCTTTAGGTGAGGACCTCATGAAGCTTCCATTCATGACAGAAAGCAAAGAGGGAGCAGGTGGGTCACACAGCAAGAGGGAGTGGGAGAGAGTGGAGAAGATGCCAGGCTTCTTTAAACAACCAGCTCTCGTGTAAACTCATTACCACTCATTACTCTGGGGACGGCACCAAGCAATTCATGAGAGATCTGCCCCCATGACCCAACACCTCCCACTAGGCCCCACCTCCAACATTGGGGGTCACATTTCAACCTGAGATTTAGAGGTGACAAATATCCAAACCATATCATTCTGCCCCTGGCCTCCCAAATCTCATGTCCTTCTCACATTGCAAACTACAGCCATCCCTTCCCAAGAGTCCTCCAAAATTTTAACTCATTCCAGCATTAACTCAAAAGTCCAATTTTTCATTTAAGACTCAAGGTAATTTCTTTCCCTGTAAAAATCCAAAACAAGCTATTTACTTCCAAATATAATGGTGGTATATGCATTAGGTAAACATTCTTAGTCCAAAACAGAGAAATCAGCCAAAAGAAAGGAGCAACAGGCCTCATGCAAGTCTGAAACCCAGCAGGGCAGACACTAAAACTTAAAGCTCCAATATAATACTTGACCCCCTGTCCTACATTGTGGGCACACTGGTGGAAGGAGTGGGACCCCAAAGCCTTGCACAGCCCTGCCCCTGTGGCTTTGCAAGGTGCAGCACCCTTGGTTGCTCTCACAGGTTAGAGTTGAGTGTCTGCAGCTTTTTCAGTCTCAGGCTGCAAGCTGCAGGTGGCTCTACTATTCTGGGGACTGGAGAGTGGTGGCCCTGTTCCCATAGCTCCACTAGGCAGTGTGCCAGTGGGAACTCTGTGTGGAGGCTCCAACCTCACATTTCCCCCTCAGCACTGCCCTAGTAGAGGCTCTCTGTGAGGGCTTCTTCCCTGAAGCAGGCTTCTACCTAGGCACCCAGGCTTTCCCATACATGCTCTGAAATCTGGGTGGAAGCTGCCAAGCCTCCTTCACTCTTGAATTCTGCATACCTGTAGGCTTAACACCATGTGGAAGTTGCCAAAGCTTACGGCTTGTGCCCTCTGGAGCAGCAGCCTGAGCTATACCTGGAGCCCTTTGAGCTGCTGTTGGAGCTGGAGCAGCCTGGAAATGGAGAGCAGTGTCCAGAGGCTGGGCAGGGCAGCAGGACCTCAGGTCTGGCCCCAGAAACCGTTCTTTCCACCTATGCCTCTGGGCCTGTGATCAGATGGGCTACCTCAAAGATTTCTGAAATGACTTCAAGGCCCTTTTCCAAACATTGTCTTGGATATTAGCACTTGGCTTGCTTTTGTGCTTTCCCCACAACCCATTTGGATTATTCTCTTGAAAATAATCCAAAGTTTTTATTTCTCTACCACAGGGAGAGCTGCCGATTTTTACCCTCTGCTTCTCTTTTAATTATAAGTTCTAACTTCAAGTCATTCCTTTGCCCACATCTGATCATAGGTTGTTAAAAGCAGCCAGGCCACCTCTTGAATATTTTGCTGCCTAGCGATTTCTTCCACCAGATACCCTAAATCATCACTCATATCTAGCCCTCCACATCATCACTAGCCCTCCACAGAGCCCTAGGACATGGATAAAATACAGCCAAGTTCTTTGCTAGGGCATAACAAGGGTGACCTTTGTTTTAGTTCCCAGTAAGTTCCTCATTTTCATCTGATACCTCCTCCACTTGGTCTTCACCATCCATGTTTCTATTAGCATTTTGGTCAAAACCACTTAAAAACTTTCTAAGACGTTCCAATCTCTCCCTTGTTTTTCTGTCTTCTGAGCCCACCAAACTCCTCCAACCTCTGCCCATTACCCAGTTCCAAAGCCACTTCCACATTTTCATGTATCTTTATAGCAACTCCTCACTCCTCAGTACCAATTTTCTGTATTAGTCCATTTTGTGTTGCTATAAAGGAATATCTGAGACTGAGTAATTGAAAAGAGGTTTATTTGGCTCATGGTCCTGCAGATCGTACAAGAAACATGCTGCCAGTATCTGCTTTAGGCAAGGACCTTAGAAAGCTCCCACTCATGGCAGAAGGTATAGGGGAAGTAGGTGTGTCACATGGTGAGAGGGAGCAAGAGAGAGAGGAGGAAGTGCCAGTTTCTTTTAAACAACCAGCTCTTGTGTGAACTCATAACTACTCATTATCACTGGGAGGACACCAAGCCATTCATGAGGGATCTGCCCTCATGGCCCAATACCTCCCATCAAGCTCTACCTCCAACAATGGGGGTCACATGTCAACATAAGATTTGGAGGGGACAAATATCCAAACCGTATTATTTTCCATATACATTTATGTTTTTCATCCTAAAGACAGGCTTTGTTTCATTCCCAGGGCATAAAATATGGCCTGCAAAAGTATGAAAGCTTAATTGTTCCAAATCTAGTCACACTCAAAAGACCGAATCTTCCCCTCTGTATTTAATTGACCCATTTTGAGTTGAGTCCTCTTCTAGACCAATCCAATGGCAGCCAAGGCAATAGGATCACATAAAAATGCCTGAAGAAGCTCACTCCACAAAAGAGCCATGTGGATGAGAGAAGGGTGTTTACGGAAGAAAATAATATTCACAACATGCCCCCAAGAAAACCATTTTTATAAATTTTAATGATAAATAAGTTAAATTGAAAATTTATCTCCAACATTGCCTACATATGACATCTCTGACCCCATTTAACCTTTCCTGGTGCTAACTAAATGTGGCCAACACTATTGGCCTGTTGCTGGGCAATATCCTCTTAAGTTGCTGTTACATATCCTGTTTTTATCTCATGGATAGTGACAAAACTTCCACCCCATTCCTGAAGATATTTTAAATTCAGGTTGTTAAAGTTTTACTACTTCTTGGAATAGCCACAAAATCATTCTCAGCCTCAGCAGCCAATTTATTGTGTAAATGCAGGCATGACATCTTAAAAATATATTCCACTGACTTCAGGTACATACTCAAGTATCACTTGCCAGGTAAACAGGTGAGCCAATTAATACAGTTTTACCACCTGAATACTGAAGCTGCCAACCAAACACTCTGTAAGCCCTGCCATTTTTACGTTGAAATAGTAGTTGAATATGCTAATACAAAGAAGCAAGAAATTTATGGTTGCCTATTAAAGGTACCAAGTGGGAGTAAAAGATAGTCTTGAGGATTAATCCAAGAACAGAGAAGTAAAAAAGAAATGAGGATGTCCTTTAATATGTCAGTGGATAAACAATCTTTGGTATATCCACACAATGAATGGAATGTTATTCGATGATAAAAAGAAATGAGCTATCAAGCCACAAAAGGATATGGAGGCAACTGAAATGCATATGGCTAAGTGAAAGAAGCCAGTCTGAAAATACTACATACTATCTGCTTCCAACTATGATATTCTAAGAAAGGTAAAACTTACGGAGACAGTAAAAAGATCAGTGGTTGCCAGGGTTGTGTGGGATGAACAGGTAGAGTCCAGGGGATTTTTAGGGCAGTAAAACTATTCAGTATGATACTGTCATGGCAGAAGACTGACATTAGACATTTGTCCAAACCTATAGAACTGTACGACACAAAGAGTAAACCCTAATATAAACTATGAACTTTAGTTAATAATAGCGTATTGATATTGGTTCATCAGCTATAACAAGTGTACCACACAAATGCAAGATATTAATAAGAGGACAAACTATGTGTAGTGGGAAGAAGGGGTAATGGTAATGATCTACTTTCTCCTTTCAGTTTTTCTGTAAGCTTAAAACTTTCCTAAAAATTAAGCCTATTATTTAAAAAAAAAAAAAAAAAAAGGAAAAGAAAAGAAATTGTGGTAGGGGGTGCCGTGCAGGGTAGGGAAGAATGAAATTTCACTGGATAAAAAGGAAAAGGAAAAGACCAATCTCAACTAGCCCTTGACAGCCTTTCCTGTGGATGTCTGGATATAGTAGTTAGGTTGTGTTTCTAGTTCCATCATCTTGGGAACTTCATTCTTCCCCTACCATGAGGCCGTTTCCTGAAAGTAGGCTTCTACCAGGCACATTGCTTATGTGGCTGCAGTTAGATAGTCCCAGGAAAGGACATATGCCTCAAGTCAGGCTGATAAGACTCAAAGGGGAGATTTGGTTTCTTTGGTTATCTGTGGACTTGTAATTATATGAACAAAAAATGGCCTAGCCAAATACTGTGTTATCAGAAAATAGATTTTACTACACTTTAAAGACCATAATTTGTTTCCTTCTGGAATTTTGCCCAATCTAGTCTATAAATAAAGGAAATATTTTAGGAAATAATTCAGATCTCCAGAATATAAACTCCTTGAGGATGAGAATTCTATCTGCACAGTCAACCCTCAAAAAACATGTGTTGTCCATGATAGCAATGATGGTCATGGTAATGATGATGGAGGAAGACGTTATTCAGCAAGTTTGATACCAGTCCAGTCACCCATAAAATAACATGATCCCCTTTTATCTTTCCATAGATGTCAAAAGGATGAATCAGGGATGTCTGTGTATTCCCCTCAGAGCTGTTACTCTGCTAGTGTGAGCTGTAGCGAACAATTTGCACCAGAAGCTTGAGGCTCACTTACTGTTGAGCCACAGTCTACCCAATCTCAGATAGCCGCTGGTGGCAATAGGTAGGTTACCAGGAAGAATAATACACAAACCAGCTCTTATGACAATGTCATTATCACACTTATTATTTTGCTTTCTCTTTTCTGGGCTGAGAGTACTTCACAATATACAATCTCTATTCTTGGTCTTCCTGTGAGATAGGCAGTCAGAAGAAAATGGGAAATCTTAGCACATCTGAACAATAGTAAGTCTTTCTTCACAGTGTTGTCTGAAGAGTGTTGCTTGATGACATCAGCAGCCAGATCTGTGCCTTCCCCCACACAATGAGGCTGAGTTTCTGTGCATGGGTGAGAAAGCATCTTATGAGCTGAATGATAATTAGGAAAACCATTGAGAAAATGGGAGTGACATCCTGCAAATTAAAAGCAGTTGTAATGTAAAAGGAAATTAAATCTTCAGTTTTTAAGAAAGATAGGCAATCTTGCCCACAACATTTTGACCCTTTTCCTTTATTTCTTCCCAGTCCATGCTTCTCCTTTATCTTTTCTTGGGCCCGTGTTCATTTTCTCACTGAGTTGATACTGCTTCAAACAGTTTTGTGGTTTCTGTAGGTGTGTCATTAAAACAAGGACATGGCTTCTAGGCATCTGTGATGACTCAGCGAGTTCAAACTCTATCTGCTGCGTTAGTGCAATGGATCAACCTCCTCTTGCTGCACAGAGCCTGCCAGATATCCATGGTGCCTGTCAGGGCTCTGGTTGGGCATTCATTGTTCTATTCAATCAGTTATGCCAACGATGGTCAGTCAAGTGGCATGGCATCATATTACTTGTCTGAGGCTCCTAATGAATGAGGGAAGGTTACCTTAAGA
Organism: Homo sapiens; assembly: GCF_000001405.40. NCBI lineage: Eukaryota > Metazoa > Chordata > Mammalia > Primates > Hominidae > Homo > Homo sapiens. Next base: position 68,344,396 of record NC_000005.10, on the reverse strand, counting down.
GGCCCTTCTTTCTTTGCCCTGTGGAACACTAGTAGCACAGTGTTTGGTACTTTACTTAGTTTCGCGCCAACTCCTGTAACCATGGGTTGCTCCTTTTGGAGCTCTGGTTAGACTCACCCAAGTGGCTTAGCTTGGTGCTTCCTAAACATTAACATTCATATACATCACCCAAGATCTTATTAAAATGCAGATTTGGATTCAGTGGGTCTGGGATAGGGCTGCCTATTCTGCATTTCCAACAGACGCTGCTGTTCCATGGACTATACTTTGAATAGCAAGAGCCTAATCCCAGCTGAGCACATCGTTTTATGACAACCTGCCACCATTAGCAGATAGAAGAACAGAAGTGCAAGTGCCACTGGATTTTTTTCAAACGTTTGACCTCCATAATAGGGAAGGGAAAAGGAACTACCATTGATAGAGCCTTTACTACACCCCAGGCATAATGCCTAGTTGTCAACATCATTTAATTCTATTATCCCATTGATGAGAATCTGAGCAACTTGAATAAGAAAGTGATTACTTAAAACTTGGTTTGTGAGTCCCTGCCCTTTCTGACATCAGTAACTAGTGTTGCTAAGGCAACTCAACAGGCCCAGGTTGCCAAATCTGAGAGGAGGGGATGTCAAGAGAGACCGAGAACTCATGGCACACTACAGGAAACCCCGACTCCAAGAAAGACCTACCCAAAATAGAGGTGTGCTGATGCAAATCAGTGATCACTGCTGTTCTCAGGGTATAAGAATAGGTTGGAAACCTCTCTGGTGACTCATCAGCCTTCACAGTTGCCAGGAGTTATCTCTAGCTCTAGTCAGGCAGCCAGTCACTCCCTGGCAAAGGGAAAGCCTTTTCTCGAGAACATTCTGATCTGAAAAGGAGCTGGCTTGAGCTCATTATTCAGGGTCAGGTGGCACAATGAACTATGCTGCACCACCTCGGATGGACTTTTCTGCGGGGGTTGAGAACCAGATCAGATTGTCATAGATCCCTACCCCTTCTGGCCCAAGCCCCATGAATGGAGAAGTGGTGGGCAGTGGGTGGGAGTTGGGGGGCGGGGGCGATGAGTCTCTGAAACCAGGTAAAAACCCATTTCTCTGGGATACTTCATTGTTTAGCTAAGTGGATGAGGGCCTACAGTGCCAAGATTTGCACACTCTAGGCATCACAGGGCTGGTCCCAGATTGGCATCAGAATCCCAGATTGGGTTCTCCATTGGAAGCAGATGCCTTAAAAGGTTTCTTGGCTGACAGTGCATCCCCCAGACCACACATTTTTGTTCTCCTCTGACCATTCCAATTCAGAGCTACCTCTTCCAAGGTAGGGCTCCTTCTGACTGAAGAGACTAAGAGTAGGCGATTGGAGAAGGTTTTTAATGATGTCAGGTCTTCTGAAATATTTTCTTCTCTGGAAAGTATTCTCAAACACCAAGCTCCTGGCCTAGAACTATTAACAGAGCAGAATGTTTCTTTGGAGTGTTGAAAAGAATAGCATATGAGAGGATTATCAGTATTGGCTGGTAACATATTCTGAGGATCCAACTAGGGTTATGACATTGTGTTAGAAGCTGTGAGCAATAATGAAAATGACACCTCAAACCTTTATTATCAGATGTGGAATAGGAGTTATACATTCTGGTTTATTAAATAATAGATTTTTTTCATAATAAGAACTGCAGAGGAGAAAAGACTTTCCCTTTACCCTCTGAGAATTTGATAACTGCGTCTATAAAATACGTTGACAGCAATCACATTAACAGGAGAACAGGCAGACAAATTTATTATGTACATGGCGGCATCCCAGAAAAGAAAAGGGGATATTTGCAAAACCCAATGAGATCTAGAAATCTACATGGGCTCGTTGTAGGGGAGACAGAATGTAGGTAACTTAGGGAAGAGTAAATGATTTGAGGGAAAGAGGAATGGGTGGTAGATGAGATTCAAGGGCAGTAGTGGGCAGGCTGAGTGGGGTTTGTTGGGGATTCATGACGACTGAGTTCTTCCAAAGGATCTGTCTTTAAGCAGATAAGGGAAGTTTAGAGAAAGCCCCTTCTTGCACTAGCTGTTCCCCAAATGCCCTCAATTTGAAGTCATCAGCACACCAAAGCAGCATATTTGGGGTGGTATTTCCTAAACTCCTTCAGAACAAACATGAATGGCATGTTAGAGTTTACAGAGCACTTTCATATAAATTATGCAATTTGGTTACTCACAATTAACCTGCAAGATAAAAAATATATATATAATCTGCATTTTGTTGATGAGAAAAATGAACCTCAAAGAGGTAAGGATATTTTTTTCAAAGTTAAATAAGTATCTGGAAGTGGATTTGGGATTAAGATGAGGCATTGTTTTTTTTCTCTTCATCACAGTATCCAGGGCACTGGGGAGAAAATGGAGAGTGGCTCTTCCCTGGCCCTTACCCCTTCTCCTGGAAGAGTCCTGTGTGTTTGTGTATCTGACTTATGGGAGGTGTCCACAATCCATTTCCTCTTCCTTCTATGGCCCCTCATCCTTCAAAGGACACAGAGTTCTCTAGTGCAAAGCCCATTACCTTTAAAACACCCTGCTTCCAAAAAAATCCATACCTCTGGTTCCCAGGACTTTACCTTGGCCTGGTCATCGTCATTTCCCTTGTTTAAATGTTAAAGAAGTGGGTTGTCAGTGTGCGTGGGGTGAACCACACGGGAGAGAGACCATATTCTACCTTGCATTGGGGCCATTTTTGCCAATCACAACTTGGTTGCAATCTGTGTTCTCCTAAATTGCTTTCATAGGGACTACCTTGTCTTGCCAACTGATCACCTGTCCATAAGCATTTCAGATATGGGATTGTGTTTTATTCGTCCATGGAATTGCAGCTCCTAGAAGACATCACGATGTTAAGGGAGAGCCTTAGATAGTAAGTGTTTGATTACAATTGTCAAAAAACAAAATGATAACAAAGTTAAAGATCTTAAATTGGCTTTTATTTGTGATTCTAGAATTGGACAACACCTCACTCTATAAAATAGAACGAATGTTCTGATGAGCAGAGCAGAGGAGTTTGGTTTTGTAGATAGGAAATGGCTGAGGAAAGCAGAAACAAAACAAAATACAAATTCGTTATTTCAAAATTACTTTTCTTGTAAAGGTTAAAGCAGAGGGGACTTCTTTTTGCAGATTAAAGTTGCCCTGCTTGGTGGTTTGGCTATTATCTCTCTCATTTCTTGAAGGTCAGATAAAGATCTTAGTTTTGGCTTGGTGGTGCGAAACTTCAGCAGGAGAAGCTCCATTTCAGTTTGGTCTGTGGGGTTTAGGGCAGGGGCTCAGTCCAAACCAATGGCCTCCTATAAATATTGTTTAACAAAATTATTAGAATAACTCAGGGGTATTAAGAAAAAGCCTGGGCTAGGCGCGGTGGCTCATACCTGTAAACCCAGCACTTTGGGAGGCTGAGGCGGGTGGATCACAAGGTCAGGAGATCGAGACCATCCTGGCCAACATGGTGAAAGCCCGTCTCTACTAAAAATACAAAAATTATCTGGGTTTGGTGGTGTGCACCTATAATCCCAGCTACTCAGGAGGCTAAGGCAGGAGAATCGCTTGAACCCGGGAGGCGGAGATTGCAGTGAGCCAAGATCATGCCACTGCACTCCAGCCTGGGCGACAGAGTGAGACTCCGTCTCAAAAAGAAAAGCAAAAAAGAAAAAGCCTGAAAAATTCCTCTTTTTGTCAGAAAGTACGCTATCCTCCAGGATTCTCTTCTGTGGGGGAAAAAACTTGCAGACCATGGACTCACTCTGTCCTTGGGAATTCAGTGGCAGGAGTTCACTCCTGGGAGGTGGAGAAGGCATTCAGAGGTCTGCTCAGCTACACCACTGCTCTGGAGTCTCATTCCCTCATTCTTCTTGCCCATCCTCAGCCTGGTTAATCTCATTAGACTCTGGACAAAGGTAGGAGGTAAATTCCCACCCACCCCCTACCCAAGAGATGCTGGGTCTGTAGATCTGGGTGGAGTATAGCTACGTGTATTTTTAAAGGCACCCAAGGTGATTGTTATTCAGAAGGCCCTTACACCACAGTTTGAGAAAACAATGTGTTAAACAGAAATTGCATGCAGGGCAGTAGATACCATTCCTGGGGGGAACCTCGAATATGAGTCACACCCAGTCTGGTTGCCCTTCAGCAGACAATTAAGAAAGACATTTCTGGGTCATACCAGGACCATTCTATGGGAATATGATGCTTCTGGTCCATCCTCCAACCAACCACTCCATCTACTAGCTACTAATAGCAGCATTTATTAAATGCTTTCTATGTGTCAGCCTCTGTGTTGGGGCTTTCACATGGGTCAGTTAATCCTCACAATCACTTGATGAGGTTATTTCCTTATTAGAGATGATAAACATCCAGAGAGGCTAAAGAATTTGTCTAGACACAATGTGAAAGTGGCTGAGTTGGGATAGGCATCCAAGAGGCCTATTAGCACAGATCACCCTCCTCTTACCACTCTGCTATGCTCTCTCCCTTTGAAATCACACAGGTCTGGGACTGGGGAGTAAGGCGACTCAACGCTTCTCTCCACCTGAAAACATTCTGTCCTCTACCTATGTTGTATTTCCAGCCTGTGATCTAGCTGGAATTTTTTTCCTTCCTTGGCTGTTTGTTCAAAAGACTGAAATGAAGGTTAAGTAGGAAGCCTGGTAGGGAGGTTGGGAGCTGGAGAATTTACTAATGAAATTGAATGAGGCTGCCTGTCTGCCATGAAATTTGCCCTTTGCCCAGTACCCCAGCATGATCTCAGTGGAGCACAGGCAGCCCCTCACCAGGGCTGACCAGGGCAAGTTTCAGTGGGAACACAAGCACAGACCACCTCATGGATGTGTTGGTTTTGATAGGAACTGATCCATGTCATCCTGTATGTAACGTTTGTCTCTGTGTCCAAGTTAAAAAAGAAAAAAGAAGAAAGGAGAGAGCAGAAATGAAGAATCAGCAGTAAATACAACAGTTCCTAGGAATTGGTGCAAACTCTTTGTGACAGACCCACAGGCTAACTATTTGTTCTATATAAATTAGTAAATGTATACATGAATAGCAATAAATAAATTATATTATAAATTAATAACCTCTTAGTATTTTTTTTCTACAAAATGTGAGATAGAGAACACAGAGTTTGGATTAGCCATACCTGGTGACCCATCCTGCTTCTGCCAATTCCCTGAGCAGGTTACTTAACCTCTGGGTCTCAGTTTCTTAAGATTTAATTGTGGGTAATATCTGCTTGAAAGAGTGAGATGTGAAGATTAGAAATAATGCATGCAGGGGAGGCTCTCAATAAATGGTAGCTAATATTATGATAACCACTCTAGAATTCATTTCCAAAGGTAATAGAATGTCTAAAGATGAACCATAGGAAAAGTATAGACTTTTGGTCTGTATGATTTCAAAAATAATGATACAGAATTTTGATGCCTATATTCCTGCTCCTGTGAGCTAAAAATACTACAGGTAAATAGCAATTCTGTATCTGCCATTCCATTTGATCCTTATAATAGTCCTATAGTATATAATAGGGTATTATTTTCCTCATTTAAAAAATTATCATGTTAAGGATTAGCAAAGTTAAATGGTTTGCCCTTAAAATTTATAAGGAGAAGAGCTGAGACACATACGAGTGTTCTGAAACCATATTCACAGCTCATTCTACCTGACCACACTAGAATCTATATATCAGTTCTCTTTGAAGTGCCCGATGAAAATTCATACTCTTGCCTTCTCTCATATCAATTTTTAGAAAAATTGCATCCCAGAGATGGAAAGAAAGTTTATTCAGATCATACAAAAAATCAGCAAGAGGGATGGGAATTTATAAAATGAGACTTTAGTATGTGACCAATTAGGACGCCCAAGGGGATCCTGAAAAGGCGTGAGCTCTCCTGCTTGCTAGCTGTGCAACTTGGGCAAGTTAACCATATTAGGCTGGAGCTTTTCAAGTTCCCAGGTTCTGAATTAAGAATAACAGTGTCAACTTCATAGTGTTGCTGTGGTGATTGAATTCGATAATAGATGTGCACCTGGCAAATCGATGCTCAATAGATGTGGGTTTCCTTTACCTCATGCCTTAGCTTGACAAGTGAGCACTTGGCAAAGTCTAGTAACCAAAGCCCTGGAGTCATGAAGCCTTCTCATGCCCACAAACTACCGACAGTGGATGCTTGACAGGGTGGCCAAGCATCTCAGCAGTTCTCAGCCTCAGCTGTCTGAAAGCAGAGCTGTTCCTAGAAGGGGCACTGAGAATACTTTGGCCTCTGAAGGGAGATTGATTCCCTCTGTAAGTGGTTTGCCAGTAAGGGTGTTAATTCAATCCAAATGTTGGAGTGGTTTGTCTGCTCTGAGTGACTTGGATGCTGATAACTAATAGATATGGGAGCACTAAAGTTCAAGCTTAATGTGAACATATGGTCACCTAAGAACAAGACTGGGACCATTAGCTCACAGTATGAGGGCTACAAGTTTCTATGAAAGGATCACAGCATTCACTTGCTATGCTTCTGAGAGCAATGGCAAGTTGTGGGTCCCATTACCAATGATCGAAGCCTCATTCTTCTGACCCTATTGGTATGCTACCTGCACATGTGTAGCATTACACCAAAGATGGGAGTGGGGAATCCATTTGATTCTAAGGAGGCAAGCCTTTCCTGCTAGTGTTCCCTTCTTCTTGGCAGACAAGGTAATTGAAGACATTAGAAAGTTTTGGCTTTCTCTGTCCGTGTGTATATGGGTATTTATGCAAGCTCATAAATTATCCTTAAAGGAGTACTGTTCTCCTAACTGTCTCCTTCTATACGACCATGATATGGAGCATACCGTGAGTCAACTCCTGTGAAGATTGTTAGAAAAATCTCCATTCTGAAGTCCAGGCTGTGTGCATGCCTCTCAACTTGGGCTAATTTACTAGGTCTGTGGGTTTGGCCCTGACTTCTCGGCCTGTAAAGTTTGAGTTCTTACAGTGCCCCACCCAACTTGGCCTGGTGAAAAAATATCCAGTTATTTGTCTGTGTTTTGCTTTGGTTTTAGTATGTTCTAATTCAACATCTATGTTTCAGGCGAGAAGGGCAATCAAATGATACACAAACTCTGGGCTGCCTTGACTCCAGGAAGGACACAAGGGATCAAGAAGGCCTTGTTCTCTGGCACCTTCTTCATGTTTTGTCTACTCCCCCATCACAGGAACCATGGCATCTGCCTGCCTTGTCTGGCCAGTGTCCCCTTTTATCTCTGGGAGGTCTCTCCAGCCCAGTCCTCATCCTGAAGGGCTCAGTCATATCTAAACACCTCTGTGCCTGTGCTTCCTGGGGCAAGGGTGCTAGAAGCCTGAGCCACAGTGTGTTAATTTCCTATTGCTGTAGTGAAAATTAAAATAACTTTAGTGGCTTTATTAGCTTTAGTGGCTAATAAAACATAGATTTATTATCTTATATTTCTGGAGATCAGAAGCCTCACAAAAGACTCAGCTAAAATCAAGGCTTCGGCAGAGTTGCATTCCTTCTGGAGACTCTAAGGAAGAATCTAGTTTCTTGTCTTTTCTAGCTTCTAGAGACCACCTACATTCCATAGCTCATGGCCCCTTCCTCCATTTCAAAGCTAGCAAGGTGAGGCTGAGGCCCTATGCTGCCATCTCTCTTATTCTCTCTCTTCCATTTATAAAGAACCTTGTGATTACATTGATTTCACCTGGCTAGTCCAGGATACTCCTTCCATCTCAAGATCAGCAGATTAGCATCCCTAATTCCATCTGCAACCTTAATTCATCTTGCCATGTAACCTAACATATTCATAGGTCCTGGGGATTAGATGGTAGACACATTTGGGGGCCATTATTTTGTATACCATACACATTCATCCTTCTTCCATGAGGCAGAGTTTGTATAGGACCATTGCTGAAAGTAGTCCTGGTCACATGCTGGACTTAGGGCAGCACCACCCTTGAACTGTCTCCTCCTGGTCATTGATAAATGATGATGATCAGCCTCCCTTGGCAGCCTTCCCAGGGATGTAGTCTAAATCAGCTTCCAGGGATCCTAATGTCCTTTCCTTTTCAGCTGACACTTGCTCTGTGTCCTCAGTAATCACTCTGTGACCAGTTCACCAAACTCTACCTTAGATGGAAATTTCATTTGGGGGAAACATGGCTGAACAACTTTTTCTGAGGCTTTAAACATCTGATTGCTTAGTTTGCTCCAAAAATATTATCAGCCTCAGGTCTAGTCCTGGGGCTATTGGTAAGTCTAAAGTGGTTAAGTTGTGCTTCCCCCACCAGTCCTGGGGATAGCAAATGACTTAGGACTTACAATCAAAGCATTCAATCCTCTGGCCACAGTCCTCACCTAAAGATGAACGTATGACCCAAGTCAGCTGTGGCAGAGACAGTAGTCCTCGTCTAACATTCTAAATCCTCCCTCCCATTCCTAGTCATCTTGCCGTGTCGCTAGATGTGGCCAATAAAATGTAAGAGGAAGTGCTATGGATCACTTCTGGACTGAAGCAGTGAAAATCCATGCCTAATTCTACAGTCTTTTTCTTCCTCTACTACAGCAATAAAGAAAATATTAAGTTCCAGATGGTGGAACTATAAATGGTGGAGTGTTCATCATTCCGGGTCCCTAATGACCAAGGACACATTGGGCATGTCACATGAGTGAGAAATAAGCTGGAGTGGTAAGCCTTGGATTTGGGATTCATCGTACCCACAACATAACCAGCGACTCTGACTAACATACCAGCACAATAAAAGGGCTTCCTGAGACTTTCCAGAGCTCTCAGGAAAGACTCCCCCTCTTTTGTTCTCTGACACTGCAAGCAGTAAAGACATTTTGAGCGTGGAACTTCCAGTGGCCATCTTGCCTCCGTGAGGAGAGGGCCTATCTGAAAATGAAGCCATTCAGAAGCAAGCAGAACCAAGGGATAAAGAAAACAGAATCCTGTTGACCTCATTTGAATCCTTGGATATACTTGAACCCAAAGGCTGCATGACCCTTTGAATCTCTCACTGATGTCATAAAGATATTCCCTTTTTTTGTTTTTTAGCTAATATGAAGTATGTTTTGTCCTTTGCAATATTAAGGGTCCTCATAATCATAGCCTTTTCTGCTGACTCATGTGACAATCTAGAATTATCTTTTTTCTTCTCAGGGACTCCTTCCCATGGAAAGCAAGACTTCTGCATATCAGAGTGGGGTCCTCAACACATTTGGTTGCCCCAGAGGCTATAATTCTTCTATATTCTATATGAGTGTTCCCCTATTGAAGTATAATTACATTCCTCTTTTCCATTTCCTGAGAGGGAAGAGTGTGTTAACAGTCAGCAGCAGGGACTTGAAACTGCTCGTTTTATTTTAATCACCAAATCACTCAAGGGAAAATTCACCAGTAATCAAAAATAAAACAAAGGGAAAATGAATATTGATTATCTTGACCTGCAAGTAAAAACAATAAAGAGGCTGGATGTGGTGGCTCACGCCTGTAATCTGAGCACTTTGGGAGGCCAAGGCAGGAGGATTTCTTGAGCTCAGGAGTTGGAGGCCAGCCTGGGCAACATAGTGAGACCTCATCTCTACCAAAAAAAAAAAAACAAAAAAATTTTAAAAATTAGTGGGTGTGGTGGCATGTGCCTGTGGTCCCAGCTACTCAGGAGGCTGAGGTCAGCAGGGGATTGCTTGAGCCGGGGAGATGGAGGCTACAGTGAGTCATGATCACACCACTGCCCTCCAGAGTGGGTGACAGGGCAAGACCCCATCTCTAAAAAAAGAAAAGAAAACAATACAGAGAAACTGGCGCTGCCCTTATTCCACTATAAAACTCTCTCTAGGCATTGATTTGCCTTTAGGCATTTTCCAACCATTAGTTTGGGCCTTTGGGAAAAAGATCAAAGGTTTTGAGGTTTCCCCAAGAAGGGATGATGAATGTTCATTGACTCATCCACAGTGTCTCTCTTGTTCCCTGTCTGAACCCAAAAGGAGGCATATAGGAGACCACTTCTTGGAAAGAGGTTAGAGTCTGTGGTGGGAGAATTACAAGATAAAAGGTCCACGGAGGGGTCAAACCACCAAAGTTGACCTCAGCTCCTTATTTTAACCAACTGTGCCAAATTCTGACCAGCTCCCTGGTCAGTGGGGGGCTGACCTCCACTCCCCACACATCCTAACACATGTTTCCTCAGAGTGCCCTGAATTGAACAAACAGAACCTCCAAACTTAGAAATGGCCAGTAGCCTGTAGGCGGCAGACTCATGCCCTTCTTCAACTTTGACCACAACTGTGAGTCAGTGGATAAAACTGAGTCTTTGCCAAGTATCCCTCAAATACTAACTCAGGAATTCAGCAAGATCTCTAAGATGGATGGCACAGAATATTAGGTTCAGGTTTCCAAAAAACCCATTATTACCTGATTGCTTTTGTTTAGCAAGGGAACATATATACATATTCCTGTGTGAATATGTATTGTTGACCTGGAAATTGTAATTAGAAGATTTCCAATCTCACTTTCTTAGTCATGCTAACCTCTGGTGAAGAGTCTTCAGCTTTGCCCATGCAACTGATCAAAGCTGGAATACCTTAACACTCATTTCAAAAGAATTCAGTTCTTCCTTTTAAGTACTGCTAACTTGGGCTCATGTCTAACTTGGATGAAAAGAGTAGGATGCTATTGACAGTATTTCCTTAAATTATATTTCTCATTATTCCTGATAATTATGATATTAACAATATATTTATTAGTTGACAAGATGCGATGGTCCCTATGTACTTTTACTTAGAGAATTATAGAATTTTATGTGAAGAAATTCTCTAGCCTACATGCTCCAGTTTTCTTGGCAACATTCTCCACTACTGTCTTTCACCCTTGAATGCTGCTCTTCCAGAGGCCATCTGTAGCAGGTATTGCTAGTGCCCCAGCACATCACCTCAGCGCACCTTGGATTTCAGTCACAGCCGAGACCAGACTCACTTTGAGCTGATAATGTCTCACATCAGCTGCTGGGTGCCCCAACTATGTCTACATCAGCCTAAGACCTTCTCCCAAACTGCTTACTATGCAAGTGTAGCCCTCAAGTAAACCGTCCATCTGTGGGCTTTGAGGCAGTGTGGCAGTCTACCTCCCCTAAGGGGGTTGATTCCAGGAGGCTTCCTGCAAGATTCTCAGAGGTCTCTGGATAATGCATGCTTACCTGGCTTCTCTTTTTTTCCTGTCTTATTCCCCCTGTCCCCTCTTTTTCATTACTTGGGGTCACCTCCCAAATAAGTAGGTTGCATTCAAGCCCTTACCTCAGCCTCTAACTTTGAGGGAACCCAAACTAAAATACAATCTATTCCACTGTGGTCAGTAAGCATGTGGACTTTGGACATATACTTCCTGACACTAGCTCTGTGGCCCTGGGAAAGTTTCTTAAACCTCTCTGTGCCTTGGTTTTTTTCATCTCTAAAATGGGGATAATAATAGTATCTACATTAATATAGAAGCCATTGTTTCAGAACTTTTCCTTATGGTGAGGTGAAATCTGTCCTCCTGTAAATTTCATCCTTTGGACAGAAATGGCCAACAGCTTCAGGTCACAGCAGCTCAGCTGGTTGAGATGAGGAAATGAGTTACCATTTACTGGGGTTTCCTGAATCACTTGGTAAGTCATTTCCTCTGGGCCTGGCTTTGGCTTAGTACTAAGACCATCGGAAACAAGAAATTCTTCTCTTAGAGCTTTAGTGCAAAGAACAGTGATGGGGCAAATAGATTATTTTAATAACACCTCTACATGAATGGCAGTTAACTGTTATAAAAATACTAATAAATATGCTATTGAATGCAATAATTTTCACCTTTTCAATTCTTTTCTTTTTAGATGCAGCATTATAAATATCATCAGAATATAAAATCTAACCTCCTGACAACCTGAGTTTATTACGGTAAATGTTCTATTGATAACATCTGCTTCCCTTTGATACAGAGCCTAACACTATGTTTAGATTTAATTTGCAAGTATAGAAAGTAAGTTTCAAGGAAGTGATGAAAATCAGAGACTGAGAGGCCACAATGGGTATTTGTTCAGGTCACTGAGTGGCAGATGATGTGCGTGAGAAGGAATACAGGGAAAATATATGAAATTGAAATTTTAGGCTCCTATGAGCCCTTCCCATACTTACCCAACCCTCACTTTGTCAAGCCTCTTTACTGCAAGTATGGTCCATGGGCCAGCAGTGTCAACAACACCGTGGAGCTCAATTACCATTCTATAATTTATACTTTTAATATTTATCCGTAGCAAGAAATAGGGCTCTAGCACATTTGTTTTCTCATTTTTATTATGGTGTAAGATACATAAAGTTTATCATTTTAATCATTTTAAGTGTACATTTCAGCGGCATTATAGGCATTCACATTATGTAATCATCACCACTATCTACTTTGAGAACTTTCACTTCCCCTAAACAGAAACCCTGTATCCACTAAAAAGTAACTCCCTATTACTCCATTTCTCTAGCCCCTGGTAACCTCTATTTTACTTTCCGTCTTAGCTTATTCGTTCTTAATTGCTATACTGCATGTCTTCAATAAATACTACACATATTATCTATTCCTCTATTGGGCTAAGATACTATATTTGTTTTCCATTACTGCCAGAACAAATTATCACAACCTTAGTGGCTTAAACAGCACACATTTATTATGTTGCAGCTCTGTAGTTCCAAAGTCCAATATAGGTCTCACTAGGCTAAAATCAAGGTATTGGCAGGGCTACATTTCTTTCTGGAGGTGCTAGGAAAAAATCCTTTTTATTTTGTCTTTTCCAACTTCTAGAGATTGTTCTCATTCCTCGTCCTATGCTCCCCTTCCTCCATCTTCAAAGGCAACAGCATGACAGCTCCCTGACTCTACTTCCATCATCAGATCTTTTTCTCTGACCCTCCCCTTTTGCTTTCCTTGTTCACTTTTAAGTTGGACAATTGTGGTTACATTGGGCTGACTCAGATGATCTTCCTCTTTTAAGGTCAGCTGATTTGGTAAGCTTCATTCCCCCAGCAGCTGTATCTCCTCTTTGTCATGTAACATAACACATTCACAGGTTCTGGGGATAAGAATATGAACTTCTTTGGGGAAGCCATTATTTTGCCTGTCACAGTTACTAAAACAATATTGCAGTTGATATCCATATATATACATCTTTCTATTGGTGCTCTCATGTGAGAGCTCTCTGGGCAATACATCTACAGTAGAATTTTATTTTCCTCCTTTACTCTTTGAGGTCTTTTTGGAGTCAGATTTGTCTTTATTTTGGATACAACGCTTGCTGAGACTGACCCTAAGGGAGCCCAGCTTTGTTCAGGTTGCATATGGAGGAGTTGGCCTCTGCCTGCAAGGCCTGGCCCTTGTATGTACTCCCTCACAAGTTCATAGTTTGAAAGCTTTAAGATCTATAGTGATAACTAAGAGAAAGGCGAGAAAGTACTGCAAAAGTCCAGGGAGGAGTTAGAAGCAATGATGTCTAGGCTACATGCCAAAAGAAGAGCTGTCTCTGGGATAAGGGAAATTAGAACCATCACTAGAGGGAGGAGAGTTGGCTGGAGGGCAAGGAGGTGGCCCTGACAGCTGGCTCAAAATAAGCCTGGAGGTGTTCAAGCCCAGGATATGTGTCACATGTGTGTGTGTGTGTGTGTGTATGTGTGTGTATAAGTCATGTACAATAGACCAGGTGCAGCCAGAATGCTTTCCCTTTGGAACTGATGTTATAACAAAGATGCTGCTTTTGATGAAAATATTTCTGGAATTATATTAAAACCAAAAGCACATTCTTTTGACTATCATCAGAGCAGAGAAATCACCTTTTGAGAAAAGTTTTATTTTGAAGATAACCAAAGGTAATTACAAGTCAAGTCTCATAAAAGAAGCTACCAACTGAATCACAACATTTCTGGTCAAAAAAGGAAGAAAACTGATTTTCTTACATGACTGTAGAGCAAAGTGTCCACCCATCCTTGCCACCCAGTCTGGGTTTTTTATGATTATCTCAATGTAATTTATTATAACACCCACTGTTTTTCTCAAAATGCCCCAATGTGCTTGATACATTATTATACACTATCCTGATGGCAATTTTGAAAAAGAGGTAACAAATATATAAGCAATGATAAGATTTTGGGATTAGTGCTCAAGTTGATAATGTGACTGCTTTTAAGAACACATTGATATAAATGTACAAGTTCTGGTATGTTTGCTTTCAAAAATACGCAAATAAACCACCCTCTATACTTTCCTTGGCTTTACTATAAATTCATGAACACACAGCAGGCAATAGAGTTGTGATATGACCATGACTGGCAGCAAACCACTCTCCTTCCCTTTTACACACTGTCAGAATGAGTTTTTATGAATTTCCTCCTGCATATTGTCCTTGATATTATTTACTGTAACTAGGATTTATCTCAATAATAATGCGAGGAGAAAATGAAGGAGCTTGTGTAGTATAACATATTCTGGGTCCTATAGTCCCACAGGAATGGCCTTGACTAGGGGCATGGTTTTCTTCTGGGGGCCAGTATAAAATCAGAAGTTGTGGGTTGAACCATGACACTGTAATGAGAAAGTTGTGAGGAGAAAGCGTGAGAACTATTGCTGTAATGTGGGCAGATTATTCTTGCGCAATGCCAAGCACTTAATTCCATGCACACGCTATCTTCCTTCTCATATTGAGGAAAGATATACTGGCATCATTTATAAATATGATCTCAGTCATTATCATAATACACTTTCCCAAAAGCCAGAGAGGGCAAAAATACTTCGTGGGGACTTGTCAATATTGATATAACATCATAAAATTGTATTAGAAACATGAAGACATAATAATGACACTTCGGACTATTTTAAGCTAAAGAATGTAAATAGACAATGTTTCAAATAGAAACCCTTCTGATATCAAAAATAATAACTTTGCAATAGGCTGTATATCTGAGGGTTCTGTCAACAAAGAATATCAGAATAGAATCACAAACCATAGTGATAAAACACAGAATCAAAATTAAACAGTTTCAACTGTTTTTATTGAACTCTTTCCTCCCAAGGAGGTCAACATAATAAAGATGTTTGATTATCTTCCCAAGCTGGGCTCTATTTGAGAAGGTAGTATAGGCAAGACTGGGTCAAAAGAGGGGTGGGGAAATCAACAATTGATAAACAAAGGTTTCCTTTTTTAATTTAACTTTTATTTTTAGTTCAGGGATACATGTGCAGGTTTGTTATACAGGTAAACTAATGCCATGGGGGTTTGTTGTACAGATTATTTCATCACCCAGGTGTTAAGCCTAGTACCCATCAGTTATTTTTCCTAATCCCCTCCCTCCTCCTACCCTCCGCCCTCTGAAAGGTCCCAATGTGTGTTGTTCCCCTCTATGTACCCATGTGTTCTCATCATTTAGCTCCCGCTCATAAGTGAGAACATGTGGTATTTGGTTTTCTGTTCTCGCATTAGTTTGCTAAGAATGATGGCCTCCAGCTCCACCCATATTCCTACAAAAGACATGATCTCATTCATTTTTGATGGCTGCAGAGTATTCCATGGTGCATATGTACCATATTTTCTTTATCAAATCTGCCATTGATGGACATTTAGGTTGATTCCATGTGTTTGCCATTGTGGATAGTGCTGCAATGAACATACATGTGCATGTGTCTTTATGATAAAATTATTTATATTCCTTTGGGTATATACCAAATAATGGGATCACTGGGTCAAATGGTAATTCTGTTTTAGGTCTTTGAGGAATCATCATGTTGTTTTCCACAAAGGTTGAAGTAATTTACATTCCCACCAACAGTGTGGAAGCAGTTGAACAAATATTTCTTGCATGGCTACCATGTGCAGGGCACAGCAAAGTGGTTGAACATATGGGCATTATATCTACCAGCTCCACCACTTACTACACTCAAACGACCAACTTACCTTTCTCTGTCCTAGCTTCCCAACTTAATGTGGGACTAATGACAAGACCTTCTTCATAGGTTTGTTGTGAGAATTAATCCATATAAAGCATTTACAAAGCGAGTGGCATAGAGCAAGCACCCAAATAGTATAGTTAGGAGGAAACAATAGATCTGCAGATAAAAACACAACTGCCCAAGTCAGGTAGCATATCGTAAATATGAATGGTAACTGGCAAATTACAGGAGGAAAGATCACTGTGAATTAAAGGCAGTGGGGTTTGTCCAGAGTCTTAACATAGAGGGAGGAGGAGAGGTGCTTGTTAAGAGCATTTCAGGAAGGCCAGGATGCAAGTGTCTCATGTTCATATGAGAAGGGGATGCAATAAACAAGCCCTTCTGGCGGAAGCATTGGGTTCATGCAGGAGAGAAGTGGGAGAGAGGTGGTAGAGGTGGTTTGGGGTTAGTTTGTGAGAAGCTTAGATTTTAGCCACTTCTGGTTTTTAGGACAAGCTCGTGGATTGGTGTAAGTTGTGCCATTGGAAGCAGATTGGGCAGGGACCCTCCAGCCTAGAGAAAAGATGACCTAGACCATGAGGATCAACTGTACTGAGCCTTTTGCACTGCAACAGAGGTCAAGTGTGGGGGTCTGGACTAGCGGAAGGCAGCCAGAAGAGAAAGTCTCCTGTGGATTCAGCCTGATATGAGAGGACTCTGCTAAATTTGTGCTAACTGATCCCAAGGGACCTTCTGGTGCACAGGGAAGGACAGAGACCGAGGTCCAGCTTGGGTTACTAGAAAGGAGAGGTCTTAATAAAATGACTAGTGCTTGCACTTACTTTTTTCTATTGAACAAGAATATTCTCAGAGTGACACTACTTATTCATCACAAAACAATATTTGGTACCTACTTGTGCTGGAGACATTCAGAAGAAATTAAAAAAAAAAACATTATCTAAGGTCCCTAAGGATCTCAAAATCAAGATGAGGGCAAGGGAGAGGCAGTGTTTGGGAAGAGGCATTTGTTCAGAAGGGCAAGTATGTGGCCTCCCGTTGTTAAGTAAGTTTCCAGTGAATAATGTGGATGAAGTATACTACTGGAAGGCCAAAAGAGATTCCTACAGGCTGCAGTGGTTATAGGAGCCTGATTTGGTTATTTGTTTTATTATAAATTAAGATGTTTTTATTTTTAGAGAGAAAAAGTCCAGTAGTTGGTTAAAGTGAAGACCAAATTACAAAAATAAAATTCAAAAATGTTACTTATATTTTCGGCTCTTATGCACATTAGACTTGAATGTGCAAAGAGATTTAAGAATAATTAACATTCCTTGAACACTTATTTAGTGTCTGGTACTATGGTACACTATTTACATATCAGCTTATTTAATCCTTACAAGCTGTTAATTAGGTACACTATATTATCTTCATTTTACAAATGGGGAAAGAGAGGCTTGGAAAGAGGCTATTTTATTTCTCAAAAGATTGGCTTTGCTGGAAGCATTATTACTGTCCCATGACTAGACTCTGACCTGTCATTTCTTTTGTTTTTGTTGCCATTTCCACCACCCTTTTGAAACTGATAGCCTTATGTTTAGGTAGCTTCAACTGCTGGGATCCTTACACTCCCACTGAAAGGGAGCTCAGAGGCACTCAGTGCAGATTCAGTAATGGGTGTCTCACACCATCATAATTGTCCCAGATTTGATCTACGTGTATTGTTTCAGCATTTCTATCAGCCACTGCTACTAGCACTTCCTGCGTTGCCCCCAGTCCTGGCCACCTGTTTTGCCAGGGAACACCTGTGTGGTGGTCAGGAAGCCGACTGCCTGCAGAAGTTGATGAGGCATTTCTGCTTGGATCTGGTGCCTTCCTCCACTCCTTGATCATTGCCAAAACGTCCTGCAGCTCTTTATAACTCAGTCACTTCCAGCTCTTCATCTTACTAGCTGTGTGATCTGGCTAAGTTGTTTAACCCTCTAACCATCAATTTCCTTACCTATAAAATCAGAATAATAATAGTACCTACCTTGTAGGGCTGTGAAATTAAGTGAGTCATGTTAAAGCACTGAGAATAATGCCTGGCATATAGTTAAGTGCTCAATCAATGTTTATTTATTACTGTTTCCAGAACTTCTCAAGTGTTCATTGGAAATATTGGGCAATAGAGTCAAGCCACAGATTAAAAATAATAATTGTATATAAGAACAAATTGTAACATGGTTATAGAACAAGACTGACAAGTGATTTTTTTTTTTTTTTTTTTTGAGACAGAGTCTTGCTCTCTCTCCCTGGCTGGAGTGCAGTGGTATGGCCTCAGCTCGCTGCAGCCTCTGCCTCCGAAGTTCAAGTGATTCTCGTGCCTCAGCCTCCCAATTAGCTGGGATTACAGGCGTGTACCACCACACCAAGCTAATTTTTGTATTTTTAGTAGAGATGGGGTTTCACCATGTTAGCCAGGCTGGTCTCAAACTCCTGACCTCAAGTCATCCTTCTGCCTCAGCCTCCCAAAGTGCTGGGATTACAGGCATAAGCTACCACACCTGACAAGTGACTATTTTACAAGTAAACCACCATGTTATCATTAAGCAATAACTTTAGTTTTTTTTTTTTTTTTTTTTTTTTTTATCACATAGGAAGTAAAGCAAAAGGGAGGACTGACAGGGTTGCAGAGAGAAAGTGCAGCACCCCATTATTTGCATGTGAGTAAAATTGTCAGAAGTGTTGATCAAAGTGAAGTCTGAGGACCACTTGCTTAGGCACTTTAAAAAATGTAAATGCCTGAATTCTACTGATTCAGAAGCCCTGGGAATTGATTTCTTCTTTTTCTTCTTCTTTTTTCTTTCTCCTTCTCTTCTTCTTCTTTTTCTTCCTCTTCTTCTTCTTCTTCTTCTTCTTCCTCTTCCTCCTCTTCCTCCTCCTCTTGCTCCTCCTCTTCTTCTTCCTCCTCTTCCTCTTTCTCCTTCTCCTCTTCCTCCTCCTCTTCCTCCTTCTCCTCTTTCTCCTCCTCCTCTTCTTCTTCCTCTTCTGTCATCCATTTCTGCTTCTTCTGCTGCTGCTGCTTCTACTTCCTCTTCCTCTTTCTCTCCTTCTCCTTCTTCTTCCTCTTCCTCTTCCATCCTTCCTTCCTTCCTTGGTTTCTTCTTGAATAGGTGCACTAAGTGATTGTTAGGCACTTGAAAGTTTGATTTGCATCCATCCAAGGATGGAAAAAGAGCATCCCACTAGGGTCAAAGTGGACTTGCAGCTAGACAAAAGCAGGCCTGCATGTTGAGATTTGATAAGACAATCCCAACTCCTAGGCCTTCAGGATGTCAACTGACCAGAGAGATAATAATGAGCTGGCTTTGTACGACATTTAAATTGAGTAAAGAACATTTGTCATTTTAGGATCAACCTTGCCTGATATCAACTCTGTAGAACACCCGGTGATCAAAGGGCATAGGGTTTACCAGCAGCAGAGTAACAATGGCAAAGCCCACTTTCATCTCAAAACTCGCTCCCTTAATAACAAGAATTACAAAAATCAGCATCACTTTCTTTCTCATGACACTAGAAGCCAAATAAAACCCTGAAACACAAGATATGGAGACAAAAAGTGAACGGAAGATTGCTGAATGACTTAGCTAAACAGTACAAGAAAAAACTAGGAATCTATAGAGGAAGAACTGAATTAAATAAACTCATCTGTGGGATGCTAGAAAGGCATCAAAATTGGTAACATCACGTATTGTAAAATATAGGAGGAGACTGGGGGCGGGGGATACTGGAAAAAAAATGGGATAGGGTGTGGTTAAAAGCTATATAAAAACTACTTAAACACCTGAGTTCCACCCCCATCCTGCAGTTAGAAAAATCTACTCCTCTCCCTCTCCCTCTCCCTCTCTCTCTCCCCACGGTCTCCCTCTCCCTCTCTTTCCAAGGTCTCCCTCTGATGCCCAGCTGAAGCTGGACGGTACTGCTGCCATCTCGGCTCACTGCAACCTCCCTGCCTGATTCTCCTGCCTCAGCCTGCGGAATGCCTGCGATTGAAGGCGCGCGCCGCCACGTCTGACTGGTTTTCGTATTTTTTTGGTGGAGACGGGGTTTCGCTGTGTTGGCCGGGCTGGTCTCCAGCTCCTAACCGCGAGTGATCCGCAGCCTCGGCCTCCCGAGGTGCCGGGATTGCAGACGGAGTCTCATTCACTCAGTGCTCAATGGTGCCAAGGCTGGAGTGCAGTGGCGTGATCTCGGCTCGCTACAACCTCCACCTCCCAGACGCCTGCCTTGGCCTCCCAAAGTGCCGAGATTGCAGCCTCTGCCCGGCCGCCACCCCGTCTGGGAAGTGAGGAGCGTCTCTGCCTGGCCGCCCATCGTCTGGGATGTGAGGAGCCCCTCTGCCTGGCTGCCCAGTCTGGAAAGTGAGGAGCGTCTCTGCCCAGCCGCCATCCCATCTAGGAAGTGAGGAGCGCCTCTTCCCGGCCGCCATCCCATCTGGGAAGTGAGGAGCGTCTCTGCCCGGCCGCCCATCTTCTGAGATGTGGGGAGCACCTCTGCCCTGCCGCCCCATCCAGGATGTGAGGAGCGTCTCTGCCCGGCCGCCCCGTCTGAGAAGTGAGGAGCCCCTCCGCCCGGCAGCCGCCCCGTCTGAGAAGTGAGGAGCCCCTCCGCCCAGCAGCCACCCCGTCTGAGAAGTGAGGAGCGTCTCCGCCCGGCAGCCACCTCGTCCGGGAGGGAGGTGGGGGGGTCAGCCCCCCACCCGGCCAGCCGCCCCGTCCAGGAGGTGAGGGGCGCCTCTGCCCGGCCGCCCCTACTGGGAAGTGAGGAGCCCCTCTGCCTGGCCACCACCCCGTCTGGGCGGTGTACCCAACAGCTCATTGAGAATGGGCCATGATGACAATGGCGGTTTTGTGGAATAGAAAGGGGGGAAAGGTGGGGAAAAGATTGAGAAATCGGATGGTTGCCGTGTCTGTGTAGAAAGAGGTAGACATGGGAGACTTTTCATTTTGTTCTGTACTAAGAAAAATTCTTCTGCCTTGGGATCCTGTTGATCTGTGACCTTATCCCCAACCCTGTGCTCTCTGAAACATGTGCTATATCCACTCAGGGTTGAATGGATTAAGGGCGGTGCAAGATGTGCTTTGTTAAACAGATGCTTGAAGGCAGCATGCTCCTTAAGAGTCATCACCACTCCCTAATCTCAAGTACCCAGGGACACAAACACTGCGGAAGGCCGCAGGGTCCTCTGCCTAGGAAAACCAGAGACCTTTGTTCACTTGTTTATCTGCTGACCTTCCCTCCACTATTGTCCTGTGACCCTGCCAAATCCCCCTCTGCGAGAAACACCCAAGAATGATCAATTAAAAAAAAAAAAAAAAGAAAGAAAAATCTACTTCTGGAGAAACAAATTACCTTCGCATCTCTTTTGTCAGGAAACTCTTGGATGATGTACTGACCAAAACAGGGAATAACCTAACAGAGAGGAAGACCGGGATTTTAGGAAACCGGAGATCACACAGGAAGGAGGTAAAGGGAAATCCCAGGATGATGGCAAAGGGAAGTCCCCAAACAACAGCTGTGCAACAAGAATAAAGAACAATCAGAGGACCTCTTGAGCCCAGAGGTCAAGGCTGCGGTGAGCCAAGGTCGTTCCACTACACTGAAGCCTGGGCAACAGAGTGAGACCCTGTCTCAAAACAGAAAAGGACCTATCAGCCCCAAGTGGAGCAGAACAGAGGGATTTGGGAGGAATGTCCTCAGAAAAAGATATTAAAACACAGTTATCTGATGAGTTTGAAGATGTAAAAAGTTCTACTGAAAGCCATTGTACATAGCGATAGGAAGACATGCCATAGATTAAAAAAATAATAACCTAAGCAAATCAAAATTAGGTAACAAAAGTCCAGGAAAAACAAAAGCTTATAGATGGGAAATGTAGACAGTATACATCGCTTAACTTAGAAATGAGCCATCATCGAAAATAATAAAAACACTGATTATGAATTTAACAAAAAGTTGTGGTGATAATTATAGTGAAGGATATGAGAGCTAACATGCTCATTTACCATAAGAAGAACTAAATAGATTATGCCAAAATTATAAACCAAGATATATTAGTATATGAATATTGTTTAGGACTAGAGTGGTACATACCAAAGATACACCTCAGAAAATTGAAAGTAGCTGCCTCTGAAGAGTGGGACAGTGAAGGGTGTGTGCGTGTGTGTATGTGTGTGTGCACTTGGAATCCATAGTTTTATTATAAACTTTCTTGAAGGAGAATATCATAATACCATGTCTTTTTTTTTTTTTTTTTGGTAGAAACTTGTTTGCACTTTTTTTCCAGGCTAGAGTGCAGTGGCTATTCGCAGATGTGATCTTAGTGTACTACAACCTAGAACTCCTGGGCTCAAATGATCCTTCCATCTCAGCCTCTCGAGTAGCTAGAACCACAGGTGTGTGCTGCTACACCCAAGAAAAACTGCTACAGTTGAAATTCTAATGCCACTACTTACTAACTTAGTAACTTCGTGACCTTAAGAAAGTTACTGATGCGCTCTGTGTGCCTCAGTCAGTTTTAACATCAATATAGTGGGGATGACGCAGATAGTACTCAACTCATAGGGTGTGCTGAGAATTAACTGAGACTATCCTTGTAAAACATTTAGTTCGGCGTCTGGCACATAGGAAGCATTTGATGCATCTTATCCATTATCATTTCACTTTTTAAATTATATTCATGTATTACTTTGATAAGAAAAAAATGTAATTTAAAAGAAAGCAGGGCTGGGAGCAGTGGCTCATGCCTGTAATCCCAGCACTTTAGGAGGCCAAGGCAGGAGGATCACTTGAACCTAGGAGTTTGAGACCAGCCTAGGCAACATAGGAAGACCCCATCTCTACAAAAAAGTAAAAAATTAGTCAAGCATGGTGGTACATGCCTGCAATCCCAGCTAATTGGGAGGCTGAGGCAGGAGGATCACTTGAGCCAGGAGGTCAATCGAGACTTCAGTAAGCCATGATCACACCACTGCACTCCAGTCTGGGCAACAGAGCAAAACCCTGTCTCAAAAAAAGAAAGAAAGGGAAGGAAGGGAAGGGAGGGGAGGAAAGAAAATAAGGAAAGAGACAGGGAGGAAGGAAGGAAAGAAGGAAGGCAAGAAGGAAGGGAGGGAGGGAGGGAGAGCAAGCAAGCAGATAGGGCAAAGAGAGATCTCTGACAAGGGAGCTTTCGGGAGGCTAACTACACCAACCCCGAAGCTGCATTCCAGTTCACCATGCCTAGAAAAAGACACTAGATGAGTTGTGGTTCCTGTGAAGTAAGAGGGAGGGAACAAGGGTGTGTGTGTGTGTGTGTGTGTGTGTGTGTGTGAGAGAGAGAGAGAGAGAGAGAGAGAGAGAGAGAATGAAGCTTCCAGATTAATGCTGCTATTAAAAAAGGATTTGTTTCAATAATATTTTCATTAGCTTTCCTGTGTTCAGATATGCAGAAATAGTCCCCCTTCTAGCCCTGTTTCTTTGAAGGTGGGCAAGAGGACAGCCTGTGGATTTCTTCTGATGAATTGTTCAGGTCTTGGCATGGTCCTCTTAGCGTCTTCGTGGTAAGAATGTGTGGATTTACAGGCCTGAGGATGATGAGGCTTCCTGCAGCCCTGTCATCTCTCTACTTATCTAGATGAGGAAAACGACAAGTTGGGATTGGAGATACACGGAGCTCACTCAGGTTGTTTTCCTGAGTGTTGTCAAATCAAAATAGCTAATTGGTACGTTTTCCAGCTCACTCTAGGTGCAATTGGCTGAAAAACAGCCATAATAGCTGATACAGCTGGAACTTGATTGTGTTTCTCCTGGAGAGGGCTGTCTGTAGGGCTCCTATTAGCAGCACATAGCATCTGCTGACTTGCTCTGCTCTGAAGCTTTTCAGGCCAGCACCTCTCTACTCTAGGCTGTCCTCCTGGGGACCCACTGAATTTGAGGTGTCTGGAATAGAGCTTCTCTTACTTACTGCCCCCTCAGAAGGTGTTCATTGATGTCCCTGAAATGCCACTCCCTCCACAAAACTGTACCCAGCACTGACCACTGGAGATTAGTTCCTTACTTCTTCTTATCTGGACTTGGGACTTTGAGGTCCTCCTCCCTCCTTCTCCACCCCAGCTATTCACTTAGCCTGGCTCCCTGCCCTTTGTGCACTTATCCATGACCTAAATGGGTAAATTCTTTCCTGTCTATTCACCATTGAATGTTTATTTTAGGCTCAGTGACCTATCTTGTCCATGTTTTAAATTGTGAACGCCCAAGGGTTAAGGGTTGCATTTCTTTGCAGTTCTCTTGTTGCAGTGTTTGATACAGCAATACTATGTTTTGAATGTTTATGTATTTCCAAAATTCACGTTGAAACCTAATCCCCACTGTGGTAGTATTAAGAGGTGCAACTTTTAGGAGGTGATTAGGTCATAGGGTCCACACTTGTGAATGGGATTAGTGACCTTATAAAAGAGGCTTGAGGAAACCTGTTTTCCCCTTCTGTCAAGTGAGGACACGTAGAAAGAGGGATAGATCACCGGACACTGACTCTGCTGTTGCCTCATTCTTGGACTTCCCAGTTTCCAGAATTGTGAGTAATAAATGTATCCTGTTTATAAGTTACCTGATCTAGGTGTTTTGTTATAGTAGCCCTAAGAAACTAAAACAAACATGTAGGTGTTTCTGCAGCTGCTTTCACAAGTGAGGAAGAAGTGAAGGATTCTAAAGCCCCAGTAGTGTTTGGAAAAGTAAGAGAAATATCTGGATTTGGACATGAGAATGAGAAGGTCAAGTTCAGGGACTAAGCAGCATTTTGCAGCGCATTCCTTCAAAGATTGAAGTTTGTGTGGAGAGTCACTCATTAAATAAGGAGTCCAAGGCTGCTGAACTCCTTGGGAGGATGAGCGAGGTTCACTTGCTGACCTTTGGTGAGTCACTTCTACTGTGGTCTTTTGATTTCCTTATTTTAAAATGACAAGAATAATAGTTTTACAGGGGTGAGAGAAGACTGAGGAATGTTTCAGAGAGCCTCCAAGAACTGGGAGTTTAAACCTCAGTACTATAGTGTCACTTTGGTAAACGTGACTGAGAGGGGAAAGAGGTGATTAACTTTAAGGTCATCAGAGGTGGGCTGGCATTTATTGGTTCAGTCTAGAACCTGGAACACCAAGCCAGAGGGAAAGTCAGAGAGCAGATAAGTCAAAGCTTCTGTCAGCCATTGAAAGCCAGAGGCAGGAGCACGCTTGAGGCATCGTTCCGTGTCAAAGACAATGGCAAACATGCCCATGCAAACTCACCACCTTCAGGGGGCATGGAAAGCAGCTTTCTGATTACTCTTATAGTTTTCTATTTCTGCTGCAACCAATTAGAACCATACAAGTTTATCACCTTAACATCTGAGAGGCAGAAGTCCAAGATGGTTCTTATGAGCTAAACACAAGGTGTTAGAAGAGCAGCATTCCTCTGGGAGGCTCTCAGGGAGAATGTGTCCTTGTTTTTTCAAGCTCCTCAAGGCCTCCTGTACCCCTTGGCTTGTGGCCCCACTGCTCATCACTCTACCCTCTGCTTTTGTCCTCATATCTCCTGACTATTGTCCTCCTATTTCTTACATGGTCTCTTGTGATTACATTCCCCTCTACCACCAAATATCCAGAATATTCTTTCCATTTAAAGATCCTTAATTTAATCACATCCAAAAAGCTCTTACCAAAAAAAGTACCATATTCAGAGGTTCTAGGGATTATGACCGTGGACATCTTTTTTGGGGGATCATTATGCAGCCTGCTACAACTACCCAATGAACTTCATGCTCTTTGTTAAGGGCTTTGTTTTAGTGCTAAAGCCACGACCTGCATATAAATATAAAATAAACATATCACAGATTTAGTTTAACTCATTAAGGAACAGTTAAAATGATACAACTGTTTCAAAGGAAAATTGAAAATTCCCACACATCTAAAGACTTTCAGGAATGCTGACAGAATTTGGAGACAGATGTACATTGGTCAATGTGGGACACTAACTGAGTACATCACACAATTCACATTTTTATGAACAAAATAGTAATAGTTTGCATTACTATCATCAGTACTCTACAATTTACAGAGCTGTGGTTTCCTTGAAAAACAGATAACCCAGCCTGCGATCCCAGACTCCAGTCATTGTTTTTGCCCCTTTCAGTCTTTTGAAATGTTTCCTGATACCTTCTACAACAAAAAAATTCCCTTTGATCCTCAGAGCCCCTCCTTTGTAGCCTTCCACCTCAGAACAGTTTCTACCCTTCTTAACCACCTGCGTTCTCTCCACCCCTACATCACTAGATAGCTACTTCATTGATATTCATTTACAATGATCAGGTAACAACTTAAAATGCATATACTCCTGGGTGGCTGTAAAAGCAGGAATCAAAGCTTTGTAAACTGAATGAGATAAAGCTGAACGTGTAGGCGGCAGTTTTTACTCCCCTTAGAATCACCTGGGAACTTTTTGGAACATGGCAATGCTGGAATGCAATTCTAGATCACTTTTGAAGGTCTCCCCAGATAAGTCTCACGTGAATTCTTATGCGAATCACTGCTGTGGACCTTGCTCCTGAGAGCGAGGTCAAGAGACTGGAGCATGCACAACACCTGGAGCTTGATAGAGCTATCAGGTCCCAGGACCCACCTAGACTTTCTGAATTGAATCTTGAAGATTAACAAGATCTGAGGTGCTTTGTGTACATGTGAAAGTTTGAGAAGCACTGGGCCTTTCAGGTGGTCTTTCAGGAAGGCACTAGGCTTTCAGGTGGAACAGTGCTTCTCAAACTTTGGCTAAGCATCAGAATCACCTGGATGGCTTGTTAGAATTTCAGATTCGGTAGGTCTCAGTACACTCCAAGAATTTGACTTTCTTACAAGTTCCCAGGAAACCACACTTTGAGAACCACTGGTGTAGAACATTAGAGAGTGAGAGAATTTTGAGAAAGAGTCAGTTCTTTTGGGGCAAACTACACCATACTGCTGGCTTATCCATTCCACTGAGCTGGTTGGTCCTCTAAGAAAACAACTGGACTGACACACCCAAAACTCTTCAGCACCATCCTAAAAATAGTTGCTTTTAGCCAGACAGGGAGATTGTCTTGAGATCAAAAATGTGCAGATGCATCTTGGGCAGAATCAAGTTGGCTGTCCCTCTAAAATCCCTCAGGATCCCTCACTCTTTGGAAGGCTTTCCTGGGAGCAAAAAGGTTTGGGCCAGACCCCTATTAACTTCATTAGGGGCAGCACCAGGTGCAAGAGGCTGAAGAAGAGAGTTGGACCCAGCGAGTAAGACATAGAGTTTATGGAGGGGAACTTACAGAGCAATCCAGTGGTGGTGGGCTGGATAAGAGAACCACCGCCACCTGCAGAAAGCATGCAGTTGAGGCTGGGCACAGTGGCTTATGCCTGTAACCCCAGCATTTTAGGAGGTCAAGGTGGGAAGATTGATTAAGGCCAGGAGTATGAGATCACCCTGAGCAACATAGCAAAACCTCATATCTAAAAAATAAAAACCAAAAATTAGCCAGATGTGATGGCACACACCTGTAGTTTCAGCTACTCAAAGGCTGAGGCAAGAGGATTGCTTGAGCCCAGGAGTTTGAGGCTACAGTTAGCTATGATCATGTCACTACACTCCAGCCTGGGTGACACAGCAAGACTATCTCTAAGATAAATAATTTTTAAAAAGAAAGCATTCTGTTTATATGGCATTTTCACTTAGCACCCTCCCCTAACAACTTTCACCTGACAATCTTCATTTAACCCAAAACACAGGGCCTCAATCCTCTGTGAGGCCCACGTTCTATGTTACAAGACAGCTCAGATGTTCTTCAAAGATAAGGAATGACTTTTTGAGTTGGCCACTCCTGTATTCCTTAGCTTGGAACTCCAAACACACATTCAGATGCGTCTGCTGTGCAGGGTCATTCTCGGGGTATGCTTAAGTGACTCCTGTCAGGTGTGTCTGCCATACAGCAAGCCAAAGCCTTATTTTTGAGGCTGGAGAGAGTGGTAATGATGTCCACTTATAGGTGGAGTTACTTAGCTTTTTAAAAAATTATTTTATTTCTTTCTCCTTCTCCTCTCTTTTTTTCCCTTCCCCTCTCCCTCTCTTTCACTTCTCTTGGAAAGTCCAAGATGAAATCACTCATGGCTGGCATTTAACTCACACCTGTTATCCTGAGGCAATTTCTTTGAACAGTTCACTGATCCTTACTCCCTCCCTGGGATAACAGCAGGGGAGGGTTTTATTCACATCACATTATGGATGTGGCATCTGAGGCTAGCCTACCTGCCAAAGTTACTTAGCCAGTTGGTGCTAAGACGTGGTCACTACCCACAAACACCCCTGGGGCTTTTCAACAAAAAGCCATGGGTTCAGGCTGGCTTGCTTCAGCTGTCCTCCTGGGAGAAAATGCTACTGAGGTAAGTTGAGGTGGGCAAGCCTGGGGTGGGGCTTGCAGTCGGGGATGGGGGAATAATGGAGGTTCCCACATCCTTCCAGGCAGGTGCCCACAGCCGCACCCGGAGGCAGTACAGCAGGCCTGTGGAAGAGGGTGTGGCTAAGGCTGAAAGACAGTGATGGGGAAATCCCAAGGCCTAAGGGCCTGCCCCAGCCCTGTGCCTGCTTTGAAGGGAGTGCTGGTGATAGGTGGGTAGCCCGAAGAGCTCACTGACCCTGCGGTCTCTGTTTCCTTCATGTTTGCCTTGTTGTCAAAGAGCTGACCTAGGACTACTTTCTCTGGGGGCTTGGGAAGCTAAAGGCTTTCTTCCAGCTGTACAGGAGAATTCAATGTAACACGATGGTCTAGTTCTCCTTTTCCTTTTTTCATCTTGTTCATTCTGTCCACCGACCTTCTCCCACTTGTTGGCTGCTTCCTCCAATCTTCCCTTAAAAATGGCTTGATTCTTCTCCCCTTGGCCTGATCCAGCCATCTGGTAATATCACATGGCCAGTTCAACTTTGGATGAGGGCTTCATTTTTGAGTGACAGAAGCCCTTGTAAGGCAGTATGGTGTGGTTTGCTCTGAAAGAACTGATACGTCTTCAAAACTCTCTCATGGGCTGGGCACAGTGGCTCACACCTGTAACCCCAGCACTTTGGGAGGCCGAGGCAGGCAGATCACTTGAGGTCAGGGGTTCAAGACCAGCCTGGCCAACACAGTGAAACCTTGTCTCTACTAAAAATACAAAAATTAGCTGGGTGTGGTGGTAGGTGCCTGTAATCCCAGCTACTTGGGAGGCTGAGGCAGGAGAATCGCTTGAACCCAGGAGGTGGAGGTTGCAGTGAACTGAGATGGCGCCATTGTATTTGAGCCTGGGCAAAAAGTGAAATTTTGTCTCAAAACAAAAGAAAAAACCCCACCTTTCTCCTGTTTCCTAATGTTCTACACCAGAGGTTCTCAGCATGTAGTTTCCTGGGAACTTATTAGAAAGTCAGATTCTTGGACTCTGAGATCCACCAAACCTTAAACTCTGAGGGTGAGACTCATCAATCTACAGCAAGCCATCTGGGTGATTCTGATGCTTGGCCAAAGTTTGAGAACTGCTGTTCCCCCTGAAAGACTAATGCCCTCCTAAAAGACTACCTTCCCTCATGGTAAATATTTGCTACTCTCTAGGAAGTTTTCTCTGTGACTGTTCTTCTGGATGGCTAACATTTACTGGGAGTTTTCTGGTGTCAGGCTCTTTACATATTTTTTTCTCATTTAATCCTTCTAACATCTCAACACACTATTGTACCCATTTTATAGATGAAGAAACTGAGTCACAGAGGGGTTATGTAAAAATGTGTAGTATGTGATACTCCAGAATACTGCAGCTAATCTTCGTGCCAGACCCCTGTTGACTTCAATAGGGATGGCATCATGTTCAAGAGGCTGAAGAAGAGACCTGGAGCCAGTGAACAAGATATAAGGTCGAGGGGACTTATGTACAGGGTGGTGCAGTGGCAGTGGGCTGGACAGGAGAACCACTACCCTTTGTAAAAAGCATGCAGTTTATATAGCGTTTTCACTTAGGACCCTCACCCCAGCAAACTCCACCTGATAACCTTCACTGGACCTAAAACAAAGAGCCTCAATCCCCTGTATGGCCTGCATTCCATGGGATGGGCCGGAGGTTCAGATGTTCTTTCTAGACAAGGAATGAATCTCTGGGTTGGCCACTCCTAGATTCCTTAGGCTTAGAACTCCAAACACACATTCTTCTTGACTATAGGGTCATACTTGAGGTAGGCTTACATTAAGTCATTGGTCAGATGCATCTGCCATACACTGATTTCCATTAAGGAGAGACCAAGGGCAGGTTACTCCAAAACCCTGATGCAGTCAATCTTCAAACTGAACTTTAGGTAGAGGGACAGCAGAAGGGGAAGTGTTCTGAGTTGTGTGTTAGCAAGGTGAGTAGGTTACAGGTGAGGCCATGTAATGTGTGGAAGCTATAGTCCTGCTTTGTCATCAAACCTAGGTGCTTCTTTTTACCCTTTAGTCCTGGGTTTCTTAATCCGTAAAATGCAATGGTTGAGCTATACCACTAAGAACTTTTCCAACTGTGACAGCTTGTAATTATCCAAAGGCAGTGTGCATTAGATAAGTTGAAGCCCCATTTGACCCTAGGTATTTGCTCCACTCCTCTGTGTGAATATGAAACGAAACCTGCCGATTGGAAAAGTGGACCAGTGGGGGATTTGACTTGGTATTGGCCAGCAGGCTTTGGCTGGACATTCCCTACCACAGTGGCAGATCTCAATTGCAGAAAGGTGGCCAGAATAGTTTGCTATCACCTACATGCCCAACTTAATTCCTGTTTTATTTTCCTGAAGAAAGGGGTTGCTTAAAACTCTTATGTCTATGGTCGTTTCTTTGATGTGGTCTGTGCTGAGTAAACATGGTCAACATTTAAAGCCTGGAGAGCTGCCCTCTAAGCAGAGAATTTAAAGTGTGAACATAATTTAGTGGCCACATAATATTTCTTGTCTCCTGAAACCAGAGATCTTCCGGAAGTGGAGGGTAGTATTCAAAAAAAGCTATGATGGGGAAAGGATAGGAGGAGAAGTTATGGAAAGTGTGGGAGTTTCTTTTCTGTCCAAAACTTTACTCCAAATACCTGGGAAGGTCTTGAACCACGTGAGAGTGACACACCACAAATGTAACCATGGGCTAAGACCAAGCATCTAGAGTAGTCATCTTCCCCTAGTTACTTCAAAACCTTCTTTGGAGAGAAACAAAGACGATCAGAAGAAGACTATCTCTTTGATCCCAGTGAGGGGCTAGAGATCCAAGCTGGTGTCAACTTGAATAAAACTCAGTCTATTAAGCTAGTGATCCATTACTCTGGGGCAGGGAATTAAATGAGGACTCTGTCATTTTCCTTATGCCCCACTGGTATAGCAGAGGGCCACAGTAGAAAGCATTCCAAACTAGAAATCAGGTAACCAGGGCACTTGGCCAGACTGCAACATGTATTAGCAATACGATCTTGACCATGTTGTTTCGTCTCTCTGAGCCAGTGTGCTCTCATCGGTGGAGTGTAGATTGTTACACTGATTCTACTTCATATTAGGCAGTGATGAGGATCAACTGACATAATGAATGCTGAGCATATTAGTGGCTTAAAATAACAAATATGTGTCTTCTCACACAGGTTCATTAGTTCAGAAATTTGAGGGCAGTTTAGCTGAGTGCTTTAGTTTGAGAACTCTCATGAGGTTGCAGTCAAGATGATTTCCAGGGCTGTCATCTGAAGGCTTGAATGGGGCTGGAAGATCCGCTTATCAGATGGTGCACTCATGTGGCAGGTAGATGCTAGCTTTTGGCAAAAGGTCTCAGTCCTTTACCATGTAGACCTCTCCATAGAGCTGTTTTGGTGTTCTCATGACTTATAGTAGGCTTCCCTCAGCAGGCCTTCCCCTGGCCATGTAAGTCGGTCCCTTACAGTACATAGGAACATGAATACCAGAAATCAGAATATTAGGAGCCATCTTAGAGGCCATTTCATAAGCTGCTACTGCAGGTGTCATTAGATTTATTGTTCTCAGAATGTTGCTGTAAGTTGGAACTACTGTCTTAGGAAAAGACTTTGGCTAACATTCAGGCTGTTTCTCAGCCCAGTATCTCTTACTGTTCTCTGAATATAGGACTCCAAAATGCATTTTTCCAAAGGCCATTTGGAAGAGCAGGATGAGCGCAGGTAATAGGCGTGAGGAGGCAAAGAAATGCTGTGAATACTTAGTGAGTTAAGATTTAGCAAAGAAGCTCAGAAAAGCTTCAGGTGCACTAAGGCAGCAGCTTCATGGCCAGCCCTCACTGTGCTTGTTATAAGACAGAAGTAAGTTAAAGTCAATAGTTTGAAATTTCCACCTCAGCATACCTGTCATCAGTCTTGCCAGTGAAAAGCAAATATAAGCCTGATTTCTTGTGCATTTTCCTGCTCAGCCTCTGTAAGGGGGTCAGCCATCACAGAAATTGATATAAAAGGTGGCCAAAACAAAAGGTGTTGGGCCCAGCAACCTCCTTTCTACACCATTCATTGTATTTTTTTCTGCAGTGGGGAAATACAATGAAGTCACGGTGCAATCTCTCACAGGTTTTCTCAATATATTTTCACAACTCAAAGGTTGTATCTCAGTCAAAACTTTATCAAATAAAGTGTCAAAAGAATGTTCCTTATATTTCTAGGATATGTATTTTGTACTTAATTAAATTTTGCAGATATTTTTACAATACCAACAATGTGCCCCAGAACTCTGAGGTAATGGTGAGAATCAGAGAGGCACGATGAAGAGTCTATTAGGGGTGACAAAGCATTAAAGAAAAAGAGCTGAAAAATACAACAATGGCAGATACTGTTGACAGTCTGGCCCAGAGGCATTCAGTACCTTCCCCCTGCCCACTTCCCAGTATAGATGCAAAAGAAGTGAGCTATTTGCTTTCCTGGCCTCACCAGAAGCTAGAAGTGACTACATAACCCAGTCCTGGTCAGTGAGGTGTAGAATCAGTTGGAGGCAGTTCAGAAAGCTTCCTTTCCCTTATAAAAGAGAAAGGTGTGAAAGGAGAGCTCACTGGCACTGCTCCTTTTCCCTCCTGCCTGAATACAAATGTGATGGCTGGAGTGGGGCAGTCACCTTGTGGTCATGAAACAGTAAACATTTGGCTGAAAATCCCATACACAGAGCAAAACCTAAAAGGAACCACAGTCTTGGATGGCATTGTTGTACTACCAAACCAATTCCAGCAACTGTCTACCTACAGACTTTTAGTAGTAGTCATTTAAGTGACTTTTAGGTGGCTTTTCTCATATTTGCCGATTATTCTTGTTGAAGACTAAGGCCAAATGAGAGCGTTAGAGAGTAAATGCACTGAAAGATCAGTGAGGTCAATTCAGCAAGAGCTGGAGAGTTGTGGAAGGGCTTGGTTGGTGGAATTGAGGTCAATGGGGAGTGCTTGAATAGATGGAAATGTAGCAGATGGGATGAAGAATAGCCTTCCAGAGTGGATGCACCAAGAATTGATCACTGAATCCGTAACTCTAACGACAAGGTTGTCACAGGTCCCTGATCCCTAAGATGTGACACATGGCTGGGCCATTTTGTATAAGTTGGGGCAGCACAACATGATGTGTCACAGCAAGGGCTCTTGCACTAGGTAGACCTATGTTTGAGGCCCAGCTCTGCCACAAACCAGCTGCATAACTTTGAGCCTGCTGCATAACCTACTTAAGCTTCAGCTTCCTCATCTTTAAGTTGAGGGCAATAAAAATTAAACAAGGTGACATATGCAAAGTGCTTAGTATATAGTAAGCATTTACTGGCCTGAGAGGTAATTATTACTATCATTATTGTGATCAGATATTATTATATTCATCTTTACATGCCACCATAGGGATGCCTGCTTAACTCCAGAATCCAATTGTTACATCTATCAGTAGGGAATGTCATCTCTCAAAGCTGTGTTACCTGCTAAGGAGGATCCTTGAGAAAGTTTCTTTGAAATCAGTTTGCCTGGAGTGTGTAAATAACTTCCAGCATTTTGTTATTTTTAAGCCCTTTAAGTAGATTTTTGAGCTAAAAATCACTATGATCTCCCCCATCCCCCCACCCCCAGCAGAAGATACAAGAATTATGTAAGGCAAGAAGATAAAAACTTTAAACAATGACCTTTAGACTCAGTGAAGGGTTCAGGGTTGCCATTGTCTGGAGTAAACTGGCTTGGACTTTGGCAAGTTCTAAAGAAGTTTGGACTTCAAGGACACTGTGGAAAACTCAAGGGCAGGAAACTGTCTTTTTTGGTAAGACCATTTTGTTTTGTGCTGTCTCTATCATCAGCAAATGATGGGGGCTAGAAGGGAAGGTTGAGGTAGGACAAAGATAGAGTGTCAAGAAAAAACCTGGAAGGTACCATCTGAATGTGCTCTTGAACTCTTAAATTTCCCCACAGTAACCCAGTTACTTGTTCTTCAGGTAAGTGATTGGATCTCTGAGGCTGCACATGTGCGTGCGCAAACACACACACACACACACACACACACACACACACACCCCTCCACACCTTTCTTCCTGCTGCAGTCTGTTGCCTTTCAAAATCTTTTCCCTCACTTATTTACGGTATCTCATCAAAGACTTTCTGACACTCCCAATTAAAGTTGTCCTGTGCTTTCTTAGACATTTGCTTTTAACTTTTCAAATTCTGTGAGTGTTCCATGCTTGCTGAGGAAAAACATACATTCAAAAAAATCAACCATGTAATTTTATTAACTAAACCCAATAGACTTCCAGAATTGTCATAAACATACTCTATAAGATATAGCTGTATACACACATTGAATAAAATGGGATAATTTTTCATTGTTTAAAAATATATTTTGAATATATACATATAGATTTATTTACATGCCAATTAATAGGATATTAATGTATAACTTTTTAATTGCTGATGGTTTCCTTCTGACTTACACTATAGCATTATTTATTCAATAAGTGATTTAGATTAATTTCAGTATTAAATGTACCAATAAGCATCATTGCTTCTAAATATTTACACACTTGCCTAATTATTCATTCTCTCTCCCAGCTCTCAGAATTATTGGAACAATTTGAACTTTTACATCCATCCTAGTTTTTTAAATCTTAATTTATCTTTACATATATTCTCATTCAATAATTTGTCTTTCATTATTTTTCATAAATATGTTAACTATTATTTGCATATTGGTTCTGTTACTGCTATTATTGTTCTCTACCATTTTTAAAAGACAACTTCCTTTTACTTGTGTTCTTTTTATTTGCTTTTCATTTGGCTGGAGGATTTTTAGTTTTTTTTTTTTCTCTGAAAAGGTAAAAGTGGTCACTCTTTGGCATTATGTCTTAAATTTTTGTTGCCTCCAAACATAAACAATTATTTGGTTTATATAGCTGTTGCCACAATCTTTTTTCTGTCATTAAGTGCTATGAAGGATAGTCATTATTAACCTTTTTTTTAAGTTTTAAATTTAAGAGATGGGGTCTTGCTCTGTTGCCCAGGCTAGGCTTGAAATCCTGGGCTCAAGTGATCCACCCACCTCAGCCTCCCAAGTAGCTGGGACTATAGGCATGTGCCACACTGCACTTGGCTTAAAACAATTTTTTTGTAGTAGTAGCCTGTTTTCGTTTGGTTACCTATAAATTTTTCTTCTTGAACCCTAGGAAAAGTTACCAAGCAATTTGGGTCTTATTGTTTTTGGCTACTCAGTGGGTCCTTGCTATGTGTAGGCGCAATCCTTATTTAACTCAAGAAAATTTTCCTCTCTCAGTTCTTTGATTAGTACTTCTCAATCTGCTCTGCTGTCTCCTGAATTCCTATTGTGCATGTATTAGATCTTTTCAATCTATTCTCTAGGTCGTCTCTTTACTTATCATTGTCATCTTTTTTTTCTTGCTGTCCGTATTCTGAGAGGATATCTTGAATTGTAAATTCTATTTTACTAATTTGTCTCTGTAGCATCCAATTTGTTTTTTACTCATAACCGTTCATTTTTAAATTTGCTAATAGTGTTTCATGTGATAGCAATTAGACCTGAGCTCAAAACTTTTTTCCTATTAATAAATACAAGTTTCTCAAGTTTCAGAGACATTGATTTGATTTTTCCCCTTTTTCCTAGAGTCAATTTGTTTTGTATGGAGACATTTGCTCCAACCCTTCATCTTCATTACTAAAACATTTCATATGCCCTGTGATTGTCTGTAAAGCTTCTGCAGCAGGAAGGAGGTTACTGTGTGACTGAGTAATGAGAATCCATATGAATTTTGCCTGAGATTATACAGGTCTCTGTTCAAATCTTTTAATCCCAGATATTGGAAAGGGGTGAGGAGTTACATGTATGTTTTTAATAAAAGTTTTTAATTTTAAAATATTTAAACTCTAAAAGGTTTGATTTTTCTAGACTAGATAGGAAACAATTTTTCTGTGAAGGGGATAAGGGAGAACTTGCACTAAATTTTTTTGTGTGTTTACTGTGATAGACCTAAATGCCAGGACATAGTCTGCTCCTCCTAACTGATTTTGTTAGGAACCTGGTATGGGGCTACTTCTGTTTTTCTTAGCAACCATCTTTCCAAGCAGAAGCCGGATGTGAGATCACAGCCAATTGGTGTACACTGGCATCCAATGCATTTCCCAAAGCATCCTTAAACTTAAGATTTTGCCCCTTCTAACTGCCAGGGTGTGCTGGAGCCAATTCAAACCAAACCCTGAGAGCTGATGGCTACACTTTTCGGGCATTTTGTGAGCTGGCTGTTATACACAGCTTTTATTAAACATTAAATGATACAAGCTTAATATCACACAAATTATAATTACAGGCATCATTAAAAAACCATAAACTTACAATCAAATACTAAAAACTCATCACTTCCTAATTGTTTTACTTTATTATCAATACTCTTGAGATTACTTTTCATTGATTGCATCTGGATGATGGCAATACTATATACTGGTGTGCTACTGTGCACCTCCTCCCAACTCTGTGTTCAGTGACATGCGGAAGAGCTAATGATTGAAGGTTTTCCGATGCACCCTTACTGCCTCACCCTTAGTTCTAGCCTCAATTTCTCTAAACTAGGGAGATGTGGGAGAATACACTGTGCAGTTCTGCTAAGGATTTACAGCCACTCGCCAGAGACAATTTCCCTTATGTATTGTAGGCTGGTTAAAATTTCCTTCATTCTACTGTGATTACAGACTTTTGCAGAAATTCCTCAAAAGTTCCATATATTGATGACAACCCTTCTCCTTGGGGAAAAAGCCAGAAAACTTGAACTTCCAGTTTTACGGGGTGTTATTAAAATGTATCATTGGAATGTATCTTTGAGAGATAAAATTTTAAAGGTAGTAAAATGAACTAGAACTAGGATCTTCTATGGGGAAAATGATGAATGAAACACAGTGCTGCATGAAGTTGGGCTCTAGACCAGACAAAGCTGATGTCTGGATAAAAGAGTGGAGTGTCTAGTCCCCCACAGCTTTGAGACTTGGCACTGCCTGAGATGTCACAAAGACTTCCCGAAGATTCACCACCGAACTGCTGGCCTGGAACAGTCTAGCAAATAAGCAGCGGCCCTGATTTTGTTGGCCTTTCCTTCTGTAGAACTTGCAGGGCAGCTTTCTCCGGCATGCTGAAGTGGGTGCAGCCCAAACAGTGCTAGGAAACAGGCAAGATGCACCTCGAGCAGAGTTCTGGAGCCAACATCACAGAACCTCCTTTCTAGAACAATATTCTGCTTCTGCCACAGACTAAATAAGAAAGCACCATATGGAGAATATATCTGAAGAACCATTTCTAATCGAACATTGTGTAAGAGGCACTACCACTTACAGAGATCCCTTTGACAGATTCCTCTCAAGTGTCAGGGCCAGAGGATCGTTTAGTTCACACTGAACTGACAAGTTCCTTCTCCCAGAGCACTGGAACTATGAAAGCATTGTGCACCCCTTTTTTTTTTTTGCCTGGCTAATAGGAAGCTTTGTTTTCTTTCAATTATTGAAACTTAGAGACAATTGGTTTTTATTTTCAATAACATCTCCCTTCCTTTCTTCCTTCACTACTTGTTTTGTGTCTATTTCATGGCTTTTTTGTCATACTTATATTTAATGTTATACAGTGTATATTAATGTATACAATGTATTTAATGTTATAAATACATTGAATGTATTTAATGTTATAAATACATTCAATGTATTTAATGTTATACAATATTTCAGAATAATAGAAGAGCCAGCCACACATAAATTGGTGATTTTTAGTCCATTGGATGAGTAAATCAATGCTGTGTGCCTAAGAGCCAATAAAAGGTAAATACTTCCTGAAAGTAGGTACAGATATGAATAAATATAAATATCTTATATAAAATATCTTAAAAGTTACAGATTTTGGGTGATTTACCATGTGTCCAGCCAGCCCTATCCTAAAAACGACAGGAAATCGAAAGCGATAGTTTTGGGGAATCTAATCTTGATAGGCAAGACTGACTAACAACTATATTTATTGCCTTCCATTTATTAAGTGCCAGCCATGTTGCAGGTGCATTCTGTACATCTTATTTAATGCTCACCCCTAGAGACTCCAATAAGTCAGGTTTTCTATTAAATGGATACCCAGGTGATCCTAATGTTCAGCTAGGGTTGAGAATTTCTCATCTAAAATAAAAGGAAAAGGTACAGTTGCATGCAGATCACGTCTAATGTGCCAAGGCAAAGAGCCAAGTGAGGCCCTGGCATCTGTCCCTGGACAGGGAGAAAAGTGGCTTGCCTGAAGCTGAGGTGTGTGATGTCAGCTGTCTGAACCACCTGCAGCATGGGAACTGCAGATGGGAACATTGAACTCTAGAGAACTTATAATGGAGATAATGCCTTTGACAGTATTGAAAAACCAAACATGTCACCTGAAAAGTGATTATATTAAAGAAGTACAATGGTCTAGCCTCAATAGAACCAGCTTCCATGAAGGCTGGTGGGAGGAGCAACCACCAGGAGTACATGGGCCTGTTTTACTAGAGTAGGAAACATTTGAAATGTCAACTCTTCTCTGAAGCTTGGCCTAGCTGCTCATGCAGGCCTGCTTGAGACTTAGTGTTCATTCCTCTCTGTATCTCATGATAGAGGGCAGTTGTTTGAGTTTGCTTTCACCAGCAGACTGTAATCTTTGATTTCACCTGTCTTATCACTGGACCTTCAGAGGGAAATAGTGTCCAGCAAATAGTAGGTGCTCAATAAAGCTTTGAATGAATCAGTACGTTAGACATCTCGTTGGATGTCTTATCCTCGCAGGTCCAAAGAAACAGATCATCACCACTGTCAACAAAACTATTTTAAATAGTTTTAAACATGGCACTGGGCCTCTGTTAGAGGACAGTAAATATGACATAAAGTGACTAGCACATCATCTCCATTGTGATGAAGTTATCTATATTTTTTGATTTGTGAGGGTTTGGACTATAAATCACTGAGTTCTGAAATGAGAGCTCCATAAATAAATTGGTTCCAGCGAGTTAGTCTTACAACGTATGGTATATTTCACAGTCAAAACTATAATTCTAATGAGCAGTCTTGGTGATGAATAGACCTCCCTTGTAACTTTCTTCCTAATGTGATTAGTGGTGGTAGTTAGAGGTTGACTGTCCTGTTCTCATATTATAGGCCAAACCTTTACACCTGTCAAGACAGGTATAGATTTAGAATATTTTATTTAACAAGTTAAGCCTGAGGTGATGCTTCAGACTCTTATGATTGAGTGCTACAGAGAGAAGGGAATTTCTCTTTTCCTTCTGGAAAGCAAAATGCAGATTAGCATGTTGGTGATTACTCATTTATCCTCCACACCCTCCCTCCCCCAAAGCATCTCAGCGGTTTTCTGTTGAGTTGATTTATGACAGCAATACCAAACTGGAGGTTACAAAGTGCTATCTTTTGAGAAGATAATCTGAAGTTTGGAGAGTGAATAATCAATTCTGTCTCTTTAAGATATTGCAACTGATTTTTATTTTTAAATAGACCTTTTAAGGGACAAGTTCGGGGGAAAAAAAAGGGTTTTTGAAATTGACTGACATTGTATCAGGTCTTAACAGACTCTACTTTCCTGCCTCCCACCATGCCCCAGAGGGTTTGGTAGGCCAAATTCTCTTAGCACTTCACGCTTTAGGTAGATGGGCAGAGTGTCATTTCCAAATACACTCTCTCCACACTGTCAAGAACTTGGCTGCCAGTTTAGATTCGCCTCAAGTGTCACTTTTAAGATGTCAGCAAGAAAAGTATACCCCAATTCGAGGCATGCTTTCACTTGGCCATAGTCACTGGCAACATAAAGGACCATTAGTTGTGGGTTAAAATTGGTGGTCAAGTTGTAAATGGAGAATTGGGGGACTGGGAATCTTCATTCAGCTCACTTAATCACAGCATATGCTCTAGAAGGAGTCCCAGAGGCCCATACCTTTATCTCACAGATAAGGAGTTGGAGGCCTGGAAGGTGCCTTGAATTGGCCCACTTCCCACAGCTGGTTAAAGACAGATAAAAAGAGCAGACTGGGCCTCCTAAACTGCAAATCAATCTGTTTTCTTTTTCCTATGGCCTACATTATGAAAATAAATTAGAAAGTAACATATCACTCATTAATGGTAATGGTTTTTAGTTAAAATGCTAGAAGTACTATTTCAGTAAGCAGGTGATCTAAAGTCGTGATCTTCAAACTTTAGTATACATTAAAATCACTCAGCTTGTTGAAACAGATTGCTGGGCTCCAGTGTCAGAGTTAGTAGGTCAGGGGTAGGGCCTGTGAATTTGTACTTCTAACAGGTTTCCAAGTGATGCTGATGTGAATGCTGTTAGTCTGGGAACCACACTTTGGGAACCACTGGTTTAAAGCAAGCCCAGGCTATTTCCTGTGATTCATCATTGACCACCTGTGCACTGTCTACTAATTGAAAGCCACATGGTTACCTCCCCAGCAAAAAGTTACCAGTGAGCCTTTTTTTTTTTTTTTTTTTGCATTCTCTTGTGCATTTTCCATTGAAAGTCTATTACATTACAGCATAGGGGCAAAGAGCTCTGGCTTGAGAAGCCTATGCGTTCAACTCTGTTCTCAGATGCTGCATGATCTTGAGCAAGTCATCTCACATCTATGCTTGTTTTCTCATCTAAAGAATGGGAATATAATCATCTTACCCAGGTAATTGTGGAAAGAGTAAAACAAAGAGTTTAACAGATAATAATCACTTGATATGTCAGAGACCAGTGTGTGTATGTGGGGGGGGAATTACCCTAGCTCTTACTGGAATAATTGAATGATAATTACTTGAGTGAGGGAAGGGTTCAGAAACCAAATGGGGGTGGTGAGGGAAACCAGACGTTTAGCAACAGCATAAAGCTGCAACCACTTCTTGGGCTGGAGTAAAAAATGGGAGTAGGTAATGTTTCCAGAGCCTTCTCCTGAGAGCTAGAGCAGAGGGGGTTTGCTCAGACCTGAAAATGAGGGTCTATCTGGCAGGAGCTAGAGCCAGGGAAGAGACACCTAGAAGCCCCAGGACAAGCGCTCCAGCGAATATAGTTCTCTGTGATACCAAACAGAGCAGGGGGAAAGCAGAACATCAGTCTGGGAGCTACTGCCATACTCAAAAAATATTAGTCATTGTTGCCCTGAGAGTAATTATTTGTACGTCCCTCTCCCCTCTACTACTAGACTATGTCTTTCAGGTCTAGACCCTCACTGTGTCTACATGTAAACACCATATACATGCAAAGTGGTATTGCCTTAAGTCCACTTAGCAATCAAAACAAATGGGAAAGTTATCCTACAGTAAGACTTGTGTATCTTGACTAGGTGATACAATGTAAAATCTGCATTTGAGGTGTAACTTAGCTCCCTGTCTACAGTCCCATGTCATCCCTGCACTGTGAGTGTTCAAAATATGCAGACTGCACAACAGAGACAAAACTGGACACTTCGTTCTTAGAGGATGATTCTCAAGGTTTGGGTATGAATGCGGAGGAGGCGAGAATTGAAGGATGATGGGCATTCTAGTTTTCCTATAGCGAGAACGTGCCTTGAAGGGACATTACCTAGGTGTATTTCCTCATTTAAGATGGTGAAATTGGCCGGGCGCGGTGGCTCACGCCTGTAATCCCAGCACTTTGAGAGGCCGAGGCGAGTGGATCACGAGGTCAGGAGATCGAGACCATCCTGGCTAACACGGTGAAACCCCGTCTCTACTAAAAATACAAAAAATTAGCCGGACATGGTGGCGGGCGCCTGTAGACCCAGCTGCTCGGGAGGCTGAGGCAGGAGAATGGCGTAAACCCAGGAGGTGGAGCTTGCAGTGAGCCGAGATAGCGCCACTGCACTCCAGCCTGGGCAACAGAGTGAGACTCCGACTCCGTCTCAAAAAACAGTGAAATTATGAAAGACAGCTCATATGTATTACTTACATGTGACCACTCAATGTCCTTCTCAACTTTACAAAAATGAGATACTGTGATAACAATCAAAAGGGAGTGGGTGGGAGACAACAGAAATAGCAGCAACATTTATAAGCCAAAAGGTAGCTGTTTTAGAAAGATTTCTTAGGTGATAAGTGAAATTTCAACCCAAAACTTCAGTTTCAAAACAACCTTTATTCTGTTTGAAGATCTAATACAATGCATTAAAGCAACTTAAAACAAGACATAGCTCCATTGAATCTATAACTTGAACGAAATGTCAAGGAGGCACACTACCCCCACCCCCCACCCCAGTTGCCTTGTGAAGGCAAAGTTACAACTGACCGTGACATCCTCCCTCTCGTCAAAAGACCAACTTTATTTTAACAATGTCATATAAACAGATTTTTAAAAACATTGAACAGATTGTAGCTTTAAAAAATACACAGGTATAAATGAGTTTTTTTTTGTTTTGATTTTTTTAAATACATATATATATGTGCATATATATACATATATGTATATACATATATATATACACATATATATATATATACACACACATATATATATATATATATATATATATATATATATATA
This sequence comes from Homo sapiens, assembly GCF_000001405.40. NCBI lineage: Eukaryota > Metazoa > Chordata > Mammalia > Primates > Hominidae > Homo > Homo sapiens. The sequence goes on along the minus strand of NC_000005.10, from coordinate 68,301,396 downwards.
TATACACACACACACACACACACACACACATATATATATATATATATATATATAGCAGCATCCTGGGCAGCTAATGCTATCTCATGGTGACAAGTTTCATGTTAAGTTGGATAGTCTTTCCAATTGACTCAATTCTATTTCCTCCCCACCCATAATACCAGTATTTTATAGAACTAGCTTTTTAAAAAATAAGAATTTGGCATTTTGGAACTTTGTCCCATGTGAGACATTGTGCTTTAAACTGCCCCTTTCTAAAAATGACCCTAAACTCAAACAGATCTCAGTGTCTGCGTTTCAACTAACTTGGATACCATACATAGCAAAAGCACAGTTGTTAAAACCAGCAGATTTTTTCTTCCAAAGGAACATCAGTAGGACTTCCCAAACATGTTACTAGTTCATAACCAGCTATATGACAAAGCAATTGGTTCCCCACAGTGACAGCTCACATAAACACATTTTGACTCGACACACTGAAAACAAGGATTTCCAAGCTAAGCAAGTCATCAGACCAGCTCCCTAAAAGGAGTAACTTTTAAAAACACAAAAAAGCCAAAGAAATATGAACTTCTCACTTCACTTACAAACAATTTTCACCTTTGTAAGACAAAACAAAGCAACCTCAAAGGGAAAAATCCCATACACATAAGTAAGAATTGTACTAGACGTTCGCTTGTTATGTACTTTATGTACTTGAACTCAACAACTACTGTGGATCTGTTTTGGCTGAAAGGTGTACTGGAAACACAGTCCATGCACATATACATATATACATTTATCAAAGGCCATGAAGTTATCAGATGTTGCAAACACATGCTTTTTGCCTTTTCACATGGTTATGATCTCTCGTGTGTGTAATGTGAGGTCCCAATGCTCCCACTTCTACGCCCAATCACAGCCTCACTGCAGCTTAGCTTCTGGCTTTATCTTTAGGATGCTACACTGGGTGGGAAAAACTGACGCATGGATAAAAATCATATATCAGGAGTGCCTCTGCTGTATCTATTCATATTCAGCCGTTCAGACAATATTGTTAGGACTGTCTGATGAAATCCAAAGTGGCCGGCTAGCAAAGTATCTAAAACGACAAATGCGGTGGGCAAGCTACACTGTAATCAAAAAGGCATTGGGCAGAACAGGTCTGGTGTAACTCAAGTCATATGGAATGATGAATCCTACTTTGCTGTTCAATGAAAAGATCTATTGCACTTATGTTTGTGAGATGCAAAAATAAGGCAAATGCCTAAATACCGTATCATCTTGCAAAGAATGTTGAAGCACAAAGATTCACAAAACTGTAGCTTTTAATGAAAATATTCAATCTCAGATCTTATATTTTAGAAATAAAAATTTGTATGTAATAGCATACATGTGCTACCAAAAAAATACCCACAAACCTAGTTTAAAAACTGTTAACTAATTAACTGTTAGACTTGTGTATGATCTAGAAGGATATCACAATAACTTTAAAGCAGAGACGCAGACTAAAACCAGGGAAATCGTCAGTTGTCTGGCGATGAGAGGGAAATGGTCAGATCAGTAGAGTCAAGTTTGAGGGCTAACAGTCTTGCTATAAGACTGACTTTTGCTTAAGTATGAGTAGTTTCATGTAAAGAGGACAAATAATACATTCCACAGATTTTTCACTCAGCTGCAAGACTGATTCTTTCAAAAGGAACAACATTAAAAAACAAAGTAACAGAAAACCCTCACCCTAGTACTTAAACAGAAATATAGCTGTGGGTAAATCTAATATGGAGAAAGAGTAATTTGAAATTGCAAGATTTCATTTAGTCTATTAGGGTAGTGACCATATTATGGTTGCTAATTAGTCTTTATGCCTCCCAACACATGTACAGTTCCTACTGAACATACCAGCTTTTGCATATCTAAATCAGGAAGAGAGACCTCTCACTCCTGCCCTAAATGGGAAACATGATGCTAACGTTTCCTTCTCCCCCCCGTAGTGAAGCACATACAATGATTAGAATGAATGAGAAGGACTGCCACTTGGATTCCTGCAATGACCATGACTTTAGCGAGCTCCACACAGTCCAGAGCAGTGACAGTATGACTGTGTCTATTTGCTTTATGTTCTAAACCAAATGGAAAGCTAGGAGGGTAACCAACATACCACCAAAAGTATTTTTCAGATCATGCTTTTTTTTTTCCTAAAATGAGTATTTGCTGGTCATGATGGATAGTCTAATGTGACAGAGATGATTATCCCTTTAAACCAGTGTTCTAAACAAAGGTGAGCGCTGTTCCAGGAACCCAAAAACAAACTTGGCACTTCCTTCCTAAGAACTGAAATACCTGACCAGTCACACTGTATTAGAGATACAGTAGGTTTGTAATTGTCATTAATTGATAACAACTAGCAAATCAAAGTGAGAGAAGACTGAAGTAGAAGAAGCAACTTCACTTTGCAGTTATTCACTTCTCTGTAAATCATGAGAAAGTGCATATAACCTTGCCTCCCCCTCCCACCACCCCACTTGATACATCCCTTCACTACATTCCCCCTCCCTAGATTCAAGAAGTTCACAATTCTTTATGAAATAAACATTGCCAGGTACCGTATTTTAAGAGTCTTAAAACAACATTGTTGGACTCAGCAATACTTTGTCATATTCATATATCTTTTTCATTTCTTTTTTTTATTGAATAAAGCAGCTTTGAAGCTTATCAGGCACTGCCCAACAAAACAGTCCAAAAAAAATCTGTTATGAACTTTTTAACCTTGGGCTAACAGCCAAGTACTCTGTACAAGAAAAACTGTAAAATATTTCATAGTTTTAATTCTGAAGCCATTTTTTTTTTTTACTGGCATCCTGTACATTTACTTTTAAAAAAGGATAACAAAAATGAATATTAACAAAAATCCGGGACAACAATATTTTCAAGCAACAAAAACTGGGGTGGGGAAGCTTATTCTGAAGGTACATTTAAAACTGAAATAACAACTTAATGAAAATTAAGAATTGCATAGCGCTGTGAATTTAGCCTTCAGCAAAACAAAACAGAAGCTATTTGGTATTGATACAAATCCATCTATTTGATAGTTAGTCATCCAATATTATGTACATATTTTATATACTGAATGTCATTTTAAGTCCTGTTTTCCAAACTCCATTTTTCTGTTGCTGGGTTTTTGTTTTTTGACAAGTTAAACACTTTCTGGCACTTTCTATGACAGAATTTCTTCTGAACATACATGAACTGACATTCTCCCAAAGCGTCCCTTGTGAGTGGACGTGCCTTTCTGCTACATATCGTTCATTTGTTACAAAATGAAATAATCCACAGTGCGATGTGTCTGGGTCCACCGTGCACAGCAACATCCAGGCTAAACCAGGCTGGACCAAACCTTCTCAGGCCAGGGTTCTTCTGCCTCTCTCTCCTCCGCTCTCCAGAGTCCCAACTTTCAGCTGGTAAAGCTTCAGAAAGCATTAACAAGCACCATGGTTAAAGGCCTCTTTGTCCCTGCACGCAGAGATTTTTGCATTTCTTTTTCTCTTTGTGTTGTATGTGGTTGTGGCTTTAAATTAAACCAAAGAAAAAAAGAAAAAGAAGGGATAAGCACTCCAGCTTAGGAACGTGTGGTCATCATACAGCCTTAGGCTGCATGTCTTCCCCTACTTCTTTTTTGTGAAAGAAAGCTCTAGTCCCATCCAAAGAAAGATGGCTTCGTTTCTGCAGCTCAATTCACAGATCAGACTGGAGAGGAGCCCTTTGCTTTCCAGAGGCCTCAGGGTGGCTGAACTTCAGGAGAAGGATCAAAGAGTAAGCGCTTCATCGCCTCTGCTGTGCATATACTGGGTAGGCTAGTGTGACATTGAGGGAGTCGTTGTGCTGCACAAGGGAGGTGTGTTGGTAATGTAGCACCAGTTCTTTCAGAGAGCTGTACAAGTTATAGGGCTCGGCAAAGCCATAGCCAGTTGCTGTTTTGTTTATGACACAATGCTTTACTTCGCCGTCCACCCTAGAGAGGAGAGAAGAAAAACTGTCTTTTGAGCTTGTCCAAGACAATTCACAACTCTTCAGGGCATCTTTAATAAAAAGCATTATTGTGCAGTCTCAACTTGGGGAAAGGGTCCTAGGTTACAACTGACACCTGGCCGAGTGCCTTGGGTAGGTAACCCAGCTTCACTGACTGACTGTATTTTCATCTTTAAAATGGTTTAAAGGGAAGACAATAGTAAAATACATGTAATACAGTTACTTTGAGAAATGAAATGAGATCATGCATGCAAAATGCTAGATAGAATGCCTGACATGCAGTAAGCATGCAACAAGTGGTAGCTTCCAATCATGATGAGGACAACTATCTGCAGTGCTCCATGACTAGCAGTGTTACTATTACTCCCATTATGACTATTCATAGGATTCCTTCTTTCTGGCTGTCCTTGAGGTGTCTGCACAACTCTCCATCTCTGCATGTGCCCTTATGCACAGTAAGGACAAAAGTACCCTTCTTTGCTGTAGGACTATTTCTCTCATTAAATGAAAGGTGATCATGGAGTGTAACATACTTTTAGAACCATTCCCTACTAGAGGACATTAATTTCTTGGAAATGGTGATGTCAGTGATCCAATGTGGGTGTACCTATCTCAAGGATAATGATCAGAATCCTTTTTTTTTTCACCTGTTCCTGATGAGTATTTTTCCTATGGGTGATGTTCTCACATAAATTACCTCAGATTCTAACTATAGTAGCCTTGAGAGGCAAAAAAGGCAGGCACTGCCACTTCCATTTTAAAGATGAGAAAAAAAGACTTGGCGATTTCTCATGATTAATTAGCACTGAATGGGAATCCAAACCTAGTCTTCCAACTAAACAGTAGGTATCTATTAGACTGTATTAACATACACTTCTGGCTAGACTTTAAAATGGTATTACAGCTGCTTTGGTTTCTCTTCTACATTATTGTACTGTAAGCTTATTCAAGACTAAAACTATGTCAAATCTTTGCCCCCAAAACTCAATGAATGAATAAATGAAACATCTCTTCATGAGATGTTGTAAAGAAAAGTTTGCTGGAGATACATACACTACAGAGCAGGCATAGCAGCCCTGTTTACTGCTCTCCCGGACAAGAAAAGTGCCATCTCGCTTCCCTCGCAACAGGTTTTCAGCTTTGTTTCGGTTGCTGCTTCCAACATTCCATGTCTTCTCATCATGATGGGGCAAATCTTCATCATCTTCCACCAGTGAATATTGGCTAGGCAGGCAGGACAGAAAGTTTCTAAATGAAGAGTGCAGGAGCCATCAGCCTGCCTTGCTGTCTTCCCTAGGCATACCCCCGTCACTTCCCTCCTGGCCCCTACCAAGCCAGTCAGACTGGCCATCACATGCCTGCCTCTGCCCGACCTGAGTTTTCCTCTCCTGGTATTCAGCCTCCAGTGCAACCTCCCAGGACAAAGAGTTACCAATCAACTGTACTATTTCTGTTTTCAAGCAACCACACTCAGGTACCTGGGCAGAGTGGAAGGTATTAAAACAATCTCGTTTATCCAGTTTAGATCAGGAAATTGACTAGGCAGATTGCCAGTTTTTGACTAATTCAAACAAAGTATATACTTAAGCTTTAAAATATATTAAGCATAATTATTTTTTCTCTGACTGTTCCAAAAATATTTTGGGATTTTTCAGATGTTCAGGGACATCATTATGGACACAGAGAGTTGTTTCACAGCATTATGAGTAAAAATAAATCCTAGTCCTCCTTAGCTAAGCTTTCTTTTTTTAAAATTCTGGATAATGGCACTGAGTTTATACATTTTCTCCTACAAGATGTTCCAAACTCAGTAAAATTCCTCACTTGTTCTAAAAACAAAGCAAGTCATGCATTTTCCTAAAATGAGAAAAATCTTCTGCTATCACCATCTTTAGTAACTACTTACTCTTCAGTGTTTTCATTGCCCAACCACTCGTTCAACTTCTTTTGCCGAACACCTTTTTGAGTCAACCACCTGAAAAACAGTTTTGAAAAGAGAACGCATTAACTCATCCTGAATTGTAGCAATCACCAATTATTCATGTATAGGATTCCATTTCAAATACTTACATCAAGTATTGGTCTCTCGTCTTTCTCAGCTGGATAAGGTCTGGTTTAATGCTGTTCATACGTTTGTCAATTTCTCGATACTCAGCTGCCTGCTTCTTCAAGTCTTCTTCCAATCTTCTTCTACTGTCAATAATTTCACTGATTCGAGACTTCAACTTATCATAATTATGCATAATCCTGCAGGCAAAAGAAACGTATTTGTTATTATCTGGGTACATCAGGAACGGTCCCCAAAGTTTATGAAAAGTTTCACTATGGTTTCCCAGCAGTTTTCCTTAGGTAAAGCGTGGCTTCTCTTCCTGTCATTTTTTTTTTTTTTTGGAGTGGCTCAACATATTTTATTTTATTTTATTTTTTTATTTTTATTATACTTTAAGTTTTAGGGTACATGTGCACATTGTGCAGGTTAGTTACATATGTATACATGTGCCATGCTGGTGCGCCGCACCCACTAACTCGTCATCTAGCATTAGGTATATCTCCCAATGCTATCCCTCCCTCCTCCCCCCACCCCACCACAGTCCCCAGAGTGATATTCCCCTTCCTGTGTCCACGTGATCATTCAAAGCACAGAAAGCGAGATCATCTTTAAATGGTTTTAGAGGATTTTGGTTATCTCTAGCACAAGAACAAGGGAAACACCAACCTTTGTATTTCTTTCTCATTGCCTTCACGTTTAAACTTTTCTATGTATTCTTTGCTGTACCGCTCTTGGGTCTGGCACTGTTCTTCAAATATTTTTATGGTTTCATTAAATGCTTCAATAGCTGTCCTTTTCATTTGGATTTCCTGCAACATAATTTTAAAAAGATAATGTCATACCTTTCATAGAACAATCTCTTACTGCAAGACACTACCAGGACATTTGATCTGTATTATTAGCAGAGTGGGACTCAAATTCATAAAATCCATTAAAACAGTATCCCAGAAACAAGTATTTCCTCTGGAGAATTTTCTCAATCTATGAAAAATGATTGCGTAGCAATTTCCTATAGTTTTTATCTTCTTAAAAGCTATTGTAGTTTATAGCATCCCTGTTGTTTTCTGTTCCCTCTGGCATTCCCAGATACATGAGTGACCAGTGAAGAATAAGGGTCTAGAAAAGCACAGCAGTATATAGCCCTTCCTTTTCATGGTAGGATATATATTAATGCCTAAATCTCCATTTCAGGGATTAGACAAGTCTGTGAAACTTCCAGTTATTACTAACTTCCAATCTAAACAGGATCCTTCTATCACGAATTAAATCAACTTGAAACTCAGTGACTGCTTCAGTTATCACGTGAACTTAATTTATTATTCTGATACTTAAAATTTTTGGTTTAAAGCTTTAGAGATATTACACTAGAATAATCAACAATGATTCACAAATAAATGCTCTCACCCCCACCTCATTCGTAAAAACTCAACCTTTTAAATTCTTTTTTCCATGTTAGTCTTTAAAAGTTTAGAACTCTTATTTTTTAATCTGATTTTCATAGAAAACTCACCTGGGATGTGCGGGTATATTCTTCATATAATCTATCATATTCTCGACTTTTTTCTTGAAACTGAGTGTTATATTCATGTAATTTTTTCCCTACAGCTTCAATATTATCTTCTTTGACAACTTGATCCTAGAAAGATTAAAATAAATTCAATGGATAAGGTATTTAATCAAATAACAATTGTTTAACAAAATAGCTGACATGGAAACATCTTTAAAATTGCAATTATGTAATTACGAGTGTCAAGTTTTTTAGACTTGATTACATGTAATTCATCTGCTTCAAATGTTTTCTAAGTATTAAAAGGATCTTGTCTAAACATCGTAACTGGATAATTCATTCAGTTTTTATTACCTGTTGGTATTTGGATACTGGATAAAGTAATTTCACATCCAATTTGGGATTATACTGAGCTAGAGATTCATTCCGGTAGTGGTTTATTAATTCAACCACAGAACTGAAGGTTAATGGGTCAGAGAAGCCATATTTCCCATCTCGATGAAATATTTTGATTAATTTGTTATTTCCCCCTTTCCTGTAAAAACAATATAAAAATAAAGGTATTAACATTTTGGAATAAGGAAATATGTTTTAATATCAGCCCAAAACCCTAATTTCAGCTATATTCCCTGGCTTACCTTAGTGTAAGAGTATAATCACCATGCATTTTAGTAGACGCATCTCGTACCAAAAAGGTCCCGTCTGCTGTATCTCGAAGTTTTTCATTCACTTCTTCCCTGAAATGAAAACACAAAACAATGCTCATCTTAAGGTTTAGTGACCACAGATTTATATTTTTTAAAATAGGCTATTTTTTAGAGCAGTTTTAGGTTCACAGCAAAATCAAGTGGAAAGTACAGTGAGTGCCCATATTCCTCCTGCCCACATAGATTTAAATTAATGAATTGCATTTTCAGAGCTCACTAATAAGAGCTAATAATTTGTTTAAATAGAAATGTTAGCAATTGCAGTCTCATCACAAACAGGTGCATATCACTTTCACTATTGGTGTATCTGTGGTACTAAGTTTTTATTTTTTCAACCAAACATTACAATCTCTCTGACAAATGAGCACAGAAACTCATGATCTCAAAAGAGTTTCTCCAACCTTACTCCCCCTTCCCAAAGCTAACATAAAATGGCATTGTTTTCTTATTGTGTTTAAGGCAAGAATTCTTAGAGTTGTGCTTAATAGATAGAGTGCCTTCACACTCTGTTCTTAGGCAGTGCCACTTCACTCTGGCACTTCACTGACATCTCTGTCAATAATGAAACTTCCCGGGTATTTAATTTCCTGTGGCATCCAGCACCCACAGTTCTCCAGTGCTCAGTGACTTTTTCTGGTCGTCTTTGGAAGAGAACCAACTATGCTTCATGCTTATGTTGGATGATATCCTAAAAATGGAACTTAGCAAGCTGGTGCTTTTCTTTCTTTTAATCTAAAACTCTCTGAAAATGAAGTTTCTGTAGCCTTACCTCGAGATATCTCCCCAGTACCATTCAGCATCTTGTAAGGACATATTGTTATTCATACCGTTGTTGGCTACAGTAGTAGGTTTTGGTGGTTTAGGAGGCAGTGCTGCAGATGAAAAAGAAAAAGTTGTTCGCAATCCCAACTACATTAGAACTAAATTTCTTTAGATGAATACTTTTACTTTAAAAAAATAAAAAGTTAGAGTAACTGAAATATATAGCATTAGTTCACAATTCCATGCAATATGGAAGATAATTTTCTTAAAAAAAATCTTTCAGAGCATGGCTCAAAAAGAAATGAAACTGAAAAGGAGAAAAGAGAGAGAGCCTTAGAAACTAACAAATAAATTGGGCTGGCCATGTGAATAAATTTCAAAGTAAATCCAGAGTCATGACATTCTGTACTTCTAGATTCTAGTTATATTAAAGTTTCATGCCTGGTCAAATCCATCTAAAGTAAGAAACTATGAACATATGAGTAGCAGGAATAACATGAGTTGGCTTTAATTTCCTCTTATTTAATTACGAAAGACAAATTTGGTCTCTGTCCTCCACAAACTCTGTTGCAGTAATAAAAAGGCTCATCTACAGCAGTATGTTTTAAGAGGAGCAATTGGGTTTCTCTAATCTTAGTATTTCAGGCACTGTTCTGCCAAAAGCCACTTTAAGAAACTCTCATCTGTGCCCTAAATCTCTTTAATATGTTAATATTCTGTTGGATAAATTGTGCTCTATATACTAGGTCTGATTAAAAATGATATCCCCCTTCCTCAATGTCAAATCAGTATTCATATATACCAATTGGTGACAAATAAAAGACTGCAGTATTCCTGAATACCTTAAATGGGGGCAGGGGGAGAGCTAACATTGGAATAAAACAACTTACTTAGGAAACAAAATAAATCTAGGATTTTTAGGTAAATTCTGTCATAAGTTTTAAAGCACTGTTACTATTTTAACTTATACAAAAAATGATTTCAGGTATCTACCAAGAATATTTTACAAAGACTAACAATAATGGAAAGTCAACTTCTTTTTTCATTATAATATCTTAATATGAGAGAGCAAGCAAAGTCTCAACATTTAGAGAACTGAGTTGTAATCACTGCTACATTTTACATGCTTTCTAAAGTACCAAGTGTTATCACTGCAAAGTGCTACACTGTTCTCATCCACTGGCAACAGAGAAAAGCAGCACAAAAGATGCATCATTTTAATTACAGGGACAATATCCCACAACATAACTCACCCAGGGAAGGATCTCGATTAACAAAAGACACCAGTGAAAAACTGGAGTTCAATTCATATCCATTCAAGTAAGAATAAGCATTTACCACACACAGCCTGAGCTGCTTGCTTCCACAGACAGTCAAACAATCTGTTTAATTTTTAAGCCATGAGCAAACTAATTTTTATCAATGAAACAAATTAATAAAAACAGAAATCCAAAAAGGATCTTTTACAGTAGCTTTCGAAAAATTAAAAAGCCACGAAATTAACTAACTCTCTACAATAATACTGCAGTATTACCTGGTGGGTCCATTTCTATATAAAACATCAAGTCTGTGCCACAATTTATATCTGTCTTGGCATATTCTAAATCCAGGTCTTCCATATTCCAAACAGTATTGTACATTTGTGCAAGAGTTTCCTTGGCTGAGCTCAGTTATAAGAAAAGAGTCCGGCTTTCTTTGTAATGGTGTCTTGGAATTCATTTTAAAACCTATAAGGGGCTGCACTGAAACCTATTACATCACACGCCCCAGCCAATCAAGTCAGAAAAATGTCACCAGACCACTCCTGCTTCATCAGTTCTCTTCCATACCAGCCTTAACATAATGCCAACCTCACTAAGAAGCTACATTTAATAGAACTGCAATATATACATGCTCATCCTTTCAAAAAGGTGTTTAATTTGACTGTTCTCCAGCAGCGAGTTTTCTAATTCCTTGTTTATTACTCCTTGCAGCATGGTACGCTCTGCTGTTGGCAGGTTGACAAAAGCTGATATGCTGCAGCTCCGAGCTTTTCTCCCCACTTAGTGCATCTGGGTTTATAGATAGCCCAGTCATTCCTTGGTTTAAAAATCTTACAAAGGCATTAAAAGGGTATACTTAAGTTATGTTTTATAGTCCTTAGATATCTCTCATGTATAAGAGAAGCAGTACGGACTACTCCTGGTATTTTAGTCCTCCATAATTCACTGAAAACCCAGAATTCAAACACTGTCACAAATGTACCACATTAGAAAGGACAGTTAAAAGAAAATGTATAGATGTCCTCCTCTACCAAACATTCCAAAGTTAAAACTAGACTTTATAGACTAACAATGAAAATTCTGAATAGGAATGCAGATGCCTATTAGCAGAAATAATAAACGTAATTGTCTGTCAACATTATTAATGAGAATTTTAATGTGACTGCCTAAAAAAACTGGGCAAAGAAAATGCTTCTTCCAAAAAGAAAGAGGCTATAGATCAGAATGCAGAGTGGAGGTATATTTATCTTTGCAAAATATTTCACTGATGAACCCATCTTCGCTACTAATACTGCTTGAACGGGAAGATGATGTAATCACTTTTTTTTTTTTTTTTTTTTTTTTTTTGCTTTTCCCCCTCTATCTCAAATGCCTCACTCCGGGACAAATATTCCTTCTTAGCACTACTTAACATAAATAAATCAATTTTGGCTCTTCAAAGTCATTCTGCATATAATCCTGTCACCCTTATAGGAGCCTACTGTACATTCTCATTGTGAACCAATCTCTCTTTACATTCACAATATTATGATGGCGGGGGGGGAGGGGCTCTTCCCCAAGGTAAATGTGGCTCATTTAAAAAACTACAGTGGGGCTCTGTGATCTATGTACACATGTATGTCACATATTTGACCATTTAAAAAACACAGAAACCCTTGAGACTTTCTGTAAAATTTGGGATCATAAAATATATTAAAAAGCAGACCAAAGGCAAGGCATTCTGTTCTCTGACGTCCCCCGTCTAGTTTAATTCATTTTCCCAGTATTGGGAAAAGCAGGCTCACCTTGTCTCTTCCCACCCTCTCCCACTTTTCTATTTGCCTAAGTTTACCTGAACTCAAATTCAAATAAAAATGGTAAAAGTGGCTGTATGCCCTAAGATTCAGAAAAACATTCTTTTTTAGTTTAATTAAAATGTCGACCCTCCCCCGAAGCAAGGAGACAAGTTCTCCGAGCAGCTGTGGCGGGTGTAACAGCCCAGAGTGCCAGTCCATGCATTTGGGAACCGTCGGTGCAAACCAGTCTGGCTGTTGGATCTTCTGTGGCAAACTAACTCAGGGAGAAGGCAGGGAGACAGGTGATTTTCCCATGGTCTCTCCAAGCCCTGGCCTGGCACCAACTTCCAACCAAGCACGTTGTAATTAGTACCTTCTTACTGAAATTCCAACCTAAACCCTATCTTTCCCAGCCACTGTCCCCCTCGAGGACAGGGGGAGTGTCTCCCCTAATCTCCCATCTGTCCTCCCCAGGCAGCGCTTACAGGGGCGCACGCACACACACGTACTCCAAGACAAACTACAGAAAGGCACCGCTCAGATAAGGAACAGAGAAGTGCACAAATTCAAGGCAACTTACTTTGCAGGTTATGCATTTCAACGGTTTCCCTTTGAAATGCCTGTATCCGACAATGAAAAAAAAAAAATCCCCAAAGCTGTTCTTCCACCAAGTGGGCCAAGCCCCCGCACCTCCCCCCAGCCTGTTCCCGGCAGGCAGTGCTCGTGTCCGGCGCCGAGAGTGCGCGCAGGAGCGGGGGCGCCGCCAGGACCCTCCGGGCGTGCACAGTGGCCCAGCTCCGCTTGGCTCGGCTCGGCTCGTCCCTCCGCCCCACGCCCCGCCCGGCAGTGCGTCCGGGCCACCGCCGCTCACTGCCGGCTCCTCATTGAGAAGCCAACTGGATTTCGCTACTGTATCGGGGAGGAAAGGAGCCCAGGCGCTCGCACGTCTCCCTTAGATAAAGATCGCAGCTTCATGATTAACTTGGGCAGGTTCAAATATTTGCTGAGCTAGGGATTTCGGGAGGGGGAGGGGAGCCCAAGTCAAAGTTGTCATCGGCTGACAAGTGGCCAATGCAAGACCAACTTGCTCATTTTCGCCTGGGAAATGAGAAGGCCATTGTGAGGGGACCTAAAATAGTCTCACTGGCTGCTGAGCGCGCTGGCTGGCTCGCGGGGCTCAAGTAGCCGACAGTGAAGCGAGGCACTATGCACAGCCAAACACAGGAAGTGGCTGAGCTAGTTCAGCAAAAAATAGAATCAAAGCCTCACTTGTAAAGGCCTGAACCTCTTGGAACAACCCAGAACACAGCGCCTCGCTCGTGTCCACCTCTTGCACCTCCTCCCACACACCAGCACAGACAGCCCTGCAGGTGTAACAGGAAAGCCCTTGTGAGCAACTCGGGCAGGGAGGAGATTACAAAAATGTTCAATAGTAAGTAGTAGGAGGGCATCCTCGGACGAATATTAAACCCCACACCATATGCATACTATACTCCATGATCATGTGACGATTCAGAATAAAACAACACTGCGGCTATTTTTATGAGGTCGATTGCAACTCGCATTTAAATGGCCATATGACCTGCTAATTAAAAGGTGTCTCTGCATTAGGTTTATGTGCCAGCTAATGGGGTAAAGGATAGAAGGGCAGAGAAGGGCATACCTTTCTAAGCGGATGTTTGCCCTTTATTTGAGAAAGTGGCAATGGACCAGACTTGGGATTACTGACTACTATTTAATTAAAATTTGATCTAAGAAAATTTTCAGTTGCATGAGCATAGATAGCTTTAAGGTTATCCAGGGAAATCACCAAACTTTACACCAGAAAGTAATTTAGAGTTCACTTCAATCAATTCCTGCATGCCATAGAGGGGAAAACGAAATCTGACCCAGGGAGGTGAAGTGGTTTACAGAAGATTATAGCCCTAAGACTAGAACCCAATCTTCTGATGGTTTCAAATGCCCTTCTCTACCCATTGTCCCTGCTCCTCACTTCCCTTTGCTAGAGAACGTAAAAAAAAATGGACAAAACTGAAGTTAATCTTTTAAGCCACATGCAAAAAATTTCACACCCCTAACAAAACTCTGGTTTTTTCTGTTTTCTATTTTTAGCTTGCTTAAATTAAAACAAAACATTTCATTCCCTTTGAAGACATAGGTTCTTTCAATAATACCCTCATACTCTGCATGGGAAAGTGATCCAGTGGTCACATAAAGTCCACACAGGCCAACAGCAGCAACTAGCTTCAGGGTTACTTGAAATATCTGGAAAGTGCTGTTAAACCCACAATGAAAGTGATTTTACAAACTTTCCTTTAGTGCAACTGATATAATATTGAAAAACTTTCCCAATGGAAATAACAGTCTATAAGTGAATCTGCCATCTGATCATAGGGACATATGGTTAGTTCAGAGAATACCCTTGCATCCTGAGCTGCATAATCTTGCCCTACTTTTAAAAATAGCCTTTCTAAAGCTAGAAACATTGGAAACATCAGTCTCCTAAGCATACCTGTCTGGATTCACATGATGTTTCATGTCAAAACCTTCTAAGATTAAAATGCTCTGTTAAGTCCACCAGTATATTTTCTGTTTCAGAAGAAAATAAGCCACTGGAAAGCAGTACTCTCTCAACGTATAGAAAGTCTTGAAATAGATTGGAAAAACTTTGCCTTAAACAAATTTCTCACAATATGTACAATCATCTACCAAAGAGGTCCTATTATATTAGGAAAGTGTGAGCTGAATCTTTTTCCCGTTGAATTTTAGTGTTTAAAAAGTGATCTGCAAGACACATGTTCTTTATTAGCTTAAAAAAGGGAGCCCTCTGCTGGTAGAACTGAATCAGTAATTCCTGCTTTGGGAGAAAACCATCAACTTTCTGTATATTTCGTATGTCCAAATTTGACACCAACTAATGTACATAATTGTATTACTGTCACTTGATCTATATGACTCACTAATTAGTAAATCAAAAGTACAGTTTTCACGAAGCTGCTAGTGTTGTAGGAAAACTTTTATTTTAATGTCAGCATTTCTCTGGGACCTCAAAGGCCTAGACACACTGGAAAACTAACTTTACCTTCTGGATTCTTTAAAACAATATGTATCATTCTCCCTTTCCTCAAAGTTTCGTAAAACTCATTTCAGAGGCAAATACAGCCCATTGTTTCACTTCTCAGCAGATATAGTTAGGAAAATGTCTCTTGATCCTTAAACTGTTCAAAAGTTACAAACTGAATACTATATTTCATATGTACAAGTCACCATCAAGTGGCAAATGTTGCACAAGCAGCTTTCAACCTAGAAAACTTCTTCTTTTTCTGGACATCATTTATGAACAAAGACCATGAAAAAAAGAATAGACAACAAAAATTAACCAAAATCTTCATCTAAGGGTAAAATGAATACCTCTCTTCATAATTTTAACTTAAGACAACTTAGAACAGAGGGCCTTTTAGGGTAATTCAAATTATTTGCTCCATATCCACTGGTCTTAACTGACATTATGCTAAGGAAAACATCCATTTAAGTATATAAATAAGCCCAGGTTTACGTATGTATAAACTCTGACACATTCTACCAGGTTTCTGATAAAGGCATCCCCACTGCTTAGCAGAATAAAGTAGTCCCCCCTGCAATTCTCCCTCAGATCTTTGTCCCTTGAGACAAAGAGACATCTGCACTGTGAAAACAAAAGTAAAACTGACTATATACCCCTCCTAAACACATACATACCAAAATACCTGTGTCTCTCAGGACACAAATAAAACTATTGTTTGACAAAACCTAGTGTGGCTTGCCCGTTTAGTTCTACGCATCTACAAACATGTAATTTTTCAAAGTTTCATTTTTCACCTTTGAAGCAACCCTCTAATGTCAGACCACATTTTAAACCAATAAAAATTAAATCAGAGACAAGTAAAACTCTTTGAATGTCATTTCCCTCTACCTTAGTGCTTGCCTTTAGTCTGGGTTGAGAACCAAGCCCAGAGCATTTAAAACAAGATTTATGAATCAGGCTCTTCAGGATGAATGTTTTGCAATGTGCCAGTGGTTAAAAATTAACTTTGACAGGTGTAGAAGGGCAAGGGGTAGAAAGAGTCATTTATTTTCCACTCTGGGCTTGAGGGTGCAATATTAGACTTCAATTATATTACATTAATATTTCTGAATATATCCATGAAATCTGAAATATGTAAATACACTTATAATGGGTTTCATTCAAAGGCACCCTGTGTTAAATAGACTTATTTTTACCTTGGTTTGCCTACAGAAATCTACTTTACCTGCCTAAGCATTAATTGGGTAAAGATAACACAATGATTCAAGAAAAAAATATTGAAAGCCAAACGACAAGTTAAGACTTTTTAGTAACAAAATAGAACAGCAAACTATCAACAAAGTCTAGAGAGCTTACTCTGTGCCCTACCTTTTCCAAATCTTAGCTTCCCTCTGTAAATGAGGAGAATCCTTATTTCCCAGGATTGCTGGATGTATTAGATGTGTTGATGTATTACTATTCTTTGAAAGTTGGAAGTTTATCAAAGAAAAATTTAGATAATTATTATGCTGTACCTAGTTCTCTGCTAGGAAGAGCTCAAAAGGAGAAAAAGCCTTTACCCCTACCCTTTAGAAATGTAATTAAGCAGATGAATAGGAAAAACTATAGACAGTTAAACATAAGGTGACAGGAAGCTTAAAGGCATAAACATACTGAATGGGTCGACTTAACTTGCATATAAAACGGGAAGGACCTACTTGAGTGCAGATAAAGTGGATGGCACTGCTTGGGGCAGCGACGTATGGTTGCATATTTTGTGCACTGTGCAAAGGCACCTAGGCAAGATGGAGGAGTGGTGATGAAATCTAGGCTGCTCCATTCACCAAGCCACATATTCATACAAAGGCACCTTTCTCCCTCCAAGCAATGTACCCACATCAGGGTGGCAACTTCCCAAGTGTCCCTTTTAGCCCCTACAGGCTCCTAGAGGCCGTAGCTCTGCTGGCTGGGAACATGGCGTCAGTAAGGAAAAAGGCCTGACAGGATTCACACAACTAATGAGGAATGGGTGGACTGAAGGAATCAGACCTGCTGAATGAGGACAGCTCCCATAAGGCCTCAAAAGCTAGAGTTGATGCGATAGATAGCAGAGAAATTATCAGTTCATTAAATCTCATACCAACCCCAGGAGAGAGGCATTAACCCAATTCCACAGTCTGGAAAACAATTTGGAAAAGCTGAGTTACTCGAGAGAGTTGAGATTCCAATCCAGATCTATTTGAGTCAGAAGCCCACTTTTTTTTCCACTGCACAGCTCATGGAGTGATTTGGAGCCTTATCCTGAAAAGTATAAACATTGCCCTGACTTTGTTTACTATATGTGACCCATGGGGGCTAATTTCACATATTTTTAGTTTATTACATGCTGGAAACTTCAGAGGAGTTTTTGATTGGACACTAAAAGCAGCCTCATTGCTCACGAAGTTTCCAAAAATCCAGGCAGCAGGGCATGGCAGATAGAATGGGCTGGAGTGTAGGAGGCGGCTCCTGGGCAGACCCGGTTTGGGCCCATACTGGCCGGGTAGCACAGAGCGAACCTCTATCTGTGGGCCTCGGTTTCCTCATGTCCAAATTGGTAAAGCTGGACAATGCTTTCAACTCTAAAATGATGTTTTTTGTGATACTATCACTTAAAATATGTACTGCTTTTGTAAAATACCAAGCCATTATTTTGTACTGTGTAATTTATTTTGAATAAGTCTTTAAACTCCATGCATCAAAATGCTATTTCTCCTTTGCCTATTCAAATTGTACCTATTCTTCAAGGCACATTTCAAGCCCTATTTCTTCTATGAGCCTTTTCTGTCTACTCCATTACCCTAGAAAGTCACCAGCTGCATTTCTAAAGTTCTTTTTGTACTTAGAGTATGTGTACTCCCACCTAGCATTTAATTAGATACTATGTGCTAATGGCTCTTATTTGAACTGATACTTTGCCTCAAACATCATAAGCTTTGTCATTTCAAGTTCTATCTGGTAATAATTAGAAATGCTGTCTATCTGCCCTATAACAGAGTCTTGCTTTTGTCTCCCTTAAACATCATTCAGGTACTCATTTGTGTTCACAACAATGTTACTGTAAATGGCCATTCGCTGGAGATGTAAGGTGCTGTGCTTTCAAAGTTCTGTCTGGTACTAGCACATGCTGTGGCAATGCTGAAGGACTCTAAGAAATTATTGCATTTTTTAAACCAGGCCTAAGAATCATTTCTTCAACCCAGGCTGCCATAGCAGTCATTTGCACTGGAGCCATTCCTGAATACGAAGATGTTCTGGATGGGGACGTTTTGTTCCTGGAGTGGGCAGTACAATGTATGCACACATGAGAGACACTAAAACAGCCATTTAATTCCAAAGGTCCTATACAAATCACACAAACTTCCTGGGAAAACGGCTCAAACTAGAGTTTAAAACCGACTTGGATTTAATTTTTTTTAAGAGGCCACATAAATACTGGGATGATCTAGCAAATGTTCAAGGCTTTGTCATCCTTTAGCAGAGCTGATGGAACTAATCCTCCTTTGAAACAGGCGCACCAATTGCTCAGCAGAGAAATGTAGGGTCCTTTGACATATCAAACAGCTTTCCGGGTGGCATTATGAAAATAGTGCAGATACCCGTTTTTACTTTGGTGGAATTAGGATGAAACTAACAAAGGCGTTTAACTAGTTTACACCAGTCAGGCTAATCAAACTCTACCACTGATTCTGCTATACCTTGTGTAGTAGAAATTCTCCAAAATTCCATGTGATAAATTCATTTGTGGGTATCTGTCAAACCCTGTCTGGCTTTGGCTTCCATGTGTCTCCTCTCTCTAGAGGAGTGGCCACTGAAAAGATCAGGACTACCCACTAGCCCTTCACTGAGAGCAGGGTCCAGCTCTACCTAGTCTCTAACATAAACCTCAACTTAAGTGCCATGTGCCACACCCCTACCCCAATTCTTTTCCACTAAGTCCAAAGGCAGCCTCTGAACACCAGCACAGAGCTCCCAAATCCATTCACAGTGACCTGTGTACTCACACGAGATGAAGCCTTTTGGCCAACCCCTGGACTGAAGTCCTAGTCCCTACCTGTTGACAGTCTTCTTTGACGTAGTTTACCTAGAATTCTGGGCACCCCTGTTAAAACATTCTGCTTGCTGTGATTTGGAACATCCCATGCTTGCCTTATCTACTATACCGGATACCTCTCTCTCACCTTTGGTACATTTTGGGCCTGTCCACATAAACCTTTCCCAATACCCGCATCTTCAGTGTTTACCTACCCTATCCTCTATCCTACCTGCTGCAGGTGGGTTTTGAGTCTAGGCCCTGGCCTCTCTTAGGCTGCCCCATCCAGATGCAAGTAACCAAGCCTGGCTGTGCAATACCCAATTAAGAAAAAGCACAACTTAACTCTCCATTGCATGAAGATGAAACTGAGTCCCCATGCCTGCTCATACAGAGATAAATATGGTAATCTGCATATATTACCTATAATAAATATATTCATGGAGTTTCATTTTAAGTTCCAGGCATAAATTAAGACTACAAGCAACACCTTTTACTGGTCCTGAAACTTCACACGTATAGTACCCTAATTACTATTCTAAATGACCAGTGTCGATTAGCTAACTTTTAACTGGTATATAGCAAAATGAGGTTGTTTAGACTTTCCACGGTAGAAGAAAAATACATCAGTTTAAATTAAATGCATTGCTAACATGGTCTACATTTCCTGCTTTGTTAAATGGCTAACTGAACAGCAGCCTGCTTTCAAAGAAGTGTCTGGCTTGCTCGAACTTGCTGCAGGGAACACTGGTTTCATACTGCTTGCATTATTGAAAATGTTTATTTTGACAGGCATTTCTCAGCATACCCACTTCCAAAAAACACATTCTAAAATACTTTAAATTATATAGTAATTATAAATCCCCTACTTTGTAAGTATTAGAAAGAAAAACAAAAATGTCAACAACTAAAATGAACTCCATAAATCTCTTCAACAACCTGAAGCATAAATGTTGAAGGGTACAGGGAACTCTCCAAACTCTCACCTAAAACCAAGATAATTTAAAATCCACAAATGTTGAAACTCGGATAATAATTAACATATACACTACCACTCAGCTATTTTTTCTTTAAATCACAAGGTAACATATTACTACCAACTGTAATTCCATAAGAAGCTGTGTTACTTCAAAGGAGGTTTATAGCCATCATTTTTTAAGGCTCTAAAAAATGAACAATGAGAGAATGTTAAATGCTCAAAAAGCATTACCTGGTGCAGGCTGTCGTTCATTCCATTCAGTTGAGATTAAAATTTCTATAACTTTTATGAGGTTTTCAGTATTATCAGAGCTGTAAGAAAGAGAGTTTATTAGAAACCTTTTCCCTAAAAGCAAACTCATTTTCATTTATATACACTCAAGTGAATGTGTGTGATAGCATCTGCACATGCATCTCTGGAGTAGTATATTCAGAATACATTTTCATGACCAATCCATTTAGGACTACCCTCATCACCCCAAAATACATGTTTGTCTCCTTTCACTTACCTGGCTGCTGAGAATCTGAAAAGCATAGGGCTGAAAATTTCAGAGAGTACTCTTGCATTCAACAGATTTTTGCTGGAGGTTTGAGAGAGCTTGAAGAAATGTTTTAACAAATACTGAAGCGTAAGCCAATACTGATGAGGTATGCTAGGCGACCTAATAAGCTTCTTCAATAGCTGAATATATTCTTCGGAGCTTTGTACTTCTACAAGTTTAAAAAAAAAAAAAAAGAGAAATGAGTAAGCGACTACTTCCAGGTATCAGTGAATAAACACCTAGAAAAGTTCTGCTCTTTCTTCAAGCTATAGGAGTCATTTAAAAAGTTGTTGGGAGAAGCACACAGTACATTTGTCCTTCTCATTAGAAAACGCATTATGAGAAAGTAGAAATCTCAGGTCAAATGGAAATGCAAAAAGCTCAGTGTGTAAAGAAACCACAAGCTGTTCAGGGTGTGCTGGCAGCAACTTACCCAGTATTGAGCAGCTTCAAGTGTGATTGGCTAACTCAGAGGAGCATCAGATAAGTATCACAGGTTTTAACTTTGAAGGTTACGAACCAGTTTCCTGTCCCCAAAGCACTTAACTGAACCTTATCTCCTAAAACTGAGAGCCATCTTCCCTCAACACATTCTGTTATGGCCACTCAGGAAAGATGACAAGAACATCCCCCATCACTGGATTCTAGTCCCAGTTCCTTGAATCTGACACTAGTACTTGGAAGACCGTGTCCTTCATTGACGTACAAACTTTGTTAAGACCAATAGGTTAACAATGAGCCATTTCTGATTCTGACATGCAGACGGGCTTCCCAAGCAAATGAGAATCTGGGTCTTCTCTTGGATGCTTGGGTGGAGGAGGAAATTTGAGGTGGTATTGTTGGGGGAGGGACAGGTTATTACTACTATTTTCTAACCACTATTTCTATATATGCAAGACATATACAAGCACCTCTACATCTCCATGTATGTTCAATGAGGTTCCCAGAAGAGAAAAAACAAACCTGGAGCTAAAGAAATCATTTCACTGTAAACGGCTGCTGGAATGACAGGATTTGGTAAGTCCAGGAGATAGCGTTTGAAAGCGTCAGCCAAAACGTGCACATCGATCATTTCCAAGTCCACGGAGGGTGTATCTAGGAAACAATTTAAGAAATATTTCAGACATTTATTTTATAGAATACATCAGTTGGGCTAATTTTCTGAACAATTTGACTCACATGTGACAAAAAAAAAAAAAAATAAGGAAGCAATATGAGGATAAATACAAGACACAAAGTATTCGTTAGCCGTACTTCTTGTAGGGGTTGCTCCGGGCATTTGGGGTAGAACAATTTTTCCTGTGGAGGTCTCTCTGACATATTGCAAGCACTTAGGATGCCTGACCCCCTGCCCATGATGCCAGTAGCAGACCTCCACACTTTGGGGCAACAAAAAATAATGCCTTTGTTATGGGCTGAATTGGGCTGCATCTTCAGTGGTTACCTACCCCATCCTCTGTCCCACCCCTCTAAGCCCAAACTCCTAATGCCTCAGAAAGTGACTGCATGTAAGTTAAAATGAGGCCATTAGAGTGGACTCTAATCCAATGTAACTGATATCCTTCTAGGAGGGGAAATGAGGACACAGAGAGAGACACACTAGGGATGCACAGGCACAGAGGAGAAACGCTGTGAGGATGCAGTGAGCAGGTGACCATCTACAAGCCAAGGACAGAAGCCTCAGGGGAAACCAAACATGCTTTTTTCTCGGACTTCTAGCCTCCAGAACCACGAGAAGTAAGTTTCTGCTTTTTGAGATGGAGTCTCACTCTGTAGCCAAGGCTGGAGTGCATCTCTGGTGTGATCTCGGCTCACTGCAACCTTCACCTCCCGGGTTCAAGCGATTCTCCTGCCTCAGCCTCCTGAGTAGGTGGGATTACAGGTGTGTACCACCACGCCTGGCTAATTTTTGTATTTTTAGTAGAGACAGGGTTTCATCATGTTGGTCAGGCTGGTCTCAAACTCCTGACCTCGTGATCCACCCGCCTCAGCCTCCCAAAGTGCTGGGATTACAGGTGTGAGCCACTGTGCCTGGCCAAGTTTCTGCGTTTTAAGCCACGCAGTCTGTGGTAACTTGTTATAACTGCCTGAGCAAACGAATACAGAACCCAAACATTTCCTAACATCCTCTGAGGGTGGTTCTGCCCTGACTGAAAAGGGTTCTAACTAGGAATGGTTAGTCATATAGTAAATGTTTCCTAAAACCTCAACAGGAAAAATTTAAAAATGCATATTCCCAGATTTCCTAAGACTTGAGTTGATATGTCTCAGAATTCATGTAAATGTCACCAACAGAGTGATGGATTCAACAGTAAGATACTACAGACTTTTAGCAACCAATCTCAAGAATATCCATGAAAATAATTTGAACATTTTTAGAATGTTTCTCCCTAATTCTGTCTGAGTATTACTAATCTAACCTGTGGATATCAGACAATCTCAGAAAATAAGATGAGCATACCTGTCCAGTAAATCCCTCAGCTGGGAAACAGGTCAAGCAATCCAATAATGGGGGTAAAACTAATCAATACCACCCTCCAGGCACTCACTACGCATGGCACTCTAAGTACTTGGGTTGGAAAAAGACACAATGCCCAGCAGAAGAAAGGGATGCTAGAAACAAAGATCTGGGGGCAGGGGTGACCATGGGCCTCTAGAAAAGGAGAGGACTTTGGCTGCTGCTGAAGGATGTACACTAGCAATGCGAAGGATAACTTGAGGAAAGTAATCTGGGGACTTGTGTACTCAGTGGAGCAAAGGTGGGCTGATGGGCAAGATACTACGTTTGTAACAGCTTTACTAATGACAGTGTTAAGAATAAATTGGAAGGGAGTGCTGCTAGAAGTAAAACTACCAGATTTAGTTCTCTGAATCAAGGTGATGGGGGTCTGAATTCTAATGCAGTTAGAAATGTACAAAATATTATCGAGACCTCATATAACTCGGTGATTGACTGCATTGGGCTGTGGCCTAGGAGAGAATGAGGAAGTATGAAAGTTTACTGCAAAGTGTTTGAGTATAAATGAGTGGGAGAAGGTAGTATCCTAGATAACCTTGAATGGAATATGACAGTACAAATCATTCTAGGTTGAGCCTAAGACTACAAAAATTCCTTGGACATATCATCATAAACCAAACTTGCCCCACTAGGTAGGCCGACGTTCCGAAAGTGAGTCACACAACCACACAGCTCTAAGAAAAGTAGGTCTGGAATAGGATATGGATAGGTCAACTTGAGGAAAAGAATTATTAAATTTAAAAGGTGAAGAGGCGAAGTGTTAAATCACTTAAATGTCCTACAAACAACCAACCAGAGACATATCACATGTTTAACAAGTGTGGGAGGGGCAATACCACTGTAGTAGATCCTCTGCATAAAGGATCTACGTTGAAGGTAATGCAATTGTGAGCATAATTAAATACTGTCAAATAAAATTGTGTGTGTGCTGCTATAGGAATTCTCTATGGTCACCACTCTTGGCCGTGCTTCTGGTTTCCCATACACTTTGCCCCGCATGTTTCATCTAATGTCTCTCTGCCCGGAAAATTAATATTACCGAATTTGCTTATCCTAAAATATGTGATAAAACATTTGGTGATGCAGTATAAACGTTAAGATAATAAATATGCACACATCCCTCCCTCAGGCAGGGTTTCCCTCTGTGCTTCTGCAGTGCTAATGAGCCACCCCTCTAACAAGACACTTCCCAAGGAGTATAATCATAGTGTGGGATTATGTGTTTCCCTACTAGACCGAGGTACGTCAAGGGCAGGGACTGTGGCTGTCACCTGCTCTTCTGGCATCCCTCAGTGTCCAGCACATACAACGTGTTAAATGTTTGTGGATTGAACTAGAAGGCTCAATCCACAAGTGAAGTTAATTCATCAAAGCCCTTTTCCAACACATGAGGTATATCAAAAGAACTTTCATAGTATATGAATAAAATTATCCTATGCAGGTCTTTGGGTAACCTTACCTTATGTCAAATTCTACTAGAGCTAGTGACAAAGTCTGTTCTATTTATCTGACTTCTGCTCTCTAAGAATCCTTTTCTGCATTGAAACTGGCCTAACGTGCTCTTCCATTAGCTATTCCTACCTGTCATGCGATGACTTTTGAAGAGCTACATAATCTTTAGGTCTGGGTTGGAGGTGTTTGCATTCTCTCCTACCTCACTTTTCACTGAGTCTACTCATGACAGGTACCCAGTAAACTCTCCAACCCTTCACTCCTCCCTCCCTCCCCCTGGAATGGAGTCTCCTCTTCCTTAGGTCTCTCCCTAGGTTAGTGGTTCCCAGTGGGAGTGGGATCCTGCCCTCTGCCATGAGCCATCTGGCAATGTCTGGAGACATTTCTGATTGTCACAACTGGGGGAGAATGCTGCTGGCACCTCATGGGTAGAGGTTAGGGATGTGGCTAAGCTTCCCACAATGCACGGGACAAGCTCCCACTCTTCCAGCAAAGAATTATCCAGCCTAAAATGTCAATAGTACCAAGGCTAAGAAAGCCTGAATTAGGTTAAATGAAACCAAAAACTGTCAGGTGAAAATCTGAATCATTAAAACTTGCATGAGACAAAGAAACAATTCATTTTAGGGCAAAATTAAAAAAGAGAAAAAAATCAAGGACTTTTGGAGTCAGAAAAATTAGCCACTAAGGCACTGAAAAATGTGAAAGAAATTATTTACCTGAGGGTCAGCTTTCTTTTCTGGTGAGTTAAAGTTACTAGGACATACATCACAAAGTTAATGTATGGATGAACTAGCATAACAGGTGCTAATAAAAGTGGGCTATTGTCTGCCATGTCTGTCCTTTTCAAAGACTGGTAATTCACAAGGTTAGTTAAAAGCCATAATTTTTTTTTTTAGGTGTAAGTGACTATTTTGGAGCTTCCTCCAGGATATTATACAATGTTTTTATGTATTGAAAAATCTTTGAGTTGGAAACAGATCTGGCAGATCCACTCCCAAGTTTGGACATCATTTATTTATTTATATTTTTTGGGGTGGGGCACAAATTTCACTTTTTTTTAGCACAGACTCCAAATGAAACCAGTTTTCTATGTGTTTTGATCTCACTGGGGAAGGAAACCTGTTGGTCAAAATGTACCATTGACGTGAATCTTGGTTGTTGACTCTATCTCACGAGTGGTGTGAAGAGTTTTTTTTTTTTTTTAAATAACTAAACTGCATCATTTTGTGTTGATCACATTATAAACCTAACCACTATTTCTCAAATAACTTCCACTTCATCGGGCTCTGATGTCTAAACTCTTCCTGTGACTAAACGTGTTCATAATTTGACCAATTTTCTGACCCAAACATGTGTCTTCATTTCAATTGGCTAAGGACAAAATTCAGCGTTTCCTTAAAGCCCTGATAAAGCTGTCAGAAACACCGAAAAACAAGCCTTTTCACCTTGAGTGTTCTGCATGTTAACTTCTAATGACCTGCTCTGTGGGAAGTGCAGGAGGCAGAGCAGCAAAGAGGATATGCTCTGTTCGCATGCAACTGATTTCCATGTACAAAGGAAAAATGGAGTTAAACATTTTTTTAACTTTTGAAACATCTGGTCAGAACATTTCAAGTGTAAGAATTTACTGATACTGATAAAGGTCTAGTCTCCTCCTTTTCTCCAAAAAAACCTCTTTTCTAAAAGTCTCAGAAGTTGCCTCATTTTGAAACTGCCTCATGCTTCAAATTCTCATTTACTGTCATGTGGGCATTCTTTGTACAATTATACCTCTGACGGAGTCCAAAACTGAGTTTCACTCTTTTTGGCTTAAACACCTAATTTCAGTTAAAATGATGTGAGGCAGTATATAATTTTTTTAAGCGTTATGAGGGAATGAAGGATCTTGAAAGATTTATAAGAAGATGACTTGCTGGAATGCTGGCAAGTAAATTGATTTGTAGTTTTTCATCTATGCCAAAGGAGGGAGTGGGTGTTTGGGGTACTAAAGCCCTCTTGGCTAAATTAATTAGTGTTATTTAACAAACTGTCCTCAATTCTTCCCAATTCCACATCCAGTGACATCATGTTGGTTAGCTTGAAATAAGCCCCGGTGGGAATATTCATGCCACAAAAATGGGCAGATGCTACAAACCAGGGCCTTTTTCTTCCTAGAGAGTTGGTTTATCAGCACACCACTGAACATAACAATATCGTGATGTTACTTAATGCACTCAACACAAAAAAAGAAAGAAGGCAAGCCAGAAAGAAAGGGAAACGGAAAAGGAAAATGGAAGGGAAAGGTAATAAAAGAAAAAGGATGTCAGAAGAGACATTTCTTAAGTGACATAGGCTTAAAAATATTTTTTAATTGATTCAGATGAATTAGATGTAGCCAAATTCAGGGTCAAGGAAAGATGGTAGATACACAGAGCGAGAGAAACACCAAGAGGTGGTTTCTCTCCTCTGCAGGACCCAGGGCCTGATGGCTATGATGATGACCAACATGCCTGCAGGGAGGCGTGCACACACTTGCAGCCCAACTCAGGAGAAAAATTTCAAAGGTTTGCACTGTTACCATAACAGGGCAGGGAGAACTGTACATGATTTGAGTTCCCTTTAAATTTAGAACACTGCATAGATTAAATTCAATTTTGTGTGTGTGCATTACCTGAAACAGAAAGCCAAGACCTGTCTTTCCCATTTGCATTTCTAGCTCTGTGACACTCACCACAATCAAGAAGCTGTCGTAATTCTGCCAGGTTGCTGGAGCTCTGTGTTCTGTATAGAGTTGAACATTCCAGACCTAGGACACAAAACAGACCACAGACCATGTATGCAAAACACAGCTCTCTGGAGAACCTGTGAGGCTGCTGCCAGAGACATTCCAGTTTCCATCCAGTATCTGTTCTAGATGTGTACCAAATATTCTTGGAAGTCAACTCCTACTATTAATCTTACCTGGCATGTTGATAATTTTGGCAAAACCATCTGGCCTCTAAGAAGAAAGTTAATCATATTTATTAAATTATGAAGAATTTAATAGTTTCCATATGGAAACTACATGATAATCTAGAGTTAGAAATTATAGACTGAGACATTTTTCCCAGTACTTAGCCCCAAACAGTTTGAGTGTCCAGCAGAGTATCTGGACATAGCTGGTAGTAGGAAATTTACTTAATGAATGCACAAGAGACAAATAATAAGAGCCATGAAATAAGGGTAGAACAAAGGAACTGATGCCCTCTAGCAGTCTGGTTACCTTTCTTTTCAATGGCTTCCACGAGCTTGATAAGAAGAGGCGGGGCAATGTCAGGAGGGGCAAACTGCTCTGCAAGATCCGGGAGAGTCAAAGCTGCAAACAACAAAATCCCACCATTGTATTTAATTTGGATAGTTGAATGCATTAGACCACAATGAAGGACGTACAAAATAATTTAATTACATCAGGCCCGAGCAAGAAGAACCCCTGCTCTGGGCTTTTGCACTTTCCAGGCCAAAGTGATATGCCCACTGCTTCTCACCTAGGGTCTACTCAGAGTAATGCTCCAGGATTTCCTGCTAAATGGCCTCTTATGGCCT
Organism: Homo sapiens; assembly: GCF_000001405.40. NCBI lineage: Eukaryota > Metazoa > Chordata > Mammalia > Primates > Hominidae > Homo > Homo sapiens. The sequence continues at coordinate 68,273,162 of NC_000005.10, read as the reverse complement.
TTCCCCCAGGTCCACCCTCCCCAGGACAAACCCCCCTGTCTAGGTACACCCCTGGGCCCCAAAGGTGGGGGGAGTGGCAGGATGGATGGGAGTTTGGATGTGCAGGGAGAAGCCAGGGATGAACCAGGATCCAGCTCTCCCCATAATACCACACTCTAGGGCAGAACTCTCAGGAGCCCAAGAACCTGAATTCAGATCTCTCCTCCTGGTCATTAGGAAGAAATAACTGCCTAGAAAGGATGGGACAGATTTTATTGAACAGTTGACATGATTTATAACAAAAATACTTAGGCACAGGGTACTTGGGCCTCTTTTTGCATTCTTGCCCCAAGCCTCACAAATGCCAGGTATGGGCTGAGTCTCAGATCCAGAAGCCAATATGAATGATCACTGCCCACTTGATATCAAAATAAATTTCTGTATAACTTTGTCAAAGCCTTTGTTTATGTATTTTTTGGTCAATTAGTAGTTTTTAAAATGTGGTGTTTTCGTAAACTTTTTGCATGCGTTTTAACCATTTACAATGATACCAAAAAATCTAACTGGATGACACTCATAAATAACATTCTTCAACATTACATTGATAACCTTATTCTCAGTCCAAAAAAAATAAATAAGACCATTGTAAGCAAAAAAATTCTCAAATTATGCCAGAAGAGGGAGCTAAATATATTCATCTTAAATTTGTGAAACTGCAAAATAAAGGTAAATTAAAGTCATTATGAAAATATAAGTACAACCTGTTTATTAGCCTCATTGCTTGCAGTCTTTTCTAGGAATAATTTATATAATCTGAGAAAGACTAAATATTTGCAATTTTGTTTCTGTGAGATTTTACCAGTATAGCTCTTTATTAGAAGCCATATACTATGGTAAACAAATTTCCTTTTTCTTTTTTTTTTTTTTTTTTGAGACAGGGTCTCGCTCTGTCACCCAGGCTGGAGTGTAGTGGCGTGATCATGGCTCGCTGCAGCCTCAACTTCCTGAGTTCATGTGATCCTCCCCCCCCAGCCTCCTGAGTAGCTGCGACTACAGTGCACAGCATCACTCCCAGCTAATTTTTTGTATATTTTTAGTAGAGACGGGGTTTTGCCATATTGCCCAGGCTGGTCTCGAACTCATGGACTCAAGCAATCCACCCACCTCAATCTCTCAAAATGCTGGGATTACAGGTGTGAGCCACTGCACCTGGCCAACAAATTTTTAATTAAGCCTGTATTTCAAGTACTAAAAGTCAACATAGAACAAATTCACGTTATGAAAGTAATGTTATTAAATTTTGATCTCAGAGAAGTATGATTAAGTCATTTTGCAAAAACATTCTTTCAGATTTCAGTATGCAATGTGCAGTACATAGATGGATGCATGATCTTTCCACCTAATTCTATTAGCCATTGCAACTACCCAGGATAAAAAGAGAAGAGCTATATTATGAGGGAAAATCCTACAGTAGCACTATTAGAGCTTTCTGTGATGATGGAAATGTTCTACAGCTGTGCTCTCTGATAAAGCAATGACTAGCCACAGCGGTTATTGAGTAAAATGCAGCCATTCCCAGTGAAGAACTGAATTTTTTATTTTAACTGATTTAAATGGAAACAACCATAGGTGGCTAGTGCCCATAAAATTAGAGAGTATAGTCTTACTTGCCTGCACAAGGGCAAATTTTGTCAATGGCAGATGAAAGATTCCCGAGTCAGCTTTGTGTTAGAGATCCCACTCTAAAGCTATCCCTGAAGACAAGGCATCTTAACATAGAGCTAATCAATATTTGAACTCAAAGCCCTGCAATGTTTACCACTCGATTTCCTGAGTGACTTTGTCCTACTGCAACATCACTGTAACACATCTTAGGTTTCATAGAAGCACAAACGACTGGCCATTAACTTTCCAGTCACTGTGCAGAGGGCTGGGTGGGAACTTCACCTCTCTCTGGTCTCTCCCACACTTGCCAGAGCTAAGCACCACCTGGAGGACGTGCTAGAAATACTGATTCCCAGGTACCACCCTAAATCTTCAGAATCGGAACATCCAGGAATGGGCTAGTAACCTGTTTGGGGTTAGAAATAAGCTTTAGGACATACTCTTTTGATAAGAAAATTCATGTGGGTGATCCTATGAAAAAATCCAGCAATGACATCTCTCAAATCCCTGTATGTTAAAATGTAAATATATCTGAAAAGCACTTCAAATACAAATGTCTTAAAGGTTTCACAGTCCAATTAAAAGCATTATAAAATTTTAAAAGAAATATTATAAAATGAAAGAGCACACCATTTCATTTCCTCTGATAAATTATAAACCACTTCCCTTTGCCTTAATATCAACTCACAAAAGTATCCTCTCTCACAAACACCTTCTACACTGAATACAATGAAATATCATCCTGTCAGCATATATAATAGAAGGGAAATATAAAGGTAGAGAAATGATGTAGAAAAGTGTTATTTATTAAGATCCATTATTGTGTCACTCCTTAGGCCCCTCAAACTAACAAGACTTAGCACACCCCAAATCTCAAAAAGCTAAAGATTAAATAGTAAATACATATCCATGCAACTCTCATGCAACCAACATGCCAATTCCTCTTCCCCTTTTCTCATAAATTACACAGGCATTTTTTTAATTAAAAAAAACTTTAATGTTGGCTCTGAAAATGGAATTACTTAATAAAGGTTTGTCTCATTCCAGAGTCTTATCAACACAATCATTTCTGCAGGCAAATATGAAAGTCAAATTAAATGATAATTAAAGATTTCATCTAATTGTGATTGAAATATGCACCCAAAAGTTGTTATATTGCTGGGCTGGCAAATGCTCCATACAAAAGGATTTCCAGCTCTTTCTTCATTAAGCTTGAAAAAATTTTTTAAAAAAGCAAAACTTCCTTGCTTTCCTTTGTCTTTTCAATGTTTTTTCGGCAAAAAGTGTTAGTTTACCTGCAGTATCCTGAGCTACAAAACATTATATGTTTTACACATTACTCATTCAGGTGTTGGACCAAGTTTCTGAAAAGCACTGTGCTACACCAAGTCAGGATCTGTGAGAACACTGGAACTTTTCTCAAAAGGCACACCAGATTGCTTTAAAAAGAAAAAAAAATACACATGGGTACTAGGAAGTGTAAGTACTCTTTTTGTAATGTATTGAGTGACTCCCCACTGAATTTGTAATATTGAAAAAAGCTTTATCGCTCAAATGTATGAATCATCATAGCTGATCAGGATTTTGCAACTGGAGTTTAAAATGGTAAATTTTACAGGGATTTTTTTTTTTTTAAATAGCAATTCAAAGATTTTCTATTCCTTAGTACAAAATGTCTGCGAGTCAATCCATTTCCTCTTTAAAATATTTAGACATGGTGAATGTGAAAGTTCTACCCAAAAAGCTTTAAAGTTTATATCATCTACTTCCAACAATAGGATCAATTAGCATTGAAAGTCTAAAAAGTCTTTTAAAACAAAATATTAATTTTTATGACAATCCTAAAATCAACTATGCCTTTAATTTTACTAAATACACAAGGTCAAGAATTACTTTTCCATTAGATTCCACTTTAAGAAATTCCAACAGGAAATGACAATTGCTAGGAATTACCAAATTTGGCAAGGTGTTCTTTGAAAAGTCCACAATAAAGCACCATGTTACAAAGTTTGATAAACCAAAAAATAATAGTACTAAAAACAAAAAGATGCAAATATTATCAATTATATAGGGTGGGGTATGGAGCAAACACAAATTAACAGAGCACCATCCTCCAACAGTTTACATTTAAATTCTCATTACAGTTCAGCTTTTGATTTTTATACCTGAATAAGTAATGGGTTTTGGTTGTGAAGCTTGCTGTAGCACAGTGTATAAGTGTGGAGAACCAACTCCACTCTTAAGAATCTGGGCAAATTTGTTGATTCCTTTACTACAACCCAATCCCAGTTTTTCACTAGCTAAATCATTTTTCATTGAAAGAAATCAGTATTGCTTAGGAAGAAAAGGATAAAGATCAGCAGAAAGGTTTAAAAGTAGTGAATCCAAGACACGCATTATTTCAAAAGAAAGGAGGATTCAGCCTTCAATGTTGACCAGAACACCAATGAACTAGGTGTCCCAGGTTGTAGGAAGAATATTTGATGACACATCCGATGCTGCATTTTCCACTCGTTCTAGTTTTCCCCCTTTGCCCTGGTGACAGCCAATCACATGGAATAGAAAAAGAGCCTTCTCTCCAAACTTCAGCCCTTCCCAAACCACTAACATGGACAGGCCTCGACAGTCCTTGGGCACCAGCGGTGTGTGGGAGACAGTGGCATTCTTTGCATTAAGTGATGCCAACACCGTTATGAAGTGCAAAATGAAACCACCACACAGTTGCACCTTCTGGAGGCATTCACCATAAAAAAAGATATTTTGAAGTTAGTGCCTGGCAGGGCCCACTGGAAAGTTTAAGCTGAAACACTGGGACTCCAGAGGCTGCCCAAGCCAAATATTTCATTACTGATGGAAGCAGTTTGGAAGTGTGTGAAAAACTGCCACTTACCTCTAAAAATGTAATACAAAGAAAAGAAAGTGTATATGCAAAGTGTGGATCAGTATTATATCAAGATGTTTGTCTGCTAACTGCTGCTGAGTCAAAGCTGTTTCTGTCTGAATCTCTCTCAGGACTTCAAGTGAAAAATGTATATTCTGGTGGGCAAATCTAATCCCAATTCTTTTCTTAAATAAACCTTTAAAGCATATTCATACTTTATGCTTGTAATGATTAACACCCTGAACTTTAAACTTATTAAGCTTTACGGGTGACACTACAACAAATGATGGCCTGTGCTCTTTGACTAAGCAAAAACAAAGCAAAAAAAACAACGATGACTTCCTTAATTTTGGGACACATCTGTTTAATCAGTAGTAAAAAAGTGATTAGAAGCAGAGCTTTAAAGCCAAAGAGGCTTAGGTTTTAATCCTTGCTTTGCCACTTACTGAATTCAGTAGTCTTGGGCAAGTTAGTTAACTTGAATCCCATTTATTCATCTGTAAAATGGGAGTAATTATGTGCAGTAATAAGGATTAAATAATATATATATATAAACATGACAGGCATCGTGCCCAGTATGTAGAAAGCACAAACTAATAGGTAGTTATTATTGTTAGAATTAGTCATGTAATCTTTATTATTGTTTAGATTATGGAAATACCCGATTGCAATTGCAGGTTTTAAGACCAGAAATTATCATACTTAGACTGTTCTCAATACTTTTCTAAGGAAGCAAGCTGGAAGCACATTTGCATTTTGCCTTGTATATATTTGCATTTTGCCTTTGTATATATAAACAATACTCAAAATCTTCAGAAGTCAAAACCAAAATATTTTCAATTTATCATACTTTCCCCAAAAGGACCACAATACTAATATATTTGAGATATTAGACTTCAGTTTTCTGAATGTGAAGACAAAATGAAGTTGGAATGACTGTGTGCTAAATTATATTGAGTGTGGCCGAAACAAGAGCTTTTTTTTTTGGAGGAAGAAGGAGAAAAAAAGTATGCGCAACTGAAAATGAGAGTACAAAGAGTAGATGTGGAAATAAATCTTCAGCCATAACTACATTATTTTCAGAGATAACTAGCAGGAGGGAATTAAAAGAGTTGCCGACAGATTTAAACTAGAAGTTTGCAAATCTCCTCAGATATCCTAATTAGTCTTTAATATCGTTAAGTTTATCTTCTCTCATTTATCTCTCCTGCTGCACAGCTAAAAACAAATGAAAGGGAATTGAGATCCTCTGTCCATTCGTTTTATTTCTAGACAACAGACTGGTATAGAAAACAAACAGCAGGCAAAGATCTTATTAAACCTAAGCAGACCTAACAGCTTTGTTTCTGACGGGCTTAGCTAAAGCCTCAGAGTTAGGAGGTAACTGAAATGCAAGATTACATTTAATCTTTGACAGGCTAGCCTAATTAATTGTGATCCTTATCACCTAAATTGGAGTTTGATTCTAAGATTACAATTTACGGTGTACAGCAAATTAAAATAGCTAGGCAGGATGTAAATGGGGAAGAAAGGGATTTCCTCCTCTCCTCACCAGAAAAATAATTTATACCTGAGTCCACAGGATTTTTGAAGCCAATGATTTATAAGGAAAGTTGGTCTTTCGGTGTGCTAAGAAAGATTTCATACGAAGTATGACCCAGAAGCCCCCAAAAAGAAAAAAGACAAATCACAGGCCATGACACACAGTGGGCGGTAGGCTGTTTGCTGAATGAATGATTAGTACTGAACATCAACTAGGAGCCACATTCCCACAGTAAGTATTTTACAGAAATATTTTCATTTATTTTTCATAGCAGTTCAAAGGTGTATAGTCTCTATTATCCCCAGTTTAAAGGCAAGGAAACTATTTGTCCAATGTCACAAAGCTCTTAAGTAATGCCTATGTATTTAGTTTGGGCTTGTCTTCCCTGCGCCAGAGTATACAAGTGCCAGTCAAGGAAAGAAGCTTATAGTAAGTTTCCCAACACTTCCTGCAAGCCTCCCTTCTTTAAAAGGTATCTGCAATAAGGGTGTTATGAAACACACAGATATCTGATGGTCAATCCCACAAGGGAATAACCTTAATACTTTCTGATTATGCTCAAGTTAAATGATCTTGATAATAGCAGTTTTTGTACTTCCTCCCCAAATAACAAGTTAATATATTCCCTCTCATTATGAACTACTTTGAAATGCAGATAATTAACACTGTAAATGGAAAAGCAATAGGAGCCCCTATTAATAACCAGAGAAAGGCAGGGGCATTCCAGATGAACCACACTATCTCTGGCTGAGGGCAAACTTGTGGAGACACTTCTTTCCTACTTACATGTGATGATAAATTTCAGAGTCAAACTTATAAAATGTCATGTTAGAAATGCTTAAAAATAATAAAGCAGAGTTGTAAAATGTAACTTGAGAAGCTGCGATGTCACAAGCAATTGAAGGATCCCCTGATTAGTATTAGGAGAGGGCAGGGGGATGGAGAGGAACTGGACAGAAAGATGCTACTGGCAGACTAGAGACCAGAAAGAAGCTTTGGATCCAGGCTGGGACCTCACTGACAGTGCAGAAGCAGGCCACTGGCTGACCAAGGAGAAAGTGAGTGGGTAGAGAGAGAGAAACTGCCAAAAAGGCAAGTTTGTCCAGCCAGACCGAACAAGCACTCTTAAGAAAGCCTGGATGGAAATAAGGAGAAAAAAGCAGCACCAGATTCCTTTTAAATAACTATAGAGAGTAGGGGGTTTTTTCTCTGACATTTTTAAATATCCTGAAAAGTTGAAAGAATTGTTTAGTGAACGCCCACATTATCTTTCACCTAGATTCTACGATTAACATTTTCATATTTGCTTTATTTACATATTTATCTGCCAGCACATTTTTTTTAAAGATGCATTTTAAAGTCAGATGTGGAAGTCAGTTGCTACAGACTGAATTGTGTCCCTTCCCCCCAGATTCATGTTGACGCCCTGACCCTCAATGTGATAATATTTGGAGATGGGCCTTTGGGAGGCAGCTGAGTTTACAGGAAGTCATGAGGGCAAGTGCTCTCACGATGGGATTAGTGCCTTTATAAGAAGCAGCACCAGAGACCTTTCTCCCCACCCTTCCCATGTGAGATCACAGTGACAAGGTGGCAGCCTGGAGGCTAGGGAGAAGGCCCTCACCAGAACCCAACCACACTGGCACCCTGTGAGAAATAGATTTCTAAATGTCTATGGTGGTACAGACATAAACACCAGTCTGTGGTGTTTTGTTATGGTAACCCTGACCTAACACATCAGTACACTACACCCAAAGAGAGGAATGGAACCTTGTCTAGAAAATGTCAATGTCAAACACAAATTCTGTAAGTATTTAGTAAATAAATACCCTCTGCGTGTCAGAATATTCCCAAGGGCAGTAGTTTGAGGCAGTGGTTCCCCAACTTTAATGTACATATTAACAGCCTGATTCAGGAGGTCGGGGTGCAGTCTGGGATTCTGCATTTCCAACAGGCTCCCAGGTGATGCCCATGCTGCCGGTCCTCGGACCACAATCACACTTTGAGTAGCAAGGATTGGGGCTGAGCCCACCAGCCACAGAGAGAAAATCCAGACCATTGTGGGAGACAGAATCCCAATGATTGACCTTCTTACTGATAACTTGTTGCCTACATGCCTGAGTTTCACAGGCTGATCTTACACCAGACCCCAAATGATACTGACGGACCGGCGGGTCTAGCTATCATATCAAATTTGGTCTGATACCACAACGAATTAGGTATCAAAAGAGAGACTAGCAGCCAGGAGCTCTGCTGCCCTGTGCACTGTGTACTGATGAGTGGGGAGGGATTATGTGAGCCACAACTTGCCCAAGGTCCCACAGGAAGTTCAAGCCGAGGACCCAGGCCTCCTGATGCCCATGCCAGAGCCTTTCCTACCTCGCCACATTCAAGAGGACTTTGCTCTTTGTATCTCCTGTGGGGTGGGAGGAGTTAGGGAGGGACAGAAAATGTTAGGCTGATTACAAATCACTACTACTGCTGATTAATTCCCATGTAGTGAACACTTAGTGTAAGAAACTCTGCTCAGCGTTTAATCTCATTTAATCTGTACAACGCTCTAAGAAATTATCACTGTCCCCATTTTACAGATGAGAAAACTGAGATTAAGAAAAATTAAACAAGTTACCTAAAGTCATACCAGCAGTAAGAAATAAAGCTAGGATTTTACAGAACAGATGGGACTTCAAAGCCAATTGTAACCACTCTGTGAATCTAGGTTGCCTTTTTAGGCAGACAAACTGCATGATGCCATATGTGAGGTTAAAAAATCTTTACGTGACACTGATGGACAAGCACTTGGCGACAGTTGCAACCCTTAGTGACAAGAGGTGCATTTTTTTAACTTGAGCTTGGACTGGCAGGCCAGCTTTTCACCATCACCTCTGCTTTATCAGTATTGAAGCCTTGCCAGCTCACTCAGCCAGGCTAAATATTTTCAAGACAGCATTTATTAAATATTTTCTCATAAAGCTAAACAAAGCACATTCTTCCCCAAGGATGTAATGGGTTTTATCCAGCTAAATATAGCTGGCTAACTTATCACTTTTAGCAAGGTACAAAAGACTCTTCTAGTTAATCATCAGATGGACAGAGGGCCCTTCAAATCACTTTTTAAAAATATATATTTTGTAATGTATATTTGCAAGCATCACAAAATGAAATCTTAGTAAAATATGCTTAACAAATATATGAAGGGAGTTGAAGCATCCATGATCAAAAAGGGAGAGGAAGGGAAAGCAATGACCTGTGTGTGGAATTGCAGAGAAAAATAAAGGCAAGAAAGGCAAGAGGCCTGAAAACATTGTACAGAAAATTCCCTATCAGCTGGTGCAGAAGAAATGCATAAGAAAATAATATTTATTCAGACTTCATTTTAAAAGTTTGAAAAGATCACTGATATAAGACTATATATATTAAAAGGTAACAATTTTGAGATAAAAGTAAACACAATCCTTAACAATTGTGTAAGGAATCAGAGTTTAACAAAATGAAGCAATATACTTTCACTACTTCAGACAAAGGTGATTAATTCTGGTGGGCTAATACATCTTCATATCTCACAATAGACTATGATCAGTAGTGAAATAAACAAGAGGCTACTCACCTCTCTACTAAAGAAATTAATGGGCTTCTTCTGGTTATGGTTTTAGAATTATAATTTTAGATGGGTCAATTTGGGCAGATGTTGAACCCTATCACTACATTCTCAAAAAAGCTCAGGATAATAAATAGTACTATAGTTATTTGTGCCAAACCAATGCACTTAAAAAAAAACAACAACACACAAAACTGTGATATACAGAAGGCCCTATAGATATAGCAGAACTAAAATGTAGAATATATATATATTTCTACATATATAGATATATATGTAGAAATATATATATAGATATATATGTAGATATATGTATATATAGATATATATGTAGATATATGTACATATATAAATATATATGTATCTATGTATCTATATATCTATGTATGTATCTATATACATGTATCTACATGTATATATGTATACATGTATCTACATGTATCTACATGTATATATGTATACATGTATCTACATGTATCTACATGTATATATGTATACATGTATCTACATGTATCTACATGTATATATGTATACATGTATCTACATGTATCTACATGTATATATGTATACATGTATCTACATGTATCTACATGTATATATGTATACATGTATCTACATGTATCTACATGTATACATGTATCTACATGTATCTACATGTATACATGTATCTACATGTATCTACATGTATACATGTATCTACGTATACATGTATCTACATGCATCTACATGTATATATGTATACATGTATCTACATGCATCTACATGTATATATGTATACATGCATCTACATGCATCTACATGTGTATACATGCAGATACATGTATCTACATGTGTATACATGCAGATACATGTGTATACATGTGTATACATGCATCTACATGTGTATACATGTGTATACATGCAGATACATGTGTATACATGTAGGTACATGTGTATACATGTATACATTAGATATGTATCTATATAGCTATGTATCTATATGTATACATATATAGATATATGTATACATATAGATATATATGTACATATATAGATATATATATGTATTCTACATACATATATATGTAGTGTATGTGTGTGTGTGCGTGTGTGTATATATATATATATATAAAAATTATAGAAAGAAGCCTGGTCATGTTCTCAAAAAGATTCTCAGAAATAAGCCAACAGATACAGAGAGGTGATATTTGAGTAATGAGTGAATTCTAATAATTGCTTAAGAGTCAGCAGGGAGAAAGTTATGTCAATATAGACTACAGCTAACTGGTGAAAGGAAGGGGCAAACTAAAAGCTTCCCTCAGAGAGGGAACTATTCAATCAGTCGTTTTAATTAACACTTTAGATTCCTGATGGAAATACGCTGTTAACAATCTGTAGATTGAACACAGCAAAATGTTGGCTTCCTATAATGAAAGTCCATACAATGTTAATGAAAAAGTAGCAGTGACTCAGGCTGGTGGATGGCCCAGAGGTGAAAGCAATCATTTATCACTGCGGGGTACTCCTTTCTGCATTATCATCTCAGAGTCGCCTCTTCCTTAACAACCGTAATAACCTATGCTCCACTCCTCTGTTGCACCATTTCTGTCTTCAGCAGAAAGGGAAGGGATAGGGTCTGAACCACGGGAGGGAGTTTGTACATTTTGTTCTATCAGATTAGGCCTCAGTAACTTTATGAATTATAAGCTGTCAACTACTTTTTCATCTGCTATAGAATATGCTTCTTAGAAATTGTGGCTATAAATAAAACAACAGATGTTTTTTGTTGGCTCTAACATGAGCTTGAGTAATTTTTTTAAAAGGGCTAGAAGTTAAGCAAATTACCTAAAAGGCTGTTTCAGGTTTCCCCCTGTTGGTCATCTTTTATGTTAGCCTTCTGAAGACATTCATTTTAGCCCATAAATTACTTTTTGGGGCCATTTAATGTAACCTACTGGAAAAACTAGAAAGGGGTTTTCAATACAATTGCTTTCTTTCTGTGACTTTTTTTTTTAAAAGAGTATTGATTAAATCCCCTATTTATGATTGTCACTATTATCAAATAAAAAGCAATTGAAAAGGCACTGTGCACTAGTAGAAAAAATTTAGACAATAGATGAGGCCATATGTTCCAGATTTTTCTGCCAACAACATGTTGGTAACTTTGGGCAAAACATTTAATGTCTCCAGGCCTCACTGTCATAACAGTGAAGTGGTAATGGTTTAACTAGATGTCCTAAAATCATTTCTAGTGCTTAAATTCTGTGTTTTGGAGAAAATGTCAAGGAGATCACATGTCCCAACATAAAATTACTAAATTTACATTTAATCACAAATTACTTAAAAAATAATTCTATATTATCTTTAGCCACTGTGTGTTGAAAATCTGGAAGAAATCACAGGCATCTGGAGAATGACTGGAGTTGGCACCAAGCGAAAATTACTTCAAATATGGAGGGAAGGAAGTTAAATAAATGGGAGAATGGCAACATTTAATTATACTTCACTGGGCTACACTAACTTATAATTTCTAACCCAGGGGATAGGTGGTTTAAAATAGTGTTTTGGTATACATTTTCACTTTGCCAGAATGAACAGTAAAATTCAAAATGATGAAAACATTTCTGTGACTTCTGTATGTGGATCTAACAAAAGACAACTAATTCCATGTTCTTAAATGTATTCCAAAGTTACAACAGCTATAAATCAGAGAACGTAATTTGGCTTCTATAAATCATGGGGTTGCGGGGAGAAGAAGATCATGAAATTGAGAGCAATATGAAGAGAGAGAGGTGAACTGTCACTGCCCTAGTCATTTAGGTTATTTCCTTGAGTCATGATAACAGCCTTGTGAAACACATCAACCTCATTTTGTATGTGGGAAAGAGACTCAAGAGGTTTGGTGACTACACCAAGATCACTTAACTAGTGTTTGGCAGAGCAGATATTACAACCTCTGTCCGGCTGCATCCAAGGGCCCTTGTCTTTCCACTTCATCTTTGATTTTTTTTCTCCTCTTTTCCCTCTTTGAGTTTCAGCATTAAATTGCCAATAAATGCAATTCATTTGGACAGTTTGAAATTTTTAACCCATGCATGCACAGCACTGCTGGGCTCTAAGAGATGGCGGGAGGGGAGAGTCCAAGCAAAATTAGCTCATGATCTACACAGTGAGTACAAGTGACAGGGATAAAACAGACAAAGGGGCTTAATTGGAAGTCATGATACTTACAGGAAACTGCTCCATTTCCAGAACCTCTGTGGGTTTATCCATTCCCCTCTGAGAGTCATTTAATTCTTTGGAAAATAATACATTCTCAAAAATGTGGTATTTCTGATCACACAAGATCAGAAATAATATACTAAAAGCTGCCCTTAGTATTTGATGCTTTCATTACCAAGAAGCCAATAATAATCATGGCCAATATACACAACGTACTTAACATGTATCAGGCTCTATGCTACGTTGCTTTACTAAAATTATCTCAGAAAATATAATCTTTCATAACATTATAAGAAAGGTTCTATCATCATTGTCATTGTACAGAGAGGAAAAACAGGCTCAGAAGTGATTTGTCCAGGCTCATATAGCTGTACTAGTCAGCACCAGGATTTAACTGATAAGAGATGACCTGGTTTAGAGGACATAAAGGCAGCTCCCTTCCAAGAGATCCTTATGTACTAACTGAGTGTCATCCCATGAGGTCCCATAGGGCATATGGTTTCCTTACAAACTGTGCCCCTTTTGGGGGGCAGCTCAATGCACTACTTTGGACATTGACTGCCAAGAGCCAGGCAACAAAGTTAGAAAAAGAGTTCTCTAGCCAAAAAGACCTGGAAAGTAGAGAGTCCAAGAATAGCCACTCTTTGATCCATTTCTCTACTTACTGTAATTTTCTTTGTCTAAGATATTCTATGGGATGTTTAGCATATCTGGTGTATGTTTACCAAATGAGAACAGAACCCCTCTCCTCACGCCCATGGTGATAGCCAAACTTCCTCACTCTTGAAAAATCACAGTAGAAGATACACTGTTTCCATAGTCATGCCTTCTAGCAGCTGATCATTCATTTTGGAAGAAAAGATGCAGATACACAAAATAGTCAATGAGTAGAGTTTAGATGAGGAATTAAGAGGAAGAATGACTTTCAGTGCCCTGTAAATAGTGGGGTCTCGCTGTAAGCCACACATGTAATTTTACATTTTCTAGTAGCCACATCACAAGCAAAAACAAAAGGTGAAATTTAATCTTTTATTTAACCCCACATATCCAAAATATAATCAACATATAATCAATATAAAAATTATTAAGCAGATAGTCTTCATTTCTCTCTTGTTTTATGCTCATAACACATCTCAATTTATAGCAGCCACCTTTCAGTGGCTCTGTGTGGCTTTGACCATGTGGCTGGTGGCTCCTGCACTGAGCAGCATGGCTTTAGAGGATGGCCTTCAATTTTTCTTTAGTGTGAACTTGGTTACTTAGAGAATGTGTTAGCTTTGAATACACAGCTAAGTATAAAGAAAAAAAGTATCATATTCCTTAGATGCTAAGAGGGTCAAATAAGAGGGTCTGTGTCCTTTTACTGTTAGCATGTATTAGATAAAAACAGCTTAACTCTATTGGAAGGCATTTAGTCGAAGTTGAGCTGGGGGCACTGATAGTGTTTGTTATGTACTAAGAACCTGCTGCAATACTAGGAACTTGGCATCCTGGCGTTTGTCACAATGCAGGGTGTGGAGTCAGAACAGCTTCAGAAATGGTGTGATTAATAACAGTTTCATCTGATGGCTCTCCATCTGCCACTGGCTTCCCTTAAAATAAGCATCAAAAGTGTCTGTGCACCTCTCATTAGAGACGGTCTGCTGACTGCAGAAGACAGAAGGTTCAATGATCAGGGAAAGACTGGTATGGTTCGGCTATTAAGTCAGAAAACCTAAGGCCTGCTTAGGTTCACATCTTGACATTATGAGCTGCAATAATTTCATTTACAAAGTTAGTGGTCATTAACATGTCTGATACTGGCTACAAGACAAATGAAAATAACTTAAAGAGGGCAGAGGTCGAAATATGTACATAGTATTAGAGGAAGAGGCAGGCACCTTAAGGAGCTGCTTTTCTTCCTGATAAGATGGCTCAGAGATGTATATAACACAGGATCCTCAAATTCAAAGTCTCTAATACATCCTTTTTCCAGAACATGCAGTTTAATGAATCCATTCTTATAGAACATGGAACCTATTTTTCAACTGTGTTGGTTATAATATAAAGTGCATTCTGGGCTTCAAACTCCTACTAAAAAGGTAGCATCCCCACGAGCTATGGAGGATTTTGAAGCAATTTAGCACCTCGTGCTGTCAGATGTTTTCTTACAACAGGTGCCCACAGTGCTTGCTCTTGGTCCTAAAACCTGACTCTAAGTGCATAGACTGAAGCTTCAACCCAGCTCCTAATTGACTCTTCTAAGAAAAAATGTGTTCACAGCTCAAATATCTGCTTCCAGTTTGGATCCCCAAGGGAAAACTATGTCTTCTAAAAAGTCAGGGTGCTATTGTTTTCTCTAAGCATAAAATGTGTTTTGGGTGTCAGAAACTGGAAGTGGCAAGCAGTTCCCAAACTCAGATTATACGATAACATTATAAATAGCTAAAAGGTACTGAATCAAAAATTATTATTCAGGAGAGGCAACAAGAAGATAACAGGGAATTATAGGCAAGGGAGTTTCCTTTGGAAATGTTAGTTCCTGGGGAACAGAGGCTATCTACAGTGGATGTCTGAAAAAGGCAATGAGGAGAGGACAGGGAATTAATATTATAGACATGGAATCTTCTTTGGAAATGACAGTTCCTGGATTTTAAAAGTGCTATATATAGTAAATGTTTGAAAATGTTAAACTACTCTGCAAAAATTGTCTAACAAAGGAAGGAAAACATAACTTTCCAGCATAGGAGTAAAAGTATTAGCAGAACATAATAAATTCAAAGTGTAGTACAGCCCATCTCTCCCCACCCCAACTGGCTGTCACAAATACATTACTCCCCTGTGGGGCCTGCCTTTGCACAGCCAGCCAGCCAAAGGGGTAAAAAGAACAACATTAAACCGTAATTACCGGGGCCTGCCTTTGCACAGCCAGCCAGCCAAAGGGGTAAAAAGAACAGCATTAAACTGTAATTACCAGCCCTTTGTTCATGGGTTACTCCTCCATGGTTATGTCTGCATTTTCATGTGATTTTTGGTAGACAAGACAGGGTGAAATGTGTGGGTCGGGGGAACTTCATGGCTCTTCCTCTGGATGGAGCAGCTATCAGCCACCTGTTCAGATTGCCTTGCGTTATGTACACTTTTACTTGCTCCTATAATTTAAAATGCTGAAGGGAAAAAAGCAGTAAGATTTTAGGGTAATCTGGGCTTGGCTGGGCCAGGCAGCTCTTGCTTCTGTGGTGCTCCCACCTCAGACTGGACCATGAAAGGTCCTGGGTTCCTGGTGGCACATATCACAGTGATGGCTGAGGAGGCCCCATAAAGCACGTCTTCCCTCTCCCTGGAGTGGCCACACCCTGAGACACATGCTCTGTACCACAGGACAAGTACTAATGTACTGCATCCCCGCCACTTGCCAGGTAACCAAGTTAGCTAAAACTGGCCAGGTGAATGTACTAACCTTCTTCAATAGGGCTAGGGCTAGGCCAAACTGAAAAATAGGAGGCTTGTCTTGAGCACTTGTTTTTTCTTTCCCAAACTTTTTTTTTTTTAACCCAGCTTGGCATTATTTTTTGTTCTCCATTATCTCACACTCTTGCTAATTGCCCCTCTCAATCCATGAGACTACATAGTGAATTTTGCACAACTGAGACTAGATGGTCATTCTGGATACCCATGTATGCATACTGTTGGTGCTTCAACAACAATCAACTTCATAAGGTAACAGAAAAGAAGTACAGCAATAATACCTTGAATTTATGTAGCCCTTTAAAAAATTACAAAATGTTGCTGGGTGCGGTGGCTCACACCTGTAATCCCAGCACTTTGGGAGGCCGAGGCGGGCGGATCACAAGGTCAGGAGATCGAGACCCTCCTGGTGAACACGGTGAAACCCTGTCTCTACTAAAAATACAAAAAGATTAGCTGGGCGTGGTGGCGGGCACCTGTAGTCCCAGCTACTCGGAAGGCTGAGGCAGGAGAATGGTGTGAACCTGAGAGGTGGAGCTTGCAGTGAGCCGAGACTGCGCCATTGCACTCCACCCTGTGCGACAGAGCGAGACTCCGTCTCAACAAAAATAAATAAATAAAAAATTACAAAATGTTTTTATACTTTTTTTTTGATATTCAAAGAGAAAAACAGAGTGGGGTGGTCAGAATGGAGAAAGACTCAGATTAATAACCACGTTCAGGCTGTTTTCATTAAAGAACAGAAAAACATCTAGTTTAAGGAATCAAGGTTGCTTTGAACTATGCACTATTTTGAATAAACAGATACTTGATGTTAAAGATTTTTGTGAACACGCCCCTATGAATTCAGCATCCCACTCCTTTCAACCAGGTGCTTCAGTAGAAAGAATAAAACCACACCACAAAGGCAGTCAGTTACCAAGCCTGCAAGGCCCATGGCTCTGTGGTTTTTGAAGATATTATCAGCATTTTAATGTGAAACGTCTTGCAGACCCAAAGCCCCAAATAATCACCACTTTTTGGGAATTTGTAATTTTCCAAATGACAACAAGAACATTTATGACTCTGTATATTATAATCTGTCGACTACAAGAGCTATTAATGACAAGAGAATTCCAGTGCTATAGGGAGCAGCTTTTTCACATTGATAGCCGTATGTTTCACTTTCGCCATCTGATTTCCTTCCAAGTTAGAAAAAACAGTGGAGACAATTAAATACTGAGACTGAGAAGTAAAATGAAGCTAGAGCTCAGAAAAGCAAACTTAAGTGTTTTCCTCAACTCCCATTATCTTCACAAAATCACTAACTCATTTCCCCCCCAAGCACTATTTTTGGGGGCAGGGCTTCAAATTAATGCATAGTCTATGAAGGTCATGAAGAAGCAGCTAACAAGTGACATTTGTTTTACCCCACTGCTGAAGCACAGGATGAGGCTGAATCGGAGGCTGACCCAGATAATGATGGTATTGGGATATAGCTTAGTGGAGAATGAATACCTCCAAAGTCTCCCAAACCTGAATCACCATTTGTTCCTTTACAACACTAACTTCCCTTTATCGGTAAGAGTGGGTTATTTCTTATATCCATGGCACGGAAAAATCTTTATCTGACAAAAATTTTGAGAGGACCAAAAAGTGAGTACTTTGCAAATCAGGGACTGAAACAATTCTCCTTTGGTCATTTTAGAAAATCAGATGCTGCTAAATTTCATCACCTACTTAGAAATCTCAGAAGCTCTAATAAAGCCCTGGAGCAACCCAAAGACAAATGTTCCAGGCCATTCCAGATTCATTTCCCTTGAAGGATCTCTCACCAGTAAGTGCAGCCTCTGAGCAGCAGCTCGTCCATTTGCAGAAAAAAAATTGTGGCCTGACTTGTGTCAACTAGGGACAAAGGCAGGAGAAGAATTTGGAGGTTACTCAGTGGAAAATTTAGGAATAAGAATCTGGAACCTTAAGAAACCTTGATTTAATTTAAGATACTGCTTTGTTTGCATCATAAAAAAAAAAAAGAAAAAAAGAAAAAGACTGTACTGATGCAATCTACTCCCCTGTATTATATAAAATTTTAAGACCTAAAAGAAACACGATTATGGGTATGAACCATAACTAAGCATTTCCAAGAGTGTCTTCCCTTAAATCACATTAAAATTGTAAAAGTAAGTTACAACTGGTGACAGGCCACTTATTAGTCCATTCAGGCCAGCTCCAAGATAACAATGACTTTAATATCAAACCAATATTCCATAACCCTCTCTTTAGAATTCTTGACATGAGGTCACTGTTTATTGAAGGCTTCACTAAAATAAAGTCTTTGTAAAGATACCCTTGGGGTTAGAGGCCTAAGATGAAAATACCTTAATATGATTTCTCCTTTATAGAGAGATTCCAATGTCCCAGCCATGGATCATTCATTCCTTTGGGGGTTTTATTTTTTATTTGTTGGAAGAGTAGATGATCCCTCTGGTCCTTTTCAAATCTAAAATCCCATGATTCGAAACTCTTTTCAGTAAACTTCCAATTTTCCATACTAATTGATGAAGAGAGAGAACAAGAGAAGGGGCTTGACCATACAAAACAATGAAACATCTCAACAGTTTATATGTAAGTTAAGGATGCAGAATCATTCTTTTCTTGGGAATAAGTCTCTCCTGGTTTATCTTTGTATTTGGCAACTGCCAGAGAACAGGGAGTTCACAGAGCAATCCTGAGAAGTTTGCTCCAACACTGACTGGTCAACTGATTTATACAACATTCGAGTGTGCAGACTCACATTTACTTGCTGCATTTATGACCAAAGGGCAAACATTTAAAAATCACTCAAGATTCTGGAAAGGTTATAAAATACAAAAAAAAAAAAAAAAAGGGGGTCCACGGGAAAATAAAAAACATGACATTTATTAGCTCTTTTCTTGGAGTGGATATACATGGGTTTATAGTTCATTGTTTTCAGTCATCCTATGACTAAATAAGCTTTCCACCTGCTTAGTCAAGTGCTGAGAGAATATGACTACACCAAAGGATGTATGAAGCATGCATTTAATTTATCATAAAGAACTGTAATAAGGCAAATGTGCGCAGCTGGAACTAACTTGTACCAGATTTCGCCAATCCCCAAGCTCATAGTAGATACTTGCTAACACCTCCAGAAGTTCCGGCTGTTTTTAATTAATAGCTCATGTTGGGGGCATCTTGCCTGACTTACTAGAATGTCATTTTATTTAAAATAGGGTTCTGAACCTTAAAAAAAAATAGATCCCTTTATTTTTAAGTCAAGTAAATGATCCAAATAGAAATTTAAGTTTGGCTCTTTTAAAGGCAGCAATATTTCACATTGAATGTGCTCCCGAGGCCAGAGGAAATGTTCTTTCCTTTCCTAAAATTTCTAGCCAAGTACTCACAAACCCAGTTTCTTCCCAAGAATATTTGTTTTTTTATTTCTCAGAGCCTAGTTTTAAAAGGCTGGAACCTTTCACAAGTCAGAATAATTCCATTTGCTAGCTGGCTCTTTCTCCAAGTCCAGCTTGAATCCTATGGGACACATAAATCCTTGTCTGAAATGTAGGATAAGTGTCATGAAACATGCTAGGAAATTGGTAAACCACAGCTCAAAGCATAAATACAAAGATATAAGCGAAATCTACTCTAAAGTAAAACTATGACAAGCAGAAATACCACAATGCATTAATTCTTTAGCTAAGGTAACAAAAATATTCAAGGAAAAAGTATGTGTGTTATGACAAATCTGGGGAGAAAATAAAAATGCAACGTAGATAAAAATTAGTATTGCTAGGAGAAGAGACAAGGTAAATAAATGCACACTTGCCCTGAATTACCTAAGCCAGACATAAAGTCAATTTTTCCTGTCAAGTACTGTGTCAGGTGCCATCTGGGAAAAAAAACTGGGAGCATCTGAGAAAGGTGGAATCTGAGGGAGAAAAGGCAGAAAAGGGCATATTTTACAGCTACCATGCCGTATAGCCAATTGCCACTGGATGGCAGCGGGGTTTTACTTAGCAAAGTTGCTAAGAGCATTAGGATTGGTCATTCAATATCTGCCCTACATGTTCGGCCCCAGTAACTCAAGGTTTCAGGGAAATACAAAGTAGCTCCTTCCCACCCCCAAAATTGGGGATCTGTCCTAGAAATTGCAAATCTTTGTTCTGATTATCAGTAAATCCCTTGAAAATTACTAATTTACTATCAGAGTAAATTAAATTGGGAACTAAAATTAGAACTTCTAATAACTTCTACAATTTTGAAATTCAGAAAGCAAGCACACATGTAATCACATTTGCACGCACACATCCCTACAGTTTACTATTGCAATATTATCATCTTGAGCCCAGTACAACAAATTGGAACCACATTTTATTCTACTTTTTCTTGTTAACTTGATGGCTTCACCACACTTTTAAATGCTACACACTCCCTTCCCTCTCCCTTGGCATCTGATCCCCCCACTTTTTTTTTTTTGTAAATTCAGTAATCTCACCAGCAACAAGCTTTGCTTTCAAATAAGCATATCTGCCAACTTAAACAGCATCTCCTAAGGCAGCGGAGTAATGAAAGACACATGTAGGTACTTGCCTGTCATCAGATGCAAGCTCACGTCTGCCTGAAATTGGGCCTGTAATTCTGCTGATCCTCGGGTTCAGGACAGCATGGCCGAGAGTGGTCTACAATGCGGCCCTTAGTCTAAACAGCAGATGAAGGATGCAAGGGGCCAACCTTTTTCATCCCTGCTGGGCTCTTGACCAGTTGTTGCTCTTTAGTTCAAGGGGGAGATGTGAGGGATTGCTCAAACACTTGGCAGACAGAAAGGTCTTAAGACAGCAAGTAGTGAATTCTACCTCATTCCTGCTGATGAACTTGAGGCAGTGCTTTCCAAGCCCAAACTCATGATCCAACCAGAACATCTCCAAGAACAGTCACTCCTGCACACAGCCAAGGCTCCACCACCCCCAACCGGGTGAGGGCCCTACACAACTCCTGATCTGAGCCCCTCCTCAGATGAGACAGAGTTTGCTCCTTTCCCTCTCATAATGCAGTCAACTGTGTGATTTCCTTTGGGGAAATACAAACATTTTGTTTAAAAACTTGCAAAGTCTGAAGAATGGAAAAGTGTGAAAAGGCTGAAAAACTTGAAAGAAAGGAGTTGTAGTTCTGTCCATAAAAAAAGCTTCCTACTTTTTTGCAGCTGGGGCTACCATCAGAAATCAGTGGCTGATTCATCCAGGCCTACAGGAATCCCCTCTTTCCACCCCGCCCCCACCACCTACAGACTGACTTGAGCACCCTTTTATGCCCTTCCTGTAAGTGTTAGTGAACGGCTTACAAACGTTCAGTGCCCTTAGTTCTGCCAAACAAGTAAAAACTTCAAGGGTTGTGAGGGCTCACGAAGACATACTCATTATAAAAATTATTATTTTTTTAAAAAAGGAACCTAACAGGGTCCACTGAAAAACCAACTCATCAACACAGTTTATATCTTCCATCTTCTGAACTGGCAGCCTAAAAGTCATCTCAAGCACAGGGCTACCAGAGATGTGCTGCAAAGTGTTTTTTTTAAGAGGTTTCCACCAGACATTATTAAATTACTATTTTAAAATTAAATCTAGGATCCAGGAATTTTACCTTCCATAATAACAAGGGTGAGAGTAACTAATATAACCACTGTATCCTCCACCTTGAAGAATCTCTTCAGATAGTTGAAGTAGGATCCTTATCAGAAAGCGGTGGCAGTAACCCATTGTGTGCTGACTGGTTTTTATCCTATCTGGAAATCAATCATTTCCCTCCCTTTCCTTCTCCCTTGGGGAATTACAAAACAGACACGGAGCACCAGATTAACTTTCCTTTGTTCACAAAACGAAAACATACACACTCTCTTAAAATTATCTTCTGAAGGATATGAATTAGGCTTCCTCTTGAGCTCAGTACTGCTGGTAAGCAGGTTCTGAAGTCTCATAACTAATCTAAAGAACTCCAAGAGCACCAATTCAAGCTCCTCAAGTAGTGCTGGTTTTAGGAACTTAGGGCTGAGGACACATAGGCCTGCTAACAAAGCAAGGGCTCTCCTCGCAGGGCTGAATGCTAATAATAGGAAGTCTCCAACTTACATGTGGATTGTGTTTCCAAAGCTCATTTGTAAGCTGGCTGTGCGAAATCCAGAACACATTTTCCCCAAAAAAGCTTTATAAATGGTGGTTAGGTCCTGAGATTAGATCCCCAAAGTCTATTTCACTCAAGTGATTTTGCATGACTACATTGGCAATGACTGCAAACGGGCATGTTTTGGTGACATAAAGGGTAATATAAACTTCAGTAAACAAACATGGAAAACTAACTCACTTATCATAGCTTCTATTATATGTCTAAGTCTATCAAGGCCAATGGAAATAATCTAATCCCCCCACGCCTGACTTTCATCACTGATGTCAGAGGCAAGGAGCTGACGGAGCTGGGGAAAAGCAAAGGGCTGGAAGGCAGGCAGCAGAAGACGTGTGGCAATGCCAGAGAGCAATGCATGGGTTTCCACTGCCTTCCCATGCTGGGGCCTGTCTCTAGGACCCCCTGTCCCGTGGCAGGCACCCACTCTCTGCTCCTGCTCCCACAATCTGAGGAGCAGGCAGTGAAGCCTAAGCTCCTTAGACCCCAGAGAGAAAAGAAACACAGTGAGCTGGAGAGGAGCAAGTGCTAAGGGCGAAGGAAGACACACACCACTGGGGGTCTCCCAGCTGTTCCCAAGGTGTGCCGCTCACCCAGCTGGGGTGGCACGCTCGCTCATGCTCTCAGCTTCCCTCCATTAAGTTTTTAGCT
Organism: Homo sapiens; assembly: GCF_000001405.40. Classification (NCBI taxonomy): domain Eukaryota; kingdom Metazoa; phylum Chordata; class Mammalia; order Primates; family Hominidae; genus Homo; species Homo sapiens. The sequence goes on along the minus strand of NC_000005.10, from coordinate 68,250,026 downwards.
ACCCTCAAGGCAGTGAAAATTTTCTCTTCCCTTTGGTGACCCCAGAATCCAGCCCAACACTTGGCATAGAGTAAGCACATAATAGATGACTGTGAACAGTGATGGCCAGGGAACTATCTTCAGTTCTTTAGGGGTTCCCAGATGGGTATTCATCCAGTTATTCATTTGCTCACCAAATAGTCTATCAACTGTCTTCTACCTGAAAAACTTCAAATGGCTACGTGACTGAGAAAGTATCTATGTTAACGCCCCCCACCCCACCACAAGCAGGCCCCTTTCAAAGAGTACTTGAAATACCTGGTAATTGGTGACTATAAACACCTATTTAAATGCAGCTTTATGGGAAGCTAAGTCATTACCATAGTAACATAGTAGTAGAAGCTACTGGGTTAACAGAATTCCTACAATGGCTTGTTGAATTAACCAATGTCATTTAGTGAAAGAAATAGTTTAGTTAAGAAGTCCAATGCCCAATATGATGTTATTTAAAAAAGAAACAATTTAAATACTTCAATGTGTGTTTAACTGGATTTTGTGATAGGACCACTTAGTGCAGGGTAGATAATATGTCCAGGCAGTATTTTAACAACCCCGTACATCTGGTTTTATGGAAATATAATACAAAAAGACCAAGAAGAGATACCATGATATAGAACTGATGGTTGAGAGAGTAAAAATTAAAAAGGGATAAAAGTTGATTGAGTAGAAAAAGCAGAAACAAAAGTTTCACATGCACCTAATTCTACTCTTCTTTGGTGGTTCCAGGAACAAAACCAACTGGAACAGGAAAATGACTCTGAATTTTAAATAATGAGTAAGCATATATTCCTTTTCCTAAAGGAAGAGACAAAAATAGAAGAGAAAGAAGGTATCATTACTGGTAAATGGGTAGGTCTTGACAGAAGGAAATTACACAGCCTGATTATAACAATGCATTTCAACCTCCCTACATAAAATGCTCATGTCTTAAATTCCTTGGTAATATTTATGAAGCTATCTTATTTCCCCTCTATCTCACCTTTTTGAATCACGCTGCAATACTATGTATTAGCCTAACGCTGACATCCATAGCAGTATGCTGGAAAATGCAAACATGTTCACTTCCTTCAGAAAATATCTCTTGGTTTATTATGGCCTCACTCCAACCACTCTTCTGTTTGGTTTTTGCTTTTATTATGCTCTACTCATTTAAATTCATCAATATGTTGCTTTGTAACAGTTTACATTTTTTTTGCACACATATATAGGTGTACTACATAAAAATTGAAACAAATAACATATAGTTCTTCCAATTTCCCTTGTATGACCTCTTTCTTTAGTTGTTACAGTGCTTAGTTCCCAGTGGTGGATAAATAATTTTGCCAAAACAATTGACCAAACATGTCATGCCAACAAAGGGTATCAAATGATTATCTGGGTAGTGCCTTAGAATTCCAAATATGAACAGACGTAAAGAAAAAATAAGGACACTAACAAAACAGTATTGGCTTTATTCATAAATTTGTTAGGATGTCCACCAACACACACAATCACAAATAGATTACTAATCTTTGGTAATCTTAATTTTCTCAAGAATTGAAGGGTGTTTAGATACAGAGGACAATGAGGGGAGGTGGATTTAAGATAATATTAAGAATCAAAAACTGCTATGCTAGTGTTTTATATTTAAATCTAAGTCATCTTAGTAACTGAATTCATATATCTATCCAGATAGTGGGGAAAACACCATTAAAAAGAACATTGTTGGCCAGGCATGGTGGCTCATGCCTGTAATCCCAGCACTCTCGGAGGCCGAGGCAGATGGGTCACTCTTGAGGTCAAGAGTTCAAGACCAGTCTGGCCAACATGGCAAAACCCCATCTCTACTAAAAATACAAAAATTAGCCGGGCTTAGTGGCATGTGCCGGTGGTCCCAGCTGAGGCAGGAGAATTGCTTGAACCCAGGATGCAGAGGTTGCAGTGAATTGAGATCCCGCCACTGCACTCCAGCCTGGGCAGCAGAGCAAGACCCTGTCAAAAAAAAAAAAAGAACATTTTCCCAGTATGGAAATACTTGAGAATTTTCAAAACAAAAAACTGTTTTTGTTTTATCAAATGCACCTTAAGGACATTCAATGACTCTGGGGCAATGATGCCGTTTAGGGCAGTTATCTTTGTATGGTGCCCATGATCTGGAAAAACAGGCCCTGGCACCAAAGGCCAACGTCACCACTGGCCTGTCCCGTTGGGCAGGAAATAATGGATTTCAGAGGCTGGAATGAAGGAAAGCCCAAACTAACAACAGAGTTAGAAAAATGTTTTCAGCCTGTAGTCCCAGCTACACCAGAGGCTGAGGTAGGAGGATCAGGTGACCCCAAGATGTCAAGGCTACAGTGAGCCATGTTGATGCCACTATACTCCAGCCTGAGTGACAGAGGAAGACCCTGTCTCAAGAAAAAAAAAAAAAAAAGGCCACGTGCAGTGGCTCACACCTATAATTTTAGCCCTTTAGGAGGCTGAGGCAGACAGATCACTTGAGACCAGCCTAGGCAACATGGTGAAACCCCATCTCTACAGAAAAATTAGCCAGGCATGGTGGCGCACGCCTGTAGTCCCAGCTACTCAGGAGGCTGAGGCGGGAGGATCAACTGAGCACAGGAGGTTCAGACTGCAGTTAGCCGTGGTGGAAAGAAAGGCAGAAAGACAGAAAGAAAGAAAAAAGAAAAATGTTTTCAAAATCAATCAAGCCTCTAAAATGTGTCCAATTAAAATCCACTGATCTATTAAAATGGAATTCTATCTCAAAAAATATAATTTTAAGAGAGACCATGAGAGCAGCATACCTCCTCTACTCAAAAAACTATTATGACTTAGAGATGAGCCATGATAAATTCAAAGCACAGGGAAAAGTTCCATATCAAATCACATATTTCCAAGCCCCTTATCCAAAAGCACCGCTGAAAGAATTCTATTTCGATCACACTACTAACTACCTGTGAGAACGGCAAACACCTTTTAGTTTTAGTTCTTCCTTTTTACCAATAGGTGGCAAGATTTATTGCTAAGACAATTTAGGCAAAGGATTCAGCTTCAGAAAGACTGCCTTTCCTCTCCCCTCTTAAGGCTCAGCATTTTTTTTTTTCTCTTACTAATGAGCTATTTGACAGTAATCATAAAACCAAAATATTTGTTATTTATTAAGCTACTGCAATTTTGGATTTGTAAAGGAAAAAGAAGTCCTGGAAATCTTTTAAAAAGACACACAACGTGGTGGCAGGCGCCTGCAGTCCCAGCTACTCGGGAGGCTGAGGCAGGAGAATGGCGTGAACCCAGGAGGCGGAGCTTGCAGTGAGCCAAGATCGCACCACTGCACTCCAGCCTGGGCGACAGAGCGAGACTCCGTCTCAAAAAACAAAAAATAAAAAAGACACACATGGACGGGCGCGGTGGCTCACGCCTGTAATCCCAGCACTTTGGGAGGCTGAAGCGGATGGACCGTTTGAGGTCAGGCGTTCCAGACCAGCCTGGCTAACATGGTGAAACCCTGTCTCTACTAAAAATACAAAAATTAGCTGGGCGTGGTGGCGGGCACCGGTAATCTCAGCTACCTGGGGGGCTAAGGCAGGAGAATCGCTTGGGCCCGGGAGGCAGAAGTTGCAGCGAGCCGAGATCGCGCCACTGCACTGCGGCTTGGGCGACGAGTAAAACTCTGTCTCAAAAAAAAAAAAAAAAAATATACACACCAAGTGGACAAAGCAAAAGAGACTCTGCAGGGAAGGGGATGGCTAGGCATAGTTTTGACATTATTATGACTTCCAAATAAGGTATAAAGTATAGAATACACCCATACAGCATACTAAAGACTTTGGAATGGCTCACAACCAAACTTGTACGGTAATGAAGATATATAATGTAAAAAGAATACAGGTGTTTACCAGAAAACATCCTTCAAGGGACAAGACTTATAAATGCAATGGAAACTGTCTCAAGAAACAAAACTTTATTCCAGTGGTCTCTTTGGGGAAACATGTACACAGCTATTCAGCAAATTCACTGTCACCTTCATTGCAACTGAAGAGAATAAATACTCAAGTATGTGTCTTAGAAAGAACTGGTCAGTCCATGCTTACTAACTTATGTAATTCTGCAATAATCTAACTTCATTTCTTCTTTGGACAGCCTCAAAAAAGGTGAAGAAGAGTTCATTACTACTCTCCATAAAACACTGCTTCATATAATTTTCAACTGTTTAAATTGGTCCTTGGTCTTTATTTTCTGTGGCTAAACAATTTCAATTCCTTTCATTTTCGTCAGGTTTAAATGCATTGCTTAAGTCTAAAAAGTAATTTTTTTCATGTTTGTCCCAAATGTATTTTTTAATTTTTATTTTTGAGTGCCTCACTGAAATCCTTGGCTTGGTAGAGGTCATCAATTCTATTTTACAGATGAGAAAACCAAGGTTAAGTATGTTACCGTCTTTAGGTCACACAGCACATTAGTCACAGCAATTAGGACTAACGGTTAGCCAAGGGCATTGTTCAGAACTCTGAGACGTCCAGCCTATTTGCAAGTGCTCCATGTAAGCAAGAACAATGAATGGAAAAGAACAAAAGTGCAATGCTGCATTGGTGATTCTATAACATCAGCAACAAACTCTTTCTCCTATATATCTCCCACATGCTCATAAGGACCCAAACAGCATATTTAAAACTCAACTATTTTTTTTTAAAAAAAAAGCATATTTGTCTAAATTCTTAAACTTTCCAAGACGTACTACCACTGCTAAATATATTCACGTATAATGCAATAAAGAATTATAAAATATAATGAAAATTTGCTGATATACTTATGTAGTTCAAGTTTTTCCTCCAACTAGGAGGCTCTTTGGATTAGAAAATAAGAGATAGCTAACAAGACCCATCATATATTCTATACTGTATTCTTTTCCAATGTTGAAATCTATTTCGTCCTTTTGAAGTCAGCCAGCTGAGTCTCAGAGAATCAACCCAAAGCAGAGTGACTTGGATGCCTGACTTAATCTGGCATTTAACTGTATGAGTGCCTTTACCCCTCTGTTTTGCCCCTCAATAACAGAAAAATTATTCCTTGTGCCAAGGGGATGCAGAGAGGTTGATAAAACTGCATGCTACTTTGGATTTCTTAGAAATTGTCCATAAAACTCATGGAACATGTTATGAGATGGAATATCATAGATGATGTTCAGTTAAAGATATGGTTTCTTAACATCTAGTCCCACAGAGTCACATTAGATCTGAGAAGTTCAAACAAGTGCATTTTTCTAAAATGCATGTTGCCTTATAACTATCATTCCAAAACGAAGGAAGAAAACTTCAAATTAACAAGGGATATAACCAGTTAACTATTCAGTGAACAGCAGCATTCATATATTCAGCACGAATTACAATGTGGTTACAGCTAAAACTCTTTTTTTTTTTTTGAGGTCCAGAGCAGAAGTTTAATAGGTGAAAGAAAGAGAAAAGCTCTCTGAAGCGGCGGCGGGGGGCGGGGGGGCGGTCCTAGAGAAATAGGCGGCCCTAAAACTCATCTTCATACCCACAGAAATTTTATTTATTACTTGATATAAAATAAGCAGTTAGAAAAAAGTTTTCACAAGGACCACTGAGTGAACTTAATGTTTCTAATTAAAATACCCATAAATAAATCCCAAAGTCTTTAATTATGATCCATTTAGTCAAGAGACTTTCAACACATGCTTTTTGCTAAATCCCACTGGGGAAAAAAATAAAAGGAATTTTCTGTCACTCAAGTCCTGTACCTATGCAAATACGCTCCATACAACTGTTTTCTGCATCCAATTATTTTTTCTTCTACCTAACTGGGGGGAAAAATCAAGTTACATTATTTCAGTTTAAAAAGGTTTTTATATATAAATAAAAAGTCACCAAGGATGGCTGGTTAACAGAATTCTGGTTTGCCCTGGATAAACATATATTGCTGCTTATATCCATCTGCAATTTAATCTTAGTAGAAAATATAATTAATGTAGCCACAGAACACTCCAAATTAATGCTTTAATTTAAACTACAGCTGTTTAATCTTCTCATTGTAAGAGAACAGAATACCTAACACTTGATGCTAGAAGAGCAGGAAGTAAACAAGAGTGAAGAGAGGAAACTGAAATTACTCAATTGTCCACGAAGCTTAAGGAGCCATTTTACATAGTCCAATTAAGTAGCCCCTCATCACTCTCATTCATTTAATCATTTCATGGCAGACTATTCAGAATCTGCATCCCAAAGGTAACTTGTTTCTGCCCGTGATCCACCAAAATTAACTGAGCAGCTGCTTTATGCTGAAGCCCTGGGCTGGGAGCTAGTCTTGATGGTACAGTAGCTCCTTCAGGTTAACGAATTGAACTGTCACTAAAGGAAAAGAAAGGTGGCAACGGATAAACTTGTTTGCAGTTGGTTTACACATTTTCTCCAGTGACCATTCTGGGAAAGAAAGAAAGGTGCAACTATTAGCACAAATTTGGTAGAACAGGACTTTCTAACTCCGCCCTCTTTTAATTCACTGCAACTTCCCTTGAAGAATTTTCTAGGTTATGACCTCCATAGATGGTTCTTCCCAGGGCTGAATTTTCTCTGAGGAAAATCCTCTCATCTAGTTAGAGTTCATAGGAGAGGACATATTTTTTTAAAACAGGAAACAGAACATCAAAACTTTTCAAAGTTTTATGTGTCTAATCAAAGCAGTGGAACAAATCTTTTCTTAATCAAAATTATACTTTAACAGTCAGAGACCCTAGTAGATTTTACATGTTCAAAAACTAACAATTCTTCTGATACCAAGAACATATGTGAAACATACAAGTTATGTTTCACATAATACAGAAGCAAAGGGCTCAAAATGGGCCTTACTCTTTCATCGTGGCCTTTTGTAAAAATTGCGACAGTGGACCAGTGGGATTTCTGGCAGGAAAGAAGTCCCATCAGAGGCTGGCTTTTTTTTTTTTAAGGCCTTGCTTATGCAGAAAATTCTTGCTTTTTCCATTATGTGGTGTCTGGGGACGGTGGGAAGAGGAAGGCTTCTTTCTATACTTGTAGAGCACTGTAATTTAAAATGAGTCATGCAAAACACAAATGAAAATGTTAACCTCTGAGATGGGGGTCAGCAAATTTTATTCCCGCTTAGATCCAGTCTTCTCTGGCCAACTTGACTAAATACAAACCAGGGGCTTTCCCTGGATAGTCACGCTCCAACTTACCCAGACACTGAGGGCCAAGTTCAAAAGAAGGCAAGCTCAAGAAGGAGGCCTCTAGAATTAAGAAATCCTTGGCCATGGCTCAGTTCATGGACAGGCCTTGGGCTATCCCGTTCAACTCAGCATACCTCCCATTTCACAGGTGTGAATTTCCACCTCCCATCACAGCTCTTGGGGATACCCTAACTCCTTAGACGGGTAGAATGATCTGTCCTGGTGGCAAGCCATATCACAGTAGCTGACACAGTCTCCTGGGTCCAGCCTGGGAAAGCATTTGAGTTCCTATCTACCCATGGAAGGCCTCTCTTCTGGGGCTTACTGCCTTGCCTCACTGGAAGTCGTGCTTCCAATAAAATCATTAAACCCAGGTTGATGATATAATGGAAGCACCCAGCAACTAGGACTTTTCTTTTGGCTTCATACATTATGACTATGGTGTGAAGTTTGACCACCGTGTATTCTCTGACCAAGATTCAACTTGAGGCCACATGAAAAACTTCAGACACTTGATCCATGTTCTAGCCCCAAAACCTCTAAGTCAGAGCTGTTTCTTTCCTCTATGCAAAGATTAACTTTTTGCCTAACCCATCAATTAAAACACAAACATTTTTCTAGGTTGGAATTGCTATAAGGAGTACAACTCCATATTCTCAAACTAACACTATTCAAATAGCACAACACTTTTGCCTAAATGGAATGAGGGCATTGCTTTAACCTGTGATACTTCGTATTCTTCCCTTTTTATTTCAAGTAAACTTTGAAAGAAGTTGATGCATTTTATCCAAATGTGTGTGCAAATTGTCATAAATAAGTCTCTGATTTGATACATGCTTCTAGTACATGATTTTGACAGAAATGAGATATTGGCCAATCAAGCATTTTTAATATCTATAAGATTCTTAAATTAGTTTGAAGGTAACTGGTGTATGGGTAAAGATCACAGAAATGTGAGATTGTATTTAAAAGTCTACAATTTACAGGCAACTACTTGCTAAGATTTAGTTAATACCACTAGAGGTTCCTTTCCTCCTGCAACTCGTCTTGAGGGTGGTACAGTGTGGTGCTGGGAAGCACCCATCCTGAAGTGAGAGAGGCTGCATGCAAAGACCAGCTCTTTACCAGCTACTAGTGTTGGACTCTGGGCAAGTTTCTTTTTCTTTCTAAGCCTCAACCTGCAAATAGCACTAAGTGGACTAAGTGAGATTAGGTAGGTAGAGCACACAGCACATGGTGCCTGGAACAAAGCAAATGTTCAATGCTTGCCTGCAATTGTGTTAGTAAGGAGTCACATTAAAGAAATTTCAAATTTTTCATCTCAGAGGTAAAACATTTCATCTTGCATGTATTTAAGAAAAGGAAAATGTAGCATCTCAATGTAATGAACTAAAAACAGTACTGTAAAAAAAAAAAAAACAAAAAAAATTGTAACCACCACCTTTTCAGCAAATCAAAAATGCAGGTAATTATTCAACTACATGCCCAGAATAAAGTAACAAAATTAATCGAACATGCACTGGGGTTTTACTAAAACTATTAAGTATCAACTCTTCTTTTTAAACCTTATAAACAAAAGATTTTTTTTCCTCTCATTTTAGGAGGCCTTAATTACTATTAACTAGTAGTCATCAGTATTATTAATAGTTACTATAACTATTGACCCCCACCAGGACCATTTCCTTCTCTTAGGAAATTATACATTAAATGTGAGACAATATAATGTGAAGATTACTAACTACAATTGCTAAGTTATAATTTAAAACATTTCAATATGTGAACTAAACAGCATTTGGTGCTGGTGAAAGATGGTCCCTTAGGAGTCCACTGAATCAAGAGACTCGTCATCATCTAAGCAAAACCCTCACTAGAAAATAGAATGAGTGGGGTTGCCTGGGAAGTGGAGAGTGACAGTGGTTTTGTATTTTGGAAAAAGATCACTGTGAAACTCACCTCATCCTTCTCTTCTAGAATATATGAAAGGCAACTGGTCTCACAGCTAGACTATAACAAAACCAGGAAGGAAAGAAGAAAGGAAGGAAGGAAAAAATATTTTCATTCTTAAAGAACATAATTACCCAAAATATTAAAGGCATGTAACAACTAGATTGGCATTCACCGAAAGCAGTTATGGGGATAAAAAACAGTTACAGTGACAATTCACTTATTTGGGGTAGGCAAAGAGGTCTCAGAGTCTGCTGCAGACTCAGGTTCCTGGCAAAGAAAACAAGAGTAAACATTTTTTGCATCTTGTCAAAGTTTTCCTTATTGAGGGCCAAAGTTAGATGATTCCAATCACAGAAGGGCTGGAGAGATGTGGTCTGACAAGAACTGGAGTTTCAGTTAAACAACTGTGAATTTTATGCTCCAATATGTTTAAACTTCCTCTAAATGTTAAAGCTGACCAGGTTTCTCAAGTTTCCCCTAAGGGGAAGATTAGACCACAAGTGACAGTTACAATATAACTGTACACATAATGCCAATCCAAACAATGAAGGCTAGTGAAGTAGAAAGAGCTGGCTTTCAATCCTTTCTCTAAAGCTGCTTTTAGTAGAACAGTACACTCAATTATAAAGGCAGATTTGTACAGTGTACCCAATAATGGCTTTTCTATATGATGGTTTAAATATAACATTTACTACATATCATATACGAATACATATTATATACAAATATATATTTATACATAAACATTTATATATAAGTAATATATATATAAAAGTTGAATATTATATAAATCTATAATGTTATCTACAACATTAAGAAGCACAAGCCAAGTGAGGGCTACACTGAAAGTTAAAATTTTAGCCAGTTAAGAGCCACAGTTTCCAACATGCAGGAGGAATGAACTGCCCTTTAAAAGTAATCACCTCTTTCCAGCCTGCGGTTCTGATGAGGTTCTTTTGCTGTAAGGAATAGTAACTCACACATCTGCTTTATTCTTTTCAGTTGTTCTTGTGTCTGTTTCCTGAGAGGAAAAATCTGCTTGTTTAACTCACTTTGTCATATCAGACCGCATCACACGTCACTGGCAAGCCAGGGAGTCATCTGCCTTTGGCTCCGGGGTGCCTTGTGGCTGGTCGGAAGTCAGCAGCATCAAGCAGTGTGAACATTAACCCCCGGCGCCCCTTTCGCTGTATTGCACAGTTGCTTAAGAGCATTGGGTCAACAGTCAGACTGTTTGGGGTCAAATCCCAGCTCCTCCACTAGCTGTGTGACCTTGGGCCATCTCTAACTAAACTTGTTTATCTTTAAAACAGGTATAATAAGGCCAGTGTCACAGAGTTCTTAGGAAAAGTAACAAGTCAATGGAATAAAAGGTTAGTGCAGTACCTGAAAAATAATGCGTGTGTTGAACACACAAATATATGTATATGGTCAATTTTATATGTATATATGTATGTGTATATACGTACATACATATGTTAATGTCTGTATTTCTTTAAAGTAGTCATATATAGTAAACATTTTCCCTGTATTATTTTTATTCTTTCTTTGTTGCCTATCTTTTGGAATATATATTTCTAGGTGTTTAGAAGATACATACTTTATAGTTTTATTATTTTGATAATTACTGAAGTTAACCAAAATGAATTAAGTTTAAATTTACACCTTTTTAAATTATAAAGCTTAACAATAAAAAGGCAACCTTTAGGTACTCCCACGTGAACAAGAGGTTTAGTGTATCTTTCCTGAGCTCCTGCTTATCAACGAATGCCTCTCAATTGCCTTTCCACATAACATATAAGGAGGAAGCTCAGTAAGTTCTTAAGTCACCATCTTTTCTCCTCAAAACTCTACTAAAATCAATGCACTATTTTTTTTTTTTTTTGGCATTTATTGCTAGAAAGGAGAAGAAAAACAACTTTGTTCCCTGGTAGCTAATATCTTGCCAGATATTTTGGCAAGGTACTTTAACATTATTCTTAAATAGAAATGCCCAAACATATTTTTCATTGATTTCACATGAAAAATACGGCAACACTTTCAAATCTGCACACGTGCATGAAAACTTCTTATAATGATGTTGTTCTATTTCACTTGGTTCCCTGTTTATCAACACTTGTAATTCTCCTGTTAGATATTCTCTCTATATATCTTCTCCCTCATTTTATGTTTTTATCCTTTGGATTCCAAAGAGCTTTATCTTGTTTCTCCTTCAAAACACAGACTTTATTTTCAGCTCATTACCCCCTTACACATGAATTTTAATATGCTATTACATTTTTAACTTAGTCTTTTTTTTATTGTTTCACTCCGATTTCATCCCATCTTACTGTCTTTTCATCTCATAACCGCCTGACTACTTTCTGTCCCTTTCATGAGGGACAGAAATAAATCATAATACTAAGTGGAAATACTATAACAGAAATAAATTATAATCAATCAGTTCTGGAGGTCTACTCTTCTTTCAAATCTCCAGTATGATCTCCCTTTTTCTTTTATAGATGGACATGGTTCAGTAGGCTCGGTTAGGTTTTTCCTGTTTATCACTAAACAAGGAAAGACCTACCCATGCCTGGTGACTGCTCTGAGCTAAGGGATCCACTTGGGTGCTAGTTATTTGGCAGTCTGAGATGAAAAGGCCAGTTCCAAGGTGGTTTTCATTTCAACATGGTTTTGGTTAGCCTGAGAGAAAAATCTCCTGCGTTCACCGCCTGACTTTCTGATGCTCTGAGTGATGGAGAGCCTGTAATACTCAAAACCCTCAGTGAACACAGGTCTTTCTAACTCTACCCCACCTTCAGCACTTTATTTTCATGGATCAGGATTCTCAGAATATAACAGTAATAGCCCCTAACTTACCATTCCAGCTCTCTCTGGTTATTTTCTAAGTTGTGACCTCCTACTGATTAGAAAGGCTCTGTCGGAGAGGACAAGGAAGAGGGGGGAAGAGCATTCCTGAGGACAGTTCCCTGGGCCCTTTCTGAATTATGGACAGAGTTAGGGAAGAGATGGGTCTGCCCTGCTACTTTTAGGTAGTCAAAACTTATCCTATATTTTTTAACCCCGGTTCTGTTGAGTTTACAGTAGGCATTTCTTCCCACTAATTCTAGTTTTATGTGTTAAGAATATTTTTTTTTTTCTTCCTATCTTCTTAGGAATTGTACTGAGAAGAGGCTCTCTCGGAGACTCTCAAGAAGCTGTGTCAGGACTACCAGTCAGAGGCCTTTTTAACTCAGAAAACATTTAAAGTTTTTTTTTTTTTTTTCAATGGGAAAATAAGTAAATAAGTAAAATTTCTCAACTTCGCATTCGAGAAGTTCTGCTGGCACTCACTACCTTTGAGAGACTATCTCTGGGCAATGTCACACTGTCCTATTAGACATCTGAAAATAAAATTCACCTGTGCCTTTCCCTTACCCCCTCAATCACCCCTCTGCCCTTGGAATTCAGGTAACAGAAACACAAATGTTATAAATTTGGCAGTGGCCAACTTTCCTGAGAAATATGGTTTGGCATTCAAAGGAATTTGGCAATTTGTACTCAGTCTTTTTAAATGGCATTTACTGCTAACCTTGACATAATTCAGGTACAAGACTTCAGATTCATCTGAATCAACTTCAGGTTTCTTGTTTTTATGGACTTCAAGCAGCTGCTATCCACAGACCAAAACACACAATTCTTATGCTGGATACCCTCAAGTTTTTGGCTTTTAAGCAAGTAATAACTCCAGTCTGTGCTCCATTTTAATCAAAATGATATAATTATGAGTCTGAAATAAGAAAACTTGAAACTCAGGGAAACATTTAAAGCAGACATTTAACTTCTTCAAAAACAACAGAAACGAAGGTAAATCTATTTATCAAGGTTATAAAACTTTTGAGTTATCTGATCATGGTGTATTTCTTCCTGAGAAAAATTGCATTTACATGCACATACCCAAAACTTTGTCTTAGCTTCATGGCCTTATCCGTCTCTTTGTAATTCAATCCTTTCAAATATTTACCAGACATAAGAAAATGTTGTAAGTCACATATAAATTGGAGGTAAATTTCTGGAGTTGCATGAATGTAATAGCTAGTGAAACCTAACAGATAAAGCAGACATAATTGAAGACCACCCAAAAAGCAAAATTCAGTTACCGATCACTTCACAAGAGACTGCTTAAGGAGATCCTCATGACTGCCTGCCTTGCCCAAAATGTTCTTGAATCTTATCAATGTGCCATCACTATGATATTTTTTAATATGATCACTTTTTAAATATTTACACAATCACATGACCTTCAGTTTTTAAATCTCAAAAACGGTTATAGGGCCAGGCGTGGTGGCTCATGCCTGCAATCCCAGCACTTTGGGAGGCCGAGGTGGGCGGATCACAAGGTCAAGAGATCGAGACCATCCTGGCTAACACAGTGAAACCCCGTCTCTACAAAAAATACAAAAAATTAGACGGGCGTGGTGGCAGGTGCCTGTAGTCCCAGCTACTCGGGAGGCTGAGACAGGAGAATGGCGTGAACCCAGGAGGCGGAGCTTGCAGTGAGCCGAGATCGTGCCACTGCTCTCCAGCCCGGGCGACAGAGCGAGACTCCATCTCAAAAAAACAAACAAACAAACAAAAAAAGGTTATAATATGCCATCTTTGCAGGGTGGTTGTGAGCGTCAAATGAAAAATGTCTATAAAATGCCTGGCAGGGCCAGCGTGGTGGCTCGCGCTGGTAATCCCACCAGTTTAGGAGGCCGAGGTGGGTGGATCACCTGAGGTTAGGAGTTCGAGACCAGCCTGACCAATATGGTGAAACCCTGTCTCTACTAAAAATACAAAAATTAGCCAGGCGTGGCAGCATGTGCCTGTAGTCCCAGCTACTTGGGAGGCTGTGGCTGGAGAACTGCTTGAACCCAGGAGGCAGAGGTTGCAGTCAGCTGAGATTGAGCCACTGCACTCCAGCCTGGGCAACAGAGCAAGATTCAAAAAAAAAAGAAAAAAAAAAATGCCTGGCAGAATAATTAGCAAAGAGTAAGTTTGCAAATGTTTAAGGTTCATTTTGAAGAAGACATTTTCAATAGTTAAACAGACCCACAGGGAAGTGTAAGACAAAAACTATAATATGTACTTTGATATACTCTAACCAAATTCATTATATCTCATTCCTTGGTACTCCACAGATATTCCTTATTATTTAGCAATAAAATCATCTTGTTCTAACTTCTTCAAATACTTCTGAATCAAAAATAAACTTACTTTTTGCTACCTGAAAGAACATGGTGAGATTTAATTAACAATGTGTAAAATGCTTTGAAATTATGCATTAATGATGCCACAAATATTCAGCTATGTTTCTATAGTTGGGAAACAAGAATGCAAAAAAAAATTCAAATGAACTGTTTACTGATAAAAAATTCTTAAGCATTGAAAATTATTTATTTATTTATTTATTTATTTATTTATTTATTTATTTATTTTGAGACACTTTCACTCTGTCACCCAGGCTAAAGTGCAGTGGCACAATCTCGGCTCACTGCAACCTCTGCCTCCCAGTTTCAAGCGATTCTCCTGCCTCAGCCTCCCTAGTAGCTGGGATTACAGGCATGCACCATCACACCCAGCTAATTTTTGTATTTTTAGTAGAGATGGGGTTTCACCATATTGGCCATGCTGGTTTTGATCTCCTGACCTCAAGTGATCTGCCCACCTTGGCCTCCCAAAATGCTGGGATTACAGGTGTGAGCCACTGCACCTGGCCTCAAAAATTATTTTTTTAAATAGAATAAAAATAAAGCCATCAGTGTTTAAGATTAACAATAGCTAAAAAGTTAACATATTATATCTAATATCATAAAAATTAATCTTATTACACCCTTGAGTAGTTCTGAAAACTGCATTTTACCAAAAACCAGTAGCAGGCTAGAACCAGTGCTTGCTGTGGCACTGGTCCCATGTGCCAAGTCTGAGAGCATTATGTCAATTTTCTTCTTTAGGAGAAAGCTTGGAAGATGACAGTGACAACCCCAGACAGTCACTCTGACTTCACAATGCAGCCTTGTCTAATGCCTATG